>NC_000002.12:121864618-122489618 GCF_000001405.40 Homo sapiens | reverse complement strand
CTGCTCTCAAACACTGCATGTATGGTAGTTACTTGTATAGTCTACTAATCCAACTACACTCTTGGGAAAAAGAAATATATTTTGCTTTTCTTTGTAACCTCCACAGAATCCACCAGAAAAGGGAACAAGACCTTCTGCTTACATAGCCCAAGCTAACAAAGCCAAGCAGCACTTCCCACTGCTCCAATCTTTGTCTGCACCTGTCTCTCCTATGGTCACTTAATTACAGCCACTTGGACTTCTGTTCTGACCCTTAAGCCCTGCTCAAACTCATTCGCATCCCAGGGCCTTCACAATTGTTGCTCTGTCTGCCTGGAACATCGGCCCCTTGCTCCTCAGAGCTCAGCTCTTTTGATTCCTTCAACACTAAGCTTAAATAGTATTTCCTAAAGAATCATCCTCAACCATTCTCACATCAGTGGCCCTACCACAGGCTCATCATTTCTTTTATGTCACCTGGCTTTTTTCTCTTGTTTATTTATTACTCCCATGCTCCTCCCCTCAACACACACACACACACACACACACACACTAGAATGTATGGTCAGCCAGGAGAGTCCTGGTCTGTCCATTGTCACTGCTTTACCCCAAGTAAAGTGCCTAGAACAAAGTAGGTGTATAACAAATATTATCAATTGAATAAATAAATTATAAAATATTAGGTAATTCAAGAATTATTGCTGGAATAAAAAATAAAGAAAGAAATAAAGTCATTGTATCCCATCTTCATTCGCTGTTTCAACATACATAAAAACATGTTCTGAATAATAAATTGATTTATTGATATCTACATTGATACCTTAGCAAAACTGAAAATCACTAGGTGTTGGGACCTTGGGAGAAATGGACGTTTCTCAAAAAATGAGTACTAGACAAAATTCAATCTAAAACTGCATTAAAAACAAGTCACATTGCATTAAATTGGAAAGCAATATAACACATTATTCAATTAAACCCCAGAACCCACTAACTAAAACCTCAATGAATTGAAAATATAGTGGGGCTCCACTTTTGTGCAAAGCATATGTACATCTTAGCAGCTGGGCCATGATTTGCCATCCCTTAAGAAGGTTATGCCCCATGATCAAATCTGTGAACAGACATTTGTGAAGATGCAATTGTGTGCTAGGCCCCGGGCTCAGCATAAATGGCACATACACAGAGAAGAGACAGTGGACAGTCAGGAAAGAATAGAATAGTAAGGAATGGGGAAGAGGTTTGTTGTTGGGGAGACTTCCCAGAGGAGATAATGTACATATACGTGACGATCTACTTTGGGAAGGAAAACCACTAGGACAAAGTAAGAACCGGTACTAGCCCAAGGGAACAGCTGCTGCAAGGGAAAACCGAATGAGGTCAGGCTATGCTCCTGCCCAACTAGGTTGGCAGCAATAAGCAAAGAGAACTGAAAAAAAAAGTAAAAGATAAGATATTTAATATCACTTAAAAAATTCACGAGGTCAGGAGATTGAGACCATCCTGGCTAACACGGTGAAACCCCATCTCTACTAAAAATAGAAAAAACTAGCCAGGCATGGTGGCACGCGCCTGTAGTCCCAGCTACTCAGGAGGCCGAGGCAGAGAATCACTTGAACCCAGGAGGCAGAGGCAGCAGTGAGCCGAGATCACGCCACTGCACTCCAGCCTGGGTGATAGAGCAAGACTCAGTTTCAAAAAAAAAAAAAAATCAAGTATAGTTATAAGCTAAGAATGAAATCCCAGAAGTTTTAAGACTTTTAAAAACAAACACTGACATAAACAAAGTTTTTGAGTACAAACTAATTGATTAGACATTTAACCTAAGCCCTAGTCCTCATAATAGAATTACTTAATAAACTTTTAATTTTGGAATAATTTGGGGTTTATAGAAAATATACAAAGATATACCAAGAGTTCCCATATGCCCTTCACCCAGTTCTCGCTAGTGCTATGGCTCACACTGCCATGGACTGTGGGGGCTCAGAACATGATATCTCAAAGCATGGTCCTCTGGCGTGCAGAGTACTTTGAGCTAAAGGACTGGAAGAGCCTCAGAAGCAAACCCTTTCTGACCTTTTCCTTTTCTCCTGACTCCCACCCCTGTTCCTTCTCCTGAAGAGTTTCACAGAAATCAGAATTCCTCTCTCCTAAGCCAGGTCATAAAAACTTGAACTCTTCCCCAAATTCGCCATAAAACTTAGAAAGTTCACTCCCTGACCCTCTCCCTCTCTCTCGAAGACCCTCATGTGACAGGTGTCCTGTCTTATACCCATAGGAAAGGAAGGTCACACAGAGGCCAGGAAGAATCCAAACAGACAGGCCTTGCCAGGCTCCCCCTCTTTAGATCACACTCTTTGGCCCAGTCACATTTCTACATGACTGCCTGTTTTTCATCAAACCTCAGAATAAAAATGCACATTTCCCTTGAGTCTTTGGGTCTTCATTTCTGAAGGCTCTCATAACACATAAAACTTTGATTAAATAAATTTGCATGCTTTTCTCTTGTTAATCCATCTTTTGTTATAGGAGTGTCTGCTGTGACCTTATTGATGGGTGAGGAAAGGGACCACACCTTTCCATCCCTACAGTACAGTTGTCAAAATTAAGAAACTGACATTGGCATATTACTACAGACTTTATTCAGATTTCATCGAGTTTTTCACTAAGGCCCTTTATGTGTTTCAGGATCAAATCCAGAATACTCCATTGCCTTTAGCCAACATAGTATTTTAAATCACAACCTTACTGTTAATGTTAATGGGGATAAGATTAACTATACTTATAAATTCTAAAAAGAAAGATGTCATAGCACAATGAATCATAGTCACCCGTTGACTTTTGTTTTTAATAAAAGGGTGCTGTACTATGCAAAACCTATTTCCTAGTAAAGCATGGTTGGAAAATTGTCCTTTGATTTAAAATTAACTTTTCTTGTTGACTTTCATTATAATTTCAGAATATTTTATCCTTGTTGCTGAATGAGCTTCAATAGACAGTGGTTCCTAACACTTAGCTTTAATTTCCCTCTTTTCATACCCTTGAGCAGTTAATGATCTACAAACATATTCTTACTTGCATTAAGATGTTGATGCGGCTTTCTTCTTTTGTAATTTTTTTTTAATCTGTCCTTTTTGGAAATTAACTGTGTATGAGGTTTTCTAAGAATGCATTCACAGAGGGGTATTTTGATCTTATTTTCACATAGAGCTAATTATGCTGAATGGAATCATCTCACCACTGTAAAGTGAGCTCATGCTCTGTGATTTGTGCAAGTCCCTCAGCCTCCCCACACCTCATCCCAGTGAAAGGGAGAAAGGGGAACTCCACGAAAGTGGGATCCCAACCAAGTTCTGATAGACAATGGGGAAAAGGAGACTCAGCAGAAATGAAATAAACATGTGACATGAATATAATATTCTATTTAAATATATTGTATTTCACTAAGCGTAATAACATCCTTTTAGTCACTCACTCTTTCCTTCCCTTCCTTTCCTTTTATTAATAGAAGTAAGATGTAGCAAATTAATTTAAGTGCCTGCCATTGTCCTCCCATTTCCTCTCTCTCCCAAAGTCTTCCCCCAACATAAAACCTTTTTCACTTTTTTTTTTGGTATTATAGTCCTTATTTTGATATTTTAATGAAATACACTATTAAGGCATATGTTACACACATACATACACCCACAAACACACACACGCACACACACACACAGTTTGTCTGTTGGCTCAAATGGCAGAGTCAACCCAGATGAAAATGTGTAAGTCTGTAGGCTGCAAACAAGGCTTGTGTCTTTGCTGAACAACCTTGTTTGAAATCCATCCCATGACCTCCCACCCCCAGCCTTCTTTTCCCTGGAGATGACAAGGATAATCATGCATACCTAGCAAAGAGTTGATGTCAAGTAAATGGTGGCTTCAATTATTCAATTTTCCTCCTCAAGTTTCCTGTAATGGCACCGTATGCACCAGTAATGACTGCAGTTTTACTTTGGTTTGCTTTCAAGAGGAGAGCTTGGTTTGTTCTCAGTCCTTGTTCTGTACCCCTGCCTTGGGTGTTAGTAGAGGCTAATGAGTGGGAGGGGGCTTTCTAAACACAGAAAAAAGAATAAACTAAACTGTCAAGAGAAAAGAGTACAATCTATTAGAGGTTTTGATCACCCTATTTGTCACAGAGAAATAACAGATGCATTAATGCACACAGCATTTATAATTCAGAGATCATTGTTACACCAAATGACAAATGATGTTACTATAATGTACCATTTGTCTTTTCTCACATAGTTAAAAAACCATAATTACTAAAAATCATGACAACTTGCCAATTAAACAGACTCATTCACCCACAGATGAAGCATGCATCTTTGCATTTTGCAAATTAAATAGAGGTGTGTGGGGAGGATAAGAACCAAAGTGTGTGGTACAGTGATTTATTAGGAAGCTTGAACAGGTATACATTAAAAGTAAAATAATTTCTACCTGTTTTCTAGAGCATCTGAGCCACCTGAAAAAATTTCCAGTTGTAAAAAACAGTAATCTGTTTTCTCCCTAAAGACCTTCAGACTTCGTAACAATCTGACTAATAAAGTTAATCTAATCTCATCTGTCTTTTACATTTATTGTGCCAGTGAACAAATGATCTAATACAAGTAAAAAGAATGGATTAATCTTATATTATTTGAAAAAAGAATTTTAAATGTACATAAAACCACTGGGCACACCATTTTGGAAATAAATAATAAAATGCATTACCCCCAGAAAAACGGTACAGAAAGGGAGGAAGGAGTCCAGGATATGGCAACAGACAGCTGATTGAGTTCCTGAAAGGACTTGAGAGAAGGGCTGGTCAGGGCCAGCTAACATCCAGCCCTCATGAGGAGAGAAAAAGTGACAGTATATTTAATACATGGTGTTTCTGCTCTGGGTGACTTTGGGACCCAGGAGGATGAGCGCAGCCCTCTTAGCAAGTGGAGCTCAATTTTGTTCACATGTCACAAGAGTTTATGGATTCTGTAATACATGTCAATTCCTAGAAGTAGAAGCTTCCATTTGCCTTTGCCTGCTGACAGACCACCCCTTTATTTGGAAGAAACTACCTCTTTTGTTATACAATGTAAAATAAAGAGCCATTTCCTTGAGAGAGAGAGAGAGAGAGTGTGTGTGTGTGTGTGTCTTAAGGAAAAATAGTGTAAGACTGGGTGTGGTGGCTCACGCCTGTAATCTTAGCACTCTGGGAGGCTGAGGCGGGCAGATCACCTGAAGCCAGGAGTTCGAGACCAGCCTGGCCAATATGGTGAAACTCTGTCTCTACTAAAATACAAAAATAGCCAGGCCTCGTGGTGCATGCCTGTAATCCCAGTTACTCGGGAGGCTGAGGCAGGAGAGTCACTTGAACCCAGGAGGTAGAGGTTGCAGTGAGCCGAGATCGCGCCACTGCACTCCAGCCTGGGCGACAGAGCGAGACTCTGTCTCAAAAAACAACAACAACAATAACAATAACAACAACAACAAAAAAACAGTGTAGTAATCCAAATGCAGATATTTGAGGTTTGTTTAATAAGAAAAATTCTGTTGTGCATCAGCTAGAGGCCACCGTGGAGAATGTGGTTAGGTGCACAGGTCGTGGGGGCAGTGGGTAAAGATCTCATCCCAGGGTCCCCACATCTTATAGTGGCTGCCATAGGGAAATTCACTTAAGCTCTCTCTGCTTCCATTTTCTCCTCTTAAAATGAGCCTAATCACAGTACCCAATTCATAGGGCTATTGTGAGCATTCGTGAAATGAATCTCCTGCCCATGGTAGATGCTCAGTAAGTGCTGGGTGTTTGTTGGTGGGTGGGAAGGGATATTTATTTCCTCTGTTTGTGTTTAGACAGCAAAATTCTAAAATTGGTGTCTGGTTTGTTAGAAATGGATCTGATTTGCAGAAACCATTGCAATGAGGGAGTTAGCAGAAAAGTGGCCTTGCCGTCTGTTGGAGTGTGAGATTTGCCAGCTACAATTATAAAAAGGGCTAATTAATTTTAGAATGGATAAAACCCAAAAAGCAGTCTTCGTTTGCAAACAAAATTGTGTTACAGCCAGAGCTTTCATAAAGAAAAGTCCAAACACCCCAAACTCATCTTTGTATTTTGTGAGGATAGGATCATCATCAACAGCAAGAATATCTACTTCTTTGACAATAATGAAACTGGAAATGATAATTTAAGGAGGGAGCACCAGCATATGAGACTATAGAATTTCCATTTGCACTAGCTATCCTTCTCTTTACAGAGCTGTTTGAATTTCCCTTGGGAAAAGATGCAATGCAGACTGGCTTTGAAACTTGGACTCCTTGGCCAAAAAACATGCATATTTGTTTCCTTTTAATTTGTTCAAATGTATCATCAACACAACCAGAATCCCTGTGCAGTTGGTACTGGACTAGTTAATTAGCAAGTGTAAATAAACAGGTGAGAGAAAATAAATTTGCTGTTTAGAATATATTTTGCAATTTTTTGGCAAATAGTCAAAAGGACAGCTTTTACATTTCTAAAGAAGGAGAAGGTGACATATGACCTAGATAAATGTATGATCCTAATCTACTGTATTTCACCAACTCTTACTTAATGCAAGAAATGGAAATATTATCTCCACAGAACCATAGTAGTATCCCATAAGGAGGAGATTGGGAGAATAGAGAATTTTGGGGTCTGAGCTCAAGTGACTTAAGGCAGATCTTTCAGTGCAGGAAATCAATTGTCATTGGGCTTGGTTCATAAGGTCATGGTTTAGGACTGGTAGCACAATTCAGTGGGGTCTTGAAGTGAGTCTGAGGAATAGACTAGGTTGGATAGGCAAGCCAATAAGCAAGCCATTTGTATGGACAAATCAATTTGCAGAAATTCCCTGAAGCAGCCGGGAAGTTATTTATTGATTTATGCCTTTATCTTACTAAAAAAAAAAAAAGAATGTCCTGCAACAAATTGTGAAGTTATGTGTTTATAGTCAGCCTCAGTCCTCCATCCTGATAGTGAAGCTCTGCGAACACAGGTTGTCCCTTCTCTCCTGATACCATGTCAAGTGCCCTTTCCCTTGTACCACACTCTTCTGCTCTCTGCCCAGGGCCAGAACTTTGCTTTAACTACAGAATGCAAATTCCATTCTCGTGCCCTATGTCTCTTGCAAGTGCACAGCACTGAAGTTGAACACTTTAAAGCTCTCAGTCTCCAAATCCTGTCTGTGAGCTGGCTCTGAGCTGCTTGTGCTTTAATTCCCTGGGGAGTTTTTCTTTTCTCCTGGAACCCTTCATTTTTAATGTATCATATATTTTTCCAGAGGATGTGCACAGCTAGGTTTGTGAATCCTTGAACCAGGAGACAGAAATGAGTAATAATTCAGTGTTTCTTGAGGTGATTAAAGGCATAGAATACCTAAACACCTTCTTGTTCTTTCTATGACACCATGAAGAATGTCAGATTCAAATACTTGTAACTGAAATGATTATATATGGTATTTAGGACTACACTTCACTAGCAATAAGCAGTACCAGGTAAAAGGTTTAAATACAATGCACAGAAGATCTTTTTTAATTAAGAAAATTGCTCTCATCAACTTCTTCCCCTTAAAAGTTGAAGGAGGGAAAAAGGTGAGTCACATTGTGTCTGGATGAAGCATTAGACCACAGGGCCATGCAAACACAGAGAATGAGAACCACTGGGCTAGAAAGAAACACAGCTGGAAACTCAGTCTGTGAGGCTGCCTAAATAGCAGCTGTAGGGGATCACATTTGCATTCTGACAGGAAGTATGTTGCCATAATTTGGAGAAGATACAGGGGGTGAGAATTACTGGTTCTTTGTGACTGCAGGTATGAGAGATAATTTTTTTTTATATTTGAGGAATTCTAAGACTCCCTTGTCCTCAGGGGTAGGCAGCCATCTGTTTTGCCCATGACTACACTGGTCCTCTATTATAACTGGTATTTGTCTTATGCTTTCAGTTCAGGCAGGTTGGGCCAGGTTATGCCTCGGTAACAAACAGCCCCCAAATCTCTGTGATTTAACACATCAAGCATGCCCTTTTCCTTCACAATAAACATCAGTACAGTTCCACCAGGAGCTCCAACATTAATGGGGTTCCATCCCTGCATGGGCTTGTATGATGTGTTAGAAGAAAGGGCTGTTGGGAGTCATACACTGGCTCTCAAGCTTCCATCTGTAAGTAACACGGTTCACTTCCATTTCAATTTCATTCGCCAAAGTTAGTCACATGACCACACATAATTTCAAAAGGGGAAGAAAGTTTATCTCTTTCATATGCCCAGAAATAAGAGAACCAGAGCACATTATTTACCAACAGCCTCCAAATGTTAACTTAGGTTTGAGAAATAGACATTCTCACACTCAAATTGCAGCTCCAACAACAGCTAGTAGGTAGCCTGAAAAGTACTGAGAGAGAAAATGGGTCCCTAGAGAAGCTGTTTGCATTATCTCTCTGACGGTTTGTATTGATGGGCTGGGTTAAATTAAAAGGGCCAAAGCAGGAAAGACATTAGCTATCCCAATCTGTCCCATCCTTTAGTCAATGCCAAATCCTTCCCTGCTGTGAAATGTTCTATGACTGTCTCAGGCTGCATTGTTCTGTCTCGTTTCTTCAGTTATCACCAATACCTAACACATGGTCACTCTTTGATAACAATGGGGGAAGTGAATGAATGCTTGTAAATCAATATTCCGGGGGAAACAGTTCTCCTCTGTGCCACTCCACAAAGTGCCTAGGCCAAGGATGGGCACGCAGTACAAAAACCATAACTCTTTAACAGTTGATTGACTAAAAACAATAATAAACACGAAATTGATGGATGTGAGCTGAGCTCCTCATGGTTCCCTCAAAGAATAAATGCCATTTCTATTGAAAGCACATTGCTTACTCCTCCCACTCAGCCTGGCCACACAGAGTGAGTTGGAAGACTGCTGAATATAAATGACATTTGGCTGGGTCCTTGTGAGGACAGTCATTAATATTGCTAACAGGTCCATGTGTTAAACTTGGCCCAACACGGGCACCAGATGCATCCTCCCAGGCAACCTGGGGGCCCTTCTGATGACTCCTCCAGGCCAGGCACACTGCATCTGCTTGCATTCAGGCAGCCTGGCCACTTGGCTCGAGACAGAGCGTCCATGGCAAGAACGAACACTCTCCCAGCGAGGCTCTACTTCATGAAAAATGAATGTAGCTGGGGAGGTTGAGTCCTGCTGGCAGATCTGGTCTACAGATGGTGTACTTCTTCTAATGACTGGGGACAGCCGATTGAAAGATCATCTAGGCCTACTTCTGCAGTCCCAGAGGAGTTAGATAAATTCAACAGGGATTTATAATAATTGCATGCCTACTTTGTATCTAGCCCTGTGATCACGAAAATGGGCAATCAGAGATTCGGAAGAAAGATGAACTAAGGCGTCCTTTGACAAAGGTGTGATCTTAAAGTTGGACAGTGTGTAATGAGAGGAGGAAATAAATTCCTCACTGTGGTGAAGGGTTAAACATTTTTTAATAAATCTAATAAAGGATTCACATACATTATTTCTTTTAATATTTGCAATCGCCCTATGAATAGATACTAATATCTCCATTTTCCAGATGAGGAAACCAAGGCTCAGAGGTTACACGGCTTCCCCCAAAGTCTGACACTTGATAGAGTCAGGATTTAAACCTCTGATTCTGAAGGCCATGTTATGAGATTGTACCTTATATCTTGAGGGCTATTGAGTTCAAATAAGTCAGGCTCAGAATATGACGAATAATAAGAAACATTTCCAGAGTGCTCACTAGGCACCTGACAACTTCCTACGCCCTTTCCATGGAATAACTTATTTAACTTATAGCAACCCCATCAGTTCAGTACTAATATACCCTCACTTTATAAATAAGGAAACATGCACAGAGAGTTGAGATAATCAGCCCAAAGTCACACAATGAAGTGGAGTAGTAGGAATTTGAACCCAGATGAACACAGTTTGTCTTCCTGCCCACTACACTGTATTAGTAATACACGTAACGATCACTTCCTTCCCCTAAGCCTCCCCAAATATGTCCAGGACATTAACTGAGAGGGTTATTTATTGTTTTTATCTGTCTTGTCTCAAAATAGAAGTTTACAAACTTTTAGAAAACAACTTTCCCTGGCCTTAGTTTTCAAAACCTAGAGAAGGAGGGCTTTAAAGATTAGGTGTGGTCAAATCTGATAGATAGATAGATAGATAGATAGATAGATAGATAGATAGATAGATAATTGATAGACAGAGATAGATAGATGATAGATAGATGATAGACAGATAGATAGATAGATAGATAGATAGATAGATAGATAGATAGATAGATAATAGATAGATGCATATAGATTTTTTTAAAACTTCTGTCTAAACTAGGAAGCAAGTGGAGGAGGGAAGAGATCCCACAGGTGAAAGTGTTAGTTACTGCCCTCCTGAGAAAGGTGATAGGACTTCTATTAGTGATATTGCACAGTAGAAAGGCTGCACATGAGGAGGTAAGGCTCCTAGCCTCATGAATAATCTCATTGTACAAGTTTAATATAGAAACAGTAATGCAGTCAACTTCAAAAAACCACTCAGATTTAGACAATTACATTCCTGCTGACCATTGTAGACAGGCCATAGGGCCTGAGCCAAATGCTTTGGAATTTCGTGGTGCTTAAGGGTTCCAAAATGAATCTCAAGAGGGTAAGAGTTCTCCACAACAAAAAGATATTAAATTTCTTATCTACTGTGAGAAATAGGGGCCGGGACTCAGATTTCATTTAATTTGAAACAAAGAAATGGAAGGTTCTTAGATGTGAGTAAGGCAAGACCCTTTCTGTGTGTAGATATTATCTTGACATTCTGCAGTTTTAATATTTAGTACAGTATTAGCTTGAATATCTGAGAAATGCTTCCTTTCTCTTTTCCCTAATTCACACACACACACACACACACACACACACACACACACACAATGGAAGAAAAGAATAGAGAGGAAGAAAAATAACAAAGCTAGAAAGATTTGTAGTGGCAGATGCAAAAATGAATATTAACTGTTTTTCCAAGTAATAGAATCAGATGTTTAGTTTAGCAGGAGACTGTTGTGTATCTAATTTTTCCATTAAGATTTTCATAGAGAGAGACCTGATAACCACTTTTGCAGTGAATATTGCCGAGGTGTACTTGCATGGTTGAAGGGGAAGAAAATGAATATGTGCATTTAAAATTTTTATGATTACATTTTTAGTGAAAGGAGGAGGATGACTGGAGTTTCACAGCTGCTTTAATACAACTGGTTTCACTTAGAGAAGATGACATGTTGAAATGTGATGAGTAAAGATGTGCAGAATGCTTCCCCAGTAATTGGAATTCAAGCAACAATAACACTGGGCATTGTTGGATCCTTTACAACTTTAAGAAAAAGGTCTCCTTCCTTCATTTTGGAAAAAAGCGCACATATTATAGAACATCATGACTTTATTCAACATTAAAAAGAGAAATTAAAAATTATTTCACCTGAGTGCATCTGCATTTGAATCAAGCATATGCTTAAGTTTATGCAACTTCTAACGCACAATTTCTTCTTCCAACTTTCTATTGCTATAAAATGGCAGGATTTTAGAGCTGAATGAGTAATTTTGTGTCAAATTCTCACTTTAGAAATGAGGAGATAAAGGCCTAGGTAAGTAAGGTAATTTACCTATAGATACACAGTAAATTGATGGCAGAAATGGAACCAAGCTAAGAACTCCTGATTGTGCTTCTTGAATAGCCCAAGATGGGAGGGTCTGAGCAGTGGGAAAGAGACTGTCAGGGGCCAAGGACCAGTTATCCTGGGGAAATATTAAGAAGAACTGAATGAGACTAACAGCTGGTAAAAGGCCATTGGCTGTAGCAAACAGATTACAGATGATGTCTATAGTCAGGACTTTTTTGGTCATGAGTGGTGGAAAACCATCTAAAACTAGCTTGAGCTAAAGGAAAAAATTACATCCTCATGTTACCAAGAAGTCTGGATTTAGAAGTTATTTCAAGTACACCTGCAGAGAGGTGCCCAAATGACTATCAATCCTTTTTCTCGAGCTCTGTTTCTTCGCTTTCTGTGTTGGTTTTATTCTTTCTTATAGGTAGCATCTTCCATGCAGTGAGAAAGAGGGCCACTTTGTAATCTGTATTTATGTTCTCCCACTTTGGCAACCTCAGCTGAAAAAGAAAGCCTGCCTTTCAACGTTCAAACATTAATTGTGGAGCAGAACATTAATTTCTGCCCCAAAGGTATATGTTGGTAATTAACATATACCAACTCTATACTCAAGAAGTCGCTATTCTTGGCCAGAGGTGAATAACATTTCAACTCTATAGCTGGTGCAATACAGAGAGATTTTATGATTCACTGACCAACTGAGGACATATGATAAGGCTTATCTTAAAGATAAGAGGATATGTAATTGGAAAAAACAGGCTAAACATTAAAACAATAGCTTGAGTCTTCCTTTAGTGACCAACAAGCGTATATACCCTTCTTTTCAAACATTTGCTCTATCTAACAAATTACAAGTATCTATGTACAATTAAAATCATGTTCAACACTGCCCAAGGGGTTATAGCCTAAAGTCAGTTCCAGATACTGCATGCTAATTTCATGTCATGACATATCATGAATCATAATTCATAATACAAAATGAATCTTAAAACGATTCATCCCATGAAATGAGCTTTGAATCAAAGGAATATTCATTCTGCCTGTATTTCTACTAAAATCCTATTTCAATATTCTGAGGTCTATGAATAAAGTAAGTACTCGGTTTCATCATCTGAAGCATACCAACTGAAAACTGGCTGGAAAAACGTAATAATCTCAAACACTCCCACTTACAAAGCAAAGAAAAGGAAATATTATGAGGAGACCCTTGATCCATAGCACATGCCGAATACTCCTGGACAAGAAGAATCCTATCTCTCTGCATTAGTTGGGGAATAAGAACCTTGGTCAGTCAATCTTGCTGTCCTACTTTCCGTGCTCTGATATCATTTCCTCCATGATCATGCCAGGCAGAGACATAGAAACAAATTACATGCTAGAAGTTCTATCACTTTAGAAGCCCATTTCCTGTAGGGACAATGATAGGAATCTTTGGTTTGCTTTGGAAGTTGAGAAAACTTTTATCTCTAAAGCATGTTTCTCTGACAATAGAACTACTTTAAAACCCCACTCAACCTCAAGGCTATTATATTTCTAAGGACTCCCAGTTACAAATACTGGGACATTTTTAAAGATATGATCCATGTATGTGGATCCCAACCTGGTAGACTGTTTTTTGTAGCAATAGGCCTTGATGCTAGGCTGTAATGGATGCCATGGGGTACCTCCTACAACCCCTGTACAGGTCTAAAACCCTCATTTCCCTACTTCTGGGAGTTTTAGCAGCCAGCAGTTTTCAGCTGAATTCTTTTTTGGAACTTGCCTTCAACTAAACAGAGCTGACTCTCACAATTTTTGCCTCTTCCCTGGATTTAGAGGCACATTTGATGACCGGTCAACATAGGGGTATAAATGCCTGGTCCCCCTGTTCAACTTTAGACAACTCTGAAGGGCCAACTCAGCTTCATAACTTTACATAGAATTGACCAATGTCAATATTGCTATAGCATCACTCTGCCCAATCTTGCTACCTTTATTCCTCCACAGGTGTGGATTCTGAAAGCATTCCTACAATAAATATTCTGCTCGTAAATTCCCATCTCACTGTCTGCTTCCCAGGGAACCCAACCTATGACAGGCAGTGCCAGGAGTCTAAGAGACAAAATTCTAAAATGAGATTACTGGAACTCAGTTAGATAACTTGCAGACTGGCAGGCAATAAGGACCCCAAAAATGGTGATTGGTGGAGCATGGACATTCCTTGGCATATAACAGTGGAGTAATTATTAAAATTCTCCCCAGTATTAACCAAGATTGCATACCAAGAAAGGAGAAAGCATTGATATGTGCAATGTAAAAGATGACCAAGAAATATTTGAGAATTAATAATTATGAGGACTACGGAACTGGATGAATGTTGCTGTGCACAATGAACACTGTGAAGATGGACAATGAAGGGCTGAAGGTGATTCATGTCCAACCAAAGACTAAGGCCAGAGGGTCTTCTTAGAAGCATAGAGAGAGACTAACCCCCTGCTTCTACTTGAAAGGGGTGGACTTTGGAACAACCAAAAACTGCCAAATTTTAGTAAGGCCTTCTCTCAGTCAGTCAGTCTTCTCTCACCAGAGAAGCAGACCTGTAGGATATACATACATACATCATTGTGTGTGTGTGTGTGTGTTCACACAGAGACACATGCATATGCATATATGTATATGTGTATGTGTTAATATACATATGATTCGTTATAAGGAATTGGCTTACACAATTTTGGGGGCTGGCTAAGCAGGTCTTAAATCCATAGTGCAGACAATCAAGAAGAGCAGCCTGGAAATTCTTTGACAGGAACCAAAGCTGCTGTCCCCAGGTAAAATTTCTTCTTCCTTAGGGAAATCTCAGCTCTGCTGTTAAGGTCTTTTATGTGATTGCAATCAGGCCCACCCACCCAGATTATTTGGTGTAATTTTCTGTACTTAAAGTCAACAAATTGCAGCTATTAATCATATCTACAAAATACATTCATAACAACATCTAGATTAGGATTTGGTTGCATAATTGAGGACTTGAGCTTGGCAGAGTGGACACATAACGCTGATCCTCCTAGGCCTAGAGCAGGAAAAGGCTCTACATCAGCTCCAGGCTGTGGTTTCTCACATTCATGAGCTCATAGCTTCAGTGGAGGAAAAAGAGCACCGCTTAGCTGGGTCTCTGCCTAGGGTCTCATAAAGCTATAATCAGGGAACTGTCCACTGGAGGGAAAGATGCCATGTGATATTATGGTGAGATCCAATATGAGAATCACATCATGGATGAAACCAAGGAGTGGAAGTAAGAGAGGCTACATTTACCGTCATTCTGAATTTCCCACTTGGTGAACCTGGACCTCCCATTTCCAAAGCTGGTTTAGACGTTTTGATTCCTAGATGGAAAACAATTCTACCAAGTGAAAGAGCTGAGTCCTACTAACCCAAGTGACAGCTGCTGCTTGGTCACTTCTGACTCTACTCTTTTTGCCAAGAGACCAGCAACTGAAGGAATCAACATCCTGGCAGGACAAATGATTCTGATCATCAGAAGGTTGTTCATACATCACAAAGATGGGAAGAACATGTGTATTCCCCAGATGAACCAATGGGTGTCTTTTGGTGCCCCCTTTCTTCAATAACTTTCAGAATTGTCCTAAATTGTACTAAGAAGAAAATTGTTTATATTCTGCATCAACCAATCATTAGAAATGAGATTCTGAGAAGTGGACAGGACTTCTTTGGCCAAAGTGGCTTCTTCAGCTAATGGCAAGTCGCAGAGAAGGATCCAGTGGAACTTATTGGCAATTAACACTTGCAAAAGCTAGAAAAATAAGTGTGGTATCTGAAGTTATAATTAAGTTTTTAAATTACCATGATAAATTTTATTATTATATCACCTAATCTTTTAGTCACTTTTTTGTCACAAACACTGTCTCCTATTCTATTCGTTAGATTATTTTTACTTGAATCTGGCAGGCTTATGACTGCTTCAAGCAAACAGAGTAAGGTAGAAGCGAAGCTGTGTGTCTTCCATGGCTGGGTCAGAATAGGTCATTCAGCTTCCTATTGATTCTCTTGGGCAGTCACTCTGGGGAAAGCTGGCTATTGTGTAAGAAGTCCAACAACCTTGAGACTACCTTGCTAGAAAGGTCACAATTTGACAGCCCATTTGACAGAAACAGCTGAGTTCTCAGCCGATAGCCAGGAAAACCACCAACCATGCGCGTACAACATCTTGAACTCACAGCCAAGCCAAGTTTTCTGATAATGATGTCTAGCTGATATCTAAATGCAGCTGCCTAGAAGGACCAAATACAAACCAGCCAGCTAGGGCCTTCTCAAGTTCCTGACCCACAAAATTTTAATAATAATAAAATGATTGTTGTGCACAACTCAGTTTTGTGGACAAGCTGGAAGTGTCCTAAGGAGACTCTTAGTGGAAACATGATGGGACTCGAGAAGGTTGTTGGAGAAGAGCTAAAGGAAGATGGCATTGAAAGCTGAGGAGTATCTTTATCCTGACACTACCATGTTGGAGAGGTTCTAGGGAGGCATTCTGAGTAACATTCTTCACTGAATTCTCAGACGACTGCCAGCATCAAATCCTAAATATGTCTGTGGGCCTTCGCAATGCCCAAGAATTCTGTGTAATATAACTTCTATATAGGAAAGCTTTTGAATTTGAACTTTTCTTTCGATAACCAGCCATTTTACTATTTACATGTGTTATGTTAAGATTTTATGTTGGAAAGTTAACATCTTAAAAAATGATAGTTTTTTAAATTATTCAAATATTTCATTTTTCTTGTTGCATTGACTAGAAGAGCTAAACTAGTGTTAAGTAAAAGTGGGCACAGCAAATATTCTTGTCTTCTCCTACATTAATGGCTTAATAAGCTTAAGTTATTAAAAAACCTTTATTAACAATAATAATAAGAGCTATTGTGGATTACTGTTTGGTGCTAGGTGCATAATAACAGTATGTTATAGTTCTTAAGAGCACAGATTAAAAAGCCAGATTTATTGGATTCTAATTCCATCTCTGCTCTTTGTGATGTAGGGCAAGTCATTTTACCAGTCTTTGCTTTAGTTTCCTCATCTATAAAATGGGGATAACAATGGTCTACTTACCTCATTGGGTTGCCGTGGGGATTAAAATGAAGGGGTAAAATTGGCATCACTTAGTGCAATGCCTGATCCTTAGTAAGTACTGTGTAGGTGTCTGTTGTTATTAACCTTTATCAAGAGTCTTCTATGTCCAGATTCTGTGCTAAGAGCTTCAATTTACTGCCATATACAAGGTTTACAACCTTTCTGTGAAGTATATACTATTTTCTTAGTATTTCAGGGAAGGAATCTGCAGCTCCAAATAATTGTATAACTTGCCTTGTTGCTTAACTGTAAATGACAGAGCAAGGTTTTGAACTCAAGTCCATTTAACTTTCTTTCTTTCTTTCTTTCTTCCTTTCTTTTTTTTTCTTTTGAGACATAGTCTTGCTCTGTCACCCAGGCTGGAGTGCAGTGGTGTGATTTCAGCTCACTGCAGTCTCTGCCTCCGGGTTCCAGCAATTCTCCTGCCTCAGCCTCCTGGGTAGCTGGGATTACAGGCTCATGCCACCACACCCTGCTAATTTTTGTATTTTTAGTAGTGACAGTGTTTCACCATGTTGGCCAGGGTGGTCTCAAACTCCAGACCTCAGGCAATCCACCAGCCTCAGCCTCCCAAAGTGTTGGAATTACAGGCATGAGCCACTGTGCCCAGCCCCATCTAACTTTCAAGTTCATATTTCCCCCCAGTGATATGATATGCTTCTAGTTCCATGGCAAGTACTTTGCAAAAGCAAAGAGAAATATTATACATAGTTCCTTCCCTTATGGGTCTTAAAACTCCAGGAGCCAGTTAGGGCTGCCAGCAAAGCACTCAGTTTGCTGGATCACTGGAGAGGAGGAGAGAGGAGCAGCCATGAAGAACTTGGCTCCATTCTAAGTTCTAAATTTTGAATGTCAAGGAAAGCAGCTGCCCTGGATTTCCCTGAAGAGCAGTGAGCTGTCAGATGCTGAGATTCCATCAGACAAAGAGCCCAGGTTATCTCCCTGCAGGGATCTGATATTTGACCTCACCTTGCTTTTATTCTGAAGTCATAATGAAAGGTTGAGATGAGGATAGCCAAAAACATGTCTGGCATGGAAGGTTGGTTCCCCTGAATAAATTGCAATGATTAGGAAATGAACATATTTGGAGACCTTTGAAATAATGTTTCCATTTTAATAGTACTTTATTGCAAACTGGCTGTCTTCAATCTTGACCTTCTTTATGACATTCAATTCCACATTTTCAACTGTTTCCTGGATGGCCCTATAGATAAGAACAATAAAATCCTCTGAATTAAAATAATCCAAGTAAAACTAAAGTTATCATCCAAGTTTACCTTCCCACCTATACTTTGTTGTCATTGATATTGTCATTAATCTTATTGTGTATGCTTGACACTTTGAAATTATCCTTGACCCTCTGACCCTCTCCTTCAAGATAAACACTAGGTTCTATTGAATTTTCCTCATTTATCTCTCTCTTTCCCTCTCTCTCTCTCTCTCTCTCTGCCTTAAGTACAACTATCTCTATAGTTTACACCTACATAGGCACATAGTCCAATCATTATTTTCTAATAAAAGCCCCCCTTTCATTTCAAATCCCTTCTACCCAGTATGTCAAAATAAATCATTCAAAAAATCCCCTTGAGTAGGGAAAGAGAAAATTAGTAACTTTATAGTAGAGAACTTTGGCACACTCTATCTTAACCATGTGATAAAGGTTCACATCACCAGATATGTCATGCGAATATCATGACCCCATCATGTAAGGTGACTGGAAGGGCTCTGGAGTTTAATTCCAGTGTAATCATGAGGAAAAAACATCAGACTTACCCAGGTTGGGAGAAATTCTAGTGGACATTTGGCCAGCACACATTAAAACTGTTAAGGTCATTAAGAAAAAAAGGAAATACTGGGAAACTGTCACAGACCAGAGGAAACTGGGAGGTATGATAATTAAATGCAATGTGGTACCCTGGGTTTGATCCTGGAGTAGAGAGAAGGCATTCACGGAAAAGCAAGAGATATGCAGATGGCTGGAGTTTAGTTTGTAGCAATGTACCAATGTTCATTTCTTAGTTTTGACAAGGTACCAAATGAGGAAAACTAGGAGAGGGGTATATAGAAAGTCTCTTTATAACTTTTTTGTAAATCTAAAATTATTCTGAAATAAAAAGTTTACTTAAAAAATGCTCTGTGTGCAAAAATTTTCATTAGAGCCCCACTGTTCATCAAGTCCATGTGTAGAATCCTGCTGTCCTTGGCTCACTACTGCCTTCTTCAATCATCTCTGTAGGCAGAATGATGCCATTCCCAAAGATGTTCACACCCTAATCTCCAGAAACTATTAATACATTGTCTTTCATGGTTCTATTAAGGTTATTGGCCTCGAGATTGGGAAATTATTTTAAATCACTTGGGTAGGCCCAATCTAATCATATGAGCCTCTTAAAAGCAGAAAACGTTTTTTGTCTAGAGGCAGAAGAGATGTGGCAGAAGGGGAAGTAAGAGAGATTCCAAGCATGAGAAGGATTTGGTGTGCTGTTGCTGCCTCTGAAATGCAGGACTCCCCACGCATGGACCAGAGGAGGCCACAAAGCTGAGAGTAGTCCCCAGCTGACCGCCAGCAAGGAGAAGAGGAGCTCAATCCTACAGCTGCAAGGAAATGTTTTCTGCCTATAACCTGGCTGAGCTTGGAAAGCTTTTTTTCCCAGAACCACTCCATAACAACCCCCACCAACCAATATCTTAACTTTGGCTTTGTGACACCTACAGAAGAGGAATCAGCCAAGACAACCTGGACTTCTGACCTAAAGAGGCATGAGATAATAAATGGGTGTTGTTTTAAGTTGCTAAAGTGGTAGTAATTTGTTATAGCAGCAATAGAAAGTTAATTCATCCTGTATATTTTTTTCTTTTTAGTCCAGTGCGGTCTTTCTCATCTTGTTTTTTACTGTCTCTGCCATTCATTTGGTATGTGGGGGAGGCTGCCTTTTACTGTTTTTCTGAACATGAATGCATCATTTTCCCAACTAGGTTATAATTTCTTTGAGCACTATGGTCTTGCCTTGTTCATGACTATACGTGTGTGTGTGTGTGTGTGTGTGTGTGTGTGTGTGTGTGTGTGTGTATTTCCAGCTGCTTACTGTTGCATTTGAGGCTTCCTGATCCTGCCTGCCTGCATCTATCTTTTAGGCTTTTCACCCATCAGTCTCTGACACCTACCCTAGATTTCAATCTACACTTGGTAAATATTTGTTGTATATAAAACACGAGTGTCTAATGTCCTAATCATAGTTGTTCAATAACATGGTGATTATGATAAGCCTGAAGAAGTGGAACGAAGAGAGAGAAAATAGTGTCAGATTCTGAGATAAGAAAGTAAGCAAAAATATTATGAGTCACAACAGATATTCCTCAAAAATAGTGATTTTCAAGTTGGTCAATTGCCCCAGGAGATATTTGGCAATGTCTTGAGACATTTTTTATAGTCATGGTGGGGGAGGGAGATTTCAACTGACAACTAGTGAGTAGAAGCCAGAGACGCTGCTTAACATCATATGATTCACAGAACGGCCCCTACAACACAGAAGTATCCAACCAAAAACATCAACAGTGTCCACGTGGGAAACCCTATTCTAAAACCACACTGCTCAGCTATGCATAAGGGATAAGGTAAGGGTCCTGCTGTACTTCGGAATATAAGCAAGAACTGGAACAATTGAATAATCCACAGGCTCAGTCCTTAGGGAGTCTGTAATTACATATGAACAATAGCATTTATTCCACACTTCTGTGAATGTCTCTGTCATGTCTAGATATGTTTATCTGTCAATGCCTAAAATTAAAATATTTTCTTGAGCTATAAATTAGCATTAGTATCTCTCTGTAAGCCAGCTAACCCCAAAGATGAGGTTATGTCCACAGATGCTAAAGGAAAAACAAGTTCTCAGCACATTATCTAATTAACAGCCAAGCCTGCTGTCCGCTTAGTACTCCTATGTGGTATTGCCACTCTTTCGAGGACAGCCCTCATTTTCACAAATGCTCACGTTCAGCCCTTATAATATTTATCTTGTCAAGTTATGAAAAATTGTTGAAAAGTCATTTTGTACATTTTTGGGCATTTGAGCCTGAGAGAAAACGCTGAAGCCCAGTGAAGGGTCCATTTGCCACATGCCACTTCACCAGAGGGAAGGAAGAGTCTGCCAAAGACTCTTCCTTTCTCTCAAAATTTTCAAATAAATAATTTCTCCTAAACCTTCCCAGACTCCAATGTATCACTTTTCAAGCTGCTTGAAAGCTAAGACATCTAAACAAGAGAAATTTAGTTAAGGAAAAAAATGTAGCTTTCAAGAGCAGAAGCTGGGAAACTACTTTCACATGAGAAGTTCAATTTAATCTGAAAGGAAGACAAATCTATCAATGTCCATTCAACTGGTTCCAAAACCTGAGGGGCACTCAGTTTCCTCCTAGTGGAATCTATGTATTAGATGTTATTTGGGTTTTTCTGTTCCTGAAACACTTACTTTAAGGTGTACCATGTAATTGAATTTGGCTTTTATTTTCTCTTAGTCTACGTATGTCTACACTTTTCAAATGCTCCTTAGATTTTTAGCTACAGGTAAAATTTCTCTAAAATGAGTAGGTGATTTATGTCCACATGCAACAACATTCAGCAAAACCAGGGAACCAGGCCAGTGTTCTCAAGTGGACTATAAGGAGTTTATCTGCTTCTGATTCAGTGGCTCTTTCCTTTTATTATGGGCTGCTGGAACGTGCTCTAGTGGAGTCCCTCATCAATGCCCAGCCAGGTTTGGGGGATAATAGTCTGACAGAAACACATTTCAGGGAGAAGTAATTTTATTGGCATCTTACACAAAGACCAACTTTAATAGTGAAGACTGAGTCTAACAATTTCTATTAAAGATATCAGGCTATGTAAGATCATAACTTGGACCCTTCCAGTTGATGAAGGAATCTAGCAAACCTCAGACAAGCACCAAACACTTGACTGTCTCTTACTCCACTGAAAGAAAGCAACTTCCTTTTGTCAAACACTTGCACTTACTAAGTACCGCACACTAACGGACACTTTTAACTCCATTTTGCAGGTAAAGGAACTGAGATTCAAAGAGTGTTAGTAACTTCACCAAGGTGGTAGAGAGAGGAATTAGGATTTGAACTGGAATGTGCCATGCTCCAAAGCCCTTGGTTTATTTCTCCCATACATGGACTGATGAACCCTGGAGTGCCAACCCCAGCACTCACACCAGCAACAGCACTGGGTGTCAAGAAAGGAGGAGAAACATAGGCCTTGATCTATAAGTGCAAGCATCCAAGAGTATAAAGGGCTTTTTTTGGTTTGTCTGTTTATAGCTTTGGGGACTATTTCCTCAGTGGAGAAGAGAGATGCACCATGAGTTAGCAACCCCTCAGTCAGCCAGGCCTGCATCAAGCATTGGCCCTTTCCCTACCTGTGTCCAGAGTGATCTTTAGCAGGTGATCGAAACTCTCCAAACCTCACTGTCTTCATTTCCCAAATAATGACAATCATAATAACTCTGGCCATGCATATTGTTTGAAAGCATCAAATAAAATACTCCCTGAGTGATCCTTGAACAAGTCAAAAAGTATGGAGGTGTTCTTAACCTTGCCCCCTCTCTCTATATGTAATAAGCTAAGACTGAAAGCTTAGCTAGAATCTTATAAGGCCAGAAACCCAGAGGAATCAGCTACTGTGGCTAGCAAAGTCTTCTTAAGAAGCCCCAGAAAACCCAAATCTCAATAGAGAATCACATTTTAACTATATGCCTCCTTTATCCTTTCAGGAATTAGCATGAGTTTAAAACAGAAATGAAAAATCAAGACAAACAAAATGCACTGTGACTTGAGCATATGCAGCATATCAGCAAGGGAGCCAGCATGGAGGAGACATCCTCGCATTTTATGAGACAGCTGTGGCTCACCTTTCCCTCTATTAAAAGCCAGACTCTGTGGCTTTTCTGCAGGATTACTAGAACCTCAATGAGCCCGTGATCGATCTGACTTTCAGAATACTTTAGCAGGCTCCGTGCCTCAGACATACCGTGCTCATCTTCCGTCCCCGCTGACATGTTTGTGTCAGATGGCAGCCAAGCTCATGGAGGGTCTGGCTAAGAATATCCGGGACTCTGCCTCCTTCACTCTTCTTTTCATGAGTTTTTTTCAGAGATTCAGAAAGTTTGTTAGAACAGTTCCTTGCTTTCTGGCCAGCAAATATACCAAATCTTCTGAATAAAATAAGAGTTCACACTGTAGTCGGCAGCCTCCAAGATGGCCCCAGAGAGCCTCACCTCCCAGAACTCACATCCTCGTGCACTCCCTTTCCTTTAGGTTTGAACTGGACTTACTGACTTGCCTCTAATTCATAACACATGACAGAAATTATAAGGTGTCATTGCTGAGATTAGGTTTAGGTTACAAAGACTGTGGCTTTATCTAGGGGCATGCCCCCAATCTTTCCCTCTTACCCGCTTTGATAGAGGCCAATCCCCATGTGTGAGCTGCCCTTGGAGAAGTCCACACGGTAAGGAACTAAGCGAGGCCTTTGGTCAACAGCCACTGAGGGACTGAGGCCCTCCGTCCAGCAGCACGTGAGGACCCGAACGCTTCCACAAACCTCTGAGTCCAGCAGCACACGAGGACCTGAATGCCTCTCACAATACCTTGAGTGAGCTTGGAAGCGGATCTGCCCCAAGTCCAGCTCTCTCATGAGACCACAGTGCCCACCAGTGCTGTGATTGCCATCTTGTGAGAGATCCTGAGTCAGACGCCCTGAGATCAGCTGTGCCTAGATTACTGACCTACGGAAACTGCAAGATGCCAAATGTTTGTTATTTTAAGCTCCTGAGTTTTGGGGCAATTTGTTACACAGCAATAGAAAACGACTACACGATACTTAGCAAATATTCCCAAGTGTCTAACTTGACAAAGCAAAAGAACCTTCTTCAAATAAGTGCTTTCCCAACCCCAGAAAACAACTCTGAATAAAAACGAGCATATCTTCATCATCAGTTCTAGTGTGCCTGTTTTCTGAGGCAGGTATAATACAACAGTAAAGAGGCCAGACTTCTGGGTTTAAAGACTGACTCCACTAACTTCTTCACTTTAAGTGAGTTATTTAGCATTTCTGTGCTTCATATATAGATAATGAGAATGATAATCATACCCATTACATAGAATTACGTTAGTATTATATTAGTTTATGTTAGTATTCTCAGCATGTAACACAGTTTCCATTATATAGTAAAGGTAAAATACATTTTCTCATGAGTGAATAGGTATGACTTAATCTTTTTATCCATCTAACTATACTGCAATCTATTTGAGGCCGTGGATCACTCCTCATGTTGTTATTTATTTCATCATATCCCAACATGCTATGCACAGAAAGGCAGCTCAAGAAATATTTTTGACTACTTTGACACAGAATAATATTGATCCATTAAAAGTTCATTGGTTGCATATTCTTATTTGAATTCTTTTTGCTGTGGAGACATAAATAATTTATCCTTCCCGATTCTACTATCCATTTGAATTTTTGGTTATGTGTAGATTTTATAAAGTGTCTAATTTTCTACCTCAATTTCCTTCAACCAACATGAATTAAATGTGTTTCTTACTTTTTCTTGCAATGAAATCAATCAAGATCCAGAAGTACTTAGTTTGTAGCTAAGACTTTGAGTATTGACAGTGAACATGAAAACTCTTTAGATGAGAGAATTTATAAGAACTGCAGTTCTGATACTTCTCTGTAAGAAACATCATTAGGGAAGCCAGTAATTCATCAGCAGAGAATCCCCAGGGAAGCAGAGCAAGGATGGCTTTGTGCACCATGATTTTCACTTCCAAATTTCAAACAGGGCTGTCCCAAACCTTGCCTGCTGTTTCATGTACTCACCACACTGATTGGTAATCACTGACCTACTTAGCTGTATGCTTCCTCGTACAGCTGGTACCCAGACTAGTAGCATCTCGTTATCTGAGAATTTGCTAAAAATGAAAATAACTGCGTTCTACCACAGACATAGTGAATCAACAACTCAGGAGCTTGGGCCAGAACTTTATGTTTCAACAAAATCTCCAGTTGATTCTGATGTAGCCTAAAGTTTAAGAACCACATTGCTATAGAGCATAAATTATTTGAGGGTAGTGCTCACGGATTATTTAAACTGATATTTCTAGTGTCCAGTGCTTGACCTAAAGTAAGAATTCCAAACATGTTTATGAAAGAGTGAAGAGGGTCAAAGATTTTGCTTTTGAACCTTTTGAGTTTCTGTATGACTCCTTTGGGTCATCTAGGAAGATGGGATTATGAGCTGTCAGGGTCCATATAACAACAAAAAGTAAATGTCCAGGAAAGACCTGTGACTGAAAAAGTCATGCTATTCACCCTTCAAGTCCCACTCCAAGTCGTACCTGCTTTGCAGATCTTTCTAACTTAAACCCCGTGTCCTATGATCCTCCTGTCTGCGTCCATTCTTTATTATTTAAGTGACCATATCCTAACTGAATATTGACCATCATTACTCATTTTTATACCTTCAACAGCTGGCACACTTTTTAGAATAGTGTTAATGCAGAACAAATCTTTCCTCATTAATAAGGATTTGTGGCATACCTATGTTAATGTTGAATTAAATCAGTGTTGAAATTATTAGCAAAGCTATTCCTATCAGACTTAGTCCTGAAGACAAGCCAGGTCTTGGTAATTTTACACCTTACATTATTTTCAAACAGATCAGGGTACAGTCCAGGAGCCAGGTTTTCTTGGGCACCTTCCTTCTCTTTTAACATTATTGTTTGTTCTCTCCCTGCTGTCTCTTGACCAGGGAAATGTCTTCAATATCATTTATTTTGAGATCTTGCTCGAAACTGTCATTGGAGATGTTAGCTGTTAATGAATGCAAAAAGTTGATAAGTTTTAGCTTTCTTTTTTTGATATGTTGGCTTTAGAAAGTCAAAATTCTAAGACTAAAAGACCTTCAAGAGAGAAATTAATAAAAATCACTATTTCTTTCCTTCATTAATAAATACTTATTTAGCATCAACTGCTATGCATTATCTTAGGTGCCTGGGATATCTTACTGAATAAACAATGATGCCTGCCCTTAAGGAGCTAAAATTCAGTGCAGCATATGAGGGGGAGATACTGGAGGGGGCAGACAATGAACACAAATACAGAAACAAGTATGTAAAATGTCATATTGGAAGGTGGTGTGTGCTATGGGGAAAATAGAGCAAAGGGAGTGGGGCAATGATGCTGAAATGATGGATAGTAAGTGGATTTACAGGTCAAAGCTGGGGATTGTTCCCAGAAGACTCTCAACATCCATTATTTTACCTTTTCCATGTTCACCTCTTTTATTATTCTATCAAGCCTCAAAGCTTCAAATGTAATTTACATGCAAATGACTCTACAATTTTATACTTCCAGTTTAGAGCTCCTCCACATACTACACATCCAACTGCCTTCTTGGCATCTTTATTTGGGTATCTAACAGGCATCTCCAATTCTATTTTCAAGAGCATCTTCTATTCCAACACCACCCCCTCACCCTCATAGACAAACTATGTTGTCCCACAGTTTTTCCATCTCCATTAATGGAAACTCCAACCTTTAAGTTGCTCAAGCCAAAACCCTTGGAGTCTTCCTTAATTCCCCCTTCTTCTAATAATCTCTTATCTGATCAGACAGCAAATCCTGTCACCTCTACCTTCAGAAATCCACCCAGCATCTAATCCTCATCACTGCCCTGTGGTCTAGCCCCCATCCATTCTTGGATTATCTTGGATAATGTTTCCATGATCACAATTGTCTCCTGAGATTAATTTACTTTTATTCCACAACACAGTCTGTTCATAGCACAGCAACAAAAATGAGCCAGTTACTTCCACATCAGGCCATGTCCTGCCCCTGATGCAGCCTCTCCATTGTGGGTTCCCCATCGCCCTACTCTCAAAAGCCAAATGCTTCACTCCAGCCCGTGATGCCCTCCAGAATCTGGTTCCCATGGTCTCCAAGTCTCCATCCCTTTCCAATTTCCACCTCACTCGTCTTGTTACTGGTGGAAGGTATCCAAGTTACCAGTGGTGAATCCATATAGGTCTGCAGCAACCTCAATTCTTGCCTCCTCAGAAGAAAGAATTCAACTCAGGGGCATGAGGCAGAAAAAGAGACTGAGGCAAGTTTCAGAGCAGGAGTGGAAGTTTATTTTGAAAGGCTTTAGAACAGGAAAGAAAGGAAAGTTCACTTGGAAGGGACCCAAGCAGGCATCTGAAGGTCAAGTGTAATGTTCAACCTTTGATTCTAGGACTTTATAGGCTGGCCCCTTTCTCATGATTCTCCCCTTAAGGTGGGCTGCCTGCATGTGCAGTGCCCTCCTTACCCCTGGGAGATGAGCATGCACAGTGTGTTTGGGAAGTTGTGTGTGTGTGCCCATCTCAGGCTTTCTTCCCTTTTCCAGTAGAGTGCCCCTGGTAGGTCATACTCTGCCATTTTGTCTTTTAATGCGCAAGTCCAGGAAGTTGTCTCTCCCTGGCATCTGCACTCAATTAACACTTTAGTGCAACAGACGTGGACCATCAAGATATGGCCTCTCCCTGGTGCCAGCTGCCAATTTAACGCTTTTAAAGAGGCAGTGTGATAATTGCCAAACCACCACCAGACATTCCTAGTGGGTGGGGGAAGATCCCTATCCTGCCCCACTCATGTCTAACTACCTGTAACAGTCTTTCTCTCAACACTAGTTTCTTCTTTGTAGTCTTTCAACATTCCAGGCACAACCCATCTCCTACCTCAAGGTTTTTACACATGCTGTCCCCTCTACCAGGTATATTTCCCCCCCAAATACCCAAATGTCTCATTTCCTTATCTATTCCTGGCCTTCCCTTTCATGTTGCCCTTATTAAACATTATGAGACCTCCTCTGAACACCCTAAAGAACTGTAACTTTCACCTCCCCATACCGTCTGCCTTAATTTTCTCCATATCACTTACTGTCATCTGACATATGGCACATTTACTTACTAATTTATTGGTTATCATATCATTTCCAGAATGTAAGCTACATGAGGGCAGCCCTTTTGTCTAAATTATTTACTGCTGAGCCTCAGTGGCTACAAGAGCACCTGGGTACTCCCTTCACCTCTGTTGCTCCAATCATTTGTCCTGGAACCCATACTGCATTAGGAAGTGAAAAGCACGTAGTTTCTATCATTTAATCTCCATTACTACCCTGTGAAGAAAGTCCGTGTTACCCTGGGAAAACTGAGGCTTAGAGAAGTAAAGTGACTTGTCCAAGGTCACATATCTTCTACCAGTTAGACCTAAAATTTGGATTAATACTCCAAATCTTATGCTATTTTCACTGTAGGATGTGGCCTTGTAATCACCACGTTTTCTAGTTTCTGTGTTTGGTGCCTCGATGAGCTTAGAGAAAGTGTCCTACCCAGGGCTAACCAATTCCTAGAGATAGCGAACAGCTCACTTGGAAGCATGCCTTTCATATGCAAACCAACTACCTCATTTATTGGGGTCTTACACTCTAGGTCATTATCCCCCTGAAATTATTCAAACTAGTCAATCCTAAGCCAGCTGACCTTGCCTCACTTTTTCCTTCTAAAGGAAACCAGAATAAATGCTCTTGCCTGAATTTTTCCCTTGACGCATCTGCTTCCACAGAGTGTGCTCCCCCAAGGGCCCTGACTGGCATGCTCTACTTCCTCCTCTTGGGAACAAACTGTATTTTCAGTGGCAGTAGTCTTCTGATCTGTTGGCCTCACCATACTTGAAGAATAATAAACCTACATTTTAGACCATGCTTGGGTGGTAAAGGATCTGGAAATCTTGTCCTAACAGGAGGCTTAAAATAACTGAGAGGAAAGAGGCTATATCTCAAGTCCATACTTAATCCTTTCCTGGAAATACAGTATGCATGGGAAGATCTTGGAAGCCCATTGATAGAGATATTAGAAATCCAGATAGTAAAAGGGGCTGAGAAAGAAGTGATATAGGCATGGAAAACAAGGGCATCCTTTACAAGGTCACAGGAATATGGGAGAAGGTGAAAGGAAAACACATTTATCAAGCACCCAGTGTACATTGCCATGAGTTATACTAAAAAATTACCCATTATGTTAGTAAATCCCCATAAAAACCCTGAGAAGCAAGTATTATCATTGTCATTTTACAGAAACTGAAACTAGGACTTAAATAATTTAGGAAACTTGCTCAAGTTTATAAAGATAGGCAGAGGCCACTAGGAACATATTTGGTTTCAACATCAATGCTTTCCCTTTCACCGCACTGAGGTCCAAGGCCTACAGCTGAACAAGAGGTCAGATGGTATTATTAACAAAATTAATCTAAGTTTTGCTTTCTTCTGATTTTGTTTTTTTTTTTTAATGAAAAATGTGCTCCTATCCATTCTTTTATCCCTGATTTTCCTGGGGTTCTCTTATCCTCAAGAAATCCAAAACTTATCTCAGTACTTCAGTCATTTGTATATAATTATCATTATATACCTTATCATTGCCTTTCTCTTTGTTAACAGACCTAAGCTTCTACACCACACTGTGGAATTGATAGACATAGTTAGCTAGGAACTGTCTTAAAAGAAAGTTTATTTGGACAAATTAGATTGCAGTGATTCATTAGGTCCTCCTGTGAAGCTGCTGCCACCGCCCTCCTTCCTGACGTAGATAAAACTGAGTAGTTTATTGTAAAACTACTTCCTGTGTTCAGCCTCCTTATCGGCAGCCTGCAAAATTAATTTCACTTGAAGACTTCTACCTGCTCTGTTTAATAATGTAAATGTATTTAGCAGGGGGATAGGTTTTCTAAAGTCAGGTAAATTGATACAGACATAAACACAATAAGGCTTCAAGTGCAAGAAAACAGGAAGGATTTGTGTATTCAGGGCATGAGAACAATCTAATATTCTCTATATATGAGTCTTTTGATTACTCTAGTTTCATTGTCTTCATGGAGATATGACTCTAGGCAATGTTACCAGTATTTAGCCTCACTTTCCTCATCTATTAAGAGAGAATTATAACAATTACCTCATATAGCTCTTGTTAGGGACGAATAGAATACCATAATGTACCCAGCACTATGCCTTCCTAGAGTGGTCATCCATAACTGAGTGGACCATGAAACTGGTCTGTCAGTCTTCAAGTCCTGACTCCAGCACTCATCACTGTGTGACTTTGGGCAAGTTCCTAACCTCTTTGTGCTTTTCATGCTTCAGTTTCCCTATATGTAAAATGAGGGGAGATATAGTGAAAACCTTATAGGATCATTATTATGATTAAAAGAGTGAATACATGTAAAGCATTTGGACCTGCACTGGAGATCTACATGACCCACTATATAATTTTTTTTGCATTTTAAATTGAGACATAATGGATATAGCATAAAATTCATCATTTTGAAGTTTAAAATTCAGTGATCTTTAATGTCTTCACAATTATTATACAACTGCCACTACTATCTAATTCCAGAATATCTTCATTTTCTTAAAAGAACCCCTGTACCTGTCACTCCAAATTTTTCTCTCTCTCCAGTCCCTGGAAACCAATTATCTACTTTCTGTTTCTTTAGATTTGCCTATTCCGGACATTTCACATTAATGAAAATATGTGGCCTTTTGTGTCTGTCTTCTGTCACTTAGCATAAAGTTTTTAAGGTTCATCTATGTCGCAGCATGAATCAGTACCTATTCATTTTAATGGCTAAATAATATTCCATTGTATACATATGCCACATTGATTATCCGTTTATATCAGTCAATGAAAATGAAGGCTGTTTCTACCTTTGAGCTATTCTTTCTTTCTCCATTAAATGGTGTTTGTATTACTGTTGAAAATCAACTGACCATAGATATATGGGTTTATTTCTGAACTCTCAATTCTATTACATTGATCTGTATATCTATTCTGCCACAAGTCGTACAACTTTGTTCTTATTTTTTAAATTTGTTTTGAATAATCAAAGTTTCTTAAATTTCCATAAGAACTTAAGGTTCAGCTTGTCCATTTCTGCAAACAAGGCAGTTAGAATTCTCATAAAGATTGCAATGAATCTATATGAGTCAATTTGGGGAGTATTGTCATATTAACAATATGAAGTATTTCAGTCCACAAACACAGGATGTCTTTCTATTTATTTAGGCTTTAATTTTTTTACTATATTTTGTATTTATTAATATATAACTCTGACCTTTTGGTTAAATGTGTTTCTTAATATTATATTCCTTTTGAGGTTATTGTAAGTAGAATCATTTTCTTATTTTCATTTGTGAATTATTCACTGCTAGTGTAGAGAATTACAATTGATATTTGTATATTGCTGTTGTGTCCTGAAACTTCTGTAAACTTCCTTATTAGCTCTAGTAGTTGTGTGTGTGTGTGTGTGTGTGTCTGCTTATCATTTAGGGTTTTCTTTTTAAATTTTAGATTTGGGTGTACATGCGCAGATTTGTTACATGGGGTTTATTACATGGGACTGAGGTTTGAACTTCTGAGGTTTGAACGATAGTTTTTCAACCCGTGGCTCCCTCCCTACCACCCCACGTGGAATCCCTAGTGTTCATTTTTCCCATCTTTGTGTCCATGTGTACCCAATGTTTAGCTCCCAATTTATAAGTGAGACCATGTGGCATCTGTTTTTCTGTTCCTGCATTAGTTCACTTAGGATAATTGCTTCCAGCTGCATTTGTGTTGCTGCAAAGGACATGGTTTCATTCTTTTTTATAGCTATGTAGTATTCCATGCCATATATGTATCACATTTTCTTTATCTAATTCACCATTGAGGGGCACCAAGCTTGTTTCCATATCTTTGCTATTTTCAACAGTGTTGTGATAAACATACAAGTGCAAATGATTTATTTTCCTTTAGGCATATACCTAGTAATGTGATTTCTGGGTCAAATGGTAATTCTATTTTAGTTCTTTGGGAAATCTCCAAACTGCTTTCCACAGACCTAATTTTTCACAAAATTAGAAAAATCTATTCTAAAATTCATTTGGAACAAAAAAGAGCACAAATAGCCAAAGCAATCCTAAACAAAAAGCACAAAGCTGGAGGCATCACATTGGCTGACTTCTAAGTTTATTATAAGGCTATGGTAATCAAAATAACGTGATACCATTACCAAAAATAGACACATGGACCAGTGGAACTGAATAGAGAACCCAGAAATAAACCCATATACCTAAAACCATCTGATCCTCAACAAAATTAATAAAAATAAGCAATGGAGAAAGGAGTCCCTGTTCAATAAATGGTGCTGGATAACTGAGAAATCCCCAAACTGCTTTCCATAGAACTAATCTGCATTCCCTCCAACAGTGGTTAAGTGTTCCCTTTCCTCCACAGTCTTGCCAACATCTGGGTTGTTTTTTTTTTTTTTGACTTTTTAATAATGGCCATTCTGACTGGCATAAGTTGATATCTCATTGCGGTTTTAGTTTGCATTTCTCTGATAATTGATAATCTTTAGCATTTTTTATATGTTTGTTGTCTGCTTGTATGTGTTCTTTTGAGGAGTGTCTGTTTATAACATTTACCTACCTTTTAATGGGATTATTTGTTTTTGTCTTGACTCATTTAAGTTCCTTACAAATTCTGGATATTAGTACTTTTTCAGATGCATAGTTTGCAAATATTTTCTTCCATTCTTCAGGCTATCTGTTGACTCTGCTGATAGTTTGTTTTGTTGTGTAGAAGCTCTTCAGTTTAATTAGGTCCCAATTATCAACTTTTATTTTGGTCGAATTTGCTTTTGAGGACTTAGTCATAAATTATTTGCCTAAGCCAATGTCTAGAAGAGGATTTCCTAGATCTACTTGTAGAATTTTTATAGTTTCATGTCTTACATTAAAATCTTTAATTCATCTTGAGTTAATTTTTGTATATGGTGAGAGGTAGGGGTCCAGTTTCATTCTTCTGCCTGTGGCTCACCAGTTATCCCAGTACCATTTATTAAATATGGAGTCCTTTCCCTATTGCTTATTTTTGTAGATTTTGTTGAAGATCAGATCAGGTGTGTGGGTTTATTTCTAGGTTCTCTATTCTGTTCCACTGGCCTATGAATCTATTTTTTGTACTCGTACCATGTTATTTTGATTATTGTAGCCTTATAATAAACTTAGAAATCAGCCAATGTGATGCCTCCAGCTTCATTCTTTTTGTTTAGGATTGCCTTTGGTATCTGGGCTTTTCTTTGGTTCCAAATGAAATTTAGAATGCTGTGAAAAATGACGTTACTCATTTGATAAGAATAGATTGAATCTGTAACTTGCTTTGGGAAATATGGACATTTTAACTATACTGATTCTTCCATTTCATGAGCATGGAATGCTTTTCCATTTGTTTGTGTTGTCTATGATTTCTTTCAGCAGTTTTGCAGTTCTCCATGTAGAGATGTTTCACCTCCCTGATTAGATGAATTCCTAGGTATTTTATTTTCTGTGGCTATTGTAAATGGAATTGCATTCTTGGTTTGGTTCTCAGCTTGCATGTTATTGCTACATAGAAATGTTACTAATTTTTGTACAGTAATTTTGTATCCTGAGACTTTGCTGAAGTTGTTTATCAGGTCTAGTAGCTTTTTTGTGGAATCTTTAGGGTTTTCGAGGAATACAATTGTATTACTACTGAAGAAAGATAATTGGACTTCCTCTTTTTCTATTTGGATGCCTTTCATTTCTGATTTCTCTGGCTAGGACTTCCAGTATTATGTTGAATGGGAGTAGTGAGAGTAGACATCCTCATTTTGCTCCAGTTCTTAGGGGGTATGGTTCCAACTTTTACCTATTGAGTATAATGTTGGCTGTAGGTTTGTCATACATGGCACCTATTATTTTGAGCATGTTCATTCAATACCTAGTTTGTTGAGGGTTTTTTGTCATGAAGGGATGTTGGATTTTATCAAATTATTTTTCTTCATCTGCGGAGATGATCATATGGTTTCCGTTTTTAATTCTGTCTGTGCTAGGTCACATGTATTAATTTGCATATGTTGAACCATCCTTGCATCCCAGGAATAAAACCTACTTGATTGTGTTCTATTAACTTTTTGATGTACTGCAAGATTCATTTTGCCAGTATTTTATATTTGCCTATAGTGTTTTCTTTCCTCATTGTGTCTCTGCCAGATTTTGGTATTAGGATGATACTGGTTTCATAGAATGAGTTAAGTAGGATTCCCTGTTCCTCTGTTTTTTGGAATACTTTCAGGAAGACTGCTACCAGCTCTACTTTGGTAGCTCTTCTTTGTGTTTCTGGTAGAATTTGGCTGTGAATCCATCTGGTCTGGAGCTTTTCTTGGTTGGAAGGTTTTTTATTACTGATTCCATTTTATTACTCATTATTGGTCTGTTTGGAATTTGTCTCTTCCTGATTCAATCTTGGGAGATTTTTTCCAGGAATTTACCCATTTTCTATGGACTTTCCAGTTTGTGTGCATAAATATTTTCATAATAGTCTCTAAGGATCATTTGTATTTCTGTGGGATTAATTGTGATGTCACCTTTGCCATTTCTGATTGTGTTTATTTGGATCTCTCTACCTTTTTGGTTAATCTAGCTAGTGATCTTTCAGTCTTCTTTACTCTTTCAAACAACCAACTTTCTGTTTCATTGATTCTTTGTATAATTCAAGGGGGTTAATTTTATTTAGTTCTGCTCTAATTTAGGTTGTTTCTTTTCTTCTGCTAGCTTTGGATTCAGTTTGTTCTTATATTTTTAGGTTTTTTTAGGTGCAAAATCAGGTTGTTAATTTGAGATCTCCCTATCTCCTTTTGTAGTCTTGTTTGTGTAGTTGCTTTATAGGATCAATGGGCTGTGTGCTTGCATGTGCTTTTGGGGTAGCAAGTATTGGTCTTTAGTTTCCATGTTTAGAACTCCCTTAAGCATATCTCGTAGGGCTGGTCTTTGGATGACAAATTCCCTTAGCAATTGTTTGTCTAGGAAACAGTTCATTTCTCCTTTGTTTATGTAGCTTAGTTCAGCAAGATAGGAAATTATTGGCTGGCACTTCTTTTCTTTAAGAATGCTAAAAATATGCCATAATCTCTACTGGCTTATAAAATATCTGCTGAGAAATACAGTAATAGGTAATTTGGATTTTCTCTGCTACCTTTAAGATTTTTTCTTTTTTAAAAAAATAATTTCAACTTTTATTATGGATTAAAGGGTTCACATGCAGGTTTGATACATGGGTATATTGCATGATGTACAGGTTTGGGGATCCCAATGATCCCATCACTCTGGCAGTAAGCATAGTACCCAACAGATGGTTCTTCAGCCCATTCCCCACTCCATCCCTCCCTCCCCTGTTTAGTGGTCCCCAGTGTCTATTGTTCCTGTCTTCACATTCATGTGTATTCAATTTTTAGCTCCCACTTATAAGTGAGAACATGCAGTATGTGCTTTTCTGTTCTTGTGTTAGTTCACTTGGATAATGGCCTCCAGCTCCATTCATATTGCTGCAAAGAACATAATTTTGTTCTTTTTTATGGCTGCATAGTATTCAAGGGTGTATATGTACCACATTTTTTTATCCAAACCACTATTGATGGGCACCTAGGTTGATTTTATGCCTTTTCATAGTGAATAGGACTGCAGTAAACGTATGGGCACATGTGACTTTTTGATACAATGAATTATTTTCTTTCGGATATACATCCAGTAGTGAAATTGCTAGATTAAATTGGAGTTCTATTTTAAGTTATTTGAGAAATCTCCAAACTGTTCCCATAGTGTATTCCCACCATCAGTGTATAAGTGTTCTCTTTTCTCCACAGCCTTTCCACTATCTATTCTTTATTGACTTTTTAATAATGGCCATTTTCAATGGTGTGAGACAGTTTCTCACTGTGGTTTTAATTTGCATTTCTCTGATGATTAGTCATGTTGAACATTTTTGCATGTTTATTGGCCACTTGTGTGACTTCTTTTAAGAAGGGTCTGTTCATGTCCTTTGCCCATTTTTAACTGGATTTTTAGTTTTTACTTGTTGATTTGTTTAATTTGCTAACAGATTCTAGATATTAGTTGATATGATTTGTCTGTGTCCCCACCCAAATCTCACCTTGAATTGTAATAATTGCCAGGTATCAAGGGTGGGGCCAGGTAAAAATAATTGAAACATGGTGGCTATTTCCCCCATACTGTTCTCATGGTAGTGAATAAGTCTCATGAGATCTGATAATTTTATAAATATAGGAATTCCCCTGCACATGCTATCTTGCCTGCCACCATGTAAAATGTGACTTTGCTCTTTGTTCACCTTCAGCCATGATTGTGAGGCCTCCCCAGCCATGTGGAACTATGAGTCAATTAAACCTTTTTCCTTTATAAGTTACCCAGTCTCCAGTTTGCCTTTATTAGCAGCATAAGAACAGACTAACACATTAGTCTTTTGTCAGATGCACAGTTTGTGATATTTTCTCCCATTCTGCAACCTGTCTGTTTACTCTGTTGTTAATTTCTTTCACTGTGCAGAAGAAGCTCTATAGTTTAATTTGGTCCCACTTGTCAATTTTAGCTTTTGTTGTCATTGCTTTTGATGAGTTAGCCATAAGTTGTTTGCAAAAGTCTATGTCTAGAAGGGTATTTCCTAGATTTTCTTCTATCATTTTTAGTTTGAGATCTTAGATTTAAATCTTTAATCTATCTTGAATTAATTTTTGTATATGGTGAGATGTAAGTTTCCAGTTTTATTCTTCTGCCTGTGGTTCACCAGTTATCCCAGTACCATTTGTTAAATAGGGAGTCCTTTCTCCAGTGCTTATTTTTGTTGATTTTGTTGAAGATCAGATGGTTGTAGGTATGTGGGTTTATTTCTAGGTTCTCTATTCTGTTCCATTGATCTATGTGTATATTGTTTGTAATGCTATCATGCTATTTTGATTACTTTAGAAGCTTACTTTAGTAGTTTTAGTAGCTTACTTTACTTTTAGAAGCTTATCTTAGTAGCTTTAGAATAAACTTAGAAGTCAGCCAATGTGATGCCTCCAGCTTTCTTTAGTAGCTTTAGAGCTTATTTTAATAGCTTTAGAATAAACTTGGAAGTCAGCCAATGTGATTCCTCCAGCTTTCTTTTTTGTTGTTGTTGTTATTTAGGATTTCTTTAACTATTTGGGCTCTTCTTTGGTTCCAAATAAATTTTAAAATAGATTTTTTCTAATTCTGTGAAAAATGGCATTGGTATTTTGACAGCGATAGCATTAAGTTTATAGATTGCTTTGGAAAGTATGATTATTTTATAATAACTGTATTGATTCTTCTAATCGATGAGCATGGAATATTTTTTCATTTGCTTGTATTGTATATGATTTCTTTCAGCAGTTTTGTGGTTCTTCATGTAGAAATCTTTCATCTCTTTGTTGTATGAATTCCTAGATATTTTATTTTCTTGAGATTGTATTCTTGATTTTGTTCTCAGCTAGAACACTACTGATGTATAGAAATGTTACCAATTGTTATATATCAATTTTATATTCTGAAACTTTACTGAATTTGTTTTTCAGTTCCAGCAGTCTTTGGGTGGAGTTGTTAGGGTTTTCTATGGATAGAATTATACCATCAGCAAAGAGCAATAGTTTGACTTCAATTTTTTTTTTTGGCATTGACCCTGGATAGTATAATGACTATGTGTCTTGGGGATGGTCTTCTTATATAGTATATCACAGGAGTTCTCTGAATTTCTTTTATCTGCATGTTGACCTGTCTAACAAAATTGGGCAAATTTTTCTAAATTAGATCCTCAAAATTTTTTTCAAGTTGCTTACTTTCTTTTCTCTTCTCCCAGGAATGCCATTAAGTCATACATGTGGTTACCTTACATAATCCCATATTTCTTGAAGCCATTGTTCATTTTTTAAAATTATTTTTTCTTTATTTTTGCTGACTGAGTTGATTCAGAGGACTGATTTTAAGCTCTGAAATTCTGCTTAATCTAGTTTGTTTTTAAGGCTTCTCACTGTATTTTGAAATTCTGTAGTGAATTTTTCAATTCCAAAAGTTCTGTTTGTTTCTTTCTTAATATGGCTATGTCATCTTTCCAATCTTGGTTCATTTTTCTGGCTTCTTTGTGATCGATTTTAACTTTCTCTTGGATCTCATTGAATTTCTTTCCCATTCATATTTGAATACTGTGTCTGTCATTTTACACATTTCATTCTGGTTAGGAGCCATTGCTTGGGAGCTAGTGAGATCCTTTGGAGTTGATGAAATGTTCTGGCTTTTTGTATTGCCAGAGTTCTTATGCTGCTGGCTTCTTCTCATCTGAGAAAGCTAACACTATTTTTTTTTTTGAATTTGCTATATTTTGGATGGTACTTCTTGATATTTTATTGGTTTTTCCCCTCAGGAGTAATAACTGTGGTGTATGTTGTGTATGGTCAGTTGGCTTTGTCTCTGGCTGCTTTCAGGGTATCAAGGGTCTTTACAAGTTTTCTGGTTGCAGGTAGGTTTGTGCAGTGGCTTTCTCAGACATCACTTTTTGTAGCAATATGATTTTGTTTGGTGGTGTAATTCAGGCTGAAGTCCAGTAGGTGGCACTTAAGAATAGGAACCAGCGCATAGGGGCAGGAGTGGAAGCAACAGAGAAGCATGAAACGTGCCTTTTCCCAGTGCATGCACATTCATCTTCAGTGAGGTGGAGGCACTACGGAAGCCCAAGAAATGATCTCTTTTAGTCCATTCGCTGGTCCAAGATGGGAAGAGCCACAGCTGAGTCCACAAAGGTGCACCAAAGAGGGAGGCAGGCTGGAGAGATGACTGCCCCCCACTTCCATTCCTGGGCTTTAGTGGTGACACCTTCAGCAGCTGGCACCATGTTCACATTTTCTTTGACCCAAGGGAACTTTGGCAGGCTGCACTGCCCATTCAGGGGTGGATTGTGCCAAGGGTTAGATCTCCAGGGAAGTGAGCTCCACCTCCTTTCCACTCTTTGGAGCTGGCAGAGCACTGTCCCCAAGCTGAGCAAGCGAGCAGGCTGGGGCACCCAGAAATAACATGTGGAGACTGGTTCTAGGTCACAAAGCTGTCCCTAGCTGCAAGTCTTGCTGCCTTCAGCTTCCACGATTACCTTCCCCCTCTAGTTCAGTGATGGGAGAGAGCCTAATTGCAGCACCTACTGCTTGGGTACTCTCCACACTCATTGCTCAATTCTGGCTGTGGGACCATTCCCTCATTCAAGAGCAAGCACTCCAGTTTCTGTCTCGAGACTAAAATACCTGCTGTGGCTGCTGCTACCAGGTCACCAAATGCTGTCTATATACTATCAAAATGGTGTCAGTTGTGGGCTTGTGACTGGGGAGGGTGGGGCCCCATTCTAGTGAATAGGCAAGAAGCTTTGGGAAGTGTGGTCCACTGAAATCTTGGCCTCACAGCAGCCTGTACCAGGGCATTGAGTATTGTCCTAGGTATGCATAGGAGAACCTGGCTTCCCTGTCCCTCTTTGGCTGGGTGGCAGCTAGAGTGCATCAGCCCAAAATCAAGACAATGGTGAAGTTTTGGACTGGGAACAGAAAGGGTGGAGGATGACCTAGGCAAGCAGTGTGAGCAAAAAGCTGTGGAGAGTGTGGTCTGATCATGTTTCAGTCTCACAGCAGCCTGTTTCAGAGCACTGGGTATGACTATATATATATATATAGGATAGCCTGGATTTCCTGTCAGTCCTTGGTCAGGGGGTGGCTTTAACCTTGTCAGCCTGAGCTCAGGTCGAAGGCAAGCCTCAGCCCACCACTAAGCTCTCAAAATGGTGCCTTGGTCTGGAACCAGAGGGGATGGGACACCATCCAGGCAAGCAGCATGAGTAAGACTCTGGAGAAGTGTGATCCACTTATATCTCAGTCTCAACAGTAGTTTGTAGCAGGACAGCAAGTACCCACCCAGGGGTGTATGGGTGCACCTATTCACCCCTCTCCCTTCTTGGAGCAGCACAGTGGTTGCAGCCATGGTCTATAGGTCCACAGCATCTTGGTTCTGAAAATGGCTCCTGACTGAGGCTGCTCCTGACACAGATAACTGTGGGATTCTGTGTAGGAACCCTTTCTGGAGCAACGTCTCTGTGCAAAATCTAGGCAGCTCCATATGTCAGGCACGAGGACCTAGTGGGTTGATGGTTTCTCCCATGCCAGGTTTGTTAAAGTTCATTTCAGAGGTCTGGGTATTTCTCTGTTACTGTTTCCCCACATCAAGGCATTTCTCCCAACTCTCAGTAAGTTCCTAGCTGGACAATCTGCCTCAAACTCTCTTCCTACTTATTTCTGGTGCTTTCCATCTCTTCTGTGATGAATCCAAACATTCTCTCCTAGAAGATATGTTTGAAATTTGAGTATCTACTTCCTATTCTGGCTCTTCCCCATGGTGGAAGCACATAGTACCTGTATTTAGTTGGCCATCTTGATCCTTCTTCTCTTTAGCCTTTTCTGTGTATAAGATCATGACATCTCTTAATAGTTTCATTTCTTCCTTTCCAGTATGTATGTATTTTGCTTCTTTTCCTTGTCTAGTTGCCATGTGATATGGCTTGGATCTATGTCTTCACCAAATGTCATGTTGAATTGTAATCCCCAATGTTGGAAGTGGGGCCTGATGGGAGGGAGGTGGTTGGATAATGGAAGTGGATTTCTCATGAATGGTTTAGCACCATGTGCTTGGTGCTGTTCTTGTGATAGTGAGTGGGTTCTCAAGAGATATGGTTGTTTAAAAGTATGCAGTACCTCCCCCATCGCTCTCTCTTGCTCCTTCTTCCACCATGTAAGACCTCTCACTCCCCCATTTGCCTTCCTCCATGATTGGAAGCTTCCTGAGACCTTCCCAGTAGCAGAAACTGCTATTTTTCCTGTACAGCCTGCAGAACTATGAGCCAATCAAGCCTCTTTTTAAAAATATGTTAGCCAGACTCAAGTATAGCACTGTGAGAACAGATTAATACACTAGGGTTAGAACTTGCAGCACAACAATAAACAGAATGATATCCTTGTATTATTCCTGTTCTTATGGGGAAAATATTCAGACTTTCACCATTATGTATGACGTTAACTGGATTTTCCACAGATACCCTTGCCAGGTTGAGAAAGTTCCCTTCTATTTCCATTACAATCAGAAAACATATTTTGTATAATTCTAATCATTTTGAATATATTAGGATGTGTGTTGTGGCCTAAAATATGATCTGTTCTGCAGAATATTCCATGTGTGCTTGTGAAACGTGTATTAGGCTGTTGTTGGATGAAGTATTCCATAGCTATCTGTTAGGTCTACTTGGTTTATAGTGTTGTTCAAATTTTCTATTTTCTTACTGATCTTTCTAATTGTTCTATGCAGTAGTGAAACTGCAGTATTTCAGTCTTTAACTGTTATTTAATCATCTATTTTCCCCTTAATTCTGTCAGCTTTTCCACCTCTATTGTGAAGCTCTCTTATTAGATGTATATGTATTTATAATGTTTCTATCTTGATGGATTGACCTTTTTATCAATACATAATGTCCTTCTTTGTCACTAGTAACAATTTTTGCTTTAAAGTCTTGTTTGCTTCATATTATTGTAGCCACTCTAGCTTTCCCTGGTTACTGTTTGCATAGTATATATTTTTTTCATCCTTCAAGTTCAACTTACTTGTGTCTTTGAAACTAAAATGAGTTTCTTCACAACAGCATATAGTTGATTATGGCTTTTTTATTCTTAATTTTTGTATTTTAATTGGTTAAAAGTTAACCCTAAAGTTAACTGCTAATATCCTACTGTTGACCAGAAGCCTTACCAATAACACACAGTCAACTAACACATATTTTGTATGAAATACGTATTAGATACAGTATCATTACGATAAAGTAAGCTAGAGAAAACATCTTCATCCTCTTCTTCATATTGCATAACCTGAGAAGGAAAAGGAGTAGTTGGTCTTGCTGTCTCAGGGGCGGCAGAGGCAGAAGAAAATCCAGGTATAAGTGGACATGCACAATTTAAAGCCATGTTGTTCAAGGGTCAACTGTACCTATTTCTACCATTTTGTTATTTTTTTCTACATGTCCTATCTTTTTTGTTCCTCATTTCCTGTATTACTGCCTTCTTGTGTGTTAAACAGATATTTTCTAGTGTATCACTTTAATTCCTTTGTCATTTCGTGTACTATATGTTTTTAAATGTTCTTGGTGGTTGCCCTGGTATTAAATTTAACTTAATTTATAATTAAGTTAAATAATTAAATAAGATCCAGATGCAGGAAACTCAGAGGTCACCAATCAATTTCAACTCAAGAAGGAGCTTACCAGGACATATCGTAATCAAATTATCAAAAGAAACCCCAAGTGGTTTTCAGCAGATTTTTCAACAGAAGTACTGCAGGCCAGAAGAAAATGGAATGATACGGTCAATGTAATGAAGGAAAAAAACTGCCTACCAGAAATACTTTACTTGGCAAAACTGACCTTCAGAATTGGGAAAGAAATAAAAACTTTTCTAGACAAGCAAATGCTAAGGTAGTTCATCACTACTAGGCCTCCTTTATAGAAACTACAAAGGGAGTTCTTGAAGCTGAAATTAAAGGCTGTTAATTAATAAAGTAAAAACAAATTGAAAGTTAAAAACTTAGTAGAATAAGTAATGTATAGTCATACTCAGAATTCTCTATTACTATAAGAACGGTATGTAAAGCAATTTTATTTCTACTATGAAAGTTAGAAGGCAAAACTATCAAAAATAACTCTAGCTACAATAGATTGTTAAGGAATACAAAATACTAAAAAAAAAAAAAAAGCAAGTTTTGGCATCAAAATAAAGAAAACGTAAAGGAGAGGAAGTGAAAGTGTAGTTTTCGTGTGCAGTTAAAGTTGTTATCACCTTAAAGTAACCTGTCATAAGAAGCAGATGTTTTATGTAAGTCTCATGGTAGCCACACACACAAAGAAAAACCTACAGTAGTAGCACGAAGCATAAAAAGAAAGATCAAAACATATCACAACAGAAAACCATTAAACCTCACAGGAAGACAGAAAGAGAAGAAGAAATTAACAAATGGCCTACAAAACAATCAGAAAAAAAAATTACAAAGCAGCAGAAGCAAGTCCTTACCTATTAATAATTACCTTGAATGTGAATGGATTAATCTTTCCAATCAAAAAACCTAGAGTGGATGAATATATTTTTAAAATAGGAGCCAACCATGTGCTCCCTACAGAATACTCACTTTACTAGTAAGGACACACATAGACTGAAAGTGAGGGTGTAGAAAAAGGTATTCCATGCAAATGAAAACTGAAGGAGAGCAGCAGTAGCTGTATTTATATTAGACACAATAGTCTCCCATTAAAGAAAAGCCCAAGACCTGAAGTCTTCACTGCTGAATTGTAACAAACATCTTAATATTAATACTAATTCTTCTCAAACGCTTCCAAAATATGAAGTAGAAGGAATACATTCAAACTCTTTTTAGAAGGCTAGCATTATCCTGATGCCAAAAGCTGGACAAAGAGACTGTCCTTGAAGTAGAAAGTAGAAAATTACAGACCAATATTTTTGATGAACATAAATGCAAAAAATTCTCAAAAAAAATTAGCAAACTGAATTCAACAACCCATTAAAAGAAACGTTCACCATGATCAAGTGGTGTTTATCCCTGGGATGCAAGGATGGTTCAACATATGCAAATCAATAAATGTAATACACCACATCAACAAAGTGAAGGATAAAAATCATATGATCATCTCAATAAATGCAGCAAAAGGATTTTGCAAATTTCAACATTTGTTCATAATAAAAACCTTAACGGATTAGGTATAAAGAAAATGTAACTCAGTACAATAAAGACCATCTATTACAAAGTCATAGCCGATATCATTCTAAACAGTGAAAAATTGAAATCTTTTTCTCTAAGATCAAGAACAAGACAAAAACGCCCATTATTCACCACTTCTTTTCAACATAGTACTGGAAGTCTTATCAACAGCAATTAGGCAAAAGAAAAAAAACAAAAGGCATCCTAATAGGGAAGGAGGAAATAAAATTGTCTCTGTATGCTGACAGCGATCATATATGTGTGTGTGTGTGTGTGTGTGTGTGTGTGTGTGTGTGTGTGTGTGTATATATATATATCTTAAAGCCTTCATCAAAAAACTGTTAGAACTGATAAACTGAATTCAATAAAGTTGCAGGATACATCAGCACACAAAAATCAATAACATTTCTACATACTAAAATTAAGAAAACAATTCCATTTACAATAGCAACAAAAATGCTAAATACTTAGATGTAAATTTAACCAAGGTGGTAAAAGACGTGTATGCTGAAAAATATGAAACACTGATGAAAGTGAAGGAAATATTTTTTAGTGGAAAGATATCCCATGTTCAAAAATTGGAAGAACTGATATTGTTAAAATGTCCATACAACCCAAACTAATAAACAGATTCAATGCAATATCTATCAAAATTCCAATGTCATTTTTCACAGATTTAGAAAAAATACTCCTTCAATTCATATACCATGAATAGCAAAACAATCTTGAACAAAAAGAACAAAGCAGGAGGCATCACACTCCCTGATTTCAAAATACATCATAAAGTGATTGTAATTATAACAGGGTGGTACTGGCATAAAAACAGACACATTGACAATGGAATGTGGTTTTATGGTTAGTTGATTTTTGACAAAGGTACCAAGAACACACACTGGGAAAGGGGCAGTCTCTTTCAAGAAATGGTTTTTGGGAAAATTAGTTACCCGCATGCAAAAGAAGGATAGACCTTGGTTTCACAACATACACAAAAATCAACTCAAAATGAATTAAAGATTTAAATATAAGATCTCAATGTGGAAAACTATTCAAAGAAAACACAGAAGAAAAGCTCCATGAAATTTGTCTGGGCAAAAAATTTTTTTTAATATGACCCAGAAAGCACAGGCAACAAATGCAAAAATAGCCAAATAGGATGGCATCAAACTAAAAACCTTCGCACAGCAAAGGAAACAATTAACAAACTGAAGAGACAACCCACAGAATGGGAGAAAATATTTGTAAGTGATACATCTGATAAGGGGTTAATATTAGAAATATATAAGGAACTCAGTTAACTCAATAACAATAAGACAATTCAATTAAAAAAAGGTAAAGAGCCTAAATAGACATTTCTCAAAAGCAATACATACAAATAGCCAATGGGTACATGAAAAACTGTTCAGCATCACTAGTCATTACAGAAATAGAAATTAAAACCACAATAAGTTATCACATTATACCTGCTAGAATGACTTTTGTCAAAAAGATGAAAGATAGCAAGTCTTGGTAAGGAGGTGGAGGAAAGAGAATTCTTGTACCTTGTTGGTGGGAATGTAAATTGGTACTACAGAAAATGATATGGAGGTTTCTCAAAAAACTGAAAATAGACCTACCATATGATCCAGTAATTCTACTTCTGGGTATATATCCAAAGAAAATGAAATCAATATGTGGAATGTATATCTGCACTCCCATGTTCATAGCAGCATTTTTCACAATAGCCAAGATATGGAATAATCCTAACAGTCCACTAACAGGTAAACGGATCTTTAAAATGTGGCATATACACATGGTTTGATACTATTCAGCATTTTAAAAGTGGGAAATTCTGTCATCTGTGACAACAAACTGTCTCTTCAGTTTGTTAATTGTTTCCTTTGCTGTGCAAAGGTTTTTAGTTTGATGCTATCCTATTTGGCTATTTTTGCATTTGTTGCCTGTGCTTTCTGGGTCATATTAAAAAAATCTGGAGGACATTATGCTAAATGAAAAAAGCCAAGCCCAGAAAGACAAATACTGCATAATCTCACTTATATGTGGAATGTAAAAAAGTGGAACTCATAAAAAAGAGAAAGTAGATAGTGGCTGGGTGAGTGGAGGGAGGGAGAAGATGGGGAGGTGTTGATCAAAGGGTAAAAAGTTTCATATAGACAAGAGAAATAGGTTTTGAGATCTATTGCACAGCAGGGTAACTATAGTCAGTAATAATGTATATTTAAAAATAAGAGAGTAAATGTCAAATGACTCACAATAAAAAATGATAGGTAAGTGAAGTGACAGATATGTTGAATAACTTGATGTAGTAATTCTACATCGTATACCTGGATTGAAACATTTTATTGTACCCCAAAATATATACAATTGTGATATGCCCATCAAAAAAATAATATTCATAATAAAAAACTAAATCTCTTTAGTATTATGACAACTCTGGTAATCAGATCACCTCTCCTCCTCAGAGTGTATTGTTACTGCTTATAGTGCTTGTTATTTATTTAGTGATACGGTTTGGCTCTGTGTCCTCACCCAAATCTAATCTTGTAGCTCCCATAATTCCCATACTTTGTAGGAGGAACCTGGTGGGAGATAATTGAATCTTGGGGGCAGGTCTTTCCTGTGCTGTTTTCGTCATAGTGAATAAGTCTCACAACATCTGATAGAAGCAAGAGTTTGCCTGCACAAGCTCTCTCTTTGCCTGCTGCCATCCATGTAAGATCTGACTTGCTCCTCCTTGCCTTCCACCATGATTATGAGGCCTCCCCAGCCAGGTGGAACTGTGAGTCCAAATAAACCTCTTTCATTTGTAGCTTGCCTAGTGTTGGGTATGTCTTTATTAGCAGCATGAAAACGGACTAATACATTTAATTACTTTTTATAATTCTCTATATTAAGAGAGAATTGTTTGTCATGTATTGCCACTGAAGTCACAGTTCCATTAGTTTAGAGGTCAGAGATTGGTCAGAGATTTTTTTTAATGCCTAGAACACACACACAAGTCTCCCAGTCTTTACTGGGAGCCTTTGTGTACCTGTTGGGGCACATGCCTTCAACACTCGACAAGGCCATTACAACTATGCCTCAGCCTTCACTTCCTGCTCATGCAGAGACTGAAGGTTAACAAAAAGTGAGAACTCAGGGCCTTCTCAGGACTATCCTGAGCATATTTGCAGTTCTAGGTAGGCACACGGCCTTTTACATTCCAAGAAATATGTCAGAGCTTTCCAAAGTCCTTATACACATTTCCCTTCCTAGTCATTCTTCCCAAGCTTTCAGTTAGTCAATTGTTTGACCCAACTTTTATCTATACCTCAGGCAGCAGCGACTAAAACATTTGGATATAAATTTTTACAGAAAACACCTCCACCTAGGTAGTGATTTTGGCACTGGGGATTTCCAAATCAGATGAACTAAAAACAAGCCTTTCAATTTAGTCTTCCAGGGACTAAAGTTCAGGTTTCTGTAAGCCTTTGGTTGATTTCCAGACTTCCATAAAAGTTGATTCTGATAATTTTCACCAGTTTTTTCTATTGCTGTTATGAAGGGGCAAAATTTCAGAGTCCCTTAGTCAGCCACTGTCACTATGACTCCACTATATGAATTTTACATAATTATTGTTCTTACCATTATTTTCTTTTTCCCCTATAATATATAAATCTCAGGAGAGATTTAAGATGAGATGCATTATCTAATTCATAACCATCCTATTGTAAACTTGTGGTAGTCTTCAAACTGACCCATATTCATCCCTTCACTTCTCAGATCCTGTGACATAAATCTCATGTCAACCAATTTGCCAACAAAATGTTAAAAACAGTTTCAATTGGGACTCTGTTTATTCCCATGAGTTAGTAGATAAAATTTCTTCCAAACTTGAAGAAAATCTAGTGACTCTTTGGCCATTGGCTTATTCTTCAGATGCTTTGTTCAGGGCAGTTTGATGGTGTACTTCATCCAGATGAAAGTAAATAACATAGTCACTCACTTAGCACACTGGCATTGTTTTTAACAAATATTTTTATTGAAGTGACATATACGTACAGAAAAATACATTAACCCATGGGTGTTTATGCAAAGTAAGCATGCCTCTGTATAGCTAGCACTCAGATCAAGAAAAAAAAAGATTATAAATATCTCAGAAGAGCATTTGATGACCCAGTAACCACTCCTAATCTTCATGCAAAGGTTGCCCCTTGCCTGACTTCTAAAAATACATATTAGTTTTTTCTACTTTGGGACTTATATCAGTGGTTTTATACAGTACTTGCTCTTTTCTGTCTGGCTTATTTTGTGCCAAACAACATTAGGGAGATTCATCCATGCTTTGAAGTTGTAATTTGTTCTAATTGTTGTACAGCATTCCTGTACAACAAATTGGAAATGCCATAATTTATTTCTCCACTCTGCTGATAATAGGCATTTGGTTTTTTCACAGTTTGGTTCTGTTATGAATTTAATTTCTGTATTCATTCTTTTTTTTTTTTTTTTTTTTTTGAGACAGAGTCTCACTTTGTCCCCCAGGCTGGAGTGCAGTGGCGCAATCTCGGCTCACTGCAAGCTCTGCCCCTGGGTTCACACCATTCTCCTGCCTCAGCCTCCCGAGTAGCTGGGACTACAGGCACCCACCACCATGCCTGGCTAATTTTTTTGTATTTTTAGTAGAAATGGGGTTTCACCGTGTTAGCCAGGATGGTCTCGATCTCCTGACCTCGTGATCCGCCTGCCTCGGCCTCCCAAAGTGCTGGGATTACAGGCGTGAGCCACCGCGCAGGGTCTCTGAACTCATTCTTATACATGTCTTGTGATAAACATATGCACCACTTCATCTTAGACATATATTCAGAAGTGGTGTTGCTTCATCATAGGGAATATACATGAGCAGCCAGTTTTACAAAATGATTTCACTAGGTTATTCTGCCATCAGCAATAGGTAAAAATTTTTGTTGTACCATCAATCTTTTTCTTTTAGGTATTCTGGTAGGTATATAGTTACATGCTTTCGTTGAGTTAATTTGCACTTTCCTAATGACCAATGAAGTTGAGCATCATTTTGGATATATGTGAGCCATTTGGATGTCTTCTTTTGTCAAGTGCCTTTTCAAGACGTTTGTCCAGTTTTAAAATTAGATTTTCTATTCTTTTCTTATTGATTTATAGGTTTTTATATACTCTGAAAGGACTTCTTTGTCAGTTATATGTGTTGAAAATTACTTTTTTCCACTGTACTGCTTGCTTCTTTACTCTTTAAATAGTATCTTTTGAAAAAAACAAGTTTTTTACATTAACATAGTGGATTTTTTTAAATGTTTTCCTATTGTCGGAAAATTAACATCCTATTTAAGAAATATTTTCCTAACTTACTGTCATAAAGATAATGTATTTTAGAAGTTTTATATTTTATCTTTTAAATGTAGAGCTGCAATAAAACTTTTGCTTTTCTGTAAAGTGTTAGGTAGAAGTGAATGTTCATTTTTTAAGTATATAATTAATCAACTTATCCTGCATTATTTATTGAAGTCTATCATTCTCCACTACTCTATAGCACCACTTTTATCATCAAAATTAGTTTGCTTATGTGTGTGGCTCTGTTTCTGGATTCTCTATACTGTTTAATTAATGTGTTTGTCTGTCTCTTCATTAATATTATACTGTATTTTAGATTTAGAATAAAACTTGATAACTGATGGTAACTTTTTCTTCTTTAAGATTGTCTTATGTATTTTTGGTCAGGTATAGTCCTGTATGAATTTTAGAATTAGCTTATTAATTTCCACCAAAACACCTGCTAGGATATTAATTAGGGTTCTGAATTTATAGATTAATTTAGGAAAAATTGACATATTTAACTATTTAATCCTTCAGTTCATGAACATGGTATATCCCTACACTTAGCAGATATTTTTTTCTCTCTGTAATGTCTTGTAGTTTGCTAGCACATGGATCTTAAATATCTTTGGTTTGATTTATTCCTAGAAAATAAATATTGCTCAATGAATTGTAAATATCATTTTTTAAATAAAAATTCATTCTCTTTATACTAGTAATATGTAAAATATATTATTGTTTGTTCTACATGGTCCTTATTCAATAAATGTTCTAAATGTACTCATAACTTTTTATCATTCAACTCTAGATTCCTTTGGGTTTCTATACCTAAAATGATACAATATGTGAATATTTGATGTTTTACATATTGTGTTCCAAATGTTATACTGCTTATTTATTTTTGTTTCTTTATTGCCCTGGCTAGGAACTCCAGTACAAAGTTGAAAATATGTGGTGATAGTGAGCTTCCTACCTTTTTCCGGTGTCACTATTAAATAAAATGGTTTTTTTTTTTTTTGGTGCCATCTAACAGATTGAAGAAGGTCTTTTTGCCTTTCTTGTTAGCTAAAAATTTTTTAACACTTAGAGTGTAAATTTTATCAAATAATTTTCAACTTTTAAAATATTTGTGCAGTTTTGCCCTTAAATTTATTAATTTTGTAAATTTTATTAATTCGTAAAGGCTATACAATATTTATCCTTGTAATAAATCAACTTGGATATAATGTATTAGCATATTATATAACTAAATTCAGTTTGCTATTATATTGCCTAGGGTTTTTGCATTTGTATTTAAGAGAAAGATTGGCCCTTAAATTGTCTTTCTTGTAAAGTCCCTGTCAAATTTTGATAAGAAACTTACACAGATTCATAAAAGGTATTAGAAAGTATTTTTATTTTTTTATTTTTTAGTTCTCTGGAAGATTTTATGTTTAATTATTATTCTTATTTAAAAATTTAAAAATTTTATCTTTTGATTTCACAGGTGAAGTCACCTGGGCTGCAAATTATGGATTACATTACTTAAATAAATTTTAGATTATTAAAGTTTTTTATATTTTTTAGTGCAAATTTTATAAATTGTGATTTCAAGGAATTTGTCAATTTCAATTAACATTTTGAATCTATTAGTATTCATTCCTTTTATTATATTTTCTAATTATGTATGCAGGATATTGGTAATTTATGCTTTCTCAATTTTCTTTTTGATTAGTCCTTACAGTATTGTTCCAATTGTACCAATTGTATCTGTTCACTATGTCATTGTCTATTTTTGTGCATCTTCTCTATGTGTTTTTAAATTTTTTTTTACATTTCATATTTTCTTCCTTTGGCTTTCTTTCATTTTAATTTTCTGTTATTTTTTCCTAATATTTTGAACTGTATATTAAATTATTACTTTTCACACTGTGTTTCTCTGATAGTGATATAAATTTCCCTTTAAGTAGTTTTTGTTGCATCACATATTTTAGAATTCAATTTAATTTCCATAGTGATTTCTTCTTTTATTTATGACTTACTCAAATGTATTTTTGCTTAATTTGCATAACTTTGAAAAAAATTTTAGATTTCAATTTATTATTTATTTCTACTTTAGCTCCACTATTGCAAATAACATAATCTGTGAGATTTCAACCCTTGAGCTTGTTTAAATTGCTTTATGGCTTGACATGTTCAATTATGGTTAACATTCTATAGGAATAAGAAAACATTGTGTATTCTGCAGTTGTTCAAACTATCTACAAATCCAAATTTGTCCATTTGTTCTACCGGGTAATGAGAAAGGTTATGTTAAGATTCCCCACTATGATTGCAGATATATCCATTTCTCTTTTTTACTCTGTGACTGCTTAATACTTTGAGACTTTCTTCCTAGATGCATACAAATTTTGAATTTTTATATATTCCTGATAGACTGACAGTTTCATCATCATGAAATGTCATCTTTATCTCTAGTGATAATTCATTTTATAAAGTCAATTTTGTCTGACAGTAACATAGCTACACTAACTTTCTTTTGGTTAGTGTTTGCAGCCTATATCTCTTTTCATGCTTTTATTTTCAACCTTTCTGTATTTTCATATTTAAGCTGAGTTTCTTTAAAGTAGAATAGAATAAAATTCATTTTCTTAAAATTAATTCTCATAATCTTTGTCTTTTAATTAGAATACTTAGTCTGTTTACATTTGATGGAATTTCTAGTATATTCATGTTTATTTCTACAATTATACTAATTTTTTCTATTTATCTCACTGTTCTGTATTTGATTTTTTTGTTTTTTGCCTACTTTTGAACTAATTATTGTTATTATATTTTTGCCTTATTTGTTTTTCTGTTCTAAATTCCTTAACGCATTTTTTCAGTTGTTAAACTACAGAGTTCATATGTATAACTGAAAATAAAATATAGTTAAAATTAGTATTTCTACTCCTTCTAGGAAAGTGCAAGACTTTAAACATTTAAAGTATTGTAATTTTATTTATTCTCTTCATGTACCTCCTTTTGTGCTATTAATTGCATAATTTTAATTATTTGTATAGACAAAACTCCATAAAAATCTGATTTTTATTTTATGCAGTCAATATTCATTTAGATTAATCCACATATTTACCCTCACCATTGCTCTTCATCTTTTCTTTTGTTGCTTGTTTCTATACGCCATCATTTCTTCTTTTTCTGGTCTGAAGAATTTTACTTAGTGTGTTTCAGTAGATTTACTGATGCCAAGTTATTGCTAATGATGTTTGTTTTGAAATGTTTTGGTTTCACTTTCATTAGAAATGACTATTTTTGATGTGCATTAAATTCTATTTTATCAATTATTATTGCTAGTTATTAAAAAGCAAGCTATCATTACGGGCTGGCGTGGTGGCTCACACCTGTAATCCCAGCACTCTGAGAGGCCGAGGCGGGCGGATCACGAGGTCAGGAGATCGAGACCATCCTGGCTAACACGGTGAAACCCCGTCTCTACTAAAATTACAAAAACTTAGCTGGGCGTGGTGGCGGGCACCTGTAGTCCCAGCTACTCGGGAGGCTGAGGCAGGAGAATGGCATGAACCCGGGAGGCGGAGCTTGCAGTGAGCCGAGACTGCGACACTGCACTCCAGCCTGCCTGGGCAACAAGAGCGAAACTCTGTCTCAAAAAAAAAAGAAAAAGAAAAGATTTGACTGCCCCATTGGATTTCGGACTTGCATGGGGCCTTCGTTCTGGCCAATTTCTTCCATCTGGGAAAGGTGTATTTACCCAACGGCTGCACCCCCGGAGTATCTAGGAAGTAACTAACTTGCTTTTGATTTTACAGGCTCATACGCAGAAGAGACCTGCTTTATCTAAAAAAAAAAAAAAAAAAAAAAAGAAGCTATCATTACATTGGTTTTTTATTTTATTTTATTTCTAAGAAGTGCCTCTCATTATTATTGTTGTTTCCTTAAAGCTAATGTGCCTTTTTTCTCCAGCTTATTTTAAGATTTTCTTTTTTCTTCTTGAATTTCACTCAATATTTTTCTCACTTGAGGTTTGCAGAAATTCTTGAATCTACAGGTTGGTATTTTTCTTTAGTTTTAGAAAGTGCTCAGCCATTTATACCTTCTTTTCTCCTCTGTCTTTTCTCCTTCTGAGATACAAGTTACGCAGGTTTCTTATCTATCTTACACACCTCTCTCTCTTTTTTACCCTCCTATCTTTCTGGGATTTATATTTTATACTGTATATGTTCTATTGAAATATTGTCTTCCTCTACAGATATGCCCACTCTTCTGTTTGAGCCATCTGTTTAGTTATTAACTGTAGTTAGCATATTTCTTAATTGAAGGTTTTCCATTTGATCTTTTTATAGATTTCAACTCTGTAGAAATTTTCAGTCCTGTCTTATATTATTTTGAATATGTTAAGTTACTCTGTTTTCTAGCATCTCTTGGTATTTAGTCACTTTATCTTTCCTCGTGTATGCCTAGCAATTTTTTTCAGTCTATTTTCCTAAAGATAAGTACTCATTTCTAATCGTTCCACGATACCGTTCTCAATGTAAAACATAACAATGCTTCCCTTAAAGTAATGAAACATTGTTTAGTAAGTGCTTATAGACTGGCTGTTCTTTTGTATAAATAAATTATAAATGGAATATGAGTCTCCAGAGGAAGTTATCATTCCTTCATAGAGGATATATTTGATCTTTGTGAGGCAGTCGGTTAGGGAATACTCTCCTTATTCCAATTATAGATTGAAGTGATTTAGGAGTGGGTCTCAATATTTGTGAAAGTTTGTCTATTTTTGTTGTTTTTGCTGTTTACTTTTACTCTTAGCAGTATGTACTCCTGGCAAGATCTCAACCTAAAGCCTGTAATGTTTACCTGTGCTTCTGCATGTTAGCAACTCCTGAACTCCAGTTCTTGACTTCTCAGACCTGTGATATGCTGCAGCTTCTGCATATACTCTTATGTTATTGGTTTTTGATGGCTGGGTGATGCCATTCAAGGCAAAGAGAACAATATGAGAAAAAGCAAGGAGGCAATAAAAGCATGGAATATTGTGTATGGTCAGCGTACCAGGGAAGTAGCAAAAGATAAGGAAATTAATTTAGGTAGATTAAATTTCCGAAGTGTCTTGAATGCCACAATAAAAATTGGGGATTTATTTTATTGGAGAAAAGCCAAAGCTCTTAGTGAAGTGGATTGCTCTGGCCACTGTTTATAACTCTTCCTATGGGCTAGTCCCCTAGTACTTTTGGCCAACTTCTTTTCCCTCCCTTATAAAGGACTCAGTTCAGTTTGGGGATGAGGGCCATAGTGCTGCCAGGAAAATTTCCTTTGGGATTTTGCCAAGATGGTAGGCAGATCCCCATGTCAGAAGGAGACTTTTTCCACATATATTCCCAAAGAGTTTGTGACTGATTCTTAAGGGAAAAAAATAAACCAAAACAAACAAACAAACAAACAAACTCAGTATTTCATTTCTAAAGATTAAGATGTGAAATCCGTGATCCCTTTCGTAATTCCACTCTTGCCTATGATAGATAGGTTTTCAAACACATCTACTTATAAAATGCAATCATTATTCAGTCATATGAAAATGAACAAAAGCTACACGTTCTGAAATGCAGCAATTGTTATCTCCATGACTTAATTATTTTGCATTTATTGTTTCTTCAAGGTTAGAGATTTTCTTTTTATCCTACAGACATTAGCAAGTTGTTTTTTATTATACTGATTTGATTAGAATCCTCAAAAAGTCATTTTAGCCTACTGGCAAATCTTTAAATGTAGACAGATACAAATGAATTTTAATTGTTTCTGAGAATATTTACTTGGGTAAAAGAGATAAGAGATATTTTTAAATTCTTCAAATACATATGTGAATCGAGATGTTTCATTCATTGACAACAAAATAATTTGTTCCTCATCACATTAGAAACATACATCCTATTCATACTCTCCTTTAAAATGGTTTTTTTAAGAATTGGGTGGATTTTTCTACATCTTGGATGCTATAGAAGGCATTGAGACTCAAAACTGACCAGCTATTTTGCTTGGGGCAAAGTTAGGAGAATTGTGCCCTTTTATACTTCAATCCTGTAGTTTCTGGTGACAAGGATTATGAATTCTACCAAGATTTCTCTACCCCCAGACCTCCATGAGATTAACACAAAAAGTTTCTCTAAATACTAATATTTTCCATCCCTACCTTTTTGACCATGACAGTCATTAAATTACTGCCTTGGAAGGATTAATCCAGGAGCCATGAACAGAGGGAGATGGGCAGGTCTATTGCAATGAAATGCAGTGAAATGGGAAAATCTGTTGTAAGCATTTTGACATAGGCCTTTCAGAGACTGAAGGTTATTGATTAGAGCAAATGGGATGAATCAAAGACTTTCTAAAACAGCAGGCAGAACTCAGTAGATTTTATCTCCCAAAAGTTGATACAGCATAATCAGACATAAACTGCAGAGGTCTCGGTATTAGGCACACAAAGCATGAGCCTGATGGCCCATCTCCTCATTTCCAGTAACTAATGCAAGGCTAGCAAAGGGTAGGATGCACAATAATTGTTTGATTAATTAATTTATCAAGAATTTAAAGTGAATAAAGTGAATGACCACATTGTCACAATTCTTTTAATTGGTAATTTCTAGTTTTAGATTTAAGTGAAAATACACAAAATCTTAAAACTCAGACCTTTAGAAAAACTATCAAAATGTTTTGCAATTTCTTTCAGAAATTAATGTAGACAGTATTGAGTGAAACGTTTTGTAGCGATCATTGCCAAAGCATGTCAGGACTTTTCTAGCTCCCCAAGACACTTGCTCAGAATACAGAAGTGCTCAGTTCAACAAACCCTCTCTGCCTTTTGATAATGCCAATACCAGCTTTGCTAAGCCCTGTTCCATGAAGAATGAATTCAGAATGCAATAGTTGCTTGAGTCTAAAAATTCTTTCAGCAACTTTATCAGTAGAACAAATTTCTTAGTTCAGAATTTCCCAACAAACATTTGATTATCTGAGGCAATGAGGAAAACAAATGTGTTCTGGGAATCTCTGTGATTTTTGAAATCCTTACTTAAAGAATCATAAAGTCTCTTTTCCCCTTGACCTACCTCCAGCGAGAATTTAATAGTCTATTGTGCAACGGAAATTATAGCACTGTACCCCTAACTCTCCCATCGTTTACGTTGATAAAGGTATTGGGCTGGACAGTGCTCCATAGAACACTCGGGGAAACTCTGATCTAAGGATGTCATGCACAATTATCTCTCAGAGTTTAACAAATGTTTATTGAATAAACACTTCGTATTCCTCAAAAGCTTGTGAGCTATGAGCTATGCAAAGACAGGTTAGAGTCGTTCAATTATGTAATAGCGGTTAATAAATGACTAAAGGACATATTTACTCACTGACTGTGCTGATGGAAGGCCAGGCCACTGTACCTTGGGGAGAGCATCTGCAAGCTGTGTAGGGAGCTGAAATGTTCAAGGCACCTGAGACAATTTTCTCTGCCCTAGTGAAACAGTAACTTCTGTAAGTCAGCCTTGCTTCCTTCTGTAAGCATTGAACTATGGTTTCATGATCACTTTTATGTTGTGTAAATTATTCACTGAGGCAGGTGGGAAATTCCACTTAAAGAAAAATTGCAAGAGAAAGATTTGTCTCCTGCTTCCCCCAGATTGCTGCCTGACTGCCAAACACACACACACACACACACACACACACACAGACACACACACACACACACACACACACGAGACTGTCCACTCTTACCTGCTCAAGGAAAGTGCCTGTCTCTGGAGAAATCATTGTACCACAAGGAATCCAAAGGTGGGACTGAGGATGGATGAAGGACTCGGCAATGCTCAGGACTAGAGATTCCTTCCCTCTCCCTGGCCCCTTCCATGGCTGTTCAAAAAGTCCTAAAGCAGGAAACCCATTAAAAACATCTACCTGCAAACACAGACTGTGGAAGAGAAGGACGAAGAGTAAACCTCACAAAGAAGAATCAAATTTCCACCCACTTTGTCCTTCCCTCCAATATCCTCACTATATATCCTTACAGACCCTGTTTTTTCTTTGTTCTACATGGGAAATCCTGCTTTCTAAAGGAGAATGTTTGAGAAAGTGACCACTAGATGAGAACATGATGAAGAGCTGAGAGACTGAAGGTGTTGAAGACAAGCTTATCTACTTAATTTGCCAAGATCCTAGAAGGCTAATATCATTTTTCCTTGTTGAAATGCTGGAAATTCTTAGTGAGTCTCCTAGTTGCCTCCTTATATTTTGCTTCAGGTAAAAAAAAAAAAAAAAGGAATATTCTTTAATGAAACAATTCTTGAAATGTTTATACTTTTCCAAAACAATATAATGTACACAAAAGTAAATATGGGGACAAAATTTTAATGATAGAGCCATAGAACTGCATTGTTGACACTAACCTTTCAGTGTCACTCTGAGACGGAGTCACTCGAAGACTCAGGATAGGAAAGGTCAGGGCAACCTCTAATAACATGCTTCATTTAGAGCAGCTAAGAGGATATGCTCCATACGCACTTGATAGTATTTCTCCCCAAGACTCTCCCCTCAAACCAGAGGCTTAGGTCCACCCAGGACACCCTGTGTCAGCACACTGTAGGATATGATGCCCTACTCCTCCTCCTTAACTCGCATAATCGTAGTAACTAATGACCACGTTTATTGTGTGAGGGTCTCAGTGCTTTTCATGTACAATCTTGTTTAGTATCCATAGTCACAAACACTCCAAGAAATAGATATTATTATGCTACATCCATAAGTAAGAAGATTAAGGATTTACAGATCCTCATTGACAATAGTGTTAAAGGATGTAACTGCAACTGCAATGTTCTTTCTCTTTCCCACAGCTAGGTTATAAAGCAACTATGTCTGCTCTTTTTCATTCACTTCTACTCAATTTTTTTCTTCCTAACCTCGAATTGACTCTTTTTCTAATGATAACAGAATCTTAGAATTACACATATGAAGACTATAAAATATTTAAACTGACATGCCCTTAAGTAACCATTATTTAAGCAGAAATTTCTTGTGAGAAATTGGAGGCCCGGAAATATTATGCTTCTTATCCAGAATCACCACCAGTCCTCACATCTTCAGACTGTCATCTGCAGGTCTTTTTTCTACAGGACTTGGCCATAATTCCTTTTCACTGGGTAACCTCTAAAACATTTATTTTAAATACTATCCCCTTGCTATTCGCATCCTCCAATGATGGCAAGAAGAAGTAATGCCTTAGAGTTACAAGAGTAAATAAACACAGACAGCCCTGTTCTCCTTGCCTATGCCTTGCCTTCAGGAACATGACATAATTCAGTCTGCATGCAGACCTGAATGGAATCAGTATTTCATTCCATTACCTTCAATGGGATTCTCATTGCCCTTCCTAGAATAATTTAATTTCTCTCACTTCTCAAATTAAATGATACCTGAAAGTTTCAGCTGATGAACAGCTCCTGTTTTACTGTAGGAGGCCTTCCTTCAGGTACATGGGGCATTCATCTTTTACTATTAGTGAAGGCCATTAGCTGCAATATAATGCCCTCTCTCTCTGACATCCACTACAGTAGTAATACTCTCAGCCCCAAATGAAACTCATTTCCATGGCTCTGAATAAATAAAAGCAGATTACCTGTAATTTTTTTGACCATGCATTTAAAGAAAGCACATTGATGAAAGGGAGGAAAGCATTTATTAGGGATTCATATAATTGCCTAATGTATAGAATTTTTTTATTATTATTGCTTACATTTGTAGTGCAATATTATATTAAGAGTGGCATTGAGGTAATTCAAATATTACACATGAAAAAATTAGAAAAGTATACCTTGTTAGAAATTTAGATTAAAATAACATCAATGTTCATGATAATATTGGCTAATATTTATTGAATGCTAGGCATTATTCTAAGTATGTTGTCAGCATTACCGAAGCTAATTTTAATGAGATGAGTAACTGGTACAGCATCACATGACTATTAAAGGGAGGAGCTGGATTTAAGCCTGGAGAGCACTGTGCTTGTGCTCTGAACCTCCACACCATATTCCCTGTGAAACCCAACTCAAGAGAACCCTGAGCTACACATTCTAACACAGTTCCCCAGCTAGGAAGATAAGCAAGGCCCAGCTGTGCTTGGAAAATTAATAGAGACAATTTTTAAAAGTGCATGATGCATTCATGGTTTCCCTCAGACAATGGAAACACACACACCCACAAATACATTGAAACCACAGGAAACTGTAAGCAGCAATCTCCTCTTATTTCAGATTATCAATCAGTGAATGAGTCAAAAAAATTTATTGAATATCTATATACTATACATCACTGGGCATCTCAAGGGATCATGCTTTTGCCTTATAACTTGAATTCGTAAGTGTATCATATCACCTGTGGAATACGGGGTCAAGATACAAGTGTGCAAAATGTTACCGTTGCTATGGTGAGTGCACATAGTAGGTTATTGATGTTGGAGGTTGCAGGTGCTAGTCACTCATCTGAAGCTGCTTATGAATTGAAAACAGTCAAAAGAGGCCAATAGCCTCTATTTCAGTATAAGTTGTATTAAAGGGTTGACAGAGGATCTGTAATAACCAATGTATCTGATAGAGTTGAATTGGAAAATGAGGTTTGGAACTGAAGCCAAAGTGAGGTTTTCAGCTACCTTGCCCCCAAGTCTAATCTCCTTTGGGTACTACTTACAGAAAAAGTTCTGTCCACAAAATTCAGTAAGTGCCCTCATTCATGGAGGGTCTCAGTCACCTTCCACACACCAGGAACCTGTGAAATGAAGAGCCAGGGGAAGCAGTTAGGTCACTGGTGTTCTCTAGGAGACAGGACCTGCCACTTGACTCCTGTGTGCTGTTTTGCACAGTGAGCTGGACTTTCTGGCCAAGCTGTGACACAGGCAGCAAAAGACAGGAGCTGGAGTATGTTTCCTAATTTGAGGTACTTTCTTCTGTGGAATATGGGCCGTCAGATCACTCTCCCTCCACTTTCTTGTGTCTGAAAAGGACATCACTACTTATCTCATAGGTGGGAAGAGAGACTGGAAAAAGACCTCCAATCTAGAGAAGCAAGGTTTGGAAGGGAAGGAAGCAGCTCAGCCTGTATGGGCAATGCAAGGATGTAGGGCTGCAATAGGATGAGGAAAAGCGCAGCAGACGTGGGCTAACTTTCAAGACGGGGTGGAAACAAGGTGAGTTCAAAGGAGAATGGATGGTTTGAGTGGAATCTTGGAAGATATGGTAAGATAAGAAGACAATAATTGGCCAGGCAGAAGAGGCAGAAAAGGTCATTCTAGACACAGAGTGGGATGAGAAGAGGCTCATGGGTCCAGGGACAGAAGCACCTGCAAAGGTACCCACACCCTGCCCTATAAGACGGCAGTGGCCCTCTGAGCCCAGAAACCTCAAGATGTCCTGGGGAAATCTCCTAGGGCCACAGGGTTGTGAAGGTCTGAAACCTAGCAAGTAAAATGCCATCAGCACCCCTGCCTGAATTCAGCCAGGGTGGCTCCTTTTTGTTGGAATTAAAAATAAATTTTTATCTGAACCAAGTGTTCTGAAAGTTAAAAAATAAAATTTAAAAAAAGGCAACAAGACACCACACTCATAAGCTGAGGAGCCAGAGGTCTGTAAATAGCTACCGATGTAATAGGCATGCTCTGTGGTCGTAAATAGAGCATCTGCTCCTTGCAGGCAGGGGCTGTGTTCACATTTTTTGGACATGGCCTTGGCACTGTTTCCTACAGATAGTGCTTGCTAAGCGGTTCCTCTCCAGCACCACAATCCCCTTCCTGGCATCACTCTGGGACAATTCTCTCTCTTCTCTACCCCTTTCAGACCTTCCTCCTTTTTACTACTTACATAGACTCCTGTTTCCCCACATTTTGTTAATTACATTTTCTTTACTTGTCTCAGTTGATTCACTCTTACAGAAATACGCAAGCATGATGACACCTCTGTGCCAGTCCCGCTGATGCCCCACCCAGGTCTCTAAACAAATGTTTGTGCAGCTCAAAACAACATAAATATCCAGGAGCAACAGTGAGACTACAGGCAGGCGGGTCTCATCCTCCAGAAACCAAGAGGAAGAAAAAACCAGCTGGGAATGGAGCTAGAAAGCATATGAAATAAAACCATAATACTGTTGCAAGTAAGATAAAGGTCAATGAATTTCAAAATGTCAAATGACAAAAGGATAATCTCCCTTCCAGTTTTCAGTTAGTGTAGTTTAGTCGCTGCCAAGTCTTAAACCTTTCTGACTTCGTGTGCATTTTTAGTCTCGTAGTAGCAGTTTATGAGCAATTTATTCAAGTGTATATTAATATCCTCATAAATGTCAATCAGCACCTTAAGTGATGTGAAAATTTTTGGTAGATAGATTATATCTTGGGTATAATAATTGTGCATTGATTCACATATATAGACATTTGAAGCCCTACTGGGGGGCAGTGTGGAAGGTGGAGTTGCTGGGGGTTGAGGGTGGCCGGTGGCTACTAAATTTTTCAACGTTTCATGCTCACTGATTCTTTAGGGATAATAAAAATGTCCAAATCACAAATGATGGTGGTTCTCTGGATATTTAGCAAACTTTTATTGAGTTTCCATATATGGCAGGCATTGGGATAGCTATATCTATAGATATCTATAGATAGAGAGCTAGATATAGATACATAGAGAGTGAGAAAGACAGAAAGCTGACTCTTTAGAGCCTCTTTAGGAAAAACACACTGCAAAAGCTAAAGACATTGTGGGAACTCAATAAAATTTGTATTAATGTCATATTGTTGTAACTGCTAATAATAAAACAAATGGCAGTGTTCATGTGCCAGGCACTTGGCACGCATGGTTTTCATTTGGGGGTAGTTATCACTATCCTTATTTTAAAGATTAAGAAATCGTGGTGCAGACAAGTTAGAGGACATTTCTGAAGCCACACAGCAATTGAAAGGTGAAGCCAAAATTGTAACCCAATACCGTCTGACTCTAGAACTCAAGTTCTTCCCACTACATATTGATGCCTGCTGAATATCAATGAATGCTCAATCATTACATTTTCAAGATGAACCAAACCCATACAGCAGTCTAATAAGCATGCAAACCAGTAAGACCACATACATATTCTTTCAAGCTTTTCCTAATTTTCACTTAAATGTCCAAGCAAAGAATCATTCTCAAGTTCCCTAAGGAATACAATCCATGCAATATACTTGATTGGTTTATTAAGTATCTCCTCTTCCCTTGTTGTCTCTCTCTTTTTCTTTCTCTCTCTCTTTTATACAGTTCCTAGCATAGTACCAGATGCACCAGAAGTTCCAAAGAGCTGAAGATTCTTAAAGCATTTAAACCATTGAATGTAATCACTCCTTCTCTCTTTGAGCCTTGTGCAAGTTTATATCTGGACTCAGCAGGGTATAGAGTTATGGAAAGAGAAATGCACAGCCCCTCCCCAGGCAAATGACATGCAAATAGCCTGCTTCAGCATGTCAGTTCCATGGTAGTGGTGCCAGCAATGTCTAGGGGAGAACAGGAAACAGAGAGATTGGTATCTATAGGAGAGCTGGAGAAATTTCAGAAAAAGTAGACATTAAACAACCCTAAAAGGAAAGTAGGAAGAAGAATCACGTTAATCGTTAAGTTGAAAGAACACTACCCACAGACACTAAGTGCAAAAGTGTGTGATGCGTTTGGAGCAAGTGGGCTGTTCCATTTCACTAGAATAAAAGGAATATGAAGAGTATTGTGCATGTCTTCTCTGCTCCTGCTGTTATAGCAAAATACCATAGAATGGGTGATTTATAAAAAATAGGCATTTACAGCAAGGTGAGGTAGCTCACACCTGTAATCTTAGCATTCTGGGAGGCCAAGGTGGAAGGATCATTTGAAGCCAGGAGTTTGAGACCAGCCTGGACAACAAAGCAAGACATTGTCTCTACAACAACAACAACAACAAAAATTTTTAAATAGCCAGCATGGTAGCACAAACCTGTAGTCCCAGCTATTTAGGAGGCTGAAGCAGCAGGATCATTTGATTCCAGGAGTTCAAAATGCAATTAGCTTTGATTGCACCACTGCACTCCAGCCTGGGCAACAGAGTGAGACCCAGTCTCAAAACAAAGCAAAACAATCAGAAATGTATTGCTCACAATTCTGGAGGCTGTGAAATCTAAGATGTCCAAGATCAAGGCACCAGCAAATTTGGTCTCTAGTGAAAGTTTATTCTCTGCCTCTAAGATGGCTCCTCTTGCTGTGTCCTCACAGGCAAGAAGGTGTAAAAAAGGTCCTCAGGCCCCATGTCCTCAAGCCCTTTTATAATAGCATCTAATCCTATGCATGAGGGTACAGTTCTCAGGGCCTAACTACCTCACAAAGCCCCCACATCAATACCAACACCTTGGGAATTACATTCCAACATAGGAATTTTGGGAGTCACCAAAATTCAGACCCATAACAGTGGCAATTGGGGTTGGAGAGCTCTGTGAAATCAGATAATGAAGGAAATGAATTTCATGCTACAGAATTTAAATTTATATTATGTAAGAAACGTAGCCAGGGAAGGTGGTTTACACCTGTAATCCTAGTCCTTTGGGAGGCCAAGGCTGGCAAATCACTTGAGGTCAGGAGTTTGATACCAGCCTGGCCAACATGGTGAAGCCCTGTCTCTACTAAAAATGCAAAAATTAGCTGGGCATGGTGATGGGTGCCTGTAGTCCCAACTACTTGGGAGGCTGAGGCAGGAGAATCATTTGAACCAGGGAGGTAGAGTTTGCAGTGAGCCAAGATCACATTAATACACTGCAGCCTGTAAGACAGAGAGAGACCCCAACTCAGGAAAAAAAAAAAAAACAGAAATGGAATGAAGGGAAGTGGTATGGTTTGGCTGTGTCTCCACCCAAATCTCATCCAAATCTCATCTTGAATTGTAACTCCCACAATTCCCACATGTCATGGGAGGAACCCAGTGGGAGGTAATTGAATTATGGGGGTGGGTCTTTCCTATGCTGTTCTCATGATAGTGAATGAGTCTCATGAGATCTGATGGTTTTTAAAACAGGAGTTTCCCTGCACAGACTCTCTCTTTGCCAGCCAACATCCATGTAAGACATGACGTGCTGCTCCTTTCCTTTCACCTTCCGCCATGATTGTGAAGCCTTGCCAGTCATGTGGAACCATAAGTCCAATAAACCTCTTTCTTTTGTTAATTGCCTAGTCTCAGGTATGTCTTTATCAGCAAAGTGAAACAGACTAATACAGGAAGGGTTTTGATGAGGAATGCAACCAGGTTAGACCTTCGTTTTAGGAAAATAATTAGTGAAAGAATAAATAGGGGAGGTAGCATGTGATTAGACAGTTTTATTTGGAAGGGGAGTTAGGTGCTTTAGAATTCTGTTCCCTCTCTCTATTTGCAAAGATTGTATATAGTAACATGCTTCCCTAAGACGGTGGAAGATGAAGTGGTTGGTCTATGTCATGTTCTTCTCCAGCACTGGAAAATCTCACTTTATCCCTTTCCCCTTCACTCACTGAGCATGATGAAGTGTTTTCTGGGAAGACAGTCAATGGGCTTCAATGAACAGAGGCCTTGGTTGTTCCCTAAAATGTTGAATGAGTGCCTCTGAGAGACAAGATGAAAGCCTTCAGAATGATTTGAGTATCTTCAACTATGGCCTCCTAAACAATAAAAAGATTCTCAGAAACTGAAGACAAACAAAGCAACTTCTAACACAGAACTCACATTATATCATCCCATGCGATTACAGCATATTTATATAGTGCTTTCACATGTATAGTATACTTATGCACTTTATAATATTATTAAAATTTGAATTTATGGTATTATGAATTACATATACTGTTATATATAATTCCATGTAAGCTCACATAGCCTCATGTATAAATGTTTGCAAATGTGAATGAATAGATTTAATATATTAAAACAATTTCAGAGAAAAATCTTCAGATAATAATATTTTAAATAATCAAGATTTAGGAAATTCAGCCCTTTCTTTCCCTGGAAAGGCAGTTTAGCAATTCAGCTACTCATATAAATCTTCTGACAATTTGAATGTGGAAAACTCTATGGCAAATTTAGAATTATAATGAGCTTCAACCTCAGCTTCAGAGGAGAAGGAAAATTTTCTCACTTAGACTGAACTTCCCTCAGGAAAAAAACAGAAAGAAAACACAATAATGTTTCAACTTAGATTAATGAGATTAATAACAACAGAAACATCATCAAAACAATTATAATATAGCCAATTAGCCAATTTGGGACAGAGGAGTGTAAAACGTGCAGTTTTTATGGGTCACTGGCCCTATAGGATATAGAATAGGTATGAAGTATGAACAGTGACAGAAATACCAACATTGGGCACCTACTGTGGATCAGAACAGAATTAAACAGAATTAAATTATTTCGTATATTATCCTATTTAATGCTCACAGAAGCTCTATGAGACAGCATGGAGTGTATCTGCAAAGTTTCCTGGGAGCTGTCTCTGAATTGTCCGGCAATGTGCTAGATGAAAAGGGAAGTGCTGCCCTCACCCGAAGACAGGTTGTATTTTCCTCCAAGTGCTCCCTAGGTCTCCAAGTACTGAGCAGGTAGCATTTCTTATCACGGCCCTAAACAGCTGGCATCTAATCTGCTATTACATTATAGTTACATACAACACCAGGTGAAGTCACAGGGCATCATGAATCACTGCCAGCTTTGTGTCTCCACTGTTAAGGTCATTCTCATGCTCACCCAGTTAAAGAGAGAGCAACAGAGGGCAGGGTCCCTTCCCTGGAATAAGTCATAGTGGCTCCAGCAAGCCTCAACTGCATGCATCTCTGCAGAAAGCCAATAGATCTGGGTAAGCAAGTGCCATTTCTTGTTGACCCTTTACTTGTAAGTTTCCCCGGAAATTTGTTCTTTGTACCCATACTATGTGTTACTATGAACTTAGAGAAATTTAAGTAACATATTAGAAATCAGTAGGAGGCATATGAGCTAGGATACAAACCTTGGTCTATCTAATAAGAAAGTGATTCTTGTTAGGAAGATTAACTTGTCGAAAGTCACAGTCTTACAAAGTTGTGAGGCTAGAACTTCAACCAGGTTTGCCAATTCACAAGCCACTATTTGTTATCACAGCCCACTCTTCCTTAAAGGGTGAACTTAAGACCATCTATACAGTAATTACCAGGGGCGCTTATTACTATCACAATTTTATGAGTCCTACTTCAGATTTATGGAATCATAGTCTCTGATAGTGACGACCTCAAATCTGCAGTACCTAATAGGGACGTCAGGTGATCCTGATGAAGTTGAAAGTTTACAATGCATTGCTTTATGGAAATTGTCCTGAAATTGCCACAAGAACCTATGTGCACATAAGGTACCCGGGGCAGTGTAAGGCAAGGGCCAAACCACACATCTTCTCTATGCATTGAAGAAGTCAGTCTCTCAGAAATGAGACATTCATGAAGCCCTACCTCTTGGAATAAGTAGTAGAAAACAAGAAAAGAGGAAGGTTTTGTGATATCATAGGGGCTTTGAGGATCCTATCAAAAGATCCACCTGAATCTCCTATATAAGTGACTTCTGATACATGAACTCAGAGAACATGATTGCCTGGTCAAGAGAGGTCCAAGGAAGCATGCACACTCTCTTACAAAGTTGACAAAAATACCTATACTTGCTTCAACCGTGGTCTATTCCTAGCAACACCAAGGCGGGTAAGGAGGAGTACAAGTCCAGGCTTTAAGGGCAAGAGCTATAGTTTTCTTCCTTCCCTGGAAAGTAAACAAAATGTAACTTGCTTCTAACGTTCAGGGAGAACCAGTGATGAACTCACAAAAATGTGGACCAGATGTGTGCCAAAGTAAGACAGGGTGGAGCCGCCACAGTCACTACGTGGGTAGAAGTTTTATGCAATCCGAGAACCATGCTCTGCATTCACCTCATCTTTTATTCACTTCTTCCTTCCTCTCTTGTCTCACCAGAGAAAACTTGGGCTCCAATTCAAAAGGAAGCTTGGGCAGAAGCTTATGATTGAAAAATATTTTACCTAATTCATCAGTGTTAAGTGTGTCAAAAAAGCAAACCTTCCAAGCACTGCTATAAATCACTCTGCTTAAAACAATAGGAAATATGTTGCTCGAATGCAGCAGCAATTGCTATGAATTCCAAACAGTCAAGCAAAAGACAAAAATGCAAGCCTTGGAGGGAGATATAATTTCATGGTACTTTTTGAAGACCTATAAATTTTCAAAAAAGTGGGACATATCTAACATGGTGGAAATCAAATAAAAGATGATTAAAACTAGAAAGGATACAAATAAAAATGAGTTTTATTCATTCTTTACAGTGCTTGGTACATAGAAGATGTTCAAAAGTTTTTGTGATGAATTTATGAATAAATTCCAAGATTCTCACAGTTATTACTGTGGTTTCTCAAAACTGTTAGCCTTCACCCTCAACATTATAAGAAATTACAGAATCATTGAAGGCCTATAGAATTGTCCATTTTATCATTGGACTGGCCAAAGGCCCTCACTTATACTAGCTATAACCATTCAAGCTTTGGTGATCAGGCAATTTACTTCCATTTTACTTAGTTGAGTTTTGTGTTGATTTCATTTTTGTGTTTGTGAATACATGCTTAGAAAGAAGATAATGATACTTCCTCCCTGATGAATCACCAATTCAGACTGGCAAAGAGAATGGGAGTGGCTGTGTCTATGCCTGTGATTGGGGTAATAAAATTTCAGTAAACACATTAGTGTGTCTTTCCCTAAGATGGCTATCAATACCCAAGCAATATTTAGGCCAAGTACAAAGTGAGCTCTAAATAGGAAGCTTGTAGAAGCTTAAATGAGGGTTCAGCAGCAATAACAAATTTCATCTTCTGCTATAATTATATTATCAAAGTGAAAGAGGGTTTAATAAAAAATTGTCATAAAAATGAATTGTTAGAACTGTGTATTTATGAAAAAGATACATACACATATATCCATTACATATATACACATATATATAAAGATTTCTTTGTTTATTTGACAGTAAAAAAAGCATTGAATTTCTGTTTTGCAACCTTTAAAGTCTTTCAATAGCAAAGGGTCATTTCCTTAATACCATCTTTCCCAGTTTATCAGAAGGTCTCATAAGTGTTTCCTTGACCAGGTCATTTTATGCCTCTATTTTTATTTCATCTTGCAGTTTATTAACTCCTCAAAGGCAAGATTTCTTGACTACGTTCTTTGCGGCCCCTTTTTTTTCATTTAATCCCTTTTTCAAAATGGTCATTGGTATTTGTATACCAGAAAGCAATGGATATTTGTTCATGTCTACATGCATATACACACAGTTTCTAAACAATGCTAATATCATCACCTCTGGTGATAAAATTAAGAAACAAATTAATAACTAGGCCCCTTTTTTCAGATAATTTGTTTACATCTGTGAGATGAAAATTCTGTCTCAATTTTCTATATAATTTTGGTCCAGAAATTCTATCCTCTTTCATCCTTGCTTACTAACATGCAGAGTGTTTTTCTTTCTATTGTTTTTAACAATAAGTACTGAAGCCCTCCTAACTGTCCCCTCAAAACTGTGAACTGTTAGTTGGTTAATATTTCAAAACTTTTACATGAAATGCATATATTTATATACCCATATATAAAACATTCACATTTATATGTATGTATATATACATAGATGTATACACACACACATATACATATGTATACAGAAATAGAGAGAGAGACAGAAAGAGAGAATGTCTTAAAATCCATTTTCCACACAGCAGTGAGAATGTTCACCTAAATAAGAAAACCAGCCCTAGCACTGCTGCAAAGTGGTCTCCTGCTGGATCCAGATATTTTACCATGTCTCTCACGGTTGCCATTGTCCCTCCTGATCAGTATTATGTGGCCATCAGGAGTTCCTTTCTGGTCCTCATGAATAAAAAAAGCAACCTTATCTATTCCAGGTCCCTCACTTGAATGCTTTTCCCCCATATTGCTACTTGGCTGGCTTATTCTCAAACTTGAGATAGCAATATAAATGCCATTTCCTCAGAACTCCTCTCTGAAACTATAGTTCTCTCTTCCGCCCCATCTAAAGTGGCCTCCCCAAGTTTCTATCACATTACCTTAAATATTTCCTTAACATCACTATAATTACCTTATGTACTGTTTTTATTGTTTGCTCTCTTATTTCCCAACAACATGTAGAGATATTGTTAGTATTGCCTGTAATATATCACCACCAATCCTGACATACAGTAGATGCTCAATAAATATTTGATGAGTGAATAAATCGATGAAAAACTGAGTTCATAATTCACATATCATTGAATAACTTGCTTTTTTCCCATGAACAATGAATTATGAAAACAGTCCTATGTCAGCACATACAGAGCTTTTCTTTCTGGTTGCTGAATTGTAGTCCAAAATGTGGATACATATCAGTAAATTAAGTACATTTCTACTGATGGATGTTCAGGGTTTTTTTAATCTCTTGTTATCAGGCACAGCCCTGAACTATACAGATTCGCATTTGTATTTGGATATGTTTGCATAACTTGTTCTGCAGGATAGATTTCTACATGTGAAACTGCAATAAAAAAGGTTTTTAAATATACATAGATAAATTCAAATGGCCCTTAACGAATGCTGTCAAAAACTGCAAAGGGTCTGAGACTTTCACCTAGTTGATAAGTCAGCCTGACACAATTTCATGGATGCTGGCAGAAGAAGACCTGAGACTCCTGGTTAGAGGCAAAGGACTTTGCTGCTCATGTCACTGGAGGCAGTCTGATTTTTATGTTTGCTATGGTCTAAATCACCCCCAAAGGCTCCACCTCCCAATACCATCACACTGGGAATTAGGGCTTCAACATATTAATTTGGGGTAGGAAACAAAACACACATAACACTTATATATAACAGACTTGGGATATGATTATGGCATATGATTTGGCTTGAAAACGATTGATCATGTCTCAAATTGCTTTCTATAAGCTGTCGCAGCTGATCCCTTCAGGCCTTTTGATGTGTTGTGGACACTGTGGTTAGCAGACTGAGTAGCAGGGGAGGTGTAGGAAGACTTCAAGTAGCAACAATTATCTGTGAAAACCAAGTCTGGAACTCTGGGATAATTCTCTTGCATTGCACCTTTGACCTTCTCCATGTGGTCTAGGGAACATCACACACAGTTCCATTATGAGTACATCAGAATGCAGGACAGCTGACCTGAACTCATTTCCACAGGACCTCTGGGTAACCCATGTGTTACTTTGGATAACTTCCTTAACCTCTCTTGGTGCCTTTTTTTCTCTTCTATCGAAAAAAAAAGTGGTTTGAATAACCTTACAGATACCTTCAAATAAAGATCAGTGATGCAATAAATATGATCTATATTTTTACAGCTGAATTTTTTTCAGAAGCAGGATTACCCATCAGGTCAATAGAAAGAGCCATCAGGGCAATAGAAAGAGGAAAAATATATTTTAAATTATCAATTAATCCAAGATAGTCTTTCTTCAGCTTACAGTTGCTTTAGATACCACCTTCAAAAGGATTTGATTTTCACTAGTCTTATATCCTCAGCTATCACCCAGCCAAATATGATCCTGTAAGAAAGAAAGGAGTAGAGAAATCCACCCAAAGCATCCCACAGAGATGGAGTAAGGAAGAAGTGGGCTCAAATACTTCTTCAGCCACCATAAACCAAGTTTTTAATCTCTCTATAATACTTTTTCCTCATCTACATTATGGGGTTCATAGACTCTAATGAGGGCATCAGCATCAGTGAAATAATCATGCTAAAAATTGTAGAATTATAGCTGTAACGAATGCTAGAAACCCTTTTAACATTGAGCATTGAGTCCTGACTTAGATTGGGAAGGTCAAGAAAGCCAAAAAGCAATTCCTGAAGGTGCTCAGATAGGAAGGTTGAAGAAGGCAGCGTGCCAGGCTGCAGAAACATATGTTCAAGGGCCCAGCATGGATTGCTCAAGGGAACAAAAGAAAGTGCAGTGAGCCTGAGGAAACAAGGAAGATGATAAGGCTAGAGAGTTGAGTGTGGTTCAAATCAGGAGGAAACAAGGAAGGGGATAAGGCTAGAGAGTTGGGTGTGATTCAAATCAGGAGCCCATACAAGTATCATGCAAACCAAGACACAACTGAGCATAAATGGGGACAATTTTAATAATTATGCCAAGATAACAGGTATGAATCAGCACTGTCCATGGAAAATGAGAGAATTGAAGAGAGGGAAGCCTATTAGGAAATTATTGCAGAAACTAGATGAGATATAACATATTATGAGATAGATGTATTACAACTAAGAAATCTTGGGTATAGAAGGTGTAGTGCGTCTTGGAGAATGCAACAAGGTTGTGATGGTGAAGAAGTAGTAGATAAAAGTAGACTTCTCTTTCCTCTCTGGAGGGAGGGCTGCCTTGCCTTCTAGCAAGGAATACAGGAATCATGCCTATGGTCCAGCCTAACTAGCACATGAGCACTTTCGTTAAAGAAGTATAACAGATTCTAAGCATCAACATTGGCACACCAGTGAACACCAGATCAATGTTCCTGCATGTGTCAATTGTACTTCATGAAATATTTGTCCAAGAAATGTAATTAACAGGACCCCCTGCAGGTTTCAGATGTTCATAATATCCCTCTAATTTTCAAGAAATCACAGCTTCCTTTGGCGTAGGAATCAACAGTCATTCACAACCAGAGTTTATGCTAATTTCAGAGGCAAAGACAGCTTCAAGGTTAATGTATCCAATCTGTTTTGCTCATCTGTTTCCATCTAAATCTTTACTATGACTTAAGAGTTTAAAAGGGAAAGAGCAGAAGGCAGCAAGAAAAAGAAGGAGGAAAGAAGGAAGGGAAAGACAGAGGAAGGGAAGGAGGAACTATTATGTTAGGAGGGAACTAGGATTCATCCATGTATATTTATTTGTTTGCCCTCATGTTTCTATAAGAAAAGGTAGGAACCAAACCAAAGTGAACTCAAAGTGAACCCATTGTGATTCGCTTCTAGGAGGAAATCCGAAATCTCCCATGGGATTGAGTAGCATAAAGCTGTACTGGCATGTTTTCTGGAGTCAGAACCCAAGTGGTGAAAGGGAAATTTTAAATAGGCTTGAGAAAAATAAGTGATCATGTTAGTAAGACTGGGCACTTTTAGTCAGTGGAAATAAGAACTAGAAATGTACTTATTTTAGAACAATTTTTATGATGAAATATTGACCTTCTGTTATCAAGGTCACAGTTTCTCTCCTTGGTCTCTCTCTCTTTCTGTCTCTCTCAGATAGAGTTAGCCCACAACCCAAGATGAGATAGGAAATGTCTGCTCTGACCCATTCCATCTGCTGTCTTGGGGCTGCTTGACTGCTCTTGGCAGGACCTACTCATGTCTGAGGCTTTTGGCGAAAACCTGGGTCCCACCATGGTCCCTTCCCTGAGATATTAGAGTGAACATTTCTTTAACAGCCTAATACCAGTGACCCACAAAGGAACATCTTAAGAAAATGTTTCTCAGGATTTACATTTTTTAATGAGGATAAAAAGCGAAACGAAGGAATCAAATCTCAAATGTGGAATATCAGACACTGTGGAATGGAGTGGAAAATTATACTTCTACATGCATATTTATATACATATAATATATAAGGAATAGAGAGCAAAGGTACAGATGCCATCAGCTAATGTGATACGGGAAATACAAGTTCATTATCTACTGCTCTGGGACTCCCCATACTGCAGCCAGGTAAACTGTAGTGGGAAAAACAGAAATACTACTTTTCACTCTAAGGGAGTGAAGCAACATCTATTACATGAGCAGATAATCAGGTACTTTTTTCTTTTTATAAAAGAAAAGAACAGAGTTCCAAAGAAGAAAGTGAGAGTGGGGCTGGGAGCTTACTCGACTCTGAGTGGTGAGGAATGGCATCCTGAGGACACAGTAAAGTGAAACCTAGGGTGGGGAGCTGCCATGCCAAATTTGAGGAAGTCCATTCCACTGTTCATATTTTGTTCATATCTCCTTGCAATCATTTATTGTGTACACGTATTACAGTTTAGAGCTCTTTTTTTTTTTTAGACCGAGTCTCGCACTGTCACCCAGGCTATAGTGCAGTGGCACCCTTTTGGCTCATGGCAACCTCCACCTCTGCCTCCCAGGTTCGAGCGATTCTCCTGCCTCAGTATCCCAAGTAGCTGGGATTTCAGGCACCCACCACCATGCCCAGCTAATTTTTTGTATTTTTAGTAGAGATAGCATTTCACTATGTTGGCCAGGCTGGTCTCAAACACCTAACCTTGTGATCCACCCACCTCGGCCTCCCACAGTACTGGGATTACAGGCATGAGCCACTGCGCCTGGCCTAGAGCATCTTTTATACGCTGTTTTCTTCCTTCCACTCAGTGCTATATTAACAGCAATTTATCAAATTGTAACTTTCATAAATATTTCTAGTGGTTATTTAGTATTTTCTTAAATAACTCTCCTTAATTTACCAAACTATTTAGGGCATTTTCCATTATTGTGAATAATACCTTGGTGAGTATCTTATCATATAAACAATTATATTTCAAATTTCGAATTATTCCCTAGGATACAAACCTAGGGTTGGGATTATTGGATAGGGTATGAACACTAAATGTTTGGTACATGTTGCCATTTACTGTATATGAGTCATTATCTCATAATATACTGACTAAAGTTGTCACAATTTCTAATTTTTTTTATTAAAAGAGGGAACATGAAAGCTTGCATTTTGATTTGCTTGGTTTGATGTCTTTCAATTGACTGACATACCTTAGCCGCAGATGTTTCCCGAGGTGCTACCCGAAAGAGTCGCTGGACAGCGGTTACGCATCAAGACCCATGCTCACCTGTGGGACAGATTCTTGCAATTCCAGCCCTCCCAAACCCATTGCACTGGCTCCCAGGGCCAGGCAAAAGCTCTCATCCAGGGTGGGATTCTGGATTGCCTGTGTCTCTCTTGCCACATCTGGGGAACTTCAGAAAGCCTGATCTCCACTTGCCTTTGAGAGACATTTCTAGTACTCTGACATGTTTTTAAGGAAGTAGGGATGGGAGACACTGTGAATGGTCACAGGTAGGGACTGCTGCTCCACTCCAGCTTTCACCCATTCATGAGCCCCAACTCTCTCCCCGCTTAGGGAAAGCACCTTCCACATTTAGCCCTTACCTCAGAAGTGTAGTTAGTGTCATTAACAGCCCAAAGTTTATATAAGACTTGCCTGTAACCCGCTTATAGTAGGTGTCAGGTCCTCCAACCCCAGACCTAGAGTCACAATGTGGATCTAGAATCCTGAAATCTGCGTTTTTCAAAATACTTCCATATACAGGTAGAGGCTAATGTGTGTACCTGATTAAGATCCATTGATTGAAGAGTACCCCATTACTCCTTAGAAGCTGGAAGATTTCCACTCCAAGGAGTGGACTTTGTGCCAATCTGTAAGCATCGAGTCAGTCGTTTGTCTTTGCAGCACTTAAAACCCTGTGTAAACAGACTCAAGCAGACCCAGCCCACCATCATGGTCCACAAGCCCAGACTTGCAAAGGTACTCGGCTTAGGATCTTGGGAAATCCCCATTTCCATATACAAACAAAGGAACGAAAGGTTTGGCAATCACCCAGAGAAAGTCATTCAGTAGAGTTCAAAAATATTTTTATCCTAATTATCTGAATAATTAATGCAAAGTCAAGGTAGGATATAATTTTATTGTTTTAAGTGGAAAACATGTTTTCAAAGTTCATCAGACTGATGTAAAAGAACACAACCAAACCAACATAGCTCCAAAAATTGTAATCAGAGATGCTAAAATGACTTTTATGTTCTGTATGTAGAACAAAAAAATGTCTTTTAAATTAGTAGCTTATTAAAAGAATCAGTAGCTAGCAAGTAATGTATTTTCTTCTATAAAGCGATAGGGTATTTGTGATTGCATGACCCATTGTACAAAGTTCACAAAAACATTATCTGTGATCAATGCCGAGTATGGACAGAGAATTTTATATTGCCCTAAGGGAGGGAGTCTTGGCTGCCTTCTTAACAAGCCAAGGAACCATTTTTAAATCCTGCTGAAATACGCATCGAATATTGGAGGGACACTACTTAAGTCAGCAAGTATATAAATGGAAAATCAACATTTGAGCCCAAAACAAAAAGGACGCTAGTATTAACAACTAAAATATAAGATGTTAAGATGTTTAAAAGCTATTTTGTTTCTAACTTTTCAGTTAACACCGGTTACTAAATTCAACATATTGAGCTGTGTTACTTGCTCACTTTATTATGAACAGTGTGTTACTTGCTCAAAGGAGAACCTCCTGTGCGTGGCTGGTAATACAAAGCCTCCTCCCTCAGTCTTCAGCTACAAGTGACTTCTACTGGTCAGGCATTCAGGACAAAGTCAAAGGCACATCTTAGCCCTCCCCAGCTGACCCCACCTTTCACTGGCATCCTTATTTCCACCTCCGTCTCCCCACAAAACACTTGGCTCTCCCATGAGAAACAATCTGAATTTTATTTAGAAATCTGCATATGTTCCTTTCCTTCCTTTTCAACTTTTTCTACAAAAAATGTTGAAACAAGCCAGGGTATATATTAAATCCATGGGGCCGTCCATAGCCACTGCTATAAGCTGTCCTCCCCTCCAGTGAAACTGCCAACACTTACCATATGTCTCCTGATGTACTTACCCTGCATCATACACTACAGAGCATCATTAAAGAGAGGGATGTTCAAGAACCTAAGTCCTAAATCCCCATATTAATTATAAATTCCCTAGGCTTTGGATTGCACCTGTATAGTGCTTCTTCATCAAATTCTGTGTACATGGTAGGTGTTAATGCATGAAGAATAAAACAGTAATTTAATAATAATGAAGTAATAGCAACTCTCATTGTATTGTGCATCTATGAAGTGCCAGACACTTTTCTAAGCACTTTGTATATGTCATTACATTTAGTAACCACAATACTATTTATCATTTTTCCCCATTCTTCAGGTGAGAAGCATGTGTGTGAATAAGAGAAAGATGTTAGTACACACCCTCAGCTTGGAGAGGTGCTATGCTGTGAGAAGTTTCTGGAACCAAACAGACTAATAAACTACAGAGGCATGTAGCCCCATTTTCTCTCCACTGACCCAAAGTGTTTTTGAGCCCCCCAAAGGGGGAAAATATGACAGTAGCCAAGTCCACATGTGGGGCTAGGTGGTAGGGCAAGAAGGGAAGAAAAGAAACAAGAAAGAAGTTACATTCTTAAGTTGAGAGCTAATATCTGGGATCATCTATAAATCCTTCTAGCTTTGTCATGTTCCTTGTTTGTGTGCTGGGAAAAAATACAAGTCTTCACCAAATATTGGATCCAACCAAGTTTTCTTTCCTCTTTCTAGTAGAATTCTACTTCATCCATTCTTTTACTTATTTTTTTTAAAATGTCAACTGAGTGCCTACCATGCAAAAGGTTTAATGTTAAGCTATAAGGCATGATTTCACTCTTCCTGGAAAGAAAGTGAAATTTGATAAAAGAGACATATAGAAAAACTGGAGGAGGAGAAAGGAAAGAACAAGTCAATGCTGTTTATAATGAGGAAGGCTTCTGAGGGGAGGTCATGCCTCAGCTGGTTGTTGAAGGATAGTAAGAGTTTGCCAGGTGAAGTTTGCAAATAAGGGTTTGCTGGAGAGAAATTGGCATGTCCAGAAGCTGCAGGTATGCTGGCCACACATGGAATTCAGTGGAACACCTGTATCCAGGCATTTTCTACATTTCTGCTCATAAGAGAGGTGCTTTCTCCGGCTTTGTTTGGATAAGTAGTATTAAAAGTGTTGTAGGGCAAACATTCATATTTATGCTGTATTTAACTTTTCATTAATAATAAATTCAGGGGAAGTAGCATTGTTATTAATATTGATCAACATTCCAATTGAAAGCACAGATGTCAGGGATTTTTAAAAACCGGGTTCAGTTATATTTAATAGTGCTGTTGATGAGAGGAAACCTAATGAAAACCAACAGATGGTCTATTTAATATCGCTCTCGGCTTTGAAACATGTGCCAAATGTGATACACACAAGGACTTGACAGGGCTGCTCCTGGAAGCCTTTAATTACAAATATTTGCACTCCTGGGCCTGTTCAAATTGCTAAAATAACACTGCGAGTCTAACACTGGCCAAGTCAGAATTTAAATAATACCAGTTTTGTGATATTGTTCGTGGCATTGTATTTCTAAATGACCTCTGTAGACAGTTTTCCTGGCGGTTTTTTGTCTCTCTCTCTCCCTCCCTCTCTCTCTCTCTCTTCCCCCTCTTTTTTTTTTATTTTCGATTAAAGAACTGGAGCCCATGGCCAGGATGAACTCAGACAGTCCCCTCCCACATCAGCATACTCAGTCTGGAACACTGAGCAGCATCTCCAAAGTCAAAAAGCATGGATCTCCTTACTATTATGGTTGACTCAATTACAGACAGCCTTGCTGACATAAACTGCCAAAGCAGTGAGTAAGTAATTAATAATAATAATGACAATATCAATGACCCCTTTATAAACCTTGCTAGTCACTTGGCAAATATTACCACCATTCCTTGTAACAACAGAAAACAGAGATAAAGACACTGAAGCTGAGAAGGGCTCAATATTAGACTCAAGGTCACACAGCTTATAGGTGGTAACTGGGCAGGCTAATTAACCAGTAAGAGCATGATAAACCAGTCAATTATGGCAGGATAGTATTTCACAAAAGAGAAAGAAGCAGAAGGAGAAGTGGGTGGGGAGGAGGAGGAAAGAAAGGAGAAGGGGAAGAGGAAGAGGAATAAGAAGAAGAAGAAAAAGAAGACCCGTAATATGGTTTGGCTGTGGCCCGACCCAAATCTCATCTTGAATTCCCACATGTTGTGGGAGGGACATGGTGGGAAGTAATTGAATCATGGGGGCAAATTTTTCCTGTGCTGTTCTCGTGACAGTGAATAAGTCTCATGAGATCTGACAGTTTTAAAAACAGGAGTTTTTTCTGTAAAGCTCTCTCTTTTTGTCTGCTGCCACAACGTAAGACGTGACTTGCTCCTCCTTGCCTTCTACCATGATTGTGAGGCTTCCCCAGCTACATGGAACTGTAAGTCCAATTAAACATCCTTCTTTTGTAAATTGCTCAGTCTCAGGTATGCCTTTATCAGCTGTGTGAAAATGTTCTAGTACAGTAAATCGGTACCAAGGGTGGGGTGCTACTAAAACAAAGTTCAAGATTAAGGCTCTGGCAGATTCTGTTTCCAGCAAGGGCCCTTCCCACGGCTTGCAGATGGCCACCTTTTCACTGTTTGCTCGGGAGGTCATTCCATGGTGACTGAGCTAGGGGTGGAGAAGGAAGGGAGGTCAGATGTCTCTTACTAGGAAACTCACTAAACACTAATCCTATGGGATCAGGGACCCACCTTTATAACCTAATTTAAACCTAATCACCTTCTTGTAGGTCCTATCTCCAAATACAATCACATTGAAGTTTAGGGCCTCAGCACACAAATTTTGTAAATACACAATTTTGTTCAGAGCAATTATCCTTTATTTAAATTCTCTCAAGACATAGACCAAGATATCAAAACTTGATAAAGCTATCACAGAAAGCTATAGCCAGTTTCTTTTTCAAGATAGATATAAAAATTCCTAATAAATTATATTCAAAATAATACAGCATCATATTTTAGAATGTCACATTTTTAACTAAGTAAAGTATACTCCATGGCTACTGGTTCAGCATTAAGTAAATTTCTCAATATAATTTATTATATAAACAAATTAAAGAGAAAAAAGCAAAAAATACGTGATTATATCAACATGTGCTAAAATCGTATTGAATAAAATTTAGAAGACATTCCTAATTAAAATTCATAGTGACATGGGAATAGAAGAAACAGTCTAAACATGGAAAAGTATAATTAACAATATCCAAGTAAAAACGTAGTAACAAAGATGAAATATGAAAGTCATCATGATTAAAAAACAGGAACAGTAACTATTCCCATAGTCAAAAACCAAAAATATCTCCATTTGATGGCTTGCCTAAAAAATATAAAAGACTACTAAAAACGTGCTTAAAATAATAAAGCAATTTGGTAAAGTGGCTGAATCCAAGTTGACTAGCTAGATTTTAATGCTAACAATTTCATGTTAGAAATAGGTATGCAAAAGGAAAATCTCATTTTAAAAAGTAGTAAAAACTACAAAATATCATAGATTAAATTTAACTTAAAATTAGTAGGCCTACATGAAAAGAGCTATAAAAAGTTATAAAAGGACATAAACTAAAACATGAATAAATAGAAAGACATAGCATGTTTCTGGATTGGAAGACTTTTAATATCACAATATTTCCAATTTTATTTAAACCGATATGTCATCTTACTATAACAGTAATCAGGATCTCAGTTTTTTAAAGTGGAAATTTTTTTTCTAAACTTTATGTAAAAAATAAATGCATGGGAAATTCCTAGAAAAAATTTGAAAGTAAATAATGAAAAGTAATTTGCTTTTCAAGGTTTTAAATGTACACAAAGGTATTATAAGAGCAGTATTGACACAGGAATAAACAGATGAGAGAACAAAACAAATAGTAGTGGTACAAAACAATATGCATGATTGGAAATTAATCTATGTAAATGTGATATTTAAACTATTAAGAAATTATTATTTTTAATAGTGACATTAAAATAATTGTCTATGCATAAGCTAAAGCAAACCTTTTCCTATAAACATACAGACAGTAAATATTATGAGAGGAAAAGAGCCAAGGATGATATGTAAACAACTGGGCATAATTGTGTTCCAATAAAACATTTTTTAGAAAAATGAGCAGCAGACTAGAATTGGCAAATGGGCCATAGTTTACCAACCCCTAACTAAAAGAAATTTAAGTGAATATTGTTATGTCACAAAAATAAATTACAGATAGTTTTAAAACCTTATTGTAAGAAACAAAAACAAAAATATTAACGCTAACCATATTAAAAGGAGAAGAGTTTTATAAGCTCAGTGTAAAGAGGCTTTGTTTGTTTTTGTTTGTTTTAACTTTTATTTTAAGTTCAGGGGTACATGTGCCAGTTTGTTTTACAGGTAAACTTGTGTCATGAGGGTTTGCTATACAGATTCTTTTGTCATCCAGGTATTAAGCCTATTACCATTAGTTATTTTTCTCAATTCTCTCCCTCCTCCCACCCTCTGCCCTCTTATAGGCCCCATTGTGTGTTGTTCCCCTCTATGTGTCCATGTGTTCTCATCATTTTGCTCCTATTTATAAGTGAGAACATGTGGTATTTGGTTTTCTATTCCTGTGTTAGTTTGCTAAGGACAATGGCTTCCAGCTTCATCCACGTTAAAATGGAATCAAGAGATCTTTTTCAATAGATCATCAACTCAGGTAACAGAAAGGAAATGACTTACACATTTGTTACTTAACTGTATAAAAGTAAAGCATAAGAAACTGAACAAAATCAAAAGACAAACTACAGCCTAAGAGAAGTATTTGCTGGAACATATGATGAGCAAACAGTAACTATATGTAACATGTAAAGAGTTCTTGCAAACTGATAAGCAAAATTAAACTGATCCAACTGATATATCTGTAAAGGATATACGCAGGCAATGCTCAAAAGCAGAAACTCAAAACACTCATAAACTTAAGAATGCATGCTCTTCATAAATGAGGTCAGGTCACTCCTCTGCTCAAAACTTGGCTGTTTTAGTTCATTTGGGAACTAGTTCACTGGCTATAGCCCAGGTCGGGGTGGCTCATAAACAACAGAAATGTATTCTTCACAGTTTTGGAAGCTAACAAGTCCAAGATCAAAGTCCCAGCATGGTTGGAGTCTAGTGAGGGCTCTCTCCCAGGTAGCAGATTGCTGAACTTCACAAAGGCTAGAGAGCTCTCTGGGGTTCCTTTCAGAGGGCACAAATCCCATTCATGAAGGTTCAGCTCCCATGACCTAATCACCTCCCAAAAGTCTTACCTCCCAATACCACTACAATGAGAGTTAAAATTTCAATCTATGGATTTTAGAGGGATACCTTCAGTCCATAACACCAGCAATGGCTTTCATTTCACTCAGAGGGGAAAGCAAAGACCTCACCATACCTGCAGGCCCCATTATCTCTTGAACTTTCCCCCTGCTAATCTCCCTCTTGCTCCTTCCTTTCCAGCCATAGTGCCTGCTGTGCTGCTTCTGAGAAACACAGGTATGCTCCTAATCGGGGCTTTGCAGTGATGCCTCCTTCACCTTGAATGCTTCTCTTCAAGATTTCTATATTCCCTCACTTCCTTCAAACCTGCTCAAATGTCTTCTCAAGAGGCCCACCTCTGACCACTTCATGTAAAATTGAATACCCCCACCACCACACATGCACCACACACACCACACAGATATGCACACACAACATACACACACCATACACACATACCACACACACACATACACCATACCACAGATACACACCACACACACAGGCACATATACAAAAATACACACATATACACACACTCACAATCCTCCTTACCTTGCTCTATTTTTTCTTTTATTATAAAATATTATCATCTTCTAGGTTTAAGGTCTCTCACCTTGGCAGGTTTCTAACAACCAAATTAACCTCAGTGAACATGGAGCTGGAAAGAGCTATTCCCAGTCAGCCATCACAAGCCAATACAGGCCTGCTCTAGCACATAGTAGGTGTTCGGTAAATATTTGTTGAATGAACAAATGCTAAACCGCACTTGTAATTGCAAACATGTAAATTAAAACAAGATACAGTTTTCATAGATCAAAATGGCAAGCATGTTATAGGTGAATAACTTTAAAACCAACAACTCAACAATCTTCCTTTTAGGAACTGATTCTATAGAAATAAAAATTTCAATGCCCAAAGGAGGCATGTACCTTAATATATTTATTGCAAAACACTGTTTGTAATAGCAAAAAAACTGGAAATAATTTAAATACCCACATGAATAGAAAAATTGTGAATGAATTATGGTACATCCATCTTACTAAATGTCCTGCAGCCATGAAAATAATGAGTTGTATCTTTAAAAAGCAACCTGGAAAGCTATCCATGATATGTTTTAAGTGAGAAATATAAGTTGCAGAAATTATAAGATCTAATTGTGTTTAAAATGTTAAGAAAATGATTATAAATATGTATTTTACTTGCAAGATCATAAAAAGTATTAAAAACACTTAATTTAGAATTAAATTTGGAATAAACTTATATAAAACTTCATACTGTTTTCCTTTTATACCTTAAAAAAGCTAGAAAGCCTTTTGTATCAGTCTCTGCAATACCTAGAATAGAATAGTTTCCTACCTATTGAGAATTTATCTGTAAAATCTCTGCCTTAGCAGAAGGACCTTGTTGAATTACCTTCAGATTCTGCTTTCAGCATCCTCTTCTCATTGTATTATTCTTAGACTCCTTTTTTTCATATATATATATATATATATATATTTATTATACTTTAAGTTCTAGGGTACATGTGCACAACGTGCAGGTTTGACTCCTTTTTTTCTACTCCACTACATAGCTCATGCCTTCTAGGCTTAGATGTCACAATACCAAAAAGCTTGCAACAAAATGACTCTTGGCTTGAGACAAACTGAGTGCCAATTTCCCATCATTACCCAAAAATACAACCCAAAACTATGTTTCCAAAAGGAATCTGAAAGAGAACTTTTTAAAAGAGAAAGTAATTAATAATAACATAGCTACTATCTTGAGCCCCAAATCTGTGGGTAAGCAATGATGCAAAGGTCAAAACTTAATGAGTTTGGTGAGTTTGGGAATTTGGTGGGTGAAGATTGTGGGGTACAAGATAAAGGGAGAACTCAGACATATCTAGGTCATGTTAAGGAGAACAGATGATACTCCAAGGGCAACAGAAAGCTGTACAAGGGTTTTGTGTAATGGAATAACATACTATGTCTTGTGTTTTTAAAAGACCATTTTGGCTGCTATGTGGAGAATCAGCTTCAAGGAAGCAAAATAGAATTAAAGATCTATTTTGGAGTCATCCGCTGGGAGACAATGGTGATTTGACATGGATTGAAGAAGTAAACAGATGCCAGATATTCCATAGAGCACTTACAGCATTCAGTGATGGATTGGATGTGGTGAAAAGAAAAAGAGAGGAATCAAAGATAATCCCACATCATTCCCAATGCCCTCAGGTATTCTGGTATTCAGAGGTCTGGCCTAGAAAGGGAAGTCAGAGGCAGGGATTGAGGAGAAGGTAGTCCTACCTTCAATAAGCAAAGAATGGAGAAAGTCTGGCATGATATAAAGAAAACTCAGAGAGCATAGGGCCACAAAAGGCAAGAAAATAGAGTGTTGCACAGGAATAGTTAACTGTGTCCAATGCTGCCGAGAAGTCATGCAAGATAAGGGCCAAAAATGGCACTGATTTGCCAAAATAAATTAAGGGCATTCCTGGCCCAGCAGTCAGAGTAGAGTAGTCAGGTGATCAGCAGAGTGACACAGAGAAGAGAGGATGTAAATGAGAAAGAGAGCGGTGGGCATTACAATTCCTTTGGGAAGATGTGTTGAAAAGAAAAACAGAGACATAAAGCAATAGATTGAGGTATATATTAGATCTCTGAAGGGTTCATTCACAACTAGATCACCCCGGAGCTTATTTTTACATTAATAGAAATGATCCACAGAGAAGAAATGAAAGATGCGGAAGAGAGAAGAAACTGCAGGAGCAAAGTCCTCAAGTGTGGAAGAAAAGCCCAAGCCAGATACCAGGTGGGGTTGCTACCCATGGCATAGGTCACCCATGCCAACAGGAGACACGGCCCATGTACACAGGCAGGCATGGTGGGAAATTGAGCAGAGGTAAGACAGAGCTTTCCAATGGGGAATTTTCTTTTCCCGTTGAAGCATGATGCAAGGTCTCCAGTGAAGAGTAGGAATTGGCCAGCAAAGGAAAATGTTGAGGAACAATTTCAGAAAGAGGAGGAGCAAATTCTTGTAATACTGAAGTGTGCCTGTTGGGATGAAACAATTGGACAGTTGAGATCACTCATGAAGTCTGACTGGCCAGCACCTTTGTGTGTTTTCCTGCAGGCACATTCAGCAGACCAGGCACTGGATGGAGGAGGTATTATTCACTCTATCTTACAGGCAATAGATCGAAGGCTCACAGATGTTGAGTAGCTTGCCAAGCCCACCCAGTTCACAAGTGACGAAGCCAGGATGAAATGCAAACATGTCTGACTTCAAACTTCCTTCAATAAAATAATAATAAATAATAATGATAGTAACTTCTTTCTGCCTTCCACCGAAGTACTTGCAAATATACAGATGGTAAAGGAGAGTGTTTTTAAGGATAATTCCAAAGTCATAACAAATGTGCTTCAGCAGAAATGAGGGAGCAAATGTATAAAAAGCAATCCATTGATACTTTTGGAAAGCAATAATCCCATTACATATTGATGACTCTTAAATCTTTGCTAAAGGCTTATTTTTAGTGGACTTCTTAATTGCTTAGTAACAATGAGATAAGATGATAATCTACAAAAATAACCTGAAAGAATGGTATGCTGTAAGCTTGGCAATATTTGTTCAAAATAAATTCCTAACCATCAACTAATTAATAAAACCAGCAACGATCATAACATTGAGAAACAAAAACACCCAGCATCTAGCAGCAAAACAGTGTCAAAGAAAACAAATGTCCTGTGGGAAATGTCTTTAAAAGTTCATCACTTTTTTTTTTTTGCGTCAACCTGAGCAAATCGCATACGGCAATTGACATCCAAAAAGTCTAAATGTGGCTCTTGAAAAGTAATGCAAGAAAACGACTTTTTTTCCTACTTGAACAACAGAAAGGAGAACAGAAATAGTGGACTGAGTTGGACAATTGATGCCAAACAAATCTATTTGATTAGTGGATAACACTGCAGGATAAGTAGATGGAGCAAGGACAATGATGAATGTGCACACTTGTATGAGAATGTGTGTGTGTGTGTGTGCGTGTGCACGCGTGCACATATATTACACAAAACTTCATATAATCAGATACTTACAAATATTTATAAGATGTGAGTTAGAGTTATGAAAGCTCATAAAAGATTTAATTGAAGTCAATTTTATAGGCACAGAGTCAGATTTAAACATATTTAAAAGACTGCTAACATGAGACATTATAACTCCAGGGAAAACCACAGGGGTATATTTAATTTGGTCAGTCAGATGTGAGGCTTTATCTAATAACCCAGAAATTTGGAAATAGATTATATACTGTTAACTTGTAATATGAAATACAGGTTTTCTTAGGAGTAGAAATTTAACACCCAAAGGAATCAAGTTAAGTTAAGAAATGCAAACAAGCAATATCTAATAAAGACTAATTGATAGATGTGTAAATGCATTAACTCATAAAGGTTCTGAGTCAACCGTCTCGATGAGTTCACAGCATTTGTATCAAAATCATCTTAGATATAATGTGATTATATCATTTAAGCTTATAGCAATAATAATAAAATAGCCACTATTTGTCACATTTCTACACTGTGATTGATGCCATCAGGTTCTTTATAATATCCTCTCGTGTAATGAAAACAACTGTATTTAACAGATTAGGAAACAGAGGCCCTGAGAACTTGAGCTGAAGCTGCTTGCTGGAGCCAGAGATCTAGCAGTGAGATGAGACTGAACACTCCCAAAACTCTTGATTGTTTCCACCATTCCTCTCTGGCACCCCTGAGTCCATAGCAAAAGGCCATGCCAAAGGGCAGATGGCAAGGAAGCAGATCCCATCATCCCTGGTCATCCTGACACTGCCAGGCTGGACTGCTGTCCCCCCCTTGCCAGTCCCATCGTCACTGACACAAAGCCACCATGTTCTCTGTCCTCCTTTATCAGGAGTTGGGACTGGTTAGGAGAACAGTGAGAGTCCCCAGAACAGAGCCTCATCCAGCTTTGCACCTCCACCTCCCCTACCCTGCACTCCAGGCCCACACTCGCTCCCACCCAGCTTCCTAGCACCCTGTAGGCTTCACTTTACCTAGGTTATATCTGTGTATGTATGTGTGTGTACTTGTGTGTAGATGTGTATGTGTGTACTAGAATATATATGTTTGTATGTGTCTGTGTGTGTTAGTGTATGTGTGTGTTTGTGTTTGTGAGTGCACACCAGGGGATGAAGTAGAAGCATAAGGGACAGTGCTGATTGGTGCAAAAGGCCTTTTACATTTAGAAGGGCCAGGTTTGAACCTTAGCTCCATTATTTTTACTAATGGACTCTCGGACTACTTCTGGCTCCTTTACTCCAGCGGTTCTCAGTGGGGAAAATTTTGCCCAAGGAAACATTTGGCAATGTCTGGAGATTATCTGGGTTTTCACGAATGGGAGGGGTGCTACTCACCTCCACGGACAAAGGCCAGGATGCTGCTAAACATTCTGCAGTACACAGAACAGCCCTGCACGACAAAGAAGTGTCCTGCCCATTGTCACTAGTGATGGGGTGGGGATGTCCTGCTTCACCCAGAGAAATGAAGCCACCTGCAAGAGTCTTTTCTCTCACTCAGCTCTCTGGCAACCATCTCTTCTAGTCTCAGGGCTTCAGCTGCCTCCTACCAGATTAAGTTTCATGCAGCATACATAGCTTTAGCCAAATCATATTCATTCCGAAAAATCTGTGAAATACAAGCACTTCAGCCTGGTATTCCAGGGCTCCGTGGCTTTTCTGCATTGGATGTTTTCAATCTTATTTCCTATGAATCTTCTCTCTACGTGCTATGGCAAGAATATTGAACAACTCACTGTTCCCCTCATCCTATACCTGTTTTCCAATCTCGGGGGTTTTGCTCCTGCTGACCTCCCACCAGGAATCTTCTTCCATTTTGCTACTCACCAGAATCCCCACATTCTTCAAGATTCCACTCTACACACCCTGACCTGATTCTCTCCCTTAGAAGGAGGAATCCCTCACCAGTACTCCCCCGTCACTCCATCTGGGCCTTGGCCAGGTCACTCCCTGGGATCGCCTATTTTTTAGAGTTGTCCTGTGCATGCCCCACTAGACGTACAGCCCTTGATTGAAAGATCTCATTTTTTTTACACAATAGGCAGTGATAATTTATCATCAAAAAATAGAATGAAGCTAATTAATGTAAGATGGTTTTTAGAATAAAACAGAAGGGGTATTAATATATTTCCACATTTGTGTCACAAAGAAAATGTTTAATAAATATTCATTAAACATATGTGTAAATTCATTGATCAATTAAATGAATTTATTGATTGCTAAGAACACCCACTACAACTCATTTGATTATTTGATTAAGGCACATCATATGTCAACTTCACTAAAATAATTCCATATTAATTTTTTGAGTTTGAATGTACAAAGTGTGGGTTGACTGTCTGTTGGGAAAGGCTACATGCTGTGAGACACCTGCTTATATCATGGGTACAAGACCAGCTTTTGGAAAGCATCCACGGCACTTTTTCTATGCTGTTAATTTTTTTTTTAACTTTATAGGTAAACCTGGATTATATAATCCTTACAGGGCCTAAAAGAGATGCCTCTATTGTCAAAGAGGTGAATGACCATTTGCCAACCTTCACTCAGGATATGGCTGGAATTTGGAGGCAGATCCAGGAAGGCCATGATTTGTAGCTGCTGAAAGTGAATGTTCAAGACTCTAAAAATACAGCACTGCCTACTCATCTCGCCAGTCTGTTATTCCCTGTCCTGAGCTCTCAGCCGTGAGGCACCTTCTGAGAATGGTAATGAAATTCCGATTGGTAATGAAACCCATCCTAAAAGGTCATTTCAACCAAGCAACAACCATTGGGCTAGATCTGGTTGGACCCTTGACCCTTTTCTACCTTCTAGGGCATATGCCATGTGCTTCAGGCACGCACACTTTCATTCTGTCCTCTGCTGTTCAAATTTCAACATGGGCCGGGCACAGTGACTCATGCCTGTAATCCCAGCACTTTGGGAGGCCGAGGTGGGCAGATCACCTAAGGTCAGGAGTTCAAGACCAGCCTGGCAAACATGATGAAACCCTGCCTCTACTAAAACAACAAAAATTAGCTGGATGTGGTGGCATGTGCCTATAATCACAGCTACTCGGGAGGCTGAGGCAGGAGAATCGCTTGAACCTGTGAGGCAGAGGTTGCAGTGAGCAGAGATCACGCCACTGAACTCTAGTCTGGGCAACAGAGCGAGACTCTGTCTCAAAAAAAAAAAAAGAAAAATTCAACATGCCCTTCTTGCAGTGATTCAGGCTCCAATATGATCCCATCCATCACATCAACTGCTAAAACTCAAAATCTTACCAGGCTGTAATTCCATCTAAACTTGGGAGACACATATATGCTAAGATATGAATGATAACCTTGGAACCCATCCCAGGTATTGCTTTGCTAAAAGAAAGCACCTTCATTCACAAAAATGTGCTTTCGTCTTAATTTCAATAAAGAAATTCAGGTAGCTCTAAAGGAGATATTTTGGGAAAGGGAGCTCTCAGCTTACCTTCAAATCCTCATGCTAAAACCAACCACACTAATTTTGTGAACCTTCGAATGACTTAATCAGTGTGTTAATGAACACTCACATGTATTCTCCCCATTCCTGCTAAAATGAACATCTCAAAATCCAAATCTGTGTCATCACCCTGCTTAAAATCCATCGCTAGCTTACTATTGCCTATGTGATAGAAGCTCCTCATTATAGAGCTGAAGGTTCTTCTCAATGGGGTTCCCACTTCTGACCCCCCTAAACCTGTTCTGATGTCTAGCTTCAATATACCAAGAAAATTCTTACCTTCAGGACTTTGCACAAGCTGGGAACTCTGCCTGCCCTGTGTCCCACTTAGGCCCTTCTGAAACAGGAACTCTCATTTGTCCTCAAGGCTCAGCCTAAGGATAACTCTCCCTGTGCTGGACCAAGAGTCACTACTTGTGTTTGTCCATTCAGGCTACAATAAGAAAATACCATAGACTAGGTGATTTATAAACAACAGAAATTTACTTCTTACAGTTGTGGGGGCTGGAAAGACCAAGACCAAGGTGACGGTAGTTTCAGTGTCTGATGACACTTCCTCACAGCACCTTCTCACTGTGTCTTCACATGGCGGAAGGGGCACGGGAGCTCTCTGGTGTTTCTTTTATAAGACCACTAGTCCCATATGTGGGTTCCACAGCCATGATCTAATCACCTCTCAAAGGTCCCACCTCCTAACATCATCTCCTTAGGGTGAGGATTTCAACATATAAACATTCAGGCCATGGCCACACCCATGCCGTTCTTTTTTTTTTTTTTTTTTTTTGAGACAGAGTCTTGCTCTGTCACCCAGGCTGGAGTACAGTGGCACAATCTCGGCTCACTGCAGGCTCTGCCTCCTGGGTTCAAGCGATTATCCTGCCTCAGCCTCTGGAGCAGCTGGGATTACAGGTGTGTGCCACCATGCCCAGCTAATTTTTGTATTTTTAGTAGACATGGGGTTTCACCATGTTGGCCAGGCTGGTCTCAAACTCCTGACCTCAAGGGATCCGCCTGCCTCGGTCTCCCAAAGTGCTGGGATTACAGGTGTGAGCCACCACGCCTGGCCTGCCCTTCCTTTTTAAAAGCTCCTTTACCACCTGGGCTGCAAGCTTTTTGAGTTCCAGGTGAATATTATCATGCTTCTCCATATCTACCTAGCACAGGTGTTTGTTGCATGTATAAACACTTGTTGAGTATATCAACCAATCTCTCAATTAATAAACAAAACTTTTCTAAAATGAATGAACCAGATGAAAGTGGGATTAGACCTCATTTTTCAAATAAAAAAACTGAGGACAGGGAGAGCAAACAATATATTGCACATCTAAAAACAACCTGAAGTAAGCCAGAACTACATATGGTTCAAGCCCACTGTTTGTGAATAAATGAAACATGTTTTCTACAAGGGATAGCCTTGTGGTTAATGCCCAAGAATTTGGAAATGCCAGGAGTCACGTCTCAACTCTGAATTTGCATAAGTTGCTTAAGAAAATCAAGTACCTACTTTAAGTATTTTAAAGAATCCTAGATCTGATGCTGAGGGTGAGTTTGGAGTGCAGGGTATGTAAGATGTAGAGAAGAGGAAAGGATTTGGAGAAGGAAGATGCAGAAAAGCAAATTCCGGAGAAAAACGTTGCTATAGAATAAGCATGCCATGATTATAGGCAGCTAAAATTGTTGGATGTTCTTGTAAAATCATTAAATCCTAATTAATATTGGATTAGGTTTGCCACAGTATGATGCACCCCAATGCGTTTCTTCTCAGATCAGAAATGCCCAGTCCCCTCCTGCTGGTCTCACAGATGCTTGTCAAGTATGCCCAGGTTCTTGTTTGGGATGTGAATTTGTAAAGCTTCCAACCCACAGACAACAAGTGTTGAAAACTCATTCCTGAATGCCGCCTCAGAGATAAACAAAGTTGTTAGGTTCCTTGATGATCTGACATTCAGTGATGGGCTAATGATTTTCACTCTCTTTGGGAAAAGAAATGCTGTGGTGAAGAGCTGTGTTGACGGCTGGTCACAGGCTGTTTTTCTGCTTGTGAATGCTCCAGAAAGCATCTTTAAGTCAAATAATAATCACTTTTCAAGCTAAAGTTTACCAAGCGCTTTTTTCCGTAAATTATCTTATTTAATCCTTAGGACAACTCTGAAAGTTTAAGTCCTAAAATATGCTCTCTGCAAGCTGGAGAACCAGGAAAGCCCATGGTATAGTCTGGTCCAAGTCCAAAAGCCTGAGAGCCTGGGGAGCCAGTGATTTAACTCCCATTCTGAGGCCAAAAGCCTCAGAAGAGTGAAGGGGAGGGCCTGCTGGTGTAGGTCCCAGAGTCTGAGGGCCCAAGAACAAGGAGCTCCAACGTCCGAGGGTAGAAAATGGATGTCCCAGCTCAAGAAGAGAGAGAGAATTTGGACTTCCTCCACCTTTTTGTTTTCTATCTGGGCCTCAATGAATTAGATGATGCCTACCCTTGCTGGTAAGGATAGATATTCTTTTCTTTTTTTCTTTTCCTTTTTTTTTTTATTATTTTTTTTTTTGAGACGGGGTCTTGCTCTGTTCCCCAGACTGGAGTGCAGTGGCGTGATCTTGGCTCACTGCAAGCTCCACCTCCCGGGTTCACGCCATTCTCCTGCCTCAGCCTCCTGAGTAGCTGGGACTACAGGCGCCGGTGACCACGCCCGGCTAATTTTTTGTATTTTTAGTAGAGACGGGGTTTCACCGTGTTAGCCAGGATGGTCTCGATCTCCTGACCTCGTGATCCGCCTGCCTCGGCCTCCCAAAGGGCTGAGATTACAGGCGTGAGCCACCGCGCCCGGCCCAAGGGTAGATATTCTTTACTAAATTTACTGATTCAAATGCTAATCTCTTCCAGAAACAGTCTCAGAGACACATACGCAGAAATAATGTTTAACCAGCTACCTAGGTATCCCTTAGCCCAGTCAAGTTGTCACATAAAATTAACCTTCCCACCATTTTCCTCATTCTACACCATCTTCCACCTTCTCATCCTTTCCCAACTCATTGTGGTATTGCTAAGTCTGGTTCTCTCCTCTCCACCTATCTTAAATTCCAAACTTTTCCAGTCTATCTCCAAGAGCATCTTATAGCACATAACACCTCCAACATCACACTCATTCTTCAGAACTTTTTCATCTCATATTCTCCCTATTATACACTACTCTACTGAAACTGTTTCCCAAAACATGTATCAAGAAGGACTGTGCAAATCCTGGGTCACCTGGGCTTTTCATAGCCCCTACCAGGGCTTACTGTCCTCTCCTGGGTTAGCCCAACTTGCAACCCATCCTAAACTCCACCGCCAGATCAGGCTTTCTGTTGCGCACCTCTTGGTGCATTATTGTCAGTTTAAAAACTGTGATGCTTCCCTGGAGCCAACCAAATTTGGTAAATATTTCGTAACTTGAATCTCATGATCCTCCAAACTACCCCTTCAGACTTACTGCTTTTGTACCAGGGGAAAAATTATATTAGTTTTATGGGACGAACCAACCTCATTTATTTTTTGTAAAGTATCATCAACATGATTTTTCAACTTCATATCAAGAATCTCTCATAATATGCTCAATAGGAAGTGTTATAAAGATGGTAGCTAAGACATGTGGAGAGAGTCTCCAGGGCCTGTGCAGATGTGGGATATATTTAGACATGGAAGAACATGCTCACAGTGGAAATCCTCACCCTGGTGCATCTTTCTCATCTCTAAGTGGTACATGTGTCTCTCAGCTGGAGATGTCGTCTTGCTGCCCCTGCTTTTAGCAGGCTGCCCCTCCTGTGGAGAAAGAAACTCAGAGAACAAAGTTCAATACCTGGATGCAGAAAAAAAAAGAAGCTAATTATTTGAAGCATCTCTTCTCTACCTTTTCTTTCCTTTATTAATGCTGAGGATTAGTCATTGTTGGTTTGCTAATCTCTGGCTTAACAGTAAACACAAATATTAAGATCTAATTCCATATCAACTAGGTCTACTAAACATTTCAACATTTCAAGTATGTTGACACCTTATTCCACTTATTCAATAACAAAGGGAAGGAAAAAAAGTATTTTTATGTAGTTTAGTGATGCAGTTTTCAAAAAATTTACTTATAAGTAAGAAGATACAAAAAGGTTTGAAGACAATTCATGTCTGTTATTCTCCAATGAAATACTGCATATCCTCTACAAGGATGTTCAACATCAATGAATGACAACTTAAATATCAAAAACTGGCCGGGCTCGGTGGCTCACGCCTATAATCCCAGCACTTTGGGTGGCCAAGGCAGGCAGATTACAATGTCAGGAGTTCGAGACCAGCCTGGCCAATATGGTGAAACCACGTCTCTACTAAAAATACAAAAATTAGCCGGGCGTGGTGGCGGGCCCCTGTGGTCCCAGCTACTCGGGAGGCTGAGGCAGAAGAATCGCTTGAACCCCAGAGGCAGAGGTTGCAGTGAGCCGAGGTCACGCCACTGCACTCCAGCCTGGGTGACAGAGCAAGATTCTGTCCTAAAAAAAAAAAAAAAAAAAAAAAAGTTATGCTTCATTATTCACAGTATTGACCTGGCTATTCTATATTTTCATCTCATACATCAAGAGAGGAATGTTAATCCCCTATCTGAGTTAAAAGGACATCAAGTTCCCCAGGTAACCCTCCATGTGGCAGGAGTAGGTATGGTGGTAGAAAAGTTTGGCTGTAAAAGGAGCACGACCTGTCTGTGAATGAGTGTGTAGACAGGCAGTGTGTAGCCAGCCAGTCACAAAAGTATTCACGCCACCCCAAATTCAATGTTCATGACTTTGCTGAGACAAAAATTAAGTAGTCTTAACTAGAAAAAAAGTTCTAAAAGATCTACTGTTTAGATTACTACTTTTTCATTGCATGGACATACTCTATTCCTATGTCTGTCTTTCTTTTGTCCTGCGTTCTACTTGTTCATATTTTCTACATGTAAAAAAAGGCTGACAAAACATGTGGTCATGTCCAAATCTCATATTTTGTAACATAAACGCAAATACACCACACACACACACACACACACACACACACACGTGCACATATAAACACACACATACTGTGGAAATACACACATTCACATACTTACATACCACACACATGCACATATGCCACACACATGCACACAGACACGTACACCCACACATATTCCCCACACATGTATGCACAGCACACACAACCCTCATGATTACATGCACATACGCATACCACACACACATGCATGTGCATAACACCACACACATGTGCATGCAAACACACACATGCCACGCATATACACACACCGCACATATACACGTACATGCACAGTATACTTTGGAAATCAGAAGATAAGAAAAATATTGTTAACACCACTAATATTCCCAGTAGTTTTATATTTGCTAGTATATTTCAGGTAATGTTTAACTGACTTCTCTATGTTTAACAAATTCTTGAGGGTATGAGGATGGAAATAAATGCATTGCATGTCATATTTTGCTTATGTACTAAGTGAATGGAAGCTGAAGAAAACAAAGAAAACATGAAAAAGAAAGGCAGAAGGACGGCATGATTAGGGCCAGGGCCACAGACCTGCCTCTGTCACTGATTTGCTGGGCACATTCTATTTCCCAACCTCAGTTCCTTCATTTGTAAAATGTGGAGGCTGGATTAAACCATAAAGTGAAGTCACTGTTGTGGACTGAATTGTGCCCAACTCCACCACCAAATTCATATGTTGAAGCCCTAATCTTCAATGTGCCTGTAATTGGAAATAGGGTCTTTAGAGAGTCCATTAAGGTAAAATGAGGTCACAGTGGTAGAGTCCTAATCCAGTAGGACTGGTATCCTTTTTATTTATTTATTTATTTTTTTTTTTTGAGATGGAGTCTCGCTCTGTCGCCCAGGCTGGAGTGCAGTGGCACGATCTCGGCTCACTGCAACCTCCACCTCCAGGATTCAAGCAATTCTCTGCCTCAGCCTCCTGAGTAGCTGGGATTACAAGCACCCACCACCAGGCCCAGCTAATTTTTTTTATTTTTAGTAGAGACGGGGTTTCACCATGTTGGCCAGGCTGGTCTTGAACTCCTGACTTTGTGATCCACCAGCCTGGGCCTCCCAAAGTGCTGGGATGACAAGCGTGAGCCACCGCACCCGGCCTGGTATCCTTGTGAGAAGAAAAAGAGACACCAGAGGCACGTAAGCACAGAGGAAAGGTAATATGAGGACACAGGAGAAGGTGGTCATCTGCAAGCCAAGGAGACAGGCCTCAGAAGAAACCAACTCTGCCAACGCCTTAATCTTGGACACCAGCCTCCAGAACTGTGAGAGAATAAATGTCTGTGTTTAAGCCACCCAGTCTGTAGTATTTGTTATGGCAGCCTTGGCAAACTAAAACAGTCAATTCTAACTCTAACAGTGTTTCATTCTAGTACTATGAACATAAAATGTCTTTATGTATAAAGATCAAAATTTATTAAAGTGAATGTAAAATAATATTGTACAAGTGATAAGCAAATTTTTAAAAAATTCTACAAAGTAATCATCAGCTCTCAGAAGTTTAATCAAATATCAGTGACAACTTCTAGAGGGACTTAATAGTTTATATAGTGTTTTCACATAAATTATTTTATCTCATCAACTAACGAATTAGAAAATGTTGTAGGTCAGAGGATTAACCCCAGGTCCCAGGCCTCTATAACACAGAGATTAGCTCCCTTTTCTTCATAAAAGAACAGAGAAGGCCGGGCACGGTGGCTCACGCCTGTAATCCCAGCACTTTGGGAGGCCGAAGCAGGCGGATCACGAGGTCAGGAGATCGAGACCATCCTGGCTAACACAGTGAAACCCTGTGTCTACTAAATATACAAAAAATTAGCCGGGCGTGGTGGCAGGCGCCTGTAGTCCCAGCTACTCGGGAGACTGAGGCAGGAGAACGGCATGAACCCAGGAGGCAGAGGTTGCAGTGAGCCGAGATCGTGCCACTGCACTCCAACCTGGGCGACAGGGCGAGACTCCATCTCAAAAAAAAAAAAAAAAAAAAAAAGAACAGAGGAAAAAAGTTTTCCAAGTAAGTTTTACTGAAAATGGGAAGGTGGGAATGAGGAGCCACCAGAAAAGGCATTTGAAGGTAATGGCTGGTTCTCACCGTATTGTCCCTCATCCCTTTAGTAAGTGCTGTCTGCGGGGTACTGTGTCAGCATGACTGGAAAAAATGCAAAGTTCCAAGTCTTCATTTCTGCCCTCAGAAAGATTATTATCAATTAAGAAAATAAGATATGAACAGGAGATATAAATAAGGATAGAAAATAAGTCACAAACACGTGTCATCTAAAAGAAGTGAATGAAAACTATTGTGGAGGAAAACGAGAGTTTCAGACTTTTTGCTGTGATACCTGGGAAAAAAGATGAAATCTGAGTTTTAAAAAAACCCAGAGCCTATGGATAAGGGGAGGAGGATTGACAGGTAACTTGTTACTTCCAGTGGCTGGAAAATTAGTAACCTAACCAATGGCCTGCTTAAAGTTATTTGAAATAACTTCCTTAACCCCAGTGATTATAACTTTATTTTTGCCATGTTTCTGTCATGTTTATTATTTAAAATATTTTTAATGCGTCTGTTTTGGGACAGCTTAACCTGGGAATCTGGGCTTTATCCAATTACCTAAATTTAGCTCATTGGTCAGAGATGGTTCCATTATTCCAACATCGTGATTTCCTCAAGATGACCTTGCAGGGGTGATAATCACCTACTTGGAGCAAAAAAGCCATCTATGGTAACAAGGGGACATTTGTCAAAGTTACGGCCATCTCATATCAGTACCTGTTCGCAATATATTACCTATATTTGGATCCTGAACCACCTTCACTCTCAGTCTGGGAATCTGAATGTTTTCCTCCACATGTGGCTTTTTGGTCTCCTACTTGGCTTCATCCATCAAATGTAACTTCTGCCTTCTCTGTTGAGCATGTATTACTGACCTCACTGCTGAAACCATTTGTATAAACTTTACAAAGTTAATCAGAGAAGAAGGGATAGGGAGAAAGGAAAAAAAACCGAGTTTGCAGCACACTCACCTTGATCACCAGGTCAGCTGCTCTCCGACCTGCTTCCTCAGAGTTGTTTCATGCCTCTTGCCTCAGAATCGCATAGACCCTGTTACAGGATTATAGTTCCCCTTAATTGCTCTACAGATAACAACTTGAACAATATGAAATGTTAAGCTTTTCATTTCTTTCAAGTCCTGCTTAACGGTGAAACTACTGACGTCAGCTGGTCTGAAGGACCCAAAGAAGCTGACTCACTAAAGAATGCAGTTTCCACATCCTGATGATTTTTTTTTATTATTTTATTTTTATTTTTGAGACGGAGTCTCGCTCTGTTGCCCAGGCTGGAGTGCAGTGGCACGATCTCGGCTCACTGCAAGCTCTGCCTCCCAGGTTCACGCCATTCTCCTGCCTCAGCCTCCCGAGGAGCTGGGACTACAGGCGCCCCTACCACGCCCAGCTAATTTTTTGTATTTTTTAGTAGAGACGGGGTTTCACCGTGTTAGTCAGGATGGTCTCGATCTCCTGACCTCATGATCTGCCCGCCTCAGCCTCCCAAAGTGCTGGGATTACACGCGTGAGCCACCGCGCCCGGCCCACATCCTGATGATTTTATCCCTCTTATCCTGATCTATCAAGAGGCCCAATCTTTCAAGCCCTCACCCTCCATAATCCCCTTCAAAGCCCCAGCTCAGAACTCCTTGGGAAGATGGATTTGAGGGTCTCCTTCCATTTCCTTGTCGGTGCCCTTTGGTTATTAAACTCTTTCTCAGCTGCAAACCCTGCCACAAAGAAAGTGTATTGGTCTGTTACTGCACAGTGGGTATATGAACCTGTTGGTCCGATAGCACAGCCAACACAAAAGGTTGCACTTCTATCTTCAGACAAAACAATCCACCTAATTGCATACTTTCATGATTAGTCCTACATAGTTCAAATCACATTTCTGCTAATTCTAGTCATGTACAGTACAGATTGATTCTTGGCATTGACATCCATTGCTAAATAATCGTAATACTCTATATCCAGCTAAAACAAGAAACTCGAACCAGTAAAATGTTATCCCTAAAGGCAGTTAGATGGCAGAAAGGGCATGTAGAACGTCCTCTGTTTCCTCAAGTCCTAATGCCTCCCTTGGCTGGATTCCATATTACATGCTAATTTGCAAGGCTGAAATAAGGTGATTCATTTATTAAGGAAATGAAGCCAAGCATTACATTATAATAATTAACTTTTTGAAAATAATTATTTAACTTTAGTTTAAATTTATCAGTCACCAGGGAGTAGCTGAATTCTGATTACCATTTTAAAATATTGCTTGGAAGGAATTTCTTAATACAGGTAATCACATTCATTTTTTCTCTAGTTTGATCTAGTTCCATTATTGGATGAGTTAAGAAGGTCTCATAATTAATTACAGTCTCACAAATACTGTCCATGCAACTTTGCTCTTCAGCGACTATTTCCTGGTCTAGAGAAAGGAATGCAACTGTCATAATGACCTAGTAATTGCAATATTTGACTGATATGTAAGGAAGGCAAATTACTCTAATAAGAATTTCCTGAGTCTCTGGAAGTTTGGCTACATAATGGTACAGGTGTCTTCTAAGTATAGGTATTGGCAATGACAGGATGCTATTCCTTTTAGACTACAGAAATATTTCAAAATAAGTTATGATTGACATATTCTTGAGTTTGCAAAGTTTCTTAGTTCTTCATATCTCTTTCCACTTCTTCCTGCTTACGTTCCCTCCTACTTTCAGCCCCTCTCATATCTTTTAAACTCTTTTCTCCTAAAATAATTTAAATCTTTCCAAATGATACAAAATTACCTTTGCAGTGTATTCATAGCCATGCAAAAATAGGGGAAAAATGGTTAGAAAAGAAAAAAAACTAAAAAAGACAAACATGTTTATAATGGGTTATGGGTAAGGTTTCTTGTTATTTTAAAAAATTTTCTATAGTCAGTAAGCATCCCTTTTGTGATGATAATAATAATAATATGATGATAATAATAATAAACTTAATAAGAGTGGAAAGAATATGAGCTCAATAAATCTGATTTAAATTTTTGCCATGCTAAATAATCATAATACCCTATATCCAGCCAAAACAAAAAATTTGCACCAACAAAATCATGGTACCATGAACAAGCCCCATATCACCCCCAAGCACTGTTGTTATCTTTCATCCAGTTTGTTATACAATACTTTCCTTCCAGAGCTGCTGCGAGAATTAAATAAAATTATCTCTGCAAAGTCCTTTACATGATACACATTACTTTCCTATATAGTAAAATCTTTACCATAATGAGAGAAGAAATTTCACTGAAAACTAAGCTAAAAACACACTTTTCTGAGCAAAAAATATGATGTCTTTGTCTCTTCATAAGCATGCAGTCAGAAAGTTAGACACCAAACAGGAAATGTCTTTCCAGCTGATTGCATCACCCCAGTCAATCACAGCAATCACAAAGTTTATGACTGCAATACCATGACAGACAAGTGTGGGTGTTATTGGCTTACAGCCATGAGCAAGGTTTCAGATTTTTTTTACCTGGATCCAAGGTAGTCGTTAGACACTGCAATGGTATGTCCAGTTTCTCAAAACCTTGTGAAAATAAAGCCCCTTAAGACTAATAAGGGACATGTTTATGATATATTTGCCATAAAACTAATTAACTGAAGCATCCAAAATCTTCTTGCTGTCAGAACCAGTATGATCTGCCATAGGAAATCTTCTCTCTGATTCTGTAAGAGAAGTTCTTTCTTTAAGGCTATCTGTGTTGATATAGTTGGGCTCTGTTTCCTCACCCAAATCTCAGGTTGAATTGTAATCCCCACATGTTGAGAGAGATGATTTAGGGTATCTGGCAGAAGAAATTTCTAAGCAGCAAAGCATACAAGAGGTGACCACACTTTTTCTGAAAGTGTACAGTCATATGCATTCACAAAGAGATGATCTGAAATGGGAACTTAGGTTTAAAAGGGAAGCAGAACATAAAAGTTTGGAAAATTTGCAGTCTGATCACGTGGTAGAAAACAAAAACCCATTTTCTGGGGAAAAATTCAATCCGGCTGCAGAAATTTGCACAAATAACAAGGAGCCGAGTGTTAATAGCCAAGACAATAGCTGCCTAGTGGAACTGTCAGAAGAGGGCCACCATTGTCCAGATCCCAGGATGGTAGGTCCACAGACAGCTTGCATCACGTACCTGGAAAAGCCACAGGCACTCAATGCCAGCCTGTGAAAGCAGCCATGGGGCTGTATCCTGCAGAGCCACAGGGGTGGAGCTGCCCAAGGCTGTGGGAGCTCACCCCTTCCATCAGTGTGCCCTGGGTATGAGACATGAAGTCAAAGGAGATTATTTTGGAGCTTTAAGATGTAATGACTGCTTTGCTGGGTTTCAGGCTTGCATGGGGCCTGTAGCCCCTTTGTTTGGCCAATGTCTCCCTTTTGGAATGGGGGCATTTACCCAATGTCTGTATCCCCACTCTATCTTGGAAGTAACTAACTTGGTTTTTTAGCCATTTGAGGAAATATGAAAGCTCCACTATAAATCTCAAATTTGAGATTTCCAGTGAATAAGGTGGTTTATGTAAGAACTTGCAAAAAACAAAATTTAAAGCATCTTTTGACCAGAAATGAATTTATTTAACGAATATGATCTGAATATCTCCCACACGGCAAGACATGGAGACACAACACAAAATTAATGCTGCCCCAATAGTCAATCCCTAACAAATCCTGTCTCTTTCACTTCTACTATGCAACCTTGTTTTTCATTTACGCGGCCATCTCCTTCTTCGTCTAAGCCTTCACCTTCTCTGACTTAGAGTGACGATAACAGCCTTCTGTCTGGTGTTCTTGTAGCTGCTTTTCATCCTCTCTCCAGAATGCACATCCTCCAGGAGACCTTCCAAACTCCTCCCAACTTTGCCTTTGGTGTTTTCCTGCAGTCTTACCTCTTGCCATTTCTAATTCTGCATTTCTACTGAACCTGAGCTACAGGTAGCACACTGCACTGAACTGTGCGTATCCTACTTGCTCAAGCTTTTGGTCTCCTTGGTGTGCCCTTGACCAATGCTTTGCTTGGATAATTCTTTTTCATTGCCCCAAGATTTATCGTATTAATCGTGTATTTTCTGCATTCTGATGCTTTGACATCTGGGGCCTTGCTGATCTTAGGGGGACCCTCCTCCCAGGGCTGTGCAATTCCTAAAAATAATAAACAACTCACCTGCAAGTGGATCTTTCATATGCAAATCAACCAATCCAGAGTCCACACCCAACCACCTCCTCTATTGGAATGTCACTCAAATTGACAATTCCCCTGCCCTCATCACCCCAGAGCCAGATACCAGACCATTAGGGACAGCCCCTACAACTTAGAGCCTGCTGAAATTACTCAAACTTGCCAACCCTAAGTCTGTTAGTCTTGTTTCCCTCATTTCTTCCCACATAAACCATAATAAAGGCCCTTGCTCACATTTCTCCCTCACTCCCTCTGCCTCCTGCATAACCCTGGTTCTTCCCTGAGTGGCCCCACAAAGCATGGCATCGTGTGCCCCTTCTTCTTGGGAACTGTAAGTAGTATAACTCTCCAATGGGTTCAACTTGGCTGCTGCCTAGATAGAGCCAATTTATCAAGACAGGGGAATTGCAATAGAGAAAGAGTTATTCAGACAAAGCCAGCTGTGCATGAGACGGGAATTTTATTATTACTCAAATCAGTCTCTCTGAGCCTTCAGGGATCAGAGTTTTTAAGGGTAATTTGGTGAGTGGGGGCCCAGTGAGTCAGGAGTGCTAATTGGTTGGGTCGGAGATGGAATCATAAGAAGTTAAAGCTGCCCTCTTGTGCTAAGTCAGGTCCTGGGTAAGGGACTGCAAAATCAAATGAGCCAGTTTATCAATCTGGGTGGTACCAGCTGATCCATCAAGTGCAGGATCTGCAAAATATCTCAAACACTGACCTTAGGTTTTTCAATAGTGATGTTATCTCTAGGAGCAATATGGGGAGGGTCAGAATCTTGTAGCCTCCAGCTGCATGACTCCTAAATTATAATTTCTCATCTTAAGGCTAATTTGTTAGCCCTACAGAGGCATTATAGTCCCCAGTGAGGAAGAGAGTTTGTTTTGGGAAAGGGCAGTTATCGTCTTTGTTTCAAAGTTAAACTATAAACTAGGTTTCTCCTAATGTTAGTTTGGTCTATACCCAGGAGGGAAAAAGGACAGCTTGGAGTTGGTTAGATCAGATCTCTTTCACTGTAATAATTTTCTCAGTTATAATCCTGCAGTGATGCCTTCAGTAACAAACTATCTTTTCAATGACAATTGTCTTCTGATATGTTGGCCTCACTATACTTGAATAATAATAAGATCTACATTTTAAAATGTTCACCTCCATAATCACCTCCTTTGGGAAATCTATCCAAATCCCTTTTCTCTACACAGAATTTGATACAGTACATCTCATCTATACCTCCACAGACCCCACATGTGCCCTCATGAGCACTCCCACCACATTGCAATGAAATGGGCTGAAAATGCATCAGCTTCCCCTTCAACTGTCTGGCCAGAACAATATCTTGTGTATAAACTTATTGCCAGAGCCTAAAATAATGCCTACCTCCTATGGTACAGCAGACTCTCCATGCATGTTGGTTGAATTTAACTGACCTGGAAAATGATCCCTGCCCTCAAAAACATCAATTTGGAGAAAGATACAGAGCAGCAGCCAGATTGTTCCAGTGCAGCATGGTAAATACTAAGAAAGAAATAAACACAGGCCACTCTGAGAGTTCAGAGGATGCTCAAGGGGCCCTTGACCCATGACACCTTAAAAGGCTTCATTTTGGTTTGGCTTTTAGCCTCAAAAGCTAAGAGTACTCCTGCTTTAAACAAAGCTCGTGGATTATTCCACAGTAAATTTAAAAGTGCTAATAGAATGAAACATAGTAGCCTCAGAATCAGTTAATTTGGAGCTCTAGACTACTGGATTTGAAGACCTGGCATATTTACAAAGAAATTATTGCATCAGTTAAGTGAGCTATCTCAAATTTCACCTTCTTAATGTCTTTTTACTGTGCCCTGTCTCCTTCCATCTGCCATCGCTTTGTCATGGGTCATGATGGCCACACACCTTCCCTGGGAAGGAAGGACCAAAGAGTAATTAAGTGACTGAGTGAAAGTCCAGCTCAGCCATTACTTTCCTACCTTGGACAAGTTATTTAACCTCCCCAGATATTTTTCTCTGTTTAATAAACTATCATTAACTGATAGTAACTACCACTCAGGTCATAGTAAGGATTAAATCCACAAATCCATATAACATGCCTGGCACACATTAAGAGCTCAGTAAATTTCAGCCATTGCTGCTCTTGCAATATCATCCCCATTGTCTCCTCATCTCCAGCTGCACACATGCCATCAGATCTTTCCTCTCTATGGATGCCTGTCTAACATAGAATCCTGGCCATGTTTCTATCCTGCCTTTAACCTTCTCCCAGAACTTCTAAAATGAATTCTAAGCTCCTTAATAAGACATCAGAGACCCACAATCAGTCCCCACTAATATCTGCAGCCTCTTTTCTCATTACAGCTCCAGCTAACGTGAGCTTCTCTACTTTAGGCTGATGAATACACCAGGCTTTTCCAAAGTTCCACCTGTGCACTCTGGCACAGCTGTCACCTTCACCCAGAGGCCCTCACTGCTATCCTCTTCCTACCACTGACAAAAATTGGCAACTTCGGCCAGGCTTGGTGGCTCATGCCTGTAATCCCAGCACTTTGGGGGGCCGAGGTGCACGGATCACCTGAGGTCAGGAATTCAAGACCAGCCAGGCCAAAATGGTGAAATCCCATCTCTACTAAAAATACAAAAATTAGCCAGGTAAGGTGGCATGGGCCTGTAATCCCAGCTACTTAGGAAGATGAGGCAGGAGAATCGCTTGAACCCAGGAGGTGGAAGTTGCAGTGAGCCGAGATGGCAGCACTGCATTCCAGCCTGGGTGACAGAGCAAGACTCTGTCTCAAAAAAAAAATTAAAAAATTGGCAACTTCTCTACCCTCTACCAATCTCTGTGATAGCACTCTTGACACTTATCAGTATTGATTTATAAACATATGTGCCTTCCCCCAGTAAACTGTAAACTTAAAGAGAATAGAAACCATGCTTCACTCATTTTTATGTTGCCAGTGCCTGAAATGGTGCCTGAAATATAGCAGCAGCTCACTAATTTCTTGTAGAAATACAAATAAATTAGATGAGTAAAATCAATTAGTGAAAATACCAAAATTCATTTCCTCTTTAATCTACTAGCTCCTTCTGGAAGTTTAGCAAACATAAATAATTTTTATCATGATCAGGTCTGGGCCTGTATGAAGAGAGTATGTGTCAAACTGAAACAGAGTGGGCTTGATTTATCGTATTTTATGTACAAGAGCCAGTGCTTCCCCTTCTGAACCCCCTTCTCCCACCCAGGCCCCTCCCTGGCCCCCATTTCTGCACACAGAATGACAGCATAGATAATTAGATTAAACATATATTTTGGTTGATTTGATCTTTCTACAGTGTGTAAATGCAAGAAAAGAAAAAAACAAAAAAAGCTGATCCAACTGGTCTACACCTTCAGATACTATTTAATTAAATATTTGGCAGATATCACTGGGATATGGCCACCCTATTGCCCCTTTCATCTTATTTCAACACTACCCATCCCAACTTCTTATCAAAGTTTGACAAACTGGCTCACTGACGTATCAGTTTTAGGGAGAATGCCAGAGTTTGTGATTTAATAATTCACTCTACTCTCCAAATACATAATCATTATGTCTTAAAAGCATGTTATACTGCATTGTAATTTTCCATAAAATTGAAAATGATGGTAAGCTATGACACCAATTGTTGTCAGAGCAAATACAAAAGCCTGTTTGGAGCCATGGAGTGCTTCAAGCAAGTAACCCTAAACCAAGGAGGAAATACATGGCTTAATTGGATTGTCATCAGTTATACTTTAATGCCGAGCTGCTTCTAATCGCTGTGCGTGATAGAATTTTTCATTCTCATTACAATGTTATTATTGTTTATTTTAGATAAGTCTGTAACTGATAGGTATACAAATGTATGTTTTTATTGCCCTTTAGGCCTCTTAGATAAAAGTACTTACTGGACTGCCTTTCCAATAAACCCTTCATTAAAACTAACTCTTGATATAATCTCATTAAAATTGATTTTCTGAAACAAAAAAAAATCTTGAAAAGATGCAAAAACATCACAGGTTCAATTTTTAAATAAATTATTAGGTCAGTTACTTAGATTGTCATCCAACTGTATTACGTAACAAACAAGCTAACTCTGAATACTTAAAAAAAAATACAGGACCTGTGATGGAGGCATATGGAGTTTAATTACTCTGATGGCTTGGGTGGGATTGGAGTAATGCTAAGAAGCCTGCTTTCCTAATGAAAGTCTTTGATACCCTTTAGCATTGCTAAATACCTATAAAAATAAGGCTGCTTATCTCAGATGCTTCTTGTTTTGTTTGGGGTTTTTGTGTGTTTTTCTCTGTCATATAACCCACATGATAATATAATACCTGCCTAAGCCCTGTACCACATTGCAATGTTTTACTATCAATTTTTGCTGCTTAACCTAACCCCATACTCTGAGAAGGACATTGTCCTTTCTTCAGGAAGAATTTTAAATAGTTGTAGTTTTTGTTTATTTGTTTGTTTTGTTTTGTTTTGTTTTTGACACAGAGTCTTGCTCTGTCACACAGGCTGGAGTGCAGTGGTGCGGTTTTGGCTCACTGCAACCTCTGCCTCCTGGGTTCAAGAAATTCTCCTGCCTCAGCTTCTCGAGTAGCTGGGATTACACAGGCATGTGCCACCACACCCGGCTAATTTTTGTATTTTTAGTAGAGATGTGGTTTCACCATTTTAGCCAGACTGGTCTCAAACTCCTTACCTCAAGTGATCTGCCACCTTGGCCTCCCAAAATGCTGGGATTACAGGCATGAGCCACCGCGCCCAGCCGGCTGAGTTTTCTAATTCAGGTCACTCAGCACCAAGGCAACCTGGAGGTTAGTTTGGCTCTGAGGTTGTATACCATTCCTTAAAATCAGACTTCTGCTACATGATGCAGAAGAGAATGCACATCACAAACTTCTAGCTACAGGGCACACACAATGGACCTCAGGTGCTGTGCTCAGAAATCCATCACCACATTTTTGCCAAGCCTGTACTTCCCATGGGCTGCTACAAGATTAGCTCTCACTCAAGAGCGGCTATCATTATCCTCAGTCCATAGATGAGGAAACTGAGGCTTAGAGAGTTTAAATAACCTATCATTCTGAGCAAACTATCACAAGGACAGAAAACCAAACACCACATGTTCTCACTCATAGGTGAGAATTGAACAATGAGAACACTTGGACACAGGGCGGGGAATATCACACATGGGGGCCTGTCATGGAGTAGGGGACGGGGGGAGGGATAACATTAGGAGAAATACCTAATGTAAATGACGAGTTAATGGGTGCAGCAAACCAACATGGCACATGTATACCTATGTAACAAATCTGCACATTGTGCACATGTACCCTAGAACTTAAAGTATAAAAATTAAAATTAAAATTAAAGAAAACCTATCAAAGGAAAATGCAGCCATTGGAAGAATTGCTAGTACTCTCATTTGAATTTTTAAAAGTGGTGTTATTACCATCATCTTTACATTTATCAGTACTTTATCTTGGGTAACTCTCACCCTAAGGCCAGAATTGGCTTCTGAATGCCAATGAAAATATTTGTATTATTTAGAAAGCAACGTGAATAGTGATCACTGGAGCAATCCAGTGCAGTGGCCCTGCTATTACTTGCCATCAGCCCCCTCCCTGCCTAGCTTGGGTGTGTGTGTTGCCTGCTCCTGGGCTACCATTCAACATGCTCTGCAAGCCTGCTGCAACTCCACCTGCCTGGGCCAGTGGTGACCTGCCATCCATTTCTGTAGTCTCTAAATGTGGAGGTCTACGTCCTCAGTTGCATTTCACCCAACACCAGCACCTAGGTCCCACCCTGCATTAGCAGACCCAGCAAGAAACACACCCCACTCAAGCAGAGTAATATTTCACGTGCTTAAACGATGTGAATAAGGTTAAGAGGAGCCAGCAAGGAACAGTGAAGCACCCCAGGGCCAGCAACAGCAGGCAGCAGCTCCATCCCTTAGCCTTGAAAGGGCAAGAAGAGAGAAAACATTGTAGACCTTGGTGAGGGTGATTGCCATAATTTTAGTAGCAGCTGTAGATGTTGTCTCCCACTTGGGATCATGGGACAGGATAGAAGGTTATGCCCATCTCAGCTCAGCAGGGAGGGAGCCAGGTGAATACACACTCTCCCTCTTTCTGCTTCCACCTTCTCATCTTCTGAGTGAGGAAGTCACAGAGCAAAGAATCTTGCTTAGGGCATCCCATGGAAGCCAGTTTCTTGGCAAACAGAGGAGGGTGGAAAGAAGGCTAGAGATCGAATGTGAAGGGAAAAAGAGAGTATCACACTTCCATGTACCTCTTCTTTCCCTCAAGAAAGATTTAGTTTATATTCTAGGTTTCTCTCCTCTGAACTGGTATGTTCCATGGCTTCCTAAAATTCTGTTGAGAAAGGCTCACCAACAGGTAGTAGATATTTGTGATTTTTATTCTATTTGTATGTTTTTCTTCCTCTTTCTGGCAATAATACTCCAAAATTATTTTGGAGGGTCATTGTACCCAAACTCCTATTTCATGTGGCATGTGGCTGGTGGAAGCACCCCTAGTGGAAGATATTGAGTCCATTGTTACGCATCAGGATCAGACTAACCCAAAAGGAAATATTTTAGTTGTAGCCAAGTCAAGTAATTCAAACCCAGAGATCAGTTGACATAAAATTCTGGTCAGTTTTGAACTTCAGCTGTCAGGAATTAAGTCTCTCTACTGTTCCTCAAACATAACTCTTATATAATTAACCCTCTGTGCTGCAGAATATTGTAAGCCTATTTCCCTTCTAAGACTCTGTGGGCAGAGAATACACTGTTCTTTATATCCCTAACACCTAGCCCAATTGCAGACACTCAATTAACACTTGCCAAATAAACAGAAGAATAAACGAAGACATGAGAAAGTAAACATCATCCTAAGGTTCCATCTAGAATACAAGCCATCCTCATAGAAACTTCATTGCTGTACCTCAGCCTGTGTATCTATCTGGTGTTAACAGTAAGAGCAAGAGTGATGATAAAAAGGATAAAGGATAGATGATGATAGAGATTAGGGAATGAGTTTGTGGCTTTGTATGGATAGTGAAATGATTTAGAACCATATACCTTGGTGAAAACTGAAAAGTTCTCACATTTTAATCACCTCATAGAAACTACAAACTTGACAGTGAAGAATGCACAAGATTAACCAACAAACAAGGTTAGCTAATGAAGAATTATTTTTCTAAGTGAATAAGAAAAGTCCCCCCAGCCCCTACAACCTGGACCTCCTCTATTGTTTTCTAACATATCCCCTGGTCCACCCAAGTAGTCATTCCCATACCCCCTCCATTCTAATCTTTCTTCTCAAAGCATTGAATGCTTTTCCCACCTCTTTCTTGTACATCCTTCAAGGTCAAGTTCAACTTACAGTCCCTCTGAGAAACTTCCTCTTAACCTACTCCACCTCATTCATTTAGAGCTCAGCATCGAAAACGAGGCACTCTTCAAGAACAATTGTCTGAGAGATCACCACAGTGATTCAAAGACAAGATGGTAGAGTCCAATTATGTCAAAGCAGATTTACCTTTATCCACGTGTTTGGGCCTCAATGGAAGATTACATTTATTCAGTATTATACAATATTTTCCTGCTTTGTTACATCATTGCTTCAACTGCATAATATTTCTCTTCCTCAAAACAATAAAGTTTACTTATCAATTTTTGGAAAACAGAAAATATATTTTATAATCCTCCTTTATTCTCCCTTTCCCCTATTATAGCATCAAGTACAGAGTTATACATAAAATATGATAATTTGGCTCAACCAAACCACACTAGCAAATCAATTGTTTCATGAGTTTCAGTGGCACTAATGATGCTATACTAAGAACAGTCACTTGGTATCATGACATCTCCTTCAAAGGATAAGAACGTGCTTCAAGAAGCTTCATTTCACTCAAACTCTGTGAACCTATCATCCATAAATGAAATATATATATATATATGAATTGCTGATAATGTGTAAGTAATGGGTATTAGTCAGGATAGCCTAGGTTATGCTGCCATAGCAAACAGTCCCCAAAATGCAGCTACTTAAAACACACAATTGATTCTCCTTATGCTGTATGTATGTCCCCAGTGGGTTGGTGGGGGTTTCATAATACTAAAAGATTGGGTTAAGGGAGGCTCCTCTATCTTATAGAACACCGTCTGTGGTATGCAGCCTCCTCTATTGTTATAACAGGCAAGAGAAAAGGTAGCAAATTGCACTTGGGCTTTTTTACTACTTTAGTGTGAAAGGGAGATGGAGCACCTCCTGACAGTTCATTGGCCAGAAGTGGCTGCATGGCCCTCTCTACTTGAAAGAAAACTGAGATCTCATTGTGGTTTTGATTTGCATTTCTCTAATGACCATCGATGATGAGCTTTTTTTCATAGGTTTGTTGGCTGCATAAATGTCTTCTTCATCTCACGCCAGTTAGAATGGCAATCATTAAAAAGTCAGGAAACAACAGATGCTGGTGAGGATGTGGAGAAATAGAACGCTTTTACACTGTTGGTGGGAGTGTAAATTAGTTAACCATTATGGAAGACAGTGTGGCAATTCCTCAAGGATCTAGAACTAGAAATACCATTTGACCCAGCAATTCCATTACTGGGTATATACCCAAAGGATTATAAATCATTCTACTACAAAGACACATGCACATGTATGTTCATTGCAGCACTATTCACAATAGCAAAGACTTGGAACCAACCCAAATGCCCATCAATGACAGACTGAATAAAGAAAATGTGGCACACATACACCATGGAATACTATGCAGCCATACAAAAGGATGACTTCATGTCCTTTGCAGAGACATTGAGGAACGTGGAAACCATCATTCTCAGCAAACTAACACAAGAACAGAACCAAACACCACATGTTCTCACACATAAGTGGGAGTTGAACAATGAGAACACATGGACACAGGGAGGGGAACATCACACATCAGGGCTTGTCAGGGGGGTGGGGGGCTAGGGGAGGGATAGCATTAGGAGAAATACCTAATGTAGATGACAGGTTGATGGGTGCAGCAAACCACCATGGCACGTGTATACCTATGTAACAAACCACCACGTTCTGCACATGTACCCCAGAACTTAAAATATAATTAGAGCAAAAAAAAGAAAGAAAACTGAGAAACAAAGAAGAGTCAATAAAATATTTGTTGACTATTACTGTCTTTTCCACTTAGTATAAAAATTCTCAGAATCTTCTAGGTGGTCTTTTATGGCTTGATTTCAGGAACATGGTAGACACTAACCTATAAGAGACTACTAAAGAAAGAAGAACCAAGGAGATGAGAACTGCTGACCACTGTTACATGAAATATTTCTTTTCAGTCAATTTCGTTTCCTCTTTTCAACAAATGGAATCCCAGTTACTTTTTCATTGCAGAGAAAAAGTGAAAAATGGAGAAATTGGCCCCATCTGAGAATGGGGAATAAATTCTTGGATAGAAATTATTTAGAGGTCTAGTGCGTAGGATATGAACTAAATATTCCTAAATTTCTTCTAGATTGATTTAGCAGCCACTCAGTCAAAATAGCCAGCTAGTGTGCCAGATACTTTGTCTCTGGATGCACAAAATCAAATAAAACCAGATTCCCACCCAAAGCAAAGGAAATGGGTAAATACACAAAGTCAAGCACACAAGGCATTATCCCAAAATATTTCAAAGAGTTAAGAACTGAAAGAAAAGAAAAGGATCAGATCTGCAGGTGGACATGAAAGTGAGGATCTAGAAGGACTTCATAGTGCAAACGACATTGAAAGAAATTTATAAGGTATTATTCCACGCTTTAGGAAAATGTTCTATTAATTTTTTCAGCCTTTCCTGACCACAATGAACTTCTTTCTGAATTCTTCTTTTCATTTATTTGCTTAACAGAAGTGACAGGAGCCCATAGGGGTGCCACATTTTCCTGCTTCCAAATCAATTCAGCTTTGCCTTTTCCAGCTGTTGTGCTGGATTTAAGTCCGCAAAGCCAAACTGGAGGCATAGGAAGCCAAGGCAGTTAAAGCCTATTCATCTGACTGCTCCTTTCCCATTTGATGGTTGAGTCAGCTTTTAAAATAATGCTTCTCTTATTTGTTATTCTCCTTCTTTAGCACTACTGCCAGATGTACTTTCCACTTCACATGAAGTTTGGTCTATTCCAATTTTCCACTTCTCTGACTCTAATCCCACAGTTACAAATGGAATCCCAGGCTACACTAATATCTCTTACTTGCTGGCACTGAAAAGATCAATATTTCAAAATGCCATATGTTTTATAGATCGGCTACTGCATGCATACAAATACTGTGATATTTGAACCATTACAGTGATTGTAAGTTACATAAACCAGTTGCTGAATAAAGGCAAACTATCTCTTGTGGTTAAATTTCCAAAGGTCATCATGATGGCTGACCAATGAGCCAACTGTTGACCTGTCTTTTGCCATATTTAAGAGTTTGAGACATGGAAGAGGGTGAGGAATAAAAGAATCACCAAAAATGCCAACAGTATGTGGGGTAATTTAATGCTGAACATACTCATTGGCAATCAGACATCTCCAGGATCTTACCTGATGTTTTGCTTAATTGCAGCACTCAGTTCCCCAGAGTCTTTTGCTACATCCATTCCTTCACTTATTCATTCAGCAACTGTTCATTGAGCAACTGTATTTCATGACCTGAACTCTCTTCTAGGGATATAATGACAAATAAATCACTTAAGAGTCTCAAGGCCTACTCTCTAAAATATGTATGTGGGCAATGGAATATAATAAGGAAAATAATAGAAACACATAGTGCCTTGTGAATGGAGGAAAAACCCCAGCCTAAATAAGCCCAGGAGGCTTCCAGGAGGAAGTGAGGCCTGAGCTGTGTGTTGAAGGATGAATAGGAGTTAGTTAGGTAAAAAATTTCAACATGCTTGTCATAGAACAGCACATGTAGGAAGCTGCATGTTTCAATGTGACCAGAATAATTCATGACAGTGGGCTTGTATTAGATACAAACAAAAAATAAGAAATGGTCTGTGCTTCAAAAATATTAGTTTTAGGAAGGACTATTGACAGCAGGAACTAGCACTTGTGAATAACCCACTGTGTACATATATGCAGTTGACACTTCCACATACGTTATTTAACTTGACCTAAGGACTAACCCTCAAGGAATATTGAATTAAGGTCCTGCCCTCCTCATTTTGCAAATAAGGAAACTAGGACCCAAAATATTAAATATTTTTCCTTGAATCTTCATGAAGTAAATCATAAAATTAGACTACAACTCTTGGGCTCTAAAGTTTACAAAATAGACCAAAATTCCAACAGAATGATATATGGAGCCAGAACAAGGGGCATAAATTCTAAGACACAGAAATTTGAAGGAAGGAAAAATGAGCATTCATAGAGTGAATATGAAAGACTCGTGTAGTTGATAAAATGTGAACTTGAAATATAGGATAGAAATTCACCAGAGAAAAAAAGAAGGAACACATCTTTACGGGCAGAAAATAAATAGGTGCTTAAAAAGTTAAAGTCATTAATTTACGGTTGGAGTTAGTTCTCTTGGTGTGCTTTGCCCTTGTCAAAGGACATTGGAGTATTGGAAAAATATTTATTGAGTGCCTATGAGACATGACACCTGTGCCTTGTACTTTACAAGCCTTCTCTCTTTTAACCCCCGTAACAAACCAATGAGCCTCAATATTTTCTCATCCACGAAATGGGAGTGAATTCAAAGATTAAACACATGTCAAGTGCATACACATTGCAGTGTTTGGCATAGAGTAGATCATTGGTTTACACGACCTTCATTTGACAGATACAGAAACCAGGCCTCAGAGATACTGAATACCCAGCCTTCAATCACACAGCCAGAGGAGAGGAAAAGAGGACTTTCACCCAGGTATGTCCATTACATACCTTCACAGTCTTTCAACAGAGCCATACAAACTCCTTTGGCTAGGGTCAAACTGGAGCAGAACTGTTTAATAAACAAGGTATGTACTCAATAAGACAAGAATACGCTGTCCATAACAAAAACTCTGTGGTTTGAGGTTTGATTATTCCTCACCCTCCATTTCAGAAATATTGGGATTCCTGAAATCCCCATCAATTCTGATTGTTTAAAGCATAGATGACAGATGATAGATAGATAGATAGATAGATAGATGATAGATAGATAGATAGATAGATAGATAGATAGATGCGTAACAAGTAGACATGTATACTTTAGTGTAATTTTACTGCCATGCATGACCACTTCCAGGTGCTCTGTTTTTTAAACCTTATCTGTAATTTGTATAATTAACAAGTAAACACTTTTAGATAATTTTAGCAACCACTGAGCAGGTGAGGTGTTAAAAGGCTCCTAAAGTCATCACACGCAGACTATATCCTTTGATTTAGCAAAAACCAAACCATATGTGAGTATCAAAAAACATAAAACCACCAGGCTCCACAAAGTCACTGAGGCAATAAAATGAGCCAGTTTTAAGGCAAGAAGAATGACCCCCATTAAAAAGGAGTTTTAGAAATTAGGTATGGTAATATGGCCACAGTCCGTAGGAGCAGTAGTCAAATGAAAATATATTTAAAGAATGGTTCTGGCCCCTGTGGTATGTGTACCCTAGGAGAGCCACCATCTCTTTAATAACTTTGCTGTATTTCTTTACCACATTATTGAAAACTGTTTAATGAGCAGTTTCCCTCAGAGAAGATATCAGATTCTCAGAAGCAGTTGCCATGAGAGACACTCTTTAAAGCCTGATGAAATTATGTTTATCCTTTTACATTTCTTCCTGGGGCAGTTGAAATGGCCGTGTTTTTATTTTCTTCTTCTTTTGGAAATACATTTCTGCGTATGGAAACAAGATATGTTCAAGATAGAAAATTTGAAAATACAATGCATAAAGAACAGCAGAGATCAATGTGATCTCTCTTTCCAAACACAGAGGTAACTCTTAATATTCTGATATATCACTTCTTAAATTTGAATTCCTGCGTTATTCTTATATGAGTAATAATAAATACATGTATGTTAATCACATTTTTATACTACAATTTTGTATCTCACTTGGTTTTTTAAATTATCATTATCCCATGTTAATCGTAAGTCATTTTGTAATACAGACAATAGCTGCCTGAATGCTTCAACATCTTCCAGTCTGCAGTGTTCTTCTTAACTATTAACATCTACACCTGCTACCAATCATTAACTCTAAGCCTTAAGGCAGCATCTCTTTTTAGCTTACTTTTTGCATGCGGGTACCATCTCTCTTCCTTCAGCATAGCTCTATGATTACACATGTTGACACCAAAGTCAGAGAGCCAGATACCAACTTGCTCATCCACCACCGACTAGCTGTGTGATTTGCGATAAGTCACTTACACTCCCTAAGCCTCCATATTTTTCCCTCCGTGAAATGGGTGTGAATCCAGACTAAAAGGTAAAATGCACAAGTGTATAGCATAGTGCTTAGCACAGAGTAGGTCATGGGCTTGCATTGACTTGTAAAAGTAGAAAGTCAGGAAAAATAGCAGGATAAATTATATTGATAATGGTAGTTATAATAACATTTCTCCAAACACTATTAACACAAGATTCTTGAGTATAGTGGACTTTATTTAAAGTCTGAAGATAAATTTACAGCATAAGGCAAGAAAAAATGCAAGCTTATTTCAGACTCTTCCTAGAAATTTTTAGAACATCTCCCAAAGAGATTTCTTGCTGGCTGTCTTTTCAAATAACAGTATAGCTTTGAATGATTTCAGAAAGCTCTTCTGAATTTTTTCTTCAAAAATTGCCTACATCCCTTTATATTGACTATTTTACTTTACTTTTTACTTTATTCTTTTTTTTTAAGACAGGGTTTCACTCTGTCACCTAGGCTGGAGTGCAGTGGTGCAATCACGGCTCACTGCAGCCTCAACCTCCCAACCTCCCAGACTAAAGCAATCCTCCTTCCTCAGCCTCCGGAGTAGCCGAGACTACTAGAAATGCATCACCATGCAGGGATATTTTTTTCTGCAGGGTCTCATTATGTTCCTCAGGCTGGTCTTGAACTCTTAGACGCTAGTGATCCTACTGCCTCATCCTCTCAAAGTGTTGAGATTATAGACATGAGCCACCAAGCTGGGCTGACAATTCTATTTTCTTTTCTTTGTGGATTATTCCTTGGTGCTTCTTATTTCATTCATTTATTGGAGTTTCAGTGTATTTCTTTTTTATTTATAGGTGTTATTTTATGTTATGTTACATATTAGATGTTATATTATAATTGAATATTTTAGTATTCCATTTTTATTTCTTTATTGATATTTTAGTAACTATAATTTCTTTGCAGTATTACTAGTGGTTTTACCAGAAATTACAGCATGTATCTTAAACATAAAATAATTCACTTGGTCTTGATATTTTACTACCTCATGTAAAAATTGTGGAAACCTAATATAGTTCAATTCACCACCATCATCCTTAGCACTATAATTGTCAGATACATTATGCCTATAAACATTATGAACTCCATGCTATGGTGTTATAATTGTTGCTTTAAACAATCGTGGTTTTTTGGAAAATTAAGAAAAGAAAAAAATCTTAAGTCTTTTCTATTTACTTACATTATTTTCTCTTTACAGTGATTTGCTTCCTCACATAGATTAAAATTACCATCTGGTATAGTTTCTCCTCAGCCTGAAAAAGATAACTTCCTTTAGCTTTTCTTACAGAATAGATATGCTAACAACAAATTTCCTGTTTATTTTTGTTTAAAATATCTTTTTTATTCTTTTTTATTGATAAATAATTGTTGTATATATTGAAAATGTCTATTTCACCTTTGTTTTGGAAAGATGGTTTTGCTGTATGTAGAATTCTGTGTAGTCAGTGTTTGTCATTTAGCCCTGCAAAGATGTGTTCCATTTACTTTGTCCTCCATTGTTGATGATGAGAAGTCAGCCACCATTTCTATCATTGTACTCTTGTGTGTAATGTGACAGTTTTCTTTAGCGGCTTTCAAGGTTACCTTTTTATCTTTGTATTTCAGCAGTTTCACTGTGATGTTCCCGGTGTTTTCTTTTCATTTATCTTGTGTAAGTCTCACTAAACATAAGTTAAAAGTTTTCAAGCATTTAAAAGAAAATTTCCTTTGCCTCTCTTTCTGGGACTTCATTACACATAGGTTACTGCTTGGTAGTCTCACATGTCTCTACAGTTCTGTTCATATTTCTTCACTTTCTTTTTCTTTCCAGATTTTACAGTAGATATTTTATTTTGACCTGCCTTGAAGTTCAATTGTTTCTTCTGCTGTTAAATTCTTCTAGTAAAATTTTTATTTCAGTTACTACACTTTCCATCTTTAGAATTTGAGTTGGTATTTTTCTCTGCAGTTTCTGTTCATCTGCTAAGATTACCCATCTGTTTATTCATTATATGTATAACATTCTTAAGTTTTTGAACATACTTATAATAACTACTTTAAAAGTTTTCTGATAATTGCAGCATCTGGGTCCTCTCAGGCCAGTTTATATTGACTGTTTGTTTTTTTCTTCTCTATGGATAACATTTTGCTTGTTCTCAGCATGTTGAGTGATTTTTTAAATTGAATCTACACATTATAAATGATACATTTGTGAAGACTCTGGAATATTTCATATTCCTCTAAACAATGGTTTTTGGTCTAGAAGATAGTCACTTTGACTATACTCAAAGTCCAGACTCCAGTTCCCCTGTGGTAAAAATCAGCTGAAATCTCCCCTTAGTTCTTGATACGGTTTAGCTCTGTGTCCGCCACCCAAACCTCATCTAGAATTGTAATCCTCATGTGTCAAGGGAAGGAACTGGTGGGAGGCGACTGAATCATGGGGGCAGTTTCCCCCATGCTGTTCTCATGACAGTAAGTGAGTTCTCATGAGATTTGATGGTTTTAGAAGTGTGGCACTTCCTCTCTCTCTCTCTCTCTCTCTGTCTCTACCTCTTTCTCTCTCTCTCTCTCTCTCTGTCTCTCTCTCTCCAGCCACCATGTAAGACGTACCTTGCTTCCTTTTCTCCTGCTACCATGATTTTAAGTTTCCTGAGGCCTCCCCAGCCATGTGGGACTGTGAGTCAATTAAACCTCTTTTCTTCATAAATGACCCAGTCTCATGTAGTTCTTTATATAAGTGTGAAAATGAACTAATACAGAAAATTGATACCAGTAGTTTGGGGCACTGCTATAAAGATACCTGAAAATGTGGAAGCAACTTTGGAACTGGGTAACAGACAGACATTGAAACAGTTTGGAAGGCTCAGAAGAAGACAGGAAGATGTCAAATGTTTAGAATTTTCTAGAGACTTGTTGAATTGTTTTGACCAAGATGCTGATAGTGACATGAACAATAAAGTCAAGGCTGAGGTGGTCTCAGATGGAGATGAGGAACTTATTGGGAACTGGAGTAAAGGTCACTCTTGCTATGCTTTAGCAAATAGACTGGTGGCATTTTGCCCTTGCCCTGGAGATCTGTGGAACTTTGAACTTGAGAGAGATGATTTAGGGTATCCGGCAGAAGAAATTTCTAAGCAGCAAAGCATTCAAGAGGTGACCTCACTTTTTATGAAAGCGTACAGTCACATGTATTCACAAAGAGATGATACAAAATGGGAACTTATGTTTAAAAGGGAAGCAGAATATAAAAGTTTGGAAAATTTGCAGTCTGACAATGTGGTAGAAAACAAAAACCCATTTTCTGGGGAGAAATTCAAGCCAGCTGCAGAAATTTGCATAAATAACAAGGAGCCGAATGTTAATAGCCAAGATAATGGGGAAAATGTCTCCAGGGTATTTCAGAGATCTTCATAGCAATTCCTCTCATCACCAGCCCAGACGCTTAGGAAAGAAAAATGGTTTTATGGGCTGGGCCCAGAGCCACACTGCTATGTGCAGCCTTGGGACACGGTGCCCTGTGTCTCAGCCGCTCCAGCTCCAGCCATGGCTGACAGAGGCCAATGTACAGCTCATGCCATTGCTTCAGATATTGCAAGCCTCAAGCCGGGGTGGCTTCCATGTGGCGTTGGGCCTGTGGGTACACAGAAGAGTTGAAGTGTGGGAAACTCTTCCTGGGTTTCAGAGGATGTATGAAAATGTCTGGATGTTCAGGCAGAAGAAGTTTGCTGCAGGGACAGGTCCTGCATGGAGAACCTCTAGTAGGGCAATGCAGAGGGGAAATGTGGGGTTGGAGCTCCCACACAGAGTCCCCACCGGGACACTGCCTAGTGGAGCTGCGAGAAGAGGGCCACCGTTGTCCAGATCCCAGAACGGTGGATCCACTAACAACTTGCACTGTAAGCCTGGAAAAGCCAAAGGCACTCAAAGCCTGCCCATGAAAGCAGCCACAGGAGAGCAGCCATGGGGGCTGTACCCTGCAGATCTGAGCTGCCCAAGGCCTGGGGAGCCCACCTCTTCCATCAGCATGCCCTGGATATAAGAGATTAATAAAAGGAGGTTATTTTGGAACTTTAAGATGTAATGACTGCCCTGCTGTGTTTTGGACTTGCATGGGACCTGTAGCCTCTTTGTTTTGGCCAATTTCTCCCATCTGGAATGGGAGCATCTACCCACTGCCTGCACCTACATTGTAACTTGGAAGTAACTAACTTGCTTTTGATTTTACAGGCTCACAGGTGGAAGGGACTTTCCTTGTTTCAGATGAGACTTTGGACTTGAAAAATGTGCTAATGCTAGAATGAGTTAAGACTTTGGGGGACTGTTGGGAAGGCATGACTGTATTTTAAAATGTGAGAAGAACATGAGATTTGGGAGGGGCCAGGAGTGAAATGATATGGTTTGGCTCCGTATCCCCACCCAAATCTCATCTAGAATTATAACCCCCACATGTTGAGGGAAGAGCCTGATGGGAGGCGATTGGATCATAGGGGCAGTTTCCTCCATGCTGTTCTCATGACAGTGAGTGACTTCTCACAAGATCTGCTGGTTTTAAAATTGTGGCACTTGCCCCCTTTCTCTCTCCTGCCACCATGTAAGACATGCCTTGCTTTCCCTTTGCCTTCCACCATGATTGTAAGTTTCCTAAGGCCTTCCCAACCATGTGGAACTGTGAGTCAATTAAACCTCTTTTCTTTATAAATAACCCAGTCTCAGGTAATTCTTTATAACAATGTGAAAACAGAATAATACAGTTTCCTTAGTTTCCAGCTGCTGTATTTTTTAAGAAAACCCCCTGCAAAGTCTCCCCCCTTGCAGACAGAGTTCTTGGGTGGATTTTTTCAGTAAATTATTGAGTTCACACTCTCTATGGCTCCCTTTTTTCCAGGTACTCTCCCAAAACTTGGTCATTGTTCTGCTAGCCTGAGCTGTATCCTCTGACACCTCATACCAATAAGGCAGTAGCTCTCTGTAGATGAAGCAGCATGCAAGCTGAGTATGGGGCAGTAGAGGCTTGGGGGGCCTTTAGGCCTAAAGCTGCCAATTTTCCAACCTCATTCCTTTTTCTCCATATTTGCTATTGAGAGCCTTTAAATACTTGTATTTTTCAAATATATTTTCTATATTTTAAAATTATAGACAGGTTATTTCAAACAAGCCACTCTGCCATTACCAGAAATCATATGTCTTATGTGACTTTTAAGTTTTTTCTTCCTCTAGTCCTTCTATGCTTGAGTTCCACTGAAGAGTCACTTTCTCATATGTGAAAGAATATTCTTTGCTGATCAGTGTGTGGATTTTTTTCTCCTGCTAGAGTCTCAAAAAACAATGCAGCTATGTAATTGCTACAATTTAATGACCTTAACTCACTTTTACCTCCCAAAATGGCAGAAAGTAGTCAGAATTTATTTTTCATGTCTAGTAGTCAGCAAGGAGGATGGGAAAAGTGTGAAAAGGAAAAAAATTGTTTTTGAAATCAATTCTGTACTCTTCATAGCTAACTATTGCAAAAGTTCATTGGTCTCTTTCATTTTACTTCCTTAAATAACCACTTCTTCTCTTACTGAGAAGAACCTATTGCCCAGGACCTATCCTCTCTATTGAACCTGGAGGTTGTTTCTGAATATCTAGAGTCTTCATGGTCTTCAATGTTCAGCCATCATTTTATGCTTTAAAAAAATTTCTTGGCTGGAAAATCTTTGAGAACATAAACTGTTCACCAGTGTACCTGTTCCTAAATTCACACTTTTTTGAATTCCGGTCAGTTCTATTCCTATACAAAGTTGAAACCAATAATACAGAAAATATTATTTTGGGAAGGAGAGGGAAATTAAGAGTTGAAAGCTAGAATTTGTAACTGTCAGGAAGTTAGAACAGAAGACACTAGGGTATGTAAATAGATATTCAATATATTAAATTCAGATAATAATATTTGAGTTCTTAAGAAGTATCTGGCCTATAGTAGATGTTACATAATTATTTGTTAAAGGAAAATTATTTATTTATACTAGTGAATGATGGAGTGTCTTTATTCATGCTATTTACTGTGATTCATTTGAAAGACAGTTTTATTTAACTTTTCTAGGAAGAGAGAATAAAAGTTTGTATCACAACCTCTGAGACTGCCTCCGACTCTAAAATATCTATCTATCTATCTATCTATCTATCTATCTATCTATCTATCCATCTATCTATCTAGCATCTAGCATCTATCTATATATGATTGTGTGTTTCCAGATCAAAACAAGCTTGACAAGGCCTCCTCCAGGCATACCATGATAAGTCTTTGCCCATCTCTATGACAACACTTCATACTGTTTTGTAATAATTTATAGGGTTGTCACCTCCATCAGACAGTGAACTGAAGGATGAGAGCAGTGCTATAATCATTTCAGAAGATCTCAGCCATAATTACTGCCTGCTATACACAGTAGAAACTCAGAAAATGATAAATGGGTACATGTGGGACTTTTTGTACATAAATGAATGGTGTAGTTTTTATGTAAATTATCATTAAAGGCTTTTTTCCTATATCATATTAATATGCCAAATTAGACTGCTATTGAGAATATACAGTTTCAACACAATTTATTGGCTGCATCTTAAGGGCCAGGCGCCAGAAGGGGGCAGAAGATGTAAAAATGAGAGCATTTGTCCATGTGCTAATAGCACTTACAGAGGAACAATGGCCTCTGTTGCCTATTTTCATGTTAAGCAAAAATTGGCACAGGAAGCAAGGCTATTATGACTGGAATCTCCTTTGGAATTCTCAAGATTAATATAAGAGTCATAAATAGTCATAATAGTCTTTTTAAATATTTGATTGTTTTAAATGTAATTTCTACTTAAAGATTTATGCCTAAGATATATCAGCAGGCAATGCTCTTGGGCTAAGAGTTTTGAAGGGTTATTTTCAATCTCTACTTTTAATCCACAAGCCAATAGAATACCAGGAATTATTGTACACCACATTCTGCCATAGTCAATTATGCTAGATTTATTTCCAAAATATAAATTGTAACCTCTCCGTTTTACCATAAAGTGAACCAGATGAAGTAAGTAAGGCACACATAGTTGGCACATAGGAAAAAATTTGATGTCTCTTCTCATTTCTAGGATTTGGTAAAAGAATAATGGATTTATACAATGAGTTAAGATTGCCCAAAGATAACTTTTAGATTACCGAATTGCATAAAGAAATAACCAGTTGCTTTAGCTGCTAAGCTCTGCTCTTTAGAAAGAAGTAGCACCAATTTAGCAAACTCAAGGAAACAGAACACATTGGAGCACCTAACCAAAGTGAAGTTAGGAAACAAATATTAGAATTGAAAACTCTGGAGAAGAGAGAATTGGGTCATTCTTATATTTTCTAGAATCAAAGACACAGCAGAATGTGAAATATCCCATTAACATCTACCACCTCATAGCCATTGCCCTTGTCTCTTCTAGTGTAGGTCTAGCTCTATTGTTTTAATCTGGACAATTTTAGTAACCTGTTAGCTCAGTTCTTTGTTAGCAGTCTCAGCTTCCTCTCGTATGTACTCCAGAGACCCACCAGAGTGGAAGGAACATGTCGTTTTCATGCTCAAGTTCCTTCAGCAACTCCATCAGAGAACAAAACCCAAGGCAAGCCTGGTATTTAAATCTTTTTACACAGTCCTTCTTTGCAAGATCTTTAAAATAGCAACATTAATCATAATAATAACAGCAACTATATTCTGTGTGTATTGTTGGGACATTTCACATGGCTACATTTAAACGTTTGTCTACGTTTGCTGTTTCACTATATTTGCAGCCCTTGCAGCACAGATGTGTTTTTTCTATCAGTTCTATAAACAATATTACACAAAGTGTCGAGCAGTGACTGCATTAATTAAGGGGTCACCAAGTTCCAAGGCAATTTAAGTAAGAATTTTAATGCTGCCATGAAATCCAAAGTGCTTGTTCATGTTTAACAAGCTGTGCAGTGAAGGAAAGGCGATGAAATTTGGCACTGCAAAAGATGGAACACACACTTTTTTTCACCCGAATGATCACTAGATGCGGTAAAAACAGAAAACTCTTTTTAGCTTTTTTATTTTTTAATACAAAGTAATGGGAGATCTTGTATTTCTGCCTAATGCCAATTTTCTGACTCAAAATGACCAAATCACTTTTCAGGGATAGTGAAATTGTTCAGTGGAATTTCATTATGCTGGGAAATGAAATTAATGTGCAGTCCAAAAATAAAATCAACTTTCTGTAAAAATAGGGTATTGGTAGACTCTAAAAGGATGTTTTAAAAAGGATAAAATGACAGCAACCCCAAGACATTTTAAAAATGCGGTAATGTAGTTATTCTGATCATTTTTTTTCTCTTAAAAATGTTTTCCACATACATTTGGATCAAATGTCCACAATTATATTTTATTATTATTTTACTTTTACTTGTACATTCCAAATGGAGACTGTGTTCATTCTTTTACCCATATCATGAGCTGGCTGAAACATTCAAACGCCACACATTCATCTCCTACAAAGATCAACTAGAAACACCACATTGTACTCAAAATAATTTCTCAGGAAATTCTTGCTTGTTTGTAAACCTGTTTTAACTAAGATTCTGTTTCCTCCCACTCCAAAATCTGGGAGTAGCGGCTTCCAGCTTGATCTTGTGTCCCTTCCAGACTTGGTGTTGACCCCTTATTTCCTGGTAGCCATTCCCTTTCTTTACAGATAGCAGCTCTGCCCAACTCCCTTGACCTTCTATTGCTTGAAGAAGAAAGTGTTCCCTCTAATGTCAACACTGAGTCACATGTTGCTGTAATAGATGTAACTGTCAAGATTCTTTGTCCTCAGTGCACCTTTGACCATGGTTGATCAATCCCTGCTCTTTGATAATCTCCTGTTATTTGACTTCTGGGATGTCGCCCTCTCTGGTTTCCCCCCCTACCCACCTTAGCTGTTACTTCTATATCTTCTTTGCTGGTTCTACCTCATCTCTTTGACTCAGTCTTGGACATCTTTTCTTTTTTCAATATACTCACCTTCTTCATGGTGCCATCAGTCTCACAGCATTAAAATCTATCTATAGGCTTGTGTCTCCCAAATGGTGACTCTCCTTTCTAGTCCTTTCCCCTGAACTCAAGTCTCCAGTTATCTGCTTAACATCCCCACACAGATATCTAATAAACATCTTAAATCTAGCATGTCCCAAATAGAGTTCTTTCCAGCTTTCTGCATCTCAGTTTTGGCAACTCCATCATTTGCATCACTCAGACCCAGTCATCTGTGATTCTTCTCTTACTCTCCCACTCCACATCAAATCTCCCATCATGCCAATGTCGCCATCAAAATATATGCACAGTGGAAGAATTCTCATGACTTCCACTGCTACCAACCTGGAACGAGCCAGCACCATCATTGTCACAGATTACGGAAACACCTTCTTCTTTCTCCTTCTGCCTTTGTGATCTATATTCTGCCTACCATCCTATCTTTTCGGTTATTCTTAACACTGCTATCAAAATAGGTTATATCATCTCACATCCCCTTTTACACCCCTTCTGTAGCTTCCTGTGTTATTTCAAGGGAAAACTAAAACCATTACAATGGCCTGCGAGGTTCTACACAATCTGCATCTCCCCACTGCCCTGATTTGTGTAACTCCCACTTACAAACCCTCCACTGGCCTACACTGGCTGGCTTGCTGCTCCCAAAGCCTGTGCATCCTACTTCTCCCTCAGAGCCTGCTACAATCTGAATGTTTGTGCCCGCCCTCCCACAAAATTTACATATTGAAATCTAATCACCATTGTGACAGTATCTGAAGGTGAAGCCTTTGGGGGTGATTAGGTCTTGAGGGCTCCACCTTCATGAATGGAGTAATAACCCTTATAAGAGAGGCCCCAGAGAGCTGTCTTGCCACTTCCACCACGTGAGATACAGCATGAAGGCTCCGTCTATGCAACAGAAAGCAGCCCCTCACAGACACTCCATGTGCCAGTGCCTTGATTCTGGACTTCCCAGCCTCTGGAAGAGAAATCAATTTCTGTCGTTTAAACCATTCAGTCTATGGTAGCTTTGTTATGACAGCCCAAGAGGACTAAGACAGAGCCTTTGCACTTGCTATTTCCTCTGCTGGACCACTTTCCCTGGCTAATTTCCATTCCGCCATGTTGCTCCTTCTCTCAGCTCTCCTACATCTTACCCAAGTATCGCCTTCTCAGCAAGTTCTTCCATTACCACCTCTAAAACTGGAATGCCTCCAGTGCTCCCTCTTCTCATGGTCTGCTTAGTTCTCTCTACAGCACATCTCACATATTATATATTTCAGCTTTTTATGCTTTTGATTCTCTGCCTCCTTCTACCAGAACACAAACCCCGTGGAACAGGGATCATCATCTGTGTCCTCATGGTTGGATCCCTCATGGTCTAGAGTAGTAACTGCTACATAGGTGCTCAATAAATGTTTTTTGATTGAATGAAAGAACAGAACTACCTTGTCTCTGGTCTCAGATGTACAAGCTTGCCATCCTTTAATCTGCCATGAGCAGTTCAATCCAAATTAACATTTACAAGCACCAATTATATTTGAGATGAATAAGACAAAAATCCTTGCCCTAAAGAAAACGGCAGTTTAGCAAGAAGATAACTGGTAGTAATAACAATAATAATAACAAAGATAACAGTTTTCATTTATCAGTTGTCTAATATGTGCTAGGAACTGAACGAGGTTATATTTCCTTTGCATCTAGTAACTCAGCTGCAGGATCGAAGGAGAGTCAAAGGAGTGAAGGAAGGCTTCAGATCTGGGCCATATGAATGCCTATATATGTATAGCATGGTGCGAAAAAAATAAAAGGGTATATTGACTAAAACATTCACATCAAAAGATGAATTTAGGCTTTGTATGTGAAGACACAGAGGGGCAGCACAGCAAAGCACATCAGTGTGAGGTTCAGGTGGTAGACCACCGCATTCCAATACTTCCTCTGCCACTAGGTATGTGAGCTGGAGCAAGTCGTTTAACATTTCTGGCCCCTGTCTTCTCATTTGCCAAAGGAGGAAACAATAGTCCTCACTACCTGTTTAAGGGGACGAGGTGCAATTACATAAGTTAATATGTAAAAAAAAAAAAAAAAAAAAAACGTAAATACCTGCTTGACACCTAGTGAGTACTGCATCGTGATCAATTATAATTCTTTATAAGCAGCAAGTGCTTCATCCATTTATTCTCTGAACACATGTGGGGCACTAGCTTCACCATGAAGAGTAGTTTCTGCCCTCAGGGGCTGGCAGTGTAGAGAGAGGGACAGTGAGATAACAGCAAATGCAGGGCAGCTTTGTCTGGTGAGCATAGGCCAAACAAAGGGCAGGGCCCATGGTCTGAGGTCAACAGCAGGGATTTCAGGAGGTGGTACCTGTGGAGGAAATGTGAGGATTCTTGTGGTGGGTGGAAGTGAGGGTTGGTAAAGAATTTCCAGGCAGAAGGAACAGGAACAGAGTCAATAAAGACACTGGGGGAAAAACCTGAGTTTCAGTCTGATATGGCTTAAAGAAATGCATGCAATAAAATATTAAAATATGAATTACAACATTAATGTGTCAATGTCAAATCTAGTGAACATGGAATTAAACCCAAGAGGCTGTGCCTGGAAGAAAAGAAAGAGGATAAAGATATACGGGCCAGAAGCTCCTCCAGGACTTTACCTCTGAGCTTCCTGACAACCAAAATAAAAATGGTATTGTACAACACGGTGAATATAGTTAATAACAATGTTAAAGATACAATAAGAAAATAAAATAAAAATGGTAACAGAATTTATTCAGTGGTTTTTTTCAATGTTCATGAAGACAAATCATGACAGTTCTTAAGAGGAAGCAAAATTTTACCTAGCACTCAGCTTTGGAAGAAATGTCCTACATAAAACTTAAAAGGAACACAAGCAGTGTTGTAGATGGCAACGCTAACCACAGCTTAGTATGAAAAGCAAGTGTGAGCCTCAGAAGGCAGTTTATTCTGATGCCTCAATGGAAGTTTAGGGCATAACACTGAACCACAACTGAGTGAAAGTCATCTAACTGAGGGAGAAAAAAATGTGTTACTTGCACTGTTTCTCTCTCATCTCCTTAGACTCCCAGCCCACAGTTCACTCAGGAATAACCAGTGCAGGATGTTAGAGCTTCCCGAACCTCCCCTTCCCACCAGACCTTTTCAATTCCTGCCATGTTCACTTAAGCCCATTGTGTGGCCAGTTCGTCAGTTTCATTAACTTGGTTCTAACCAACAGGCACTTACAAAATATCATGTCAATGTTTCTTAAACACATTTCCCAATGGAAACATTTTTAATATTTGTTTTTGGTTAGCTTTTAGGTTGTGAAAATCCAAGACCTATAGTATATTAAGCTACTGGAGAGAAAGTGCTACTATTCTAAGGATGTAGGGGCAGGCTGCTGGACAAGAGTCAGGCAAGAACTGGAGTGTTGAGCTGTCCATCTCCTCTGGGTCTCTCTCTCCCCTTTCCAAGCCTCAGTTTCTCTCTGCATGGTTGCTCCTTTCCTCCGTCTTTCTCCATTTCCTCACCCTGTAGCCAATATCTTGTCTCCTTTCTCAGCTTACATGTCAGAATTTGCTGGCCAGGGCCCGAAAGGAACTTTCTGACTTCCTACACATGGCCGTGATGTCTCAGTATTTCTCAATTCAGAGCACCAGGAAAATCTGACTGACCCAGCTTAGCTACACAAGCTGGGTCTCACTAGTCATATATCTCTGGTAGGCTGCTTCTGCACACCTCTGGGACAGCCATGAGCAGTCGAGGTGAGACATGGAGAAACATACTGTACACCTGGGTCTCTATCAACAAAGTGCTAATCTCTACATAGACAGTAGAAGAAAGGATAAGCCACATCAGAAAGCCCCTCCCAAAAGAGGGATCAGTTAAAGAAGCTGTGGCATTATGGAACATAAGGTGCAGAACCCGAAGCCAGAAGGATCTTTGAGAGCCTTTACATCTCACTGTGAATGAGGCTGCTGCCAATGTTATCTATGCATAACGCATATGCTTTAAGAGAAATAATTTAGCTTATTCTATCCATCCCCATTTATTTATCCTTTTGGTAATAAACTGTTCCTTAATTCATCCTGTCCTGCGTTAGAACTGTTGTGCTGATGTGGAGAAATAGATTGTATTTGAATTACTGGATCATTTTCATTTGGCTGTTTGTTCAAATAATAATCTTTTTGTTTTCAAATAATTATAAATTATAGAAGAAACATTTCATTAAAGACTTAATGTGAGGAGAGACCAGTTTTAACCTGTAAATATATACATATATATTTATCTCCATTGTATCTACTATCTGTAAGTGGCTGTCACGGAAACCTTTCCTTACTCAACTTACTTTGGAAAAATGTAAAAAGAAATTGATGGCTTAGGAAACAGAGCTTCCCATCCTAAAACCATAGGGAAAAATTAATTTTAGTTCTGATCACAAAAAGTTCAAAGGACTCTACACCTCATCAGTTCAGTCCAACTTATGCATGGCTTCATTCTGTGTCCAAAAGTTGTTCTTCCAGAGTTTTAACCAAAAAGTATCCAATTAAATTCACTGCTGATTGGAGCAGCAGTGTTTCTGTTCGAATGTAGACATCTGACGCCGTCAAATAAACCCATTATTCTAGAGGATGACAATGACCTCATTGCTTCACCACTGAATAAATACAGTCTACTGCAAGAGTATTACTGGTTCCAAAAAGCCACTTCAAACCACCTGCAAGACTACAGATTCTACTTTGGAAACTACTTGTAGAGGCAAAAAATGGAGCTAGAGGATCACTTAGTAATAACACAGACCCAGTCTTAAATTGCATTCAAGGAATTCCATTTTGATACAAAGTGCTATTTTATGAGGAAATAATATCGAAAACTCAGAAAAGCTTATGAGGAGAAAGAACTAGGATTTTTAGCTTGAGCCAGACTGCAGATGAATCTAACTAGTAGGTCCAGCCTTTTGTGCAGTATTTGCCTCTGCTCTCAACATGCTCACCACCGACCAGCCTCTTGTTGTGCAATTTGTTCATCCCTTCTTTCTCTCCCATCAGAGAGTTATACTCCTCAGTTTCAGGTTAAGATGTTCTGTCAATCATGTGTATGTTCATCAGGGTTAATTTTAAGCAGTAAGTGCTTTTCATGGTGAAGTTTTCATTCTAGGTTTTATACTGAGTTGCACAAAGAAAAAAATGTCATTAGCTTTCCAAGAATTTTCTGATATTAGCATTGCATATGAATGGAAAAATGTGATGGACACCTAAAAATTGCATGACATAATAATGCTATTTATTTAATATGGCAGGTGCTCTGTGGAACACTCTATTCAAATAATCTCTTACATCTCAAATAACCCTGCCCATTTACCCTATCTTCCTCCATATAGGTAAGAAGCGGAGGCTTAGAAAGATTGAAGCTGCTTTTCAGGTTTCAAAGCAGCTATTAGGTAGTAGACCTGGGGTTTGAACATTGGCCTATCTGACTTTACAGCCCAAGCTCCTACTATCTAATAATTACAATAGCTTCTTCTCCAATCTTTGACCTCTTAATTCATCTTCCACACTGCCATGTGAATATTCCACATTTCTATCTGACCATTTGAGATTCATTGCTTAAAATTCACCAGTGATTTCCAACCATTTGCATGCTTCTTAACAAAGCCTGCAAGGCCATGCATGAATTAGCTCTCTTTTGCTCTCTTGCATCATTTCCCTTGCTCTCTTATAGTTGCGATCTCTAGGCACTAAACTCATTGAATTAAAACAGCAGGATTTTAAGAAGTATTATTGATCACATGGCCTCCATGTGCCATAGGAGTAGAATAATAGTCCCAACCAAGCCTGATTTCACAGAGAGTAGGCTTAATATATGTTTCAGTATTAACATACCTTCATGAGAACCATGTTACTAAAATGCTTCCCACTCCAACAGTGGGAATCCCTCCCTCAGCATGCTATGGGAGGAAGTAGAGTTCAGTATCAGGAGAGACTCCAGCCCTTTGTGCTAGGCCTTTTGTGTTCTTTTCTGGTGGTATTGTCTCATTTTTTAATATTCCAAGTAGGAAATAAATGTACTCCAAGAAGTTCCATGCCAAACCTTAAAAACTGTAGATATAAATGCTTCAGATACAATGAAGCATGTATTATTTATCTTTTCTATGTATAGGCATGTTTAGATCCAGGGTTTAGATTTGTTAAAAGCTTAACTTAATTAACCAAACAGAAAAGAAGCAAACAAAATCTATGATGTCAACAGCCATATAAAGTCACCCTCTTGCTTACAGATATTCCCTTGCAATAAATAGTGAAGGGAGCATAGCAAGAAAGTTTTCTGCCCCTCAAATTCCATTATCATAGTAGACTAACCTATAAATATTAATGTTTTTTGGTTTTTGTTTGGTTTTGTTTTGTTTTTGAGACAGAGTCTCACTCTGTTGCCAGGCTGGAATGCAGTGGTGCGATCTCGGCTCACTGCAAGCTCCGCCTCCCGAGTTCAAATGATTCTCCTGCCTTAGCCTCCCAAGTAGCTGGGACTACAGGCATGCACCACCACGCCCAGCTAATTTTTGTATTTTTAGTAGAGACGGGGTTTCACCATGTTGGCCAGGATGGTCCCGATCTCTTGACCTTGATCAGCCCGCCTCAGCCTCCCAAAGTGCTGGGATTACAGGTGTGAGCCACTGCACCCCACCAAATATTAATGTTATACAAAAGAAAAACTCCTTCAAGAGGAAGAATAAAGAAGAAGAAGGAGAAAAAGAAGAAGGAGGAGGAGGAGGAGAAGAGAAGGAGGAGGAGTAGGAGGATGGGGAGGAGGAGGAGGAAAAGGAGGAGGAAGGGAGGAGGAAGGGGAGGAAGAGGAGGAGGAGAAGACGGAGGAGGAGGGGGAGGAGGAGGAGGAAGAGGAGGAGGGAGAAGCAGCCTGGACCTCAGGATGGTCCAATAATTAATTCTATATATTCCTAAGTCATTTATGCTTGCCTCAGTCTTACATTGTTAAAAATCTGGTTATGTGACCAACTCCCTCACAAGATGACAAGCTCTGCAGATGAAGAGATGATGAGTTGAGTTGGGTGATGGAGTAAGAGCTCACTATTTACTAGATTGTGACACTGAACCTCTGTATGCCTTATACACCTTTTCTGTAAATGAGAATAGTAATTTCACCTACTAAAAAGAATGCTGTGGAGCTTTGGTAAAAGAATATATTTACATAAAACCTTGAAACAGCGTCTGGAACATAATAATATATGCTTGACAAGTGTTAGAAATTTTTAAGGAGAAAATTAAAATTTTCATGTGATCTTCTATTCTATCTCAGTATCAGCAGTAACTCTCTGCAGTCTGACATGGTCAGTACCAGCAGTAACTCTCTGCAGCCTGACATGGTCAGATTATATGCACGATATTTGTCCACAAAACTGATTATAGAAAAACAGAGCACTCTATTAATTGTAGTGTGACCTTGCATAGAAACAGAGAAGCAATGTAGGTGTCTACCAGCAACATCAACTAGTTGGATGACAGCAGACTTGGCAAAGTGGACTCCACCAATCTTTTCCAAATGTTTGTCCACATACTGGCACCAAAAGAGATAACGTTTTCACTGACCTCTATTAAACAGGAAATGGAATAAATTAAGTGATGTTTTCATCACTTAATTTAAATTTATACAAAGTACCATTCTTCATTCTAAGATTATTTCTTTGTGACATTTTGATGTTGAAATGCCCTTTTGCTTAGAAACAATGGCGAGGTTAGGTGATAGCAGGCTTATTTGTTTCATTTGTGGCTTGCTTTGTTTTGTTTGATTGAATTTTAACGTCTTACTTGATAACATAAAACGTTAGCAATCTTTTTTTTGGTCTCCACCTCCTCCCTTTTATTTTCTGAAATTATTCTGTTTTATGAAATCCCATGGGAGTCGGGCAGAGTAGGACACTCCTGGAATAATTTTTCTGGAATTCCAGGTCTTCTCTCCCATCTTACAGGCTCAGGAATCTGATTTATTATTTCTGAGAGATGACATAATCATAATAACAATAATTAAACTACACTGAATGGTTAATCTGTATAAGATACTATGCTAGGTACATCACATTTTGTCCTCACTATTATCCTACAAGACAGGTTGCCCATAGTTACACAGCTAATTAGTAATGGAGCCATAATTCAAAGTTAAGTCTGTCCTCTGAAACCTACGCTTTAACCACCACATTACATCACCTAATTATGGAACCCCAGGAATGTCCTTTTTAGTGACTTGAATGAGAAATATAACTTTCCTGTAGGCCACATTTCTTAGGTGTATGTTTTCTCCACATTTTCTATTTGGAGCTAACCTACAAGAAGGATGTTAAAATTGTAGCTTTTTGGTGAGCAATTAATTTGATATTTTGCATATAATATTTGGATACATTGGGTTGCAGATTATCCAAGAGCTGAGGTAACTCGAAGTATTCACAACTCAGTATGAGGTTAACAAGGGCAGAGATCTAAATATTCAAAATTCTTTGTTAAGATGTCTTCTGTACTTGGGTGCTTATAGGAGGAATTACTGACATTAGTTAGTTTTTTGTTCTTCTTCTCATATACTAATGCCATAAATCAGTTTCCCTACAAATCCCTCTATAGACTGAGAGTTAGTACTTTTGTGGTGACTTTTAATATGTCACTCTAATCCATTATAGAATGAGGAGGGAACACAGCACAGTGGCACCCAATCTGGGCTTTGAAAGTAGCCTGCTTTACCCCTGCTCTGTGGCCATGGGCAAGTTTCTTGGTCTCTCCAAACCATAATTTGCACATGTTTGAAAATGGGCGTGTGACTACTTACTTCACAGGATTGGTAAAATGATCAAATGAGATAATATTAGGTTGGTGCAAAAATAATTATGGTCCTTGCCATTACTTTTAATATATAAAACACACACAGAATGTTGTCTAGAGTGCACTCAGTAAATGACACCTCTTGCTGCCATTGCTGTTCTTACTGTTATTTATACTCATATTACCTTGTAACTCTCAAAAGAAAATCCTATACCCTCTATTTCCAGTGCTTGAGAACATGCCACTGTTGTCCCTTTGGGCTGGCTACTTCCCTCTTTGAGGCTGCCTTGCCTTTCCAGGGAGGAATCGCACAAGTTTCCAGGTAGGTTGTTTATTAGCCTGTTTACTGCCTAGAGAATTTCTGAAGTCTTTTATTTCATCTTTTCTGGTTTTTTTTGTTTGTTTTTTGTTTTTTTGGGTTTTTTTTGCTATTGTTGTTCAAGCTGTCAGTGTTTCTGCTGATAAAACACTCTCAAGAACCCTGTGGGTCTCCTGTATATGTCTGGAGATTCATTCCCTTAGACCATAGGCTCCTCCAGAGATCTTTCCTGGGTAATTCCATCTCTTTCCCTGGTTCTGCTTAGATATCTGAGTCACACACCCAACCTCTTCAGTCAGCTCTCTGTGTTATTTGAATACTCTGATCTCATTTTTTTTTGAGACGGATTCTCGCTCTGTCACCCAGGCTGGAATGCAGTGGCATGATCTCGGCTCACTGCAAGCTCCGCCCCCTGAGTTCATGCCATTCTCCTGCCTCAGCCTCCCAAGTAGCTGGGACTACAGGCCCCCGCCATGACGCCTGGCTAATTTTTTTGTGTTTTTAGTAGAGACGGGGTTTCACCATGTTAGCCAGGATGGTCTCGATCTCCTGACCTCGTGATCTACCCACCTTGGCCTCCCAAAGTTCTGGGATTACAGGTGTGAGCCACCACGCCCGGCCAAATATTCTGATCTCTTAATCCTTCCTAGGTACTAGCGAAATAACCACTTGTGTTCTTGGGTTTCTCTCCAAGGCACTCGGTCCTGACAATGAATCACCTAATTTTAGTGTCTTGCAATCTGTTTTCTCATACAAACGGAAGAAGAAAGAAGGTGACCTCTTCAACACTTTGCTAAAAAAAATCTCCCCAGCTAAATACAAAGGAGCTTTATCATTTACCAGCTCTGCTTCTTATATAACTGCAAGACAAAATTCTAGTAAGTTTTCTGTCACTATATAACAAAGATTCCCTTTCTTCTGGTTCCCAATAAGATGTTTCTCATTTCCTTTGGAGACTTCACCAACAACACTTTCAGCATTCATATTTCTACCAACACTTTGTCTATGGTGATTCAGGTATTCTGTAAGACTATATAGACTTACTCTACCTTGCTCCTCACTTCCCTCTGAGCCCTCCACCAGCAGAGCCTTTAGCATCTATATTTCTACTAACAATCTATTCAGGAAAATCTAGGCTTTTTCTATCATGATCCTCAAATTTTTCTAGCCTCTGCGCACTGCCCAGTTCTATAAACCACTTCTAGATTTCTTACCGAAGCACCACATTTGCAGGCACCAGAATCTATATGAGTTTTCTATTGTTGCTATGACAGATTAAACATAGTGGATTAAACTAACACCAATTTATTATCTTATAGTTCTAAAGATCAAAAATTAAACATGGATCTTACTAGGCTCAATTCAAAGTGCCAACAGAGCAGCATTCCTTCTAGAGTTTTGGACACTTGAAGAGGTTTTGGATACTCAAATGGAGAATCCATTCCAAGCCATTTTCTGCTTCCCGAAGCTGCCCACATCTTCTGGTCCATGATTGCATGACTCTAACCTCTGCTTCCATTGTCACATCTTCTTCTCCAGCTCTGATCTTCCTGCCTCTCTCTTATAATAACCTTAGTGATTACATTGGGTCCACCCAGATAATTCAAGATAATCTCCCCATCTGAAGGTCCTTATCTTAATCACTTCCAAAGTACCATCTGCCATCTGATGTAACATATTCACAGGCTGCAGGGATTAGGACTTGGAAATCTTTAGGGACCATTATTCTGTCTACCACAAGTTGTAAGAGTTCTATACAAATTCTGGATACTAGGATCTAATCAGGTGTATGACTTACAAATGTTTTCTCCTATTCAGTGGGGTTGTCTTTTCACTTATGATAGTATCCTTCAATGCATCAAAAGTTTAATTTTGGTGACAAAGCCCAATTTTTCATTTTTCTTTTGTTGACTTTGCTTTTGGTGTCATAACTATGAGTTTTATAGTACTAGCTCCTATATTTAGGGTTTTTTTCATCCATTTTGAGTTAATTTTTTATATGGTGAGAGGCAGAAGCCCAATGATATTTTAATATCTCAGCATCATTTCTTGGAAAGACTATTTTTCCCATCAAATTATTTGTGCAGTCTTGACAAAAATCAACTGACTATAAATAAGAGAGTTTATTTTTGGACTCTCATGTGATTTCATCGATCCACGTGACTATATTTATGCCAGTACATCACATTCGAGATTACTGTAGCTCTGCAGCAAGTTTTGAAATCAGAAATGTGATCCTCTAACTTGTTCTTTGACAAAATTTTTGATATTCTGTATTCCTTGTGTTGCCACACAAATTTGAGGATCAGTGTGCTAATTTCTAAAGAAAAAAAAGCCAGCTGGTATCTTGAATGGTATTGCATTAGATCTGTAGAAGAATTTGGAGAGTATTCCATCTTAAGTAAATATTTCAATCCATGAACATGGAATGTTTTTTCATTTCTTTAGAAACTTCTTAATTTCTGTCAACAATAATTTCTTTAATCAGTGTGTAAGCCATTTACTTCTTTTGATGTTTGTCTCTATGTATTTAATTATTTTTAATGATTCTTTTAGTGACATTATTTTATTTTTATATTATTCATTCCTAGTATATAGAGATACAATTAATTTTGTACATTTGTTCAGGATCCTGCAATATTTCTGAACGCATTTATTACATCTAATGGGATTTTCTTGGTTAGCATTGTTGTTTCCTTAGGATTTTCTATGTGCAAGATCATATCATTTGCAAATAGAGATAGTTTTACTTCTTTTTTTCTATCTGGATACATTTTATTTCTTCTTCTTGCCTAAATACCTGAGCTAGAATCTCTACTTCAATATTGAAGTAGCAAGAGTGGACATCCTTGTTGGGTTCCTGTTATAAGAAAAGCCTTTGGCCTCATAATATTGAGCATGAAACTATGGTTTCTTCATAGATGCTATTTATTATGATGACAAAGTTTCATTCTGTTTCTAGTTTGTTTAATGTTGTATCATAAAATGGTATTGGATTTTGTCCAATGCTTTTTCTCCATTAATTGTTGTCTTTTTAATTAATTTAACTAATTTAATTAATTTTAATTAATTGGCTCTTATCCTTTATTCTCTTAACATAGTGTATTACACTGACTGATTTTTGCATGTTAAACCAAACATGCATTCCTGGGGAAAATTCAGTCAGTCATGGTATATAACTCTTTTACTTTATATAGTGTGCTATTATTTTGTTGAGGATTTTTGCGTCTATATACATAAAGGATACTGGTCTGTGCTATTCTTTTCCTGGAAGTTTTTTGTCTGTTTTAGTGACAGGGTAATAATCACTTTATAGAATGGGTTGAAAAGTGTTCTTTCTGCTTCTATTTTTTGGAAGAGTTTGTGAGGGATAGCATTTCATTCATTGTATTCTTCAAGTGTTCTGTAGAATTCACCAGGGAAGATACATGGTCCTGGAATTTTCTTTGTGAAATGTTTTTTGATTACCAATTCAACTATTTGTTACATGTCTATTTAGATTTCCTATATTTTCTTGAGTCAGTTTTGATAGTTTGTATATTTCCAGGAATTATCTATTTTATCTAGTTTGTCTAATCTGTTGACATACAATTTTTCCTTTTTCTTTTCTTTCTTTTCTTTTCTTTTTTTTTTCTGAGACAGGGTTTCACTCTGTCTCTCCGTCACCCAGTCTAGAGTGCAGTGGTGTAATCATAGTTCACTGTTGCTTCAACTCAAACCCCTGGGTTCAAGCAATCCTTCCAATGCAGCCTCTACTGTAGTAGCTAGGACTACAGGTATGTGTCACCATGCCCAGCTAATTTTTAATTTGTTGCAGAGGCAGGGTCTCGCTATGTTGACCAGGCTGGTTTTGAACTCCTAACTTTAAGAAATCCTCCTGCCTCAGCCTCCCAAAGTATTAGGATTACTGGTGTGATAACTTTTCATATTATTCCTTTGTAATTCTTTTTTGTTTCTATAAAGTCTATAGTTACATCCACTTTTTAAGTTTTATGTTAGTAATCTGAAATTTTTTTGGTCAATCTAGCTAAAAGTTCGTCAAATTTTTGGTCTTTTCAAATAACCAATTTTTTATGTGCTTTTTTTCCCTATTGTTCTATTTCTTATTTAGGAATGTGTTGTTTAATTTTCACACATATCTAAACTTCCAAAATTTCATTGTGTTATTGATTTATAATATTATTCTAGAGTGTCTGAAGAATATATTTTGTATGAAGTCAGTCCTTGTAAGTTTATTGACGTTTATTTTATGTCCTCACATATGGTCTATCCTGTAGCATTTCCAATGCTCATTTAAGAAGAATTTATTCAGCTATTGTTGGGTGGAGTGCTCTATAGATACCTGTTATGTCTAGTTGGTTTATAGTGTTTTTCAAATCTTCCATTTCTCTGTTTATCTTCTCTCTAATTGTTATATCCATTACTGAAAGTGTAGTATTGAAATACCTATTATTGCTGAAATGTCTGTTTTTCCTTTTAATTCTGTCAGTTTTTGCTTCACACATTTTGGAACTCTTCTCTTAAATGCCTATATGTTAATAATTATTCTTGATTCAATAATGTTCTTGATGCCTTAACCCTGATTTCTCCATCTCAATTCACTGGAAATGCTAGAGGGTTCTCAGCCTATTTTCTTAAATTTCTTCTTTTATCTACATACTGTCTTTAGGTAAACATATCCAGTTTCATGGCTTTAAACAACATCTATATACCAATGACTCAGAAATTTATATCCCCAGTCCCAATCTCCCCAAAGAATTCAGAGTCATATATTAAGCTGTTCATTCTCTGTCTCATATACATCTCACATATAACAGGCTCAAAACTGAACTTATGACTCACTCACCACCCAACTTGTTCCTCCCTCTGTTCTTTCCTATCTCAGAACATGTCGGGGGGAGGAGCCAAGATGGCCAAATAGGAACAGCTCCGGTCTACAGCTCCCAGCATGAGCGACGCAGAAGACGGGTGATTTCTGCATTTCCATCTGAGGTACCGGGTTCATCTCACTAGGGAGTGCCAGACAGTGGGCGCAGGTCAGTGGGTGAGCGCACCATGTGCCAGCCGAAGCAGGGCGAGGCATTGCCTCACTTGGGAAGCACAAGGGGTCAGGGAGTTCCCTTTCCGAGTCAAAGAAAGGGATGATGGACGCACCTGGAAAATCGGGTCACTCCCACCCGAATATTGCGCTTTTCAGACCGGCTTGAAAAACGGCGCACCACGAGATTATATCCCACCTGGCTCGGAGGGTCCTACGCCCACGGAGTCTCGCTGATTGCTAGCACAGCAGTCTGAGATCAAACTGCAAGGTGGCAGCGAGGCTGGGGGAGGGGCGCCCGCCATTGCCCAGGCTTGCTTAGGTAAACAAAGCAGCCTGGAAGCTCGAACTGGGTGGAGCCCACCACAGCTCAAGGAGGCCTGCCTGCCTCTGTAGGCTCCACCTCTGGGGGCAGGGCACAGACAAACAAAAAGACAGCAGTAACCTCTGCAGACTTAAATGTCCCTGTCTGACAGCTTTGAAGAGAGGAGTGGTTCTCCCAGCACGCAGCTGGAGATCTGAGAACCGGCAGACTGCCTCCTCAAGTGGGTCCCTGAACCCTGACCCCCGAGCAGCCTAACTGGGAGGCACCCCCCAGCAGGGGCACACTGACATCTCACACGGCAGGGTATTCCAACAGATCTGCAGCTGAGGGTTCTGTCTGTTAGAAGGAAAACTAACAAACAGAAAGGACATCCACACCAAAAACCCATCTGTACATCACCATCATCAAAGACCAAAAGTAGATAAAACCACAAAGATGGGGAAAAAACAGAACAGAAAAACTGGAAACTCTAAAACGCAGAGCGCCTCTCCTCCTCCAAAGGAACACAGTTCCTCACCAGCAATGGAACAAAGCTGGATGGAGAATGACTTTGACGAGCTGAGAGAAGAAGGCTTCAGACGATCAAATTACTCTGAGCTACGGGAGGACATTCAAACCAAAGGCAAAGAAGTTGAAAACTTTGAAAAAAATTTAGAAGAATGTATAACTAGAATAACCAATACAGAGAAGTGCTTAAAGGAGCTGATGGAGCTGAAAACCAAGGCTCGAGAACTACGTGAAGAATGCCGAAGCCTCAGGAGCCGATGCGATCAACTGGAAGAAAGGGTATCAGCAATGGAAGATGAAATGAATGAAATGAAGCGAGAAGGGAAGTTTAGAGAAAAAAGAATAAAAAGAAATGAGTAAAGCCTCCAAGAAATATGGGACTATGTGAAAAGACCAAATCTACGTCTGATTGGTGTACCTGAAAGTGATGGGGAGAATGGAACCAAGTTGGAAAACACTCTGCAGCATATTATCCAGGAGAACTTCCCCAATCTAGCAAGGCAGGCCAACGTTCAGATTCAGGAAATACAGAGAACGCCACAAAGATACTCCTCGAGAAGAGCAACTCCAAGACACATAATTGTCAGATTCACCAAAGTTGAAATGAAGGAAAAAATGTTAAGGGCAGCCAGAGAGAAAGGTCGGGTTACCCTCAAAGGGAAGCCCATCAGACTAACAGCAGATCTCTCGGCAGAAACCCTACAAGCCAGAAGAGAGTGGGGGCCAATATTCAACATTCTTAAAGAAAAGAATTTTCAACCCAGAATTTCATATCCAGCCAAACTAAGCTTCACAAGTGAAGGAGAAATAAAATCCTTTACAGACAAGCAAATGCTGAGAGATTTTGTCACCACCAGGCCTGCCCTAAAAGAGCTCCTGAAGGAAGCACTAAACATGGAAAGGAACAACCGGTACCAGCCACTGCAAAATCATGCCAAAATGTAAAGACCATCAAGACTAGGAAGAAACTGCATCAACTAACGAGCAAAATCACCAGCTAACATCATAATGACAGGATCAAATTCAAACATAACAATATTAACTTTAAATGTAAATGGACTAAATGCTCCAATTAAAAGACACAGACTGGCAAATTGGATAAAGAGCCAAGACCCATCAGTGTGCTGTATTCAGGAAACACATCTCACGTGCAGAGACACACATAGGCTCAAAATAAAAGGATGGAGGAAGATCTACCAAGCAAATGGAAAACAGAAGAAGGCAGGGGTTGCAATCCCAGTCTCTGATAAAACAGACTTTAAACCAACAAAGATCAAAAGAGACAAAGAAGGCCATTACATAATGGTAAAGGGAACAATTCAACAAGAACAGCTAACTATCCTAAATATATATGCACCCAATACAGGAGCACCCAGATTCATAAAGCAAGTCCTGAATAACCTACAAAGAGACTTAGACTCCCACACATTAATAATGGGAGACTTTAACACCCCACTGTCAACATTAGACAGATCAACGAGACAGAAAGTCAACAAGGATACCCAGGAATTGAACTCAGCTCTGCGCCAAGCGGACCTAATAGACATCTACAGAACTCTCCACCCCAAATCAACAGAATATACATTTTTTTCAGCGCCACACCACACCTATTCCAAAATTGACCACATACTTGGAAGTAAAGCTCTCCTCAGCAAATGTAAAAGAACAGAGATTATAACAAACTATCTCTCAGACCACAGTGCAATCAAACTAGAACTCAGGATTAAGAATCTCACTCAAAACCGCTCAACTACATGGAAACTGAACAACCTGTTCCTGAATGACTACTGGATACATAACGAAATGAAGGCAGAAATAAAGATGTTCTTTGAAACCAACGAGAACAAAGACACAACATACCAGAATCTCTGGGACGCATTCAAAGCAGTGTGTAGAGGGAAATTTATAGCACTAAATGCCCACAAGAGAAAGCAGGAAAGATCCAAAATTGACACCCTAACATCACAATTAAAAGAATTAGAAAAGCAAGAGCAAACACATTCAAAAGTTAGCAGAAGGCAAGAAATAACTAAAATCAGAGCAGAACTGAAGGAAATAGAGACACAAAAAACCCTTCAAAAAATTAATGAATCCAGGAGCTGTTTTTTTGAAAGGATCAACAAAATTGATAGACTGCTAGCAAGACTAATAAAGAAGAAAAGAGAAGAATCAAATAGACGCAATAAAAAATGATAAAGGGGATATCACCACCGATCCCACAGAAATACAAACTACCATCAGAGAATACTACAAACACCTCTACGCAAATAATAAACTAGAAAATCTAGAAGAAATGGATAAATTCCTCGACATACACTCTCCCAAGACTAAACCAGGAAGAAGTTGAATCTCTGAATAGACCAATAACAGGAGCTGAAATTGTGGCAATAATCAATAGTTTGCCGGGCGCGGTGGCTCACGCCTGTAATCCCAGCACTTTGGGAGGCCGAGGCAGGCGGATCACGAGGTCAGGAGATCGAGGCCATCCCGGCTAAAACGGTGAAACCCCGTCTCTACTAAAAATACAAAAAATTAGCCGGGCGTAGTGGCGGGCGCCTGTAGTCCCAGCTACTTGGGAGGCTGAGGCAGGAGAATGGCGTGAACCCGGGAGGCAGAGCTTGCAGTGAGCCGAGATCCCGCCACTGCACTCCAGCCTGGGCGACAGAGCGAGACTCCGTCTCAAAAAAAAAAAAAAAAAAAAAAAAAAAAATCAATAGTTTACCAACCAAAAAGAGTACAGGACCAGATGGATTCACAGACGAATTCTATCAGAGATACAAGGAGGAACTGGTACCATTCCTTCTGAAACTATTCCAATCAATAGAAAAAGAGGGAATCCTCCCTAACTCATTTTATGAGGCCAGCATCATTCTGATACCAAAGCCGGGCAGAGACACAACAAAAAAGAGAATTTTAGACCAATATCCTTGATGAACATTGATGCAAAAATCCTCAATAAAATACTGGCAAAACGAATCCAGCAGCACATCAAAAAGCTTATCCACCATGATCAAGTGGGCTTCATCCCTGGGATGCAAGGCTGGTTCAATATACGCAAATCAATAAATGTAATCCAGCATATAAACAGAGCCAAAGACAAAAACCACATGATTATCTCAATAGATGCAGAAAAAGCCTTTGACAAAATTCAACAACCCTTCATGCTAAAAACTCTCAATAAATTAGGTATTGATGGGACGTATTTCAAAATAATAAGAACTATCTATGACAAACCCACAGCCAATATCATACTGAATGGGCAAAAACTGGAAGCATTCCCTTTGAAAACTGGCACCAGACAGGGATGCCCTCTCTCACCACTCCTATTCAACATAGTGTTGGAAGTTCTGGCCAGGGCAATTAGGCAGGAGAAAGAAATAAAGGGTATTCAATTAGGAAAAGAGTAAGTCAAATTGTCCCTGTTTGCAGACGACATGATTGTATATCTAGAAAACCCCATTGTCTCAGCCCAAAATCTCCTTAAGCTGATAAGCAACTTCAGCAAAGTCTCAGGATACAAAATCAATGTACAAAAATCACAAGCATTCTTATACACCAATAACAGACAAACAGAGAGCCAAATCATGAGTGAACTCCCATTCACAATTGCTTCAAAGAGAATAAAATACCTAGGAATCCAACTTACAAGGGATGTGAAGGACCTCTTCAAGGAGAACTACAAACGACTGCTCAAGGAAATAAAAGAGGATACAAACAAATGGAAGAACACTCCATGCTCATGGGTAGGAAGAATCAATATCGTGAAAATGGCCATACTGCCCAAGGTAATTTACAGATTCAATGCCATCCCCATCAAGCTACCCATGACTTTCTTCACAGAATTGGAAAAAACTACTTTAAAGTTCATATGGAACCAAAAAAGAGCCCGCATCACCAAGGCAATCCTAAGCCAAAAGAACAAAGCTGGAGGCATCACGCTACCTGACTTCAAACTATACTACAAAGCTACAGTAACCAAAACAGCATGGTACTGGTACCAAAACAGAGATATAGATCAATGGAACAGAACAGAGCCCTCAGAAATAATGCCGCATATCTACAACTATCTGATCTTTGACAAACCTGAGAAAAACAAGCCATGGGGAAAGGATTCCCTATTTAATAAATGGTGCTGGGAAAACTGGCTAGCCATATGTAGAAAGCTGAAACTGGATCCCTTCCTTACACCTTATACAAAAATCAATTCAAGATGGATTAAAGACTTAAACGTTAGACCTAAAACCATAAAAACCCTAGAAGAAAACCTAGGCATTACCATTCAGGACATAGGCATGGGCAAGGACTTCATGTCTAAAACACCAAAAGCAATGGCAACAAAAGACAAAATTGACAAATGGGATCTAATTAAACTAAAGAGCTTCTGCACAGCAAAAGAAACTACTATCAGAGTGAACAGGCAACCTACAAAATGGGAGAAAATTTTCACAACCTACTCATCTGACAAAGGGCTAATATCCAGAATCTACAATGAACTCAAACAAATTTACAAGAAAAAAACAAACAACCCCATCAAAAAGTGGGCGAAGGACATGAACAGACACTTCTCAAAAGAAGACATTTATGCAGCCAAAAAACACATGAAAAAATGCTCATCATCACTGGCCATCAGAGAAATGCAAATCAAAACCATAATGAGATACCATCTCACACCAGTTAGAATGGCAATCATTCAAAAGTCAGGAAACAACAGGTGCTGGAGAGGATGTGGAGAAATAGGAACACTTTTACACTGTTGGTGGGACTGTAAACTAGTTCAACCATTGTGGAAGTCAGTGTGGCGATTCCTCAGGGATCTAGAACTAGAAATACCATTTGACCCAGCCATCCCATTACTGGGTATATACCCAAAGGACTATAAATCATGCTGCTATAAAGACACATGAACACGTATGTTTATTGCAGCATTATTCACAATAGCAAAGACTTGGAACCAACCCAAATGTCCAACAATGACAGACTGGATTAAGAAAATGTGGCACATATACAGCATGGAATACTCTGCAGCCATAAAAAATGATGAGTTCATGTCCTTTGTAGGGACATGGATGAAATTGGAAATCATCATTCTCAGTAAACTATCGCAAGAACAAAAAACCAAACACCACATATTCTCACTCATAGGTGGGAATTGAACAATGAGACCACATGGACACAGGAAGGGGAATATCACACTCTGGGGACTGTGGTGGGGTGGGGGGAGGGGGGAGGGATAGCATTGGGAGATATACCTAATGCTAGATGACGAGTTAGTGGGTGCAGCGCACCAGCATGGCACATGTATACATATGTAACTAACCTGCACAATGTGCACATGTACCCTAGAACTTAAAGTATAAAAAAAAAAAAAAAAAAGAACATGTCACCATCAGCCAAGGGTATTCTCAAGCTTTAATTTTATTGATCCCTCTCTTCCTCTGCCACCATAGCCAATTCATCTATAAATTTTAATTCAAAACCATACCCTGAATCTACTCCTCACCAGCTCTGTTGCCACCCCTTCCTCTAAGCCAATGCCATCTACCATCTTCACTACTGCAATAACCTCCTACCTGCCCTCACTGCTCCTACACTTGCCCTCTCCCAATCCAACAGTCACATAAAAATTATTTTTATCATAATTCAATTCATATTGTTCCCTTGCTTATAATTTCCCAGCTGCTCCCTATTGCTTTGCACTTGGAATAAAATCCAACCTCTTTACAAAGCAGACAGGCCCTCTCATGAGTTAAACCTCACGTTCTACTCTGAGTTGGTCTCCTACCACTACCTACCTTCTTCTTTTCCTCAGATATGCTCATTTTCTTCTCATTTTAGGTCCTTCGCTCTTGCTTTTCCCCCATCTTTGCTTGATTGGCTCTTTTCATCATTATTGTTTCATCATAGTCTCAGCTTTAATATTGTCCCCCAAGAAATGTCTTTCTTGACCACCTAGTCTAAATTAGCTTCTCCCACTCATACACCAGATACTAACTTCCACAGCTCCATGTTCTGTTTTCTTCATAGCACATCGCATGTTTATTGTATTCATGGCACTTCATCACTATCTGAAATAATATGTCCACTTATTGGGGTTTTTTTGGTCTCTTTCCTCCCCACACCTCAATTATTGTAAGTTTCATGAGAGTATAGATTTTCCATTTGTTCAACTTACATTCCCGAATCCAAACCTACATAGTAGGTGCTCAGTAGATATTTGTGGTATACATGGATTAATAAATCTAGGTTGTGGGAATGAATGGATAGTTTACTTGAGAGCCAATATCAGGACAAACATATTCCAACCATATTGTCTATTTCTTTGCTCAGAAATCCAGAAAGTGTGGGCTATATGTCCACACCAAGAGCTAGGGCTGGAGTCATCCCGGCAGAGCCACAGGGACTGAGAGTGAAAGAGGAGTGGACTGACAAAACAGACTGAGGATTGGATTTTCTGCCAGAAAAGGGGCAGGAAACAGCAACATTCATGCACTGTAAACACAAAACAAGACTATAGTTACACTGTGATTAAAGTTATAAAGATTAAGCATGGATATGAAAAGAGCAACCAAAAATTATGAAAGTAAAATCATGAGGTTTAGGTATAGTGGAATAAGGAACAATGAATGTTCTCTCTAAAACATTATTTAATGCAATTTTAGTAATGACTTTACAATTTAAACTCATGAGAGAACTAAACTCTAAGGGAAAGGTGTTAAAGGAAGCAGACGAAAATGATAGGGGTTAATATGCCAGAAAATCACAGGGATGTTGTAAGCATCTCCAATACATTTTCAACTTCTCTGAAGATGCTTCAGGTATTAAAAGACCCAGGGTTATAATCATTTATTACATTAAGTATACACTTCTTGTAAGTCCACAAGCTCTGAGAAAATAAAGGCAGGGTCTAAAGGAATTCAAGATAAGAATCACTAGGCCATTGCCAAATGCAATTGAGCAAAGTTCCTTGTCTCCCAGGCTTCTTCATGCATATCATTCAATAAGCACACACTTGAGGATCTATAACATTAGACACAAATGAAAGACATAATCTCTATATTCAGATGACTCACAGGTAAATAAACAATGAAAATAACCTGATGAGTATAATAATAAAGGTAAAAACCTGGGAGCTACAGGAGCATAAAGCAAAAGCTCCATGCTTATTAAGGTATTGACAATATTCAGGAAAGGCAATGTCTGCACTAATCTTGAAGGAAGAGTAGGAATTCTCAAGACAATAAGCCCTCTCAGGGTTTAGAGAAAAGGGATATCTAAATGTGTGGAGGAAGAAGGCTTCCCAAAAGAGACAGAAATTGAATTTGACTGGAACAATGAGTAGGATGTGCAGAGGCAGACAGATTAGTTTCCTAGGGCTGCCATGGAAATTATCACAAATGGATAGCTTAAAACAAAAATGTATTCCCTCACAGTTTCAGAAGCTAAGTCCAAAATCAAGCTGTCAGCAGGGCCTGCTACCTCCAAAGCCTCTAGTGAGATTCCTTCCTTGCCTCTTCTACCTTCTTGTGGGTGGTTGCTAGCAATCCTTGGCATTCCTTGGCTCAAGGTAGCATCACTCCAATTTCTGCCTCCATCTTCATATAATACTCTACTTTCTGTATGTCTGCAGGTCTCTGTTTCTGAATTTCTCTTATAAAGACAGTAGTCATTGGATTTAGAGCCCACCTTCAACCAGTATGATGTCATCTAAACTAATTACATCTGCAAAGACTCTATTTCCCAATACTCTGAGGCTTCAGATGAATATGAATGTTTGGGAGAAGGGGAGCACTATTCAACTTAATACATCAGATGATATGAAAGTATAATTGTCAATTCATGGACCACCCAGAGCTACTTTTGTGAGATTTGACATTCATAGGTATATATTCAAAATATATAACAAATGGTACAGTAAATACCCCTAAAGTACACACACACACACACACACACACACACCCTAAATAAGCTAAACTGTAAAACTAGTTATTAAGTTTTACAAGTTGTAGCATAAATCATTTATTGTCCTAAAAACCTCCAAAATGTTGGTTCTATTGGTGCAATCTTTTGTAGCATGACTGATACTTGTTGTCTGAGCCATATTTTGACATGGAGGAAATCACCTCAAACTATTTTAGTGACTTTCCCATTTAATCAATAGCTATTAGGTCACATTTTATCTTAAGCTGTAAAGATTTCCTCTTAAAACTGACAATATTCATTCTCCTATTGAACCCTCTCAGTTTCTACATAACCAATAATAATTGGGCAACAGCAATAGCCCAATTTATCAAAAAGGCTAAAATTTAATATTAAAGTGTCTTAGATATATGTATATATATATATTTGATATTTTTACTGTTGCTTAAGTTGTAACAATCATTTACTGGAATGTCATAGATATTAAGTCAAACCTTATCTTATTTGCTGAGAGGCAGTGAGGTTGTTGGCAATTTATGGTCAGCAGCCTGCGGCCAAACCCTGGCTCTATAATTAAATCTTAAATAACTTTTCTCCACCTCAGTTTTTTTCACCTGTAAAAGAAGATAATGATGATATTTGTGATATTCAACCTAGTTAATTATGCATCTCAAAAAGTGCCTGGCATAGAGCAAGTGATATATCAGTGTTAATGCTCATTTTATTAATAAATCTAATGCTTTTAATATCTGTAATAAGTCAGCTTTTGGTGGCTTTTGATGAATTTTTCCCATTCCATGGAGATGAACTTCAACAGGATTGCTTAAAAGAGAGACCTAAAGTCTTGGCATCCCTCACCCCAAACCATCCCCCGGCACAGCTCTTCTTCATGTCCTATCCCAGAAGTGCTTCCGTGGCATGCTGGTGGAGCTCACGATGCCTAATTGGCTCCTGAACAGGCCTCCCTGACTACCCACTCACTTGGTTGTCCATTCTTGGATCACTCAGAGCCAACATCTTTGGCTTGGTAATAAAGCCTTTGTACTAAAAATAGCTGTGTGAGGGCAACTTTAGGGAAATAATAGGCAACAGGGAGCAGTCACAGATGCAAGTGCTCATGTGGCATTTCCCACTGGGGGACCGGTGAAACCACCAAGGAGGCCTCCTCTCTCACCAGGGTTGAAATTCCTCTGGTCTGGGGCTCCACTAGATTGGGTGGCAGATGCCAGAATTATTCCCAGGTGCTGTCCACCATGTCTTGATTAATCTGGACAATAATATGGGCAGGGTTCAAAGCAGCCCATCAGGATCTCAGGTAAGCCAATAATGTTGCCCAGGAAGTGGGGCTTCTAGAAGCTAATGACATTGTGAACGATCAACCAAAATAGACGCTAGTCGTGGTGCTGGAACACGGTCCTGGCAGCCGCTGCTATACTGTAAAGCAACTCACCAGTTACCCGATCATGGTTATGACCAGGAGGTCCAACGGATGAGCTAGGTGGGTCTGGGTCTGGGTTCTCAGATACTTTAACGTATCAAAGCCCATGTTGAATATCCAAGAGGGGGCCTGTAGTGTGCGATGTATTTTAATTGTACTTGACCACAAAACTTTTCTTTTGTTAAAGAATCTCTTGGAATTCATATTCTATCAAATTCATTTGGTTAGATGCCGGTGTAATAAAAAGAACACAGGTTTGGGAGACACTTGGGTCACAATTTTACTTTTATCTCCATCACATACCAGAAACATCGCCTCAGACACTGCTTGCTCTCTCTGACCCTCACTTTCATTTCATTTGTAAAAGGGGAATAATAAGATTCAGCTTTAACAAATTATTATTAAAGCATAAGACCTGGAGAGAAAGAAAACTTTAGGGATTGTATCAAAAGCAGGTTTGCTGTTCCTCAGTTTGCTCATCCTCTCTCCAGAGACTACACTTTCCAGGCTCCCTTGTCTCTAGTTCTGGTCCATGGAAGGTGGGTGTCTAGTGATGACTCCACTTCCAAACCAGAACCATGAAACCCTTCTATAAGCAACACAATACTCTCCTTCTCTCCTCCACCCCCAAGCCCCAGTAATTGGATGTAGTGGGTTCTGTCAGGACAGAATCCTAAGGAGGAAGGAACATATCGGTCCTTTGACTCACTTCTAGAAAGGAAACCTCCCAGCCAAGAGTGCCCACTCAGGCAACGCATTAGCAAGAAATAAACATGCATTGTTTTGCACCACTGATATGTTGAGAGGCTTTGTGACATTCCTCTGGTATGGACGGAAATCCCAGAGTACAATGCCTGGTAAATGTGTAATAGGTGGTAGACGCTGTGGTTGCTATTGAGATTACCGTTGTTCTTGTTGTTGTTGTTGCAGAAATACACTCAGAAAGAAACAGATTCTTGCAATTCTGCCAAAATGTCATGGAAGTCAAATTCCCAAATACATTTGTATCTCTCAATGGATCTATCAACTCTGTGTTGTATGACTGTAAAGTACTGATTAGTCAGCTTGGGCTTCCATAACAAAGTGTCACAGCCTGGCTGCCTTAAAAAAACAGAGGCTTATTTTCTCACAGTCCTGGAAGTTTGAAGTTCAAAATCAAGGTGTCAGTAGTCTTGGTGTTGTAGATGACCATCTTCTCCCTATGTCTTCATGTATGAATTTTAGGGGAACACAATTCAAACCAAAACAATCACCAGCCTTCAGCACTGTCTTCAAAGAGTTAAAGAAAACTTGTCAGATAACAGCCTCATTTGCTTAGTCTGTTTTCTCTTGCTGATGACAGAATACCTAAAACTGAATACTTTGTAAAGAAAAGGAATTTATGTATTAAGTTATGGAGACTAAGAAGCTCAAGGTCCAGGGGCCACATCTGGTGAGAGGCTTCTTGTCAATGGGGATCTTCTGCAGAGTCCTGAGGTGTTTCAGGGTATATCATGGAGAGGGAGCCAAGCATGCTGACGTGCTAGCTCAGGTTTCTCTTCCTCTTCTCAGAAAGCCACCAGTTCCACCCCCATAATTACTCATGACCCAATCACCTCTTAAACACTCTACCTCTCGATAGTGCCACATTGGGGATTAAGTTTCAGCATGAGCTTTGGAGGGCACAAATATTCAAACTACAGCACTTATACTCTTACTGGAGTGTTGATCACACATCAGCCGGCATCTCTACTTAAACTTATTCTACAAATGTCAATTTTACACTCTCTACTTGGAGACAATGCTTTATTGTGGGATAAGGAAAAAATAGCTGCAGCAAATATAATTGGTTTCCCCCTTAGTTATTCCACAAAAATTCACGTGATGTATTCATTTAAACATGAAAGGAAGTGAATTTCAGACAAAATTCCTACTGAGAAGAAAATAAAGCAAACCCCCCATTATGATTCAGTTATCCTTTAATTATTGTGTTCCATCACATATGGATATATGGCAGGCACTTGTTCAAAGGAAAAACAGTATCTCTGGCATTCACGCAGATTTTTAGAAGCATATCTGGAAAGCAATTTTTTCAAAATATTTTTCAGTTTCCAAAATTATTGGAAAGCTGGAAAACAGGCTGGAAAGAATAATGAAATTGTGTATTGCCTTTAGAAATTGTTGCATTCTAGAAAAATAACTCATCAAGTAGATGAGTTAAGATCAGTAGAATTTATTTTAAAGGCACCAGGAGGATTCCTCATTGAACACGAAGCTACCATATGTATTGTTGTAGAGTACATACTCATCCTATGGTTTTACTCCCCCCGTCTCCTGACGCTGTTTCAGCAGGGATATCTTCATTTATCCTTGCAGTTGCAAGGAACAGCCCTCACCAGTAAGTAAAACCTTGAACTCACTGCTGCCTGATCACCCTCAAAGTCTCAGATGGAAAAAAGACAGATTTAAGAAGGATTGCCTGAGGGCCTTATAGTCTTTTTGTTCCTCTCATCTAGATGCTCTCAAAGTCATTCTTGGATTAAGCTAGGCAAACAGAACCCCTTCTCACTTGGACCATATTCTTTCGCTCCCATCCTGTAAAGTACAAAAGAAGCTATGGACTCACACTGAAGCTTCAAAGAGAAACTGGGTGGGCTTGGAACATGCCCTGGGGTGAAGATCTTGGTGTGGGCCAGCAACGATGTAATGTTACATTTATTTACTGAGAGCAAATTATCTGCTCTGCACACTTCTGGCTTCATAGCATACAGGATTTTCATGGACATATTATTAATTTTACAAAAGCAAGTTTTACGTGCCTCATTCACTGGGCTTTCTCCAATGCATATCACAAGGCTTCAATAAATATCTTATTCACTCTCTACAACAACCCTGAGAGGTCATTATCTTTATCTTAGGGAAGAGGAAAATTAGGCCCAGAGAGGTAGAGACTTACCTGGGTTCCACACCTAGCGAGAGGCAGACAGGAGACCAAGCCCAGGTCCAGCACCACCCTTGGATTCAAGCAAGGGCAGGGCCCCTGCCCCAGACCTGGCTCTGCAGGGACCCCACACTTTGTCATGCCATTTTCCTTGAGTATTTCTACATCCTCCTACAGTTCCTGGGGCTGGCTGGGGCAGGCAGTGCCTTCTAGCAGTTGTCCCTTACCTGTACTTGTCCTTTGTGAGCCCTGGTCTCATCTCTCCTCTTTGGGATACTCCTGATGTTACCAAGCAATCAATGGGCTCACTGTCCAGTGTGCACAGAAGCCAATCCTGTCTCTACTAAGACAACAAAAATTAACTGGGCGTGGTAGCGGGTGCCTGTAATCTCAGCTACTCTGGAGGCTGAGACAGGAGAATTGCTTGAACCCAGGAGGCACAGGTTCCAGTGAGCCAAGATCATGCCATTGCACTCCACCCTGGATGATACAGAGAGACTCTGTCTCAAAAACAAAAAATAAAAAATAAAATAAAATAAATAAGGATCAGTTTGCATGTGAAATAAGAGAACTGGATGGGACTGAAACTAAGTTCATTGTATCTGGAGGATTTATACATATCTCTTTCTCCTTTGTGTATAGAATTCTTCACAAGGTCACCTATTTTATAATGGAATATTTACAAAAGTAAACAGTTCATCAAAATTAGTTAATTACTGTATTAATTCGTTTTCACACTGCTGTAAAGAAATACCAGAGACTGGGTAATTTATAAAGGAAAGATGATTAATGGGCTCACAGTTCCACATGGCCGGTGAGGCCTCAGGAAACTTACAATCAATCATGGCAGAAGAAGGGGAAGCAAGGACCTTCTTCACATAGTGGCAGGAAAGAGAAGTGCAAGCAGGGGAAATGCCAGATGTTTATAAAATCATCAGATCTCATGAGAACTCACTCACTATTATGAGGACAGCATGGGGGCAACTGCCTCCACGATCTAATCACCTCCTACCTGTTATCTCCGTAGACACGTGGGGATTATGGGGATTACAATTCAAGATGAGATTTGGGTGGGGACCCAGCCAAACCGTATCAATTAGTTACAATATGCTTTGATTATCATCACTCTTTGAGACAAGCCTGCAGGCACAACACTTGCTGCTATCAGATACACAGCAGTGACAAGAGGCAGGGCTCAGTCCCATTAGGCTTTTTGTTTTAACCTGTCTCAGGTGTGCAGTGCCAGTGGGTCAGGCAGCACTATCTGGTGTAGAGTTAAGAATTGGATCACTGTTCAAGAACCAGGCATTTTCTTCTATTAAACTACAAAAACCTTTGGATGAAAGGCCGCATGAAACTTTATGTGTCATTAGCATCTTGAGGGATGCTTGTTTACATATATCCTCTCATGTGAAAAAACTGAATTTAATACTGGTGAAAAGCAAAAAGAAGTGTAAAAAGGGATTAAAACCGTGGGAAAAGAAGGAGTTCCAAGGACCAACCTCGTCTGCTTTATAACTTTGCCTTCAGAATCTGACTCTAGACAAAAAAAATGGCTTAAAAGAAGTAACTTTTCAAAACTTGTTCTTTTCACCCCCAAATCATAAATTAAGGTGAACTGATTGATATATTCTACTTTGCCTTTGGGTATGACCATCAAAACAACATAATTTCAGGTTTTGTTTTTTGTTCTTTGTGTTTTAAGGATCCGAAGAATGAATTGGAGTAAAGTGATTAACTCTTTGCTACGTCTTGATCAAGTGCCCTTCAGAATAAAAAGAGATCAAATAGTAAGCTATTCTTAATTAAAGTGAATGAATAGAATTGATTTAATAAAATTATAATGTTGTTTAATGACTGTGGGAGATTGTGTTCAGGGCAGAAAACTGACATTTTGCCTTAATCGATGCACATTTTATTAAAATCAATGAGGTCTATTACATAAGGCCTATTGAAAGTAACTTTAATAAGGTCCAATCTATAAAAAGTAACCAACTCTAATTCAATTGAAATTTAACCTGATGGTAACTACAATGTTCATCCAACATATACTTATTGAGTGCTTACTATGTACTAGGCACTGAGGAAGTATCAATGAAAAGTCGCTTTTTCCTTCCCTTAAGGTACACAGTGTAGGATAATTAGCTGACAATTTTGAGTTAGATTCAAGTGCACCTCAACTTGTGGTATTTCACTTACATTTTAAAGAACCATTTTTGTTACATTTTAAATAAAACTTCAACTTGGAAAAAAAAGGAATGCTAATGTCCTTTCCAATTCTAATATATGACTTGAATTGTTAATTGTTAATAGTGGAATGGTCTCAGTTTCATGTTCAAAGGGAGTTTTTGGTATTAAAAAAATGGCTACTATGCATCGCAGTGTGCATAGCGTTTTCCTCTCTTATGATAAAAAAGAGATTTTCAGCCATGTCTGTCTTCCACATTTGCTTCCAGAAGGCTCAGATGCCCACCTCCAGGAGGCAGGTGGGGTGGTACAGCCTGCTCTTAGTCTCATGCTTTCTTCTTGATCTTGGCTGCCCATTAAAACTTCTGTTTCCCTGATCCCGATTCTTGGTTCTTATTGATATTGAATTTCACTCTATTACATTTGCCTTTAATGTAAGATGCTTTGAAACTGTTCAGGAACAAAGTGAATTATAACTTTTTTTAAAAAAAGTTTTTAACTATTTGAGGGCTAAAACAATATAGTCCCTATTTCCCTAGGGTACTTTGCTCAGCTTGTGTGATGTAACAGATAAGCATGAAATTCTTCTTATTTTAAATTCAGCAGATAACTTTATTCATTAACTCAAAGAATATATATTGAGCACCTCCTATGTTCCAGGAGTGCTTAGTGCTCAAGTTGTAAATATGAGTTAGACTCAAGTTGTTCAGGGTAGGCTAATTACTATAACAACAAAAACAAAAACAAATCTCAGAGGTCAAATATAACCAAAGCTCATTGCTCACAGTCCTAAGCTGGAGGTGTCTATGTTTCATTATGCTTAGTCCTCAAAGTGGCCCTAGGTATCAAAATCCAGTTGAAAGATGGGGATGAAAAAAAGTGTGGAGGCTCCCGTGAGAAGGAGTTTTAGGGCCAGCTCTGAAAGGCCAGCCACTTCCACCCACATTCCAAAGGCCAGAGTTTGATCCCAAAGTTGCACCTAACTTCAGGTATTTGTTGACAGGGGCTAGGAAATGTCTTACTGGATGACCAGGAAAAGAAAGAAGAGGGGCTTGATGAGATTCAGGCACTATATCTCTCGTGGTCCAACCCTCTGAGCACCTTGAAGCATGCTCACTCCCTCCTGCTGGAGACAATGCAAAGACTCAGGCAGGCCCTGTATCCAGCCCAGGCGCAGGCTCTCCAGATGCTGTGTGGCTTCTTACGGTGGAGAGTCACTTGCCCTCCACAGATACATGCACACTTAATAAGCAATGGTGGACCAGGGTCAGGAAAATGACAATAAAAATTCCTAGTCTGAACATAAAAGAATGGAGGGCACACAGAAGTTACTGACCCAGTTATAAGACCCAGCTGACTCACAGGGCAGGGCAGTTCCTTGACTAGGCTTTGATATTGTCTTGTGATAGGAATACTTCTGTCCATCTCCCACTATTCTCCTTGTTATATCTGAAAAGGGTTAAGGAGGTATGTCTTCCTTGGGAACTGGTCCACTTCCCCATCCTTCTTGCTGCACCAAATGTAGTGTCCTAGAGATCAAACATGCAAAGTGGTCTTTAACTGGGGGAAGGAGATTGTTTTCATTTTGTTTTGTATTTTCCAGGATTACACAATTTTGTTGGAAATAAAATTTCTTCAAAAACGCATTTAGATTCTGATCTATTTGATTCTAGTTTACTCATGTACCTCTCACTATGCCCAAAGTTCTTTCAGAGATGTTTTAAATCCTGTCTATCTCAGTCATCCCAGGATGCTATAATAAATACCATAGACAAGGCAGTTTAAGCAACAAACATTTGCTAACATTTGCTTCTCACAGTTCTGGAGGCTGGGAAGTTCAATATCAAGATGTCAGCCAATAACGTTCCTGGCGGAGATTCACTTTCTGGTTTGCCAACAGTTTGCCTTCTTGCTGTGTCCTCAGTGGTTGAGAGAGGGATCATCTCTCTCATGTCTCCTTCATAAGGTCACTCATCCCATCATGAAAACTCCATCCTCATTATCTACTTACCTCCCAAAGGCCCCACCTCCAAATACTATCACACTGGGTATTAGGACTTTCACATGTGAATTTGGAGGGATACAAACATTCAGTCCCATAGAATTGTCTTTCTTCTATATATCGTGATCCCAAACCCCATGCTTCTGAGCCAAGGGCAGGCAGTGATCAGTTTCCCTGATGGGATCAGGGGAAACTTCTCAGAATAGGTAAGGCTTGATATCTATGTTGAAAAATCCATGATGTTCACCAATTATATGGAAAGGGAAAAAAGAGAAAGGTGTGACTGTGTAGCATAACCAGTAGGTTAGGGAAATTCTAAGTATTCTGGCAACTCCAGAGTAGGAGGTTCCCAGGCACAGTTTCCAGGACTGTGACTGAAAAGACCATCATGTGCCAGATCATACAGGGTCTTACTGGCTTTGTTGGAAGTTTGGCCTACAAGCAGCAGAGAGTCTCTAAAGGACTTTAAGCAGGGAATGACAAGATCAAAGTGGAGGCAGGGCTGAAAGAAGAACCACTCAGTGGCAGTCACCATAGCCTGGGCAAGATGTAATGAAGACCTGTTGAAGGCAGAAGCTGTGGGATGGAGGGGAGAGTTTGCACACAGCAAGTGTTAGGATGGAGATTCAGGGATTGCAGACAAGGAGGAGCCACTGTCCTCACTGCACTCAGTGATTTGTTAGATTTCATGCCCTCCTCACCCCTAGAAACCAATGACTGCGTGAAGAAATGGGAACAGCCTTCAGCTGGCTAGGTCTCTATAGTGATTCTGTCTATGAATCTGGAGTGAAAGCCCAAGCTCAGCTCAGTAGGCGAACAGATTCCTGACCCTATAGAGGAAGGATCCATGGAAATGAGTAAACAAAAATTAAACTGTAGATTCCACCAGTGCAAATGGTGTAGGAAGCTGAACCCCTCATCCCCTTTAGATAGGACACCATCCACTTGCCACTGAGAGGTAGAGAGAGTGAGAGAGCAAGATAGTGAGAGAAAACACGTATGATTTTACATGCAAACTCAGGAAGGCAACCATTAGGTTATTGAAAGTTAACATTTTTCCAGATATTATTTAATCGTTACCAGCTTCTTAGTTCTGCTTCACCAAAATACAAAAGCAAACACAGTTTTTTGCCCTTGTAGCTGTCTTTAATTCGATTTTAACACAATGCACCTTGTAGTATTTGGAATTGCACCTAATTAAAGCATTGAAATAAAGGTACTTTGTGAATCTCATCTTTGCCAGGTTTGTTACACTGGTTTGCTACTGGTGAAAATACTCTTTTTGAAAAAGTTGATCATCTTCAACCTGTCTTCACTGCTAAGTACAAGTGAGATATTGACATTGTATGTTCTCATTTATTTGTGAGATCTAAAAATCAAAACAATTGAACTCATGGACGTAGAGAGTAGAAGGATGATTACCAGAGGCTGGGAAGGGTAGTCGGGGGCTGGAGACGAGGTGGGAATGGTTAATGGTTAATAGGTACAAAAAAATAATAATTAGAAAGAATGAATAAGACCTACTATTGCCGATAGCACAACAAGGTAACTATAATCAATAATAACCTAATTGCACATTTTAAATAACTAAAAGCATTCAATTGGATTATTTGTAACAAAAAGGATAAATGTTTTTCTTTTTGGAAAATCCCATTCTCCGTGATGTGATTAAAATTCATTACATGCCTATATTGAAACATCCCCTGTACCCCATAAATATATACACCTACTATGTGCCCACAAAAATTAAAAACTAAAAAAAGAAGAAAAAAATCCAAGTGAGATATTAAGTTGTAGTATTGGAGTCTTACTCAGAATAGCACCATCAGGGTAGGTAGAGGCAAACTGGAGAGTGAGCATTAGATGACAGAAAGAACACCAGTTTTCCATCCTGGAGTCAAACTATGGGCCTTCCAATTCCTAGCTGTGTGGGCTTCGACAAATTGCTAAACCTTTCCAAGTTTTCATCTATAAAACATGGCAGAGAAGATTAGCAATGAAGGAAATGTGCAGGGCTGTGCCTGCCTGGATTGTCACAAAGCAGGTGCTCAGTAGTTGCAGACCTAGAGTTGCTGGTGATCCTCAAGTTCTGAGATAAGATGTAGACATCAGTTACACCTCATAAGGTATAAAGCCGGGGATGCTGGTAAGAAATGGATCCTGTTATTTGAATGACTCAGTAAACTCACAACCAGCTCCACTGACCAAACTTCCAGGGTAGCATCCTACTTGGGTAAGAGATTTGAGGGACTCAAAATACTGTCCTTCTTCAATTCTAAGACATAGATATCCGATCACATGTTAATATATCTGAAATCTGTATGCATACATCTTATTATTGATTTACAATTAATAAATGTCATAGTCCCAGACCCCACCTCCACCCCAGAATGCCATCATGAGATTGATGGAGTGTTTCCAACCAAAGACATTTTCAAAAAGGGTAAATAGGATTTACCATGCAAGGCAAGAAAAGCCAGTCCTTACCTGTTTTCAGCATATTTTAAAATTCAGGTCATCTTAAGCTCACATGGTTTCTAAACCTTTTACAGCAGGTGTGCATGATCAAAGTGCCCAAATGAAGTCAGATGTGTCTCTTAATATTTGGTTCATGGGTTGCACGCCCCTATGCCTTCACTCCACCATTGCATTTTTCCTGGAATACCTGTCTCATTTTACACTGACAAGTACCTGTTCATGTTTCAAGCTTCATCTGAGCTTCATCTTCTCTGAAGTCTTTTCTTTTCTCTTTTATTTTCCTTTTTATGGAGAATAGGGTCTTGCTATATTGCCCAGACAGGTCTCGAACTCCTGGGCTCAAGCTATCCTCCCGCCTCTGCCTCCCTAAGAGTTGGGATTACAGGCGTGCGCCACCACACCAGGACAAGCCTTTTCTGATATAGACAATGCTTACCCACAAGTGGAAATGAAAACTCCCTCCTCTTTGCTCCTCTTTGCCCCACGAGCTATTAGTTCTGGAGTTCCCTGTTATTTCTTTGCATCTGCTTGTTTATACATGAGTTATCTATTTCCCATCCCTCACCCCTTCGGGCAAGTACTGCTTGTGTCTCATTCCTCTCCCAGACCTGAACATTTACTTAGAACATAGTAGATATTCAAGAAGTTCTCTTGAACAAATTAATAAATACCCTCCATACTAGTCTTTTCATGTAAGAAACTCTATGAAGAACTCAGCTTTCAGAGTAACATAAAAGTAATTTGTAATCTAAAAATCCAAGTTGGAAGAGGAATCCCTTAGTAGTACAAATTTAAAGCTGGAGAGCTTCTAAAATGCATGTCACTATGAAGCGGCTGAATGCTAAAGTGTCAGTCCCTTTTCTCCTGTAAGTTTTGTGGCTGTGTGGTTTATTTGGATTTCCTTATTAACCTGTATTTCCCTTATACACCAGGCTGAAGTTCAATCTCTACAGAGTTCCTCCTATTCTTCCTGTATGAATCAAACCACGGATGCTCATCTTGTTGTCAAATTCACCTGACAGATAGATTTGCTACAACAAATGAAAACACTAAATAAGCAGCTCCCATCTATTTTTTATGGCTGACATTCGTTCCCAGCAAATAGCAAATGTTATCCCAGGATGAGAGCATCTATAATTCCTGAAGTTTTTATTTTGCTATAAATCATAGTGAATATTTCCATTGTGAGACTGTTTTAAAATGTAAAGCAAAAGTTAAAATACATGTACTTTTAAAATTCCTTAGAAAGTGTCACAACAAAGTTTTGTTCCAGAAAGAAGTATGGTGAAGATGGCCATGGAGAAGACCATAGAAGGGTTAAAAAAAATCACCGGAAATATATAACCTAATTATACTTTATAAATAAATATATTTTCACGTATGCATATATAGATAGATAGATGCAATCAAGAGTTTAAAGACAAGGTGCGTAATTACAGATGCCTCTTCTCCTGTCAGTTTCAGATTTTTGTTTTCACCGTACTCCAAGGTCATCACTACAACTGTCAGACTTTCTGAACCTAAGACATTAGAGCAGCAGTTGTCAAAGGCTCACAAACTCACCTGCCATTCAGACAGTCCTCCCAGGGAAAACTTGACTGGAAGAACCAGGGCAAACAGAAAATAATTCTAGGAGAAGAGGTAATAGCAACAGCAAGAGCTAACAGTTACAAAAGTCTTCTTATGCATTATCTCCGTTAATCTTCATGATTGCTTGTAGGAACAGGTACTCTGATTAGTACCGCTTTATAGATGAAAAATTAAGACTGACAAAGATTAAGTACCTTGTCCCAAATCCCACAGCTAGTAAGTGACAGAGGGCCTGAAAGTGGTTGACTTTCAGTTTGTATTGAAGACCAATATAAACAAAAAATTTGAAAGGCCCTATAGAATTTTCCTTCTTCCTCTTTAGATTTGAATTAAGGAGAGAAAAGGGTAATGGTACTATATTTGGGCAAATTATCTCCTGGTTCGAGTCATTTCTATCCGTCAGCATTTCTGGAGGTCCAACAAAGTTCCACCTGCCTGTATGGTGACTCTGGTCAGCTGACCACAGTACCGGAAGGTCTGGCTATCACATCCTCCATGTTTCCTTGGGACAGCTTTGGTCTCTACAATATAGTACTGTATCTGTGTTCACCTGAACCAGATGTGACTAAAAATTTGTCATAATTCTAATTTCTTTCAACCTCTTTCAATTCCAAAAATTCCTAAAAATTAAATAATAAGAGGATTATAATTTCAAAATGTCATGTTTGTAAGTATTGCATAAATCACGCATTGCCTTCCCCAGAGATGCTATTTGTACAATTTCTCAAGCAACACCTACTATGCTCCAGTTACTTGTGCAAGGATGTCTGCATGCATTTTCTCACTCCATCATTACAAAATCCCTACAGGGTGTGTTATTAGTCTATTTTATATATGAAAAAAGTTTTAAAACCAGAGATTAAATAAAGTGCCCAAGGTCATAGAGGCATTAGAAGGCAGAACCAAAATTTTATCTTAGGTCCGACAGCCTGTACAATACAAGACACTCTCACTTCCTGCAACCTAAATGAGACTAATGCAAACTACTCAACAAAAGACTCAGAATTGGACTTTTCAGCACTTTCTCTCCACTTGTTTTCTGCTTTTGTTTTGTTGTTTTTTGCTGGGTTTTTTTTTTGTTTGTTTGTTTGTTTGTTTTTTTTTTGCATTTTACTTGAAAACATCTCACGTAAAATCATCCTCTGATTTTTTTTTCCCTGAGAGATGCTGAATAAACAGTTTTGGTGATGTGTCCACAATTACAAACTTTTCATGATCCAATTAGTAATCTGATACTTAGGTATTTATTGCTTTCATAAGACTCTGCAAAATGACTTTGAAAAATTGCCCTGACTCATGGTTCATATCCGAGGCTTTATCAAATGCACATTTTTTAATATAATGCGGGTGCCATGAGGTTACAGGCACATTGCATTCATATTCAATAACACTCTATAATCCTGAAAATAAAATACTGGGTTACTTTTAGGAAAAATTCCTTCCTGCCTATATTTTTTATTCCAAAACCATAAATCATCTATGAGATGAATGTGGCATTTCCTGAATAAGAGAGAGAGTTAAAGAGTTTGAGAAAAGGAAAAAACAGTCAAACATCAAAATAAAAATTAAGATGTTACTACATTTCATACAAATGCAAGTCATCATGTGAAAGTTTGGCAATTAATGCTCGAATATTTTATTCCAGTGAAGCCTCCTCTGAACCCACATCTAATTACTAGGACATCCGCTGAGAAGTTTTTTGATAACACAACAGTGCTCAAGATCATTTCTATTTTCATTTATCAACATAAAATGTGTAGCGCTCCTAACTCTCAGGCTTTAGGGGATGTTTATATGGAGCCAAAACTGTTGTCATAACAATTCAGATAAATTACATAACTCTAAGCAATGAATTGACTCATAGCTATGGAAGTTTTCCCAGGTAGATTTCAAACGCAGTTTCTAAAATGATCCTCCTCATGTCTATTATCTCCTTTCTCCCACCCATTACACCAATTATTCCCAACTGCTGGAGTCTACATCAAGGAGAGAAGAGAGGCAAAGAGCACCCTTCCCTGTCATTGGCCAAATATTCTGTTTTGTTTTGTTTTGTTTTGTATTCAGAAATTTCAATCAAACCCTCAGGAACCCATGCCCTGGCAAAGCCCATGCCCTGGTGAACTCAGAATTTTAGCAATGGGCATACTGATTGTTAAATGACCGTAAGCTCTGGTACTCTGAGCCCCAAACCAGAGCTTGCTCTCATCCATCTTCTCCCACAGCTCTAAATACAGCCCTAAAGTGAGACCACTAAAAAAAGTCACTTGATAAGGTGCCTTATTATTTCAACATCCCCACAAAAGTCCAATAGCTGGTGAATTCCTTAAGGAAGGAACAGAGAAGAAGGGGGCATCAAGTAGAGGTTGTTGACAATAATGCACATGGATGAAAAGGATAGTCAGTGATATAGATTGAAGAGGATGAGGAAATAAAAAGCACCATAAGCACCATTATGCATTGCACACCGACAATATTGGCATTTAGACTGGATTACTCTTTGTTTTGGGATCTACACTATGCATTAAAAGGTATTTAGCAGCATCCTTGGCTTCCTCCTATTAGATACCAGTAGCACCACCTCATCCCAAGTTTTAACAATCAAAAATGTTTTCAGACATTGCCAAAGATCCCCTAAAGACAAAACTGGCCTTAGTTTACAACTAATGTTGTAGGTATACCAATTAATCTCAACCCTGCCCATGAGGAAGGCATTATCATTCTTGTTTTCCCAGGGAAAAAATAACAGAAACACTGAACCCTTCTATAGAGCTAATCACGGGGCAGGCATGCTTACATATACACTCACCTATCACCTATTATATATAAATCCCCATGGGTTTATATATAACAGTTAGTATTATCCCCATTTTACAGTTGAGGAAGCTGAGGCACAAAGCTGGTCAAATCCTGCTTGAGGTTCACACCCAAGCTGTGGACCTTCCTTGATGAGGCAGCCAGCTCCTGTGCTTGCCCAGGGTTGGTCCCACTGTAGGACATAAGAAATTCTGCTCCAAGGCCATGCTCCTTCCACCACCTAAAGCTGCTCCTGAAACAGAGCAAGCCATGGTAGAATGTAGAATGATGCTGTACTCACAGGTATGACCCTGAAACACCTGGGTTTCTAATGAGAAAGAGCAGTATCTTCCACTTTGAAAACCAAATCTACCGCATGCTCACATGGAGACCACCAGGCTCATGAAGCAGTCCGTATCTTTCCTAGGGAACGATAGGCAAGTCTTCTCACGGAAACACTTTCTAATCATCCTTCCAACATCTACACTCTCAGCCCTCTTTGCTCACCCATCTCAAAGAAAGTATTCTACCACAGACTATCTACAAAGATAGTAAACCTTTACAGCTGTATCCTAACTGCTGCTTTGTTTAATATAGAAGCAGAACATTTGATTGAATTAATTGCAAATTAAAAAATAACCAATAGACAAGAAAGATTATTTGCTAAATGTACAGACCCTTGAGTAAGAAAAACTCAGGTTCAAATCCTAGCTTCCCTATTCATCAGCTCTAGAAATGAAGAGTTCCCATGTCATCAGATAGGGATAACAAACTCCACCTCTTAGAGTTCACAGTAGGCAATATAAAGCCCCTATCAAGGGGCTGGGAGGTCGGGGTCTTTGTGGTTTAACGAGGAAAAGAAAGATGAGGGGTTAGCTAGTGAAACAGAATGTCGGGCTTTCTTCTCACAACCATCTTTCCTCACCAAGACAGAATGAGATAAAGGTGAATCCACTGGGCTGGTGATTAGCAAAATCCAGACCAATTGCAGCATCTTCTCTCTCCTCTGAAGGGAGGCAACATATTGATTCTACTTTGAAATATCAAGGTCTCACTTCAGGGAACATAACTTTCTTTCTTTGGCTCACAAAGAAACAATGCTAAAAAATAAAACTACCTATGCATCCTCTAGTGCATGGATTCAGATGGGCTGAAGCAGTAAAAGTGACTTTCCCACAATTCCATTTTTACAATAACCCTTCTCCCAGGGCATCAATATTAATACAGTCACACTTTCCAGGAGGGTGAATTGCTAAATCTGCAAAGCCCCCAAGGACAGCTTAACTGTAAGCCATTCTCTTCAGGATTGTAAGGTGATGCATAGCCCTCCTGGGTAGACATCCTAATGTATGCAACAGCCACAACCGTGGCAGGCAGAAGCTGCGAGAGTGATAGTCAGGAAGGAAAGATAACTGGGAAGGCAGGAATACAACCTCACGCACTCACCAGCCATGTAGGCAACCTTAATCACTCCAGTGGAATCTTTTCTCTTCATGTCCTCCCTGCTCACCAAAATCTCAGACCCCTTCTGTCATGAAGGATGAGAAGAAGGCTGGTGAAGCTCCCGCAGTTTCTATGGCAGGCACTTGTAAGAAGATGCTGAGCTAAGCCTGTTCTCTTCTCTTCTTGAGGTGCCCCAGCATTTTACTTTCTGCCCTCTCCCCACTTGTGCCCTCCTCTCCCCTCTTCAGCCCCATAGTTGCCTGATTCTCCTAACTACCTTCCCCTTTCTTTTCCTCCAGAAAATCACCCCTGTGAAATGAAGATATCTTTGTTGTCTAGTTTGAACTAGGAAGAATATTCTTTTCTAAGAATTCAAATACAAAATTTATTTTCCCCAAAATATAAGTCCTAATAAGGAATACTAACAGATAGAACATTTAAAGATAAAACTTATAGGCTACGAGTTTTCTACATTTGTTATTTTTTCCCCTCCTTAACTGCTCTCAATTGCAGCTAAATTTAATTTCCTTAGATTCCGAGTTTCGGAATAGATTTATATTTTGTAATTCACTGGTCATCTCTCTTTAGAGTCAAAAGTGTCCTAGGACACCAAGGTATTTTTCCATTTTTCCATCAAAAATTCCTACAGAGCTACCTGCGATGGGTCTTTCAGGATTTATTCCAATGACAGAGCCTATCTTTGAAGTAATTTACTGAGGGTTCCAGCAACCTCCCAGATTATTTAAAGAAAGAGGAGATAAAAGCTACCCTTGTGATGAAGTCCTTACAAACAACCCAGAAAGAGCAGAAATGACTTCCAATCAGGAAAACATTTTCTATTTAATGCTCTAAATTGAGGTAAAACAATCAACAGCTCAACACATATTTTCAGTGGCCACTGATAGACCAGACCTTACACACAATTGCACTTCTCATAGGAAGTGTTTGAGCTCAAAAGCAACCAGCTTCCCTTGGCCTCAGGTACCATTCATCCTTCTAACGAACAAGAACTTTTGAAAAGCAACTTTAAACAAGAAATTAATTTGTTTCTATTTGGTTAAGGTAGCATTGAAAATAACTCCCTCACTTTTTTCAGAGGGGTTTACCTTGTAAATGAGGATGTCTGATGTGGCAATCAAAGCAACGCATTGTTCATTGCATAATATAAAACAGGACGCATCATTGAGAAAGCTAAAACTGTTACCAAGTGGAAGGCATTCTTTCATTCATTAAATATTTACTGAGGGCCAACTATGTGTCAGGCACTATTCTAGGGGGTTGGGAAACATCAGTGAACCAAACAGACAGAAATCCCCCCTCCTTGTGTAATTGGCATGATAGTTCATTAGGGATTCTAATTATAGAAAGCAGCATTATATTTTATTTTTCAATATCTTCTCTAGCATCTAACACAGTGTCTTGCATATAATATACCTCAATTAATACTCCATGGCTATATGACTGTTCTGTTACTAACCAATGTATATTGAGCACATATTATTTGCCCAGTACTGAAGGACCCAAAATGAATAAATCTTATTTTTTTATTTTTGATACAGAGTCTCACTGTAACCCAGGCTAGAGTGCAGAGGTGGGATCACAGCACACTGCAGCCTCCACCTCCTGGGCTCAAGTGATCCTCCCACCTCAGCTTCCCAAGTAGCTGGAAGCACAGGCACATGCCACCACGCCTGGCTAATTTTTGTATTTTTTGTAGAGATGGGGTTTCACCATATTGGCCAGGCTGGTCTTGGACTCCTGGGCTCAAGTTATTTGTCCACCATGGCCTCACAAAGTGCTGGGATTACAAGCATGAGACACCGCGCCTGGCCAAAATGTATAAGTCTTGATGCTTGCTCATGGGAAATCACAGGTCCTAGCACTTCCTGGTTTTCAGCTGACACAGTGGAAACCTATATAAGGGCAGGGGAGAAACAGGAGGTGGGAACAAGACTAATTAGAGGACTTAGAAAAGGGCTACTTAGAGGAGATGCTGCAAGAGCTGAATCTTGGAGTGTAAGTAGCTCAGCACCAGGTAAATGGGGACAGGTGTAGGGATAAGGAAAGGGTTGGAAATACCAGGCAGAGAAAACAGTATGAACCAAAGCAGAGGGGCAAGGAACAGTCTTCTGTGTCTGGAGTGGCCACAAGATAATAAATGGTTCCTCATCCCTAGTCAGAGACAAGATCCTATTGAACAAATCCTCAAGGTTTCCTCATCCTCTTGTTGGGGCAGTTGGGTGCCAATCCAAAGCCCATACCATTTCCAAGAAAGAAATTCTTATACTTTATAAAACACAGGAAAAATCATGATCACGTACTTCTGTGAGTAGAATATTTAACAAATCAGAAAAAACTACTTTGGGCTTGAGGAACAGAAATTATGCAGGGCTCAACCCAACCACACTCCCATAGAGGAACAGAAATTATGCAGGGCTCAACCCAACCACACTCCCATAGAGGAACTGAAGAGGTCATCGAGTTTTCTGAAAGGCACACTTTCTGCGGGCATACATGAGGGTCACTTTGATGGCCGGCTCTTAATTTACCTTCAAACGCCTCCTTCAGTGATGTGCCCGTTTGTCTCCTCAGCCTTGTTCACTACAGGGAGCTAAATATGCCTTTAATATTTATCTGTGCTGTGAAAACTGCTTCTACATGCATCCCTTTGAGGGAAATAGCCAAGATCAATGCAGGACTGACATATACTAAATGAAGAAACAAACAGAAATATTTATTTCTCTGTCCACAGACCACAGTGCCTCCTGAGGGTGAGAACAAATTGGCAGCAACAATACAGTACTCCAAGTGGGGAGGGCACTGCCTGTCTCTAGAAAGGCCAGGCTATACAATATTTTTTCTTTTTTTATAGGAGAGATCTATGCAAAAACATCACACAATGAAAATAATATTTTAAATGTGGTTTTTCTGTGACTGTCCTGAGATTAGAATCTTATTTTGCTTGGGGTTTTAATAATTAGTACCAATGAGTACCAGATGCTTTAAATACTTTATCCCATTAAATCCAGACTCCTCCAATTTAAGTATCATTATTGATATTTCACACATTATGAAACAAGCAACCAGACGGGGATGGTGCCTCACCCAAAGCCCTCAGTAGCAGTGGTTCAGTTTGTATTTGAGCAAGATTCAAGATTCATCTGGCCCCAAACCCTAGGCTCTTTTTTCAGTGAACACGACTTCCCGTGAATTTGGAACATTGGCTGAATATATAAGTATGTAACATATAAACAAGAATACTGTATGTCTTAGGTGTGTTTTCCCTGAAGCAGCTCTTGAGATAAGGATCTTGAGCAAATTACTTATTAAGGAAGGACTAGTGAGAGACAGACCATGAGCAAATTACTTATTAAGGAGAAACTAGTGAGAGAGAGACAGACAGACAGACAGACAGAGAGAGAGAGAGAGAAGCGGATAATTTCAGACAATCTTCCTGCGGAAGTAGCCTCAGCTGATCCTGCAGGAGAGAAGTCAGGAGCTTAGCAATCTCAGAGCCATCTCACCCAGATAAAGGGGCTGGGCAGCCCTGATCCTGTGTGTCAGTCACCCAGCCAATGGCAGCCCTGAGGATGTGAACTCTCAGGCAATCTGATGCTGCAGGAATCCTCCACTGGCCCGAAGACAATCTTCAAAATAAGGCAAGAACTTACTAAATTTGAAGAATAATTGTATAGAAACATTAAAATTGACCTGAGAAGGATATATGGCAGCACTGACAGGGTCCACTATACCATTTCAAAGCAAATTGTCACAACCAAAAATGTGAGCACAGGTTCATGCTCCAACGGATAGAACCAAAAGCAGCACCCATCCCAGCCCCTCCCTGACTAATCTGCAAATGGGCTTAGATCTGCAAGCTCCTCTTTCCTCCCCTGTCTCCCTGGGCCACTGAATCAATTCCAGCCAAGGCAGCAGTTTGTCCTTACACTCAGTGCCATCAGCTGCTGGAGGCAGATTTGGGGATCCTTCCTTTAGCTTGATCCTCAGAGTACCTGGAATACCTTTGCACCCTCCAAGTGTCAACCAAGTCATCTCCATGCTTGTCCAGTCTTTCTAGTACTTTGACAGGTTCAGAGTCTTTGTATAGTTCTTGCCACTCCTCCTCTCTAGGAAGCATAACCTGACTCCTATTTGTCTTGAAAGAGAGGATGCACAGTATAAGGTTATCAAGGCTATGGAGACATTGGTGTGCAACCTGCCTCTGCTACTTACTAGCCCTGGATTTTGGGCAATTGACCTAACTCCTCTGAGTTTCCTCATCTGTTAAATGGAGAACAAGAAGGCTAGCTCAGGATTCTCATGATAATTAAATAAAATAATGTACAAAACAACTATTTATAATGAATAGCTGCCATTTTCTATGTTATTGTTATTTTAATATGCTCTCCTGAAACCATGACTCCCTGATATAGCAATGGCAGCCTGGATTGAGTTCAAGTTCATAATTCTTTATCAGGAGGTCTAGTTCTAAAATCAGATTAGAATACTCGAGGTTTTTTCCTTACTTTTCTGAGATTTCCATTTTCAAGGACAAAGAACCTATGCAAGTTATGACAGTGTCAATCCTAGCCTTAGCAGCAGTAATCCATATAGGCCAAACCCTATAATCAGCTGAGGCTTATATCACAGACAGAGGCGAGATATATAATGACACCTGTGACCTATATTCCTCATTTATAACCTGGACTCCTGGCTTGCAGGAGGGTGGAGGATAGAGCAGCAATGAACCAGTTAAAAGCCACATAAGATTGCAGCAGGGTTCTTGAGAGAATTAAGCCCTAATCTCTTAAAGCATCCATTGTATGAAATGAATTAATTTCTCTCTCATGCATTTAGAATGTCACGACTTATATACCATCCTTGGGAGAATTGAGAAAATAGCCACTCAAATTATTTTCTGTGTCCTATAATTCATATGAGGAGCCCTATTTGAGAAGTGATAATCTAAATTAATGCTTCTTAATAGATATGCAAACTGAATTTATAGATTATAAATGCCTTGCTCAATCTATGGCATATGGCAAAGCTAAAGACAGGAAAGTTCTTTGCTAAATAGTCCCTAGTGTCATTATGTAAACCCATCTCTAGAAACCATCTTAAATAAATGCTTTTCATCTCTCTCACACACACAAATTCAGAAAGAGAGAGAGAATTTATGAATGAGATCTCCATCAGATCTCATTGCACACGACAGAGTAACATGATATTCATTTAACAGCTAAAAACACACTGGATAACTTCTCATTTAAAGGGGTTAGTGGTCCCTCTCCTCTGTGATTCCATAGTTCCTTGTGCTAATATCTCTCCTGGAATATGTTACACTGAATCTTGATTATGTGCTTTTGTATGCATCTTTCCACTGAATCGTGATGGCAGTTAATCAAGTTTACTCATTTCTAATATCCATACCCTAGCAGCATTTGTCACATAAAAGGCATCAATGTAAAAGTATATAAATAAACTGTAGTGGAGGAAAAAATTTTCTCTATTCTCTTAGGTTATTTGGAAGGGGCCTGTGAATTAAACTGACAAAAGTAGTATTAACGTTCCATACACTTTCCATTTGACGTTACTATTTTTTACATGTATGATGGGTTTCACAGAAAAGAAGTTGGGGGGAGGGGGGAGGGATAGCATTGGGAGATATACCTAATGCTAGATGACGAGTTAGTGGGTGCAGCGCACCAGCATGGCACATGTATACATATGTAACTAACCTGCACATTGTGCACATGTACCCTAAAACTTAAAGTATAATAATAATAAAAAAAAAAGAAAAGAAGTGAAAACTCCGAAAGAGTGGTTGGACTTGGGTGCCTATATACCATTTTAACAAAGGATGATAAATTTAGACAAATGACTAGACAAAGGAAGGAAGGCTTTGGTTTCTAGGGCAGTAAAATGTGGGAATGTAAATACATAGGGGAAACTATGGAATGGCAGATGAAAGTTATTTAGTAAAGCTTATTTACACAGAATCATCTTGGTGCCATCTCTGCCTGCAGTAATAAGGGTTAATCTCCTCTTCCTGGTACAAGAAGGAGAGAAGCAGATATCTCCACAAGGAAAATTTACATCGTGCTTTTAGGCAGAAGGAAAGAGCAGAGAACTTTTCCTGTGTTTGATTTTTTCTCAACTGCCTTCATCTCAGAATAAGCCTATGCCAAAGTGGCATATTTTGGGATGTCATATTCTGGACCCCTTCAAAATCAACTAATGAAAGCCATTTCAGAAAATGGAGCATGGTGAGTTTAGATGGTCTAACCTGGGGGATATGCACTCCCAAAATGAGTCAACTTATCAATTATTTACAGTACTTTGACTCTGGAAAATATGGCCACATATACTTATTAACTCTATCAGAACCATATACATTTCATTTTGACATATTAAAAACAATTATTTAAATAAAATTTAACAGCATCCAAAACCATGTAGCACACAAAGGAAGATTTGATTTTGTCATCTTGAAAAATGTTTATGGGGAAGCCACATGAGGTTGTATTGAAAGAAAATGCAGTTGTAACAATTTATATGATAAATAAATCATCCTGTGGATCAGCGAATGCAAACTTGATTGTAAGTCTTACTCAGGTAATTTAAATCAATAAAATGATTACTCAGGTAATTTAAATTGATAAATGGAATAGTTGCAATTGTTTTTTCACAAGGAGCAATAACTGTGAATTTTCATGTGAAAACTCCCAATTTTTAAATGTGAGCCAACGTTGTGTACACCAGACAAAATATGCTTGTGGGCTGGATTTGGCCTGAGGGGTTAGCGTCTAAATGACCATATCAGTGAAAACCTAAAAATTTGAGAGGAATGCAACATCTACACATTGACCAAAGTGAGTCAACAGAAGATTTCTGCCTCCACGCATTTTTTAATCTTTGTTCCACCCCCAGGCACTTAGTCTAAGTTGCTGCCAACAATGAGTATTTTAGACATAGATTTTACCTGCTGGAAGATTACAGTTTGGAACAAGGCAGGTTATAAATAAATAAACCACATTGAAGGCAAAATTGATGATTCCTATTTTTATGCCCAAATTGTACATGTTCTCTATCACAATCCTTGGAACTCTTTGTTGTCTGGTCCTAGCATTTATAAATTTAACTCTTGAAATTTCAATTACATGGTATCAGACTCAAAGGTCAAGGACATACAGAAAATTTCTTTTTGCTGAAGTAGCTATGTGAAATACAAATGTTGTGAGATCGATGTAACTAGTAAGACAATCTAGCCCACAGCTTAGCAGTCCATCTCAGCACAAACTCATCTTTTTTTGTTCTCTAACTCTTACATATGTGCTATGGTCTGAATACTTGTGTTCCTTCAAAATTCATGTTGAAATTCAGTTGCCAATATGTTAGTATTAAAATGTGCAGCTTTTAGGAGGTGACTAAGTCATGAGTGTGGAGCCATAGTGAACAGAATTAGTGACCTTATGAAAGAGACACAAGGGAAATAAGTTAAGTCAACCAGTAATTAAAACAAGAATAAATGTGGACTGTCCCAGGCATCCCAGGATACAATTTCCCTATGCTTGACCGTATTCCATGTCCTAATCCCGTCTCCTCCTGTATAGGAGTAACATTGTTATGAAGTTTATTGTTATGAAGTTCATGTGCTTCCATATAGAATTTTTCTCTGTATTTACATTTGTAAAATGACACAGTTTTGTTTTTCATTTTATTTTCCCCAAGATATCCTGTTACTCATTTGTGATCTGCAAAAAAAAAAAAGACACAGGGGAGCAGTTTGCCCCTTCTGCCATGTGAGGATGTGAGAAGAGACACCACCTATGAAGCAGAAGGCAGGCCCCCACCAAACATTGAATCTTCTGGTGCTCTGATCTTGGACTTCCCAGCCTCCAGAACTGTGAGAAAATAAGTTTCTACTATTTATAAATTACCCAGTCTAAGGTATTTTGTTACAGTATCCCAAACAGACTGACTACGTGCAATATATTTTATTAAGAGTTGAAAACCTTGATTCTTTAAAAAGAAGAAAAGAAAGCTACCACTAGCTCTTAATATATGCAGATGTAAAAGCTAACTTTCAGGGCTGGCAAAAAGTGGAAAAAGAAAGTAAAATTTCCACCTTAAGTCAGCCTCTCAGCAGCATGTCAAAGTTGAGCTTTTCATGTCAAAGTTGAGCTTTTCTTCCTTAAAGCATTTTTTCACTTCGCATTCAGAAGCCCAGTTTCTCTTAGCTGTCCTATCTTACTATTCATACCCCCTCAGTCATCTTTCCAGATTCTTCCTCGTCTTCCCAACATCTGCAGCCTAGAGTGGTCCAGATCTCAGCCTTCACTCCTCAAGTCTCTCTATTTTTAGTCTCCAGGGGATATCAGCCTGACCTAGGGCTGCAAATAACACCTACACCCAGGACTCTCAGATCCAGATCTCCCCCACATCACCCCAAACTCCAGACTCACAGTTGCTTCCACTCTCCGTATCCCTTTGTTTCCTATTCAAAAATGCAAGCCCAAACCCGTTCTTCATTCCTCCCCATTCCCTACCCCTTCACCCTTTCCATCTCAATAAATGCCTACTCCTGGCCACCAGTCATTTATTTCTCATCCCATAACATAATCTATTATCAAATCCTGTTGGCTCTATCTCTACCATGGAACTAGAATCTGCCCTTCTCACCATCTTTGTTCTAGTTCAGGTTACCAACATCTACCAAAACTGTTTCCACAGCCCATTACCTGCTTTTCTTGTTGGGCCCAGGATTTAATCTAAAATCCTTACGAAGTGCAACTATGCACAATAGACCTTCCATGCACAACGGACCTTCACTTCTTCTCTTCCTCATCATTTACTTCTCCTTCCACTTCTATAGCCAAGTTGGCTTCCTGGCTATTCCTTGAGTGTGCCTGACTTATTCCTGCCTCAGATCATATGCACCTGCTCTTTCCTCAGATATCTGTGTGGCTCACTCCCTCTCTGTTCAAATGTCACCCTCTTAAAGAGGCCTTCCCTGATCATTCCATTAAAAAAAGCTTTGTCTTCAATCTCTCTTTATTCCCCTAACCTACCTTTTTCTTCATGGCCTTTATCACTTTCTGACATAAAAGTAAGCTCCATGAGAGCCTTTGATGCTTAATAGATGTTCAGCAAATATTTAAATTAATTAATTGCTTAATTAATTAATGACTCTTTAAGCATTATAAAGGACTAGAATGAGATTAATTTTTCAGTTTTAACTTATTGCATGTTATGGGGAGAAACAGATTATGAAATCAACCTCAAAAGCTTTAATAATGTTTATCTTGTGAATGTCAGGATCTACTTCTGGCCTTTCCTTCTAAACTTGGAGCTCCTTGAGTAAAACAATTATGCTTTAGTCATCTTTGTACCCCAGATCTAGCAAAATGACTTGCCCATAATACAGGCCTGAAAAAATATTGTTGAATGATTAAGTATAAGATGGCCAACCAATATTTTAATCAATTTAAATCAAGCAAAGGGAATTTAAGAAATTATTACATACCCCCTTTAACACTGTTTGCAAAAAGAGACAGAAGAAACTGTTTAAAAAACATTTTCTTCCTCAGATATACAGTTGGGTTAGTAGACGTTGAACTTAGAATTCAAAAGTGGCCTTTTTGTCTCCCTAAGTAGGTAATTTGAATGCATACCCATCTACCCACTTTTCACAGGAGAGGCAAAAGAAGAAAGGAGAAAGAGAGAGAGGCAAATGGAGTGTTTGTTTACATGTTTGTTTGTTTGAGACGGACCCTTGCACTGTCGCCCGGGCTGGAGTGGTGAGATGATGCCAGGTGCCTGCATTCCCTGCTGACTTGCAATAATGAGATATTAAATGATAAGATGGAAGGATGTGCCTGGGCTGTGCCCATGTGTGCTCATCTTCTTCCAGGCACACGTTTCCCTTTCAAGTACCAGATGAACATTTCATAATTTGAAAACTAAAATTCCTAACAGTGTTTTTTCTCCGACATCAGGCTTCCCAATTGTGTAGCCAACACAAGCGAAGGAAGATGTATTATTTCATACGGCTATCTGCTTGTTTTCCTGCTGTTTGCATTCGGCAGAATGGAAACCTGTGGGTAAATGGAAATTACTGCCCATAGGGCAAGCCTCTCACATGGCTATAATTGTGCCTTTCCCCGCAGATCTGGTTGCCTCTGTTCTCATACCTGCTTGCTCACTCCCCACCCACATCCCCTGCCTCTTTCCATCAGGTGATTAATTGTGGATCTTAAAAAGGATACCCATCTTGGAGTCCAGAGCAGATGAGAGAAATGGAAAATGTTCATTTGGTACTAATGGGGAAGAAAATGTAATCAACAGGCATTTTATTTTTCCGCAAAATTCACTTTCCTTTTAACTTAGCTCTCAATATTGTTATGAGTGTTTCCACTGTCGTGTGCATCTCCACAGACTGCAATAAGCCATCCTTGTTTCTCCTTTAGTTCCTGCAAGTTTCTAAAGCAAAGGGCCAGTGATGGGGAAAATATTCCTAGGAAATTGGAGTGGGCTCTACAAGGTGCTCAGGTTAATGGGTAGAGTCCACACTCAACTGCCTGGGTTTGTAATTTCCTTCTCCTGTGTGTCCTGGTGAAAGCCTCTGTACTACATAATGCTTTTTCCTTCTTTCTGCCTTTCTCTAACCAGTATCATGGCAGTGTCTAAATTCCCATCCCTCATTTTCCTTGTTTGTTTAACTCTATGCATTAAAATCAGAGATGAGATCCTTGACCTTTCCTACCTTTTTTTCAGTGCCATTTGTAGAACTTCAGCACACATTTTATTTTGACTTGAGGACTTGGATATTGGGATAAATGCATGCAGTTTTTACAAAGATTCATCTTGGAACGATCTTTGGGTTCTTCAGCAGGTTCCTTCAGCAAGCTTCCTTAACTTGCGAAGAGTCTTCAAGACAATATGAACGAGCACCAGATGGGGGCCTCAAAGGACTCATTTAACTGCAAATAACACAAATAACACCCACACACTGAAGACAACCTCAGACAGGGCTGTCATGGATTTTGGCTCGTTATAAGATTGGAAAGTGGCTGAATATGTGTGGGAAATGATACTGAGTTGGGAAGTGAAAGTGCAATGGCTTTAAAACTCTTTGAATGTTCTTCCAGCTGGATTTGAAATAATATACTTCCTGGTTCAGTGATTCTGGTGATAGTTCTGGAAGCCGCCACAGGCTTTGTCTTCTCTTCTCTGTATTACTCTGGTGATTTTAAGAGTTTATGACTCTCATGGCTCAAAGAAAGGGGAAAGGCACCAGGCCAATTACCAAAACATATAACAAAGTCTAAGAGTAATGGCATGTTTTACAGCCATCAGAAGTTTTAAAATATGATGTTCAAATATATACGTGTGTGTGTGTGTGTGTGTGTGTGTATATATATATATATGCTCCACATAGCTTCCAGGGCTGCCGTGTGTGTGGAGCAGATGAGTGGAAGGTCATGAAGCACTGCTTCATGGAAACAGTCGCAGAGCAAACCCTTATATGCACAAGAGCTCATGCAGCCTGCAGGAGACCCACACTCAAGCAATGCCCAGCTCACTCTTCATATGTGAGCCCCGCCGGACTGTGTCCACTCGGAGGGGTCACTAGTCTTGTTTACAGAGACTCAGTGTCCCCCTTGCATCCATCCAGAAAGGGGACAGCTTTCTATCTCATAAAGGATGGATATGTGGGAAGCTGTCTCCATCAACACTTATTTCAGAATCAAGAAGTTCATGAGTATTTAGTGTCTCTACCTAAAGGTTAGACTGAAACTCACTTGGCAAGTCAAATCACATCTCTCCTTTGCTTCAACTCTTTCAGAAATCCATCACACTCAGAATAAAATCTGAAGCCAGATCAAGGCCTCCACGTCCGCAGCCCAGCCTTGTCTGCCTTTTCACCTCCCTGTTCCCCACCCCTCTTGCTCACTTCTGCCTGTGCAGTGGCTGGTCCCTCTGCCTGGCACTCTCTTTCCTCACCTTCCTCATAATTCAGACGTCAGGTGGTTGAGGTCTTTCCTGAGGACCCTGTGTGATGAAGGCCATCCTGTCCTCTGCTCCTCTCTCCCATCACGATGTCAGTTGGATGGTTTCTGCGGGGGTCCAGGAGGGTCCATATGCCCCTCTCCATCTCAGTTTCCTCTATTGTTAACATCTTGCAGTAGTGTAATACTTTTATTAAAATTGATGAGCTAATATTGATAGATGATGATGATGATGATGATGATGATGATTACTCTTAGAGAGAGGGTCTTATTCTTTCACCCAGGCTGGAGTGCCATGGTGTGATATAGTTCATTGTAACCTTGAATTCCGGGACTCAAACAGTCCCCCACCTCAGCCTCCCTCCCAAGTGGCTAAGACCACAGGCATACACCACCACGCCTGGCTAGGACCACAGGTGCACACCACCACACCTAGTTTTTAAAATATTTTTTGTAGAGATGAGGTTTCATTATGTTGCCCAGGTTGGTCTCAAACTCCTTGCCTCAAGCAATCCTAACACCTTGGCCCCCCAAAGGCTGGGATTACAGACATCAGCCACCATGCCTGGCCTAATGCATTATGATTAACTAAAAGTAGTTTACATTGAGGTTTCCTGTTGGTGTTAAACACTCTATGGGGTTTCACAAATGCAAAATGCCATGTATCCACCATGACAGTATCATACAGATTAGATTCACTGCCCTAAAAATCCCCTGTGCTCCACCTGTTCATCTTCTCTTCCTACTGGCTCCAAACATGATATTTTTACTTTCTCATAGTTTTGCCTTTTCTATTAAATAGAATGTCATATAGTTGAAGTCATATGATTATGCAGCCCTTTTGACTTAGTAATATGCATTTATTTTCTCCGTGTCTTTTTGTGGCCTGAGAGCACATGTCTTTTTATCTCTTTATCACTATGTTGCATGGATGTAAATTATAGTTTTCTTTTTTCTTTTTTTTTTTTTTTTTTGAGACGGAGCCTTGCTCTGTCCCCAGGCTGGAGTGCAGTGGTGTGATCTCTTCATTTTCATTGTGAGATATTCAAATAATGCAGAAGTATACAGAAAAAATATCAGTCAAAGCCATGAGGAAATAGGTTTTTCTAAATTACACTTTAAGTTCTAGGGTACGTGTGCACAACGTGCAGGGTTGTTACATATGTATACATGTGCCATGTTGGTGTGCCGCACCCATTAACTCATCATTTACATTAGGTATATCTCCTAATGCTATCCCTCTCCCTTTCCCCCACACCATGACAGGCCCCAGTGTGTGATGTTCCCCACCCTATGTCCAAGCGTTCTCATTATTCAGTTCCCACCTATGAGTGAGACATGCGGTGTTTGGTTTTCTGTCCTTGCGATATTTTGCTCAGAATGATGGTTTCCAGCTCCATCCATGTCCCTACAAAGGACACGAACTCATCCTTTTTAACAGCTGCATAGTATTCCATGGTGTATATGTGCCACATTTTCTTAATCCAGTCTATCATTGATGGACACTTGGGTTGGCTCCAAGTCTTTGCTATTGTGAATAGTGCCACAATAAGCATATGTGTGCATGTGTCTTTACAGCAGCATGATTTATAATCCTTTGGGTATAAACGCAATAATGGGATTTTTTTTTTTTTGAGACAGAGTCTCTCTCTGTCACCCAGGTCACCCAGGCTGGAGTATAGTGGCATGATCTCGGCTCACTGCAAGCTCCCCCTCCTAGGTTCACGCCATTCTCCTGCCTCAGCCTCCCAAGTAGCTGGGACTACAGGTGTCCACCACCACACCTGGCTAATTTTTTTTGTATTTTTAGTAGAGACAGGGTTTCACCGTGTTAGCCAGGATGGTCTCGATCTCCTGACCTCATGATCTGCCCACCTCAGCCTCCCAAAAGTGCTGGGATTACAGACGTGAGCCACGTTGCCCAGCCATAAATTATAGTTGTAGTTCTCCAACCCTACAACTTGGAGAAAATATTGCAAAATACATATTTGATGAAGAATTTGTATTTAAAATATGCAAAGAACTCTTAAAACATGTCAATAAGAAAACAAACAATTAAGACATGAGCAAAAGATCTGAGCTGACACCTCACCAGAGAAGATATACAGATGACAAATAAGCATATGAAAAGATGTTCAATATCAAATATCATTAGGGAATTGCAAATTAAAACAACAATGAGAGACCACTACGCACCTTTTAAAATGACCCAATTCCAAAAATACCAAAACCACCAAATGCTGGCAAGGATGTGGAGCAACAGGAACTCCTGTTTATTGCTGGTGGGAATGCAAAAACGACTCAGTGATTTTGGAAGACAGTTTGGCAGTTTCTTACAAAGCTAAAACTAGTCTTATGATATGATCCAGCAACTGTGCTCCTGACTATTTACCCAAATGAGTTGAAAACTTAATGTCTACACAAAAACCTATACACAAGTGTTTATAGCAGCTTTATTTACAACTGCCAAAAATTGGAAGCAATCAAGATAACTTTCAATAAGTGAATAGATTTTTTTAAAGAACTATAATTTACAGCCAGGCACGGTGGCTCATGCCTGTAATCTCAGCACTTTGGGAGGCCAAGGCGAGCGGATCACGAGGTCAGGAGATCGAGACCACCCTGGCTAACACAGTAAAACCCCATCTCTACTAAAAATACAAAAAATTAGCCAGACATGGTGGCAGGCGCCTGTAGTCCCAGCTACTCTGGAGGCTGAGGCAGGAGAATGGCGGGAACCTGGGAGGCGGAGATTGCAGTGAGCCGAGATTGTGCCACTGCACTCCAGCCTGGGGGACAGAGCGAGAATCCATCTCAAAAAAAAAAAGTAAATTATAATTTACATCCATGCAACATAATGATAAAAGAGATAAAAAGACATGTGCTCTCAGGCCAAAAAAAGACACAGAGAAAATAAATGCATATTACTAAGTCAAAAAGGCTACATAATCATGACTTCAACTATATGACATTCTATTTAATAGAAAAGGCAAAACTATGAGAAAGTAAAAATATCATGTTTGGAACCAGTAGGAAGAAAAGATGAACAGGTGGAGCACAGGGGATTTTTAGGGCAGTGAATCTAATCTGTATGATACTGTCATGGTGGATACATGGCATTTTGCATTTGTGAAACCCCATAGAGTGTTTAACACCAACAGGAAACCTCAATGTAAACTACTTTAGTTAATCATAATGCATTAGGCCAGGCATGGTGGCTGATGTCTATAATCCCAGCCTTTGGGGGGCCAAGGTGTTAGGATTGCTTGAGGCAAGGAGATCGAGACCAACCTGGGCAACATAACGTAATGAAACCTCATCTCTACAAAAAATAATTTTAAAAACTAGGTGTGGTGCTGTGCACCTGTGGTCCTAGTCAGGCATGGTGGTGTATGCCTGTGGTCTTAGCCACTTGAGACTGGGGTGGGGGACTGTTTGAGTCCAGGAATTCAAGGTTACAATGAACTAGATCACACCACGGCACTCCAGCCTGGGTGAGAGAATAAGACCCTCTCTCTAAGAGTAATCATCATCGTCATCATCATCATCATCTATCAATATTAGCTCATCAATTTTAATAAAAGTATTACACTACTGCAAGATGTTAACAATAGAGGAAACTGAGATGGAGAGGGGCATACAGACCCTCCTGGACCCCCGCAGAAACCATCCAACTGACATCGTGATGGGAGAGAGGAGCAGAGGACAGGATGGCCTTCATCACACAGGGTCCTCAGGAAAGACCTCAACCACCTGACGTCTGAATTATGAGGAAGGTGAGGAAAGAGAGTGCCAGGCAGAGGGACCAGCCACTGCACAGGCAGAAGTGAGCAAGAGGGGCGGGGAACAGGGAGGTGAAAAGGCAGACAAGGCTGGGCTGCGGACGTGGAGGCCTTGATCTGGCTTCAGATTTTATTCTGAGTGTGATGGATCTCTGGAAGAGTTGAAGCAAAGGAGAGATGTGATTTGACTTGCCAAGTGAGTTTCAGTCTATCCTTTAGGTAGAGACACTAAATACTCACGACCTTCTTGATTCTGAAATAAGTGTTGATGGAGACAGCTTCCCACATATCCATCCTTTATGAGATAGAAAGCTGTCCCCTTTCTGGATGGATGCAAGGGGGACACTGAGTCTCTGTAAACAAGACTAGTGACCCCTCTGAGTGGACACAGTCCTGCAGGGCTCATATATGAAGAGTGAGCTGGGCATTGCTTGAGTGTGGGTCTCCTGCAGGCTGCATGAGCTCTTGTGCATGTAATGGCTTGCTCTGCGACTCTTTCCACGAAGCAGTGCTTCACGACCTTCCACTCATTTGCTCCATGCACACGGCAGCCCTGGGAGCCATGTGGAGCAAGAGCACAAGCCCAGATCTGCCAGGCATCCCTAATCAGTTGTGCTCAGCTCCTCCATCCTCAGTGGCCTCACATGTAAAACAACAGGTAGCAATACCAGGCTTCAAGGTCGTGGCATTGGAGCTGTCAAAGTTGTCAGAATCAAAATGGAGTCACTTTTGTTAAACAAACCAAAATCACCTGACAAATAGAGACAGGGAAGGCCATGAAGAGAAGGTTCTCATGCTCGTACGCCTGATAACAAAATGTATCACAAAAGACTACAAAAACCACAAGCTTGCACAAAGGTCATTGCTACTTCCCACGAAAAATACTTCTGTAAGGACACCTGCCCAGGAACTTCCTGTGCAACCTCAACTGGCATCACCGTTGTTATTGACCCTTGTAGCCGAAGATAATTATCTCAAAACAGTGGTGTAATCCTCCTCATTTTTCCTTTAAAAACCTTTGTCTTCTTTTATCTCCCTGAACATACACATAGTTCACTGTGGCACTCATCTTCTCATTGCAATGCCCTATTCCCAAATAAATATCATTTTCTTTTAGAGAGTCTTTCTGTTATTTAGGTTGACAGAGACAGTGTGTCTATGGGAATTGGCTCCTGTTGGTCTCCGTGCATGAGAATTATCACTACTATCTAAGTAAGCAGCTCCAACCATACAAGAGCCCTAGAAAAGAAGGATTGAGATTTAATCCATTTATTCTGGAAGTGCCGTTGTGGAATTGTTTTCTGTTGTAATTTTTGTTATTGCTCCCTTCACACACTCATTCATTCAATAAACACTCATTAAGTACTCCCTATATTCCAGATATGCAGATATTTTTTAAACTATGACATTTTGTGTAAAATTAACAAAACAAATGTTTCTAGAACAGAGAAGCTTATTACTATGGAATACAATTTCTGGTGAAGGAACTGAACTTCAAAGGGCAGGGGTATCTGGAGTTAGCCAGGGCAAGGGCATCCATGGTCCCTGTGTGTGTTTGTGGGTGAGGGTGCTCTGAGCACCTGGCCTGGGCAATGCTGATCCTAAATGCCACTTCTTACCCCACCCAGCACCAATGGGGAGACATTATCCCTTGACAGGGAACAGGAGGCTGCTGGTTCAGACCACAACATCATGCCTACAGCATGCACTAGCCAGCCTCCAAAAATGCTTGGGGGACCCCAACTGGACTTCAGAAAGAAGGTAGTTCTTTCTTTGTCAGACATCTCTGCCCTGTGGCCACATCAACAATAAGCATGGGAGAAGCAGAAAGTATATGTCCTGTGCCCATGCTTACCACAGCCACTCCACAGACACTGGCTCTTCTAGAGACTCATTACTAGATGATCTGCAAAAAGCTGTTACAACTGGGACCTTGGGGAACAAAGAAGAGGACCAACAGGAACTCGGGAGCCAGAGAGGAGCATGGGGTTCTCCCCTTGGGATGAACCTGTCTCTGAGACCCAGCTGCACTCCTCTGCTCTCTGCGACCTCCTGCCTTTCTCTCTGTATTCTCAGATGCAATCTACTCTGACACTCCCCACCCCCTGTCTCCAAGACACTTGTGCACAGGAATCTTCCCTTTGGTGTTCTGAGCAGCAGGGTGTGAGGTGTGGGGTGGAGAATAGAATATTAAAGTTCTAAATCTGTCTCTCATCTAATGTGATTCCTTTGAGAAGACTAAAAGCTGGGCTCGTTTCTCCCATCTAGGATTAGTAAGAACATTGCAAATGTAGGGATGAAACAGAGTCTAGAGAAGGGCCCACCTGTCCAAGGGCAACTGTGGCCAGAGACAACCTTGTCCCTTGTCCTCAGCCGAGAAGAGCAGCAGGTGTGACAAGGGTAGTTAATGGAAACTCCCACAATTGCACTGGTGCCTTCTGGAGGTTTTTTTTTTTTTTAATCATTTCCATTTTGAAGGCCCAAGGTAAAACAATTTTCAGGTATTCACATGGGCACATAGAAATGTGTTTTGTTCCAGCTGCTATGCTAGGCCGAGCTCAGCAGAATCATCGAGTCGCTTCCAATCTATGATTTTCTGCTGATGCTGACAAAGGCCACCCCCATGGGCTGGAGAAGAAACACTGTATTTACTCACATAATTCTCTTCTTCCAAAGGCACCTGACTTCCCTGGAAAGCTAGTGAGAAGGAGATGAGCAGACGTGCTCTCACGCTCTTCCAGCCCTTGTGGCCAGGAGCATGGGCAGGGGGAGTGAGGCAATAAATGGATATGACTCAGACACCAAGCTATTAATTAAACCTGACTCTTGGCCGTCTAGGTGTTGAAACTCCAGGTTGATCGCGATGGCTAATCAGCCTGCAAAGGGCAGTAACTGCTATGAAGTGCAACCAAGTGACGCCTCGTGACCTCTGACATTTCTTCTGAAACAGCCGCACCAGGGAATCTCAGGGATCCTGGCTCCACAGCCACCTGACTGCCAAAAAAGAACTGGGACATTTAGACTTTGCTTTTATTCTTACAACATTTTAAACTCTCCAGTTAAAGAGCAATTTAATAAGGCTTAGTGTCACACGGTCCTGGGCTCTAGCTTTGTGGTATACCAACTCCTTATTCTGAAACTTGCTACAAAAGGGTCAGAATCAGGAATTTAGTCTCGCTTTTGGATATAAACCATATTTCAGGGCAACCAAATAATTGGTGAAGGAAAAATTCTTTTTATATAAGAATATCAACTAATGAACTTAGCAGGAATGATAGAGAATTATAGAAATCAACAGTTTGTGATACTTAATGAATTAATCAACTGGACAATGGTTATCAATGGCTAAAAAAAATCAGTGAAAGGTTAAGGAGGACACTTAGCAAGTATGGCTCAGATTAACGACACCTGCCCCCAGTCATCAACTGTGACATCTGTAGAAAGGAAGTGGCTGATATAATGCACTAGGAAGTGCCGCACACCATGTATAAAGAAAAAAGTGTTATTAAAAGAGAACACATTGACCTGAATCTAATGATGCCACCTTATTAACCTGCCAGTTTATAGAAAATATGAGAGATAAAAGAAGAAGGCAAACACAGTCAAATGGAAATAATCAGCTCAATTCAGAACGTGGGAAATTCTACAGAAGAAAAAAAACCAGGTGTCTTCAACAAGTAGTTGGCATGGGAGAAAGAAGAGGAGAAGAAAAATGTAAAGGTAAAAAGAGTCTTAGTAATTATATTAACCAAACATAGTGTGGGAGTCCATTTTATTTTATTTTAACTTTTATTCTTGTTTCAGGAATACACGTGTGCGGTTGGTTCTATAGATAAATTTCATGTTGCGAGGGTTTGGAGTACATATTATTTCATCACCCAGGTGATAAGCATAGTACCCAATGGATAGCTTTTCAATCCTCACCCTGTCCCACTCTCCACCCCCAAGTAAGCCCCAGTGTCTATTGTTCCCTTCTTTGTGCCCATGTGTACTCAATGTTTAGCTGCCACCTGTAAGTGAGAACATGCAGTGTTTGGCTTTCTGTTCCTGCATTGGTTCACTTAGGATAATGGCCTCCAGCTCCATCCATGTTGATGCAAAAGACATGATCTCATTCTCTTTTATGGCTGTGTAGTATTCCATGGTGTATATGTACCACATTTTCTTTATCCAGTCTACCATTGATGGGCATTTAGGTTGATTCCATGTCTTTGCTATTATGAATGGTGCTGTGATGAACATATATTTGCATGTGTTTTTTTAATTATTATCTTTTGAGATGGAGTCTCACTCTATTGCCCATGCTAGAGTGCAGTTGCATGATCTCAACTTACTGCAACGTCCGCATTCTGGGTTCAAGTTATTCTCCCACCTAAGCCTTCTGAGTAGCTGGTATTACAGGCACCTGCCACCATGCCCAGCTTATTTTTGTATTTTTAGAAGAGATGGGGTTTTGCCCTGTTGCCCAGCCTGGTCTCGAACTCCTAGACTCAAGCAATCCACCTGCCTCGGCCTCCCAAAGTGCTGGGATTACAGGAGTGAGCCACCGCACCTGGCCAGCATGCGTCTTTATGGTAGAACAATTTATATTCCTTTGGGCATATACCCAATAATGGGATTGCTGGGTCACATGGTAGTTCTGTTTTAAGTTCTTTGAGAAATCACCAAACTGCTTTCCACAGTGGCTGAACTAATTTACATTTCCACCAACAATGTATAAACACTTCATTTTCTCTACAGCCTCATGAGCATCTGTTATTCTTTGTCTTTTTAGTAATAGCCATTCCAACTGATGTGAAATGGTATTTCACTGTGGTTTTGATTTGCATTTCTCTAATGATCAGTGATGTTGAACATTTTTTCATAAGCTTGTTGGACATGCATATGTCTTTTGAAAAGTATCTGTTCATGTCCTTTGATATTTTTTAGTGGTGTTTGTTTTTTGCTTGTTAATTTAAGTTTCTTATAGATTCTGTATATTAGGCCTTTGCCAGACGCATAGTTTGTAAATATTTTTCTCATTCTATGGGTTGTCTATTTACTCTGTTGATAGTTTCTTTTGATATGCAGAAGCTCTTTAGTTTAATTAGGTCCCATTTGTCAATTTTTGTTTTGTTGCTTTTGGCATCTTTATCATAAAATTTTTGCCAGGGCCTATGTCTAGAAAGGTATTTCCTAGGTTTTCCTCAAGGGTTTTTATAATTGTAGGTTTTTCATTTAAATATTTAATCCCTCTTGAGTTAATTTTTGTATATGGTGTAAGGAAGGGATCCAACTTCAGTCTTCTGCATATGGCTAGCCAGTTATCCTAGCACTATTTATTGAATAGGGACTCTTTTCTTCATTGCTTGTTTTTGTCAATTTTATTAAAGATCAGATGGCTGTAGGTGTGCAGCTTTACTTGGGAGCTCTATATTCTATTCCATTAGTATGTATCTATTTTTGTACCAGTACCATGTTGTTTTGATTACTGTAGCCTTGTAGAATACTTTGAAGTAGGGTACTATGATGCCTCCAGCTCTGTTCTTTTGGCTTAGGATTGCCTTGGCTCTTTGGGCTCTTTTTTGTTCCATATGAATTTTAGAATAGTTTTTTCTAATTCTGTGAGAAATGTCATTGGTAGTTTGATAGAAATAGCTTTGAATGTATAAATTGCTTTGAGTAGTATGGCCGTTTTAAAAACACTGATTCTTCCTAACCATGAGTATGGAATGTTTTCCCATTTGTTTCTGTCATCTCTGATTTCTTTCAGGAGTGTTTTGTAATTCTTGTTGTAGAGATCTTTTGCTTCCCTAGTTAGATGTATTCCTAGGTATTTAATCTTTCTGTGGCTATCGTGAATGAAATTGTGTTCTTGATTTGGCAATCAGGTTGGACATTATTGATGTATGAAAGTGTTGCTGATTTTTGTACATTGATTTTGTATCCAGAAACTTGGTGATATGGTTTGGCTGTGTCCCCACCCAAATATCTTGAATTTCCACGTGTTGTGGGAGGGACCCTGTGGGAGGTAATTGAATCATGGGGGCAGGTCTTTCTCATGCTGTTCTCATGATAGTGAGTAAGTCTCATGAGATCTGATGGTTATTATAAGAGGGAGTATTCCTGCACAGCTTTCTTTTTGCCTGCTGCCATTCATGTAAGACATGACTTGCTGCTCCTCACCTTTCACTATGATTGTGAAACCTCCCCAGCCATGGTGAACTGTAGGTCCAATAAACCTCTTTCATTTGCAAATTGCCCAGTCTCAGGTATGTCTTTATAAGCAGCATGAAAACAGACTAATACACTTGGCTAACATTGTTTCTCAGATTTAGGAGCTTTAGGGCAGAGCCTATGGGTTTTCTAGGGATAAAATCATATTGTCTGCAGAGATAGTTTGACTTCCTCTCTTCTTCTTTGGATGCCTTTTATTTCTTTCTCTTGCCTGATTGCTCTGGCTAGGACTTCTAATACAATGTTGAATAGGAATGGTGAAAGTGGACATCCTTGTCTTGTTCTGGTTCTCAAGGGGAATGCTTTCAGCTTTTGCCCATTCAGTATGATGTTGACTGTGGGTTTATCATAGATGGCTCTTATTATTTTGAGGTATGTTCCTTCAATGCCTAGTTGTTAAGGATTTTTTTAACATGAAAGGATGCTGAATTGTATCAAAAGCCTTGTCTGCATCTATTGAGGTGATTGTGTGATTTTTGTTTTTAGTTCTGTTTATGTCATGGATCACATTTGTTGATTTGCACATGTTGAACCAACCTTACATCCCAGAGATAAAACCTACTTGATTGTGATGGATTAGCATTTTGATGTGCTGCTGGACTCAGTTTGCTAGTATTTTGTTGAGGATTTTTGCATCAATTTTTATCAAGGATAATGACCTGAATTTTTCTTTTTCTGTTGCATCACTGCCAGGTTTTGTTATCAGGATGATCCTGACCTCATAGAATGAGTTAGGAAGGAGTCCTCCTCCTCAATTTTTGGAATAGTTTCAGTAGGAATGGTACCAGCTCTTCTTTATACTTCTGGTAGAATTTGACTGTGAATCTATCTGGCCCTGGCCTTTTTCTGGTTGGTAGGCTTTTTATTACTGATTCAGTTTCTAAACCCATTATTGGTTTATTCAGGGCTTGAATTTCTTCCTCATTCAGTTTCGGGAGGGTGTATGTGTTCTGGAATTTATCTACTTCTACTAGATTTTCTAGTTTGTATGCATAGAGGTGTTTATAACAGTCTCTGATGGTTTTTTGTATTTCTGTGGAGTTGGTGGTAACGTCCCCTTTGTCATTTCTGATTGTGTTTATTTGGACCATCTCTCTTTTTTACTTCATTAGTCCAGCTGGCAGTATATCAACTTATTTATCCTTTCAAATAAAGAACTTCTTCTTTTATTGATCTTTTGTATGGTTTTTTACTTCTGAATTTCATTCCGTTCAGCTCTGATTTTGGTTATTTCTGTCTTCTGCTAGCTTTGGGGTTGTTCTTACAGTTCCTCAAAGTATGATGTTAGGTTGTTAATTTGAGATCTTTCTAACATTTTCATGTAGGGATTTAGTGCTATGTACTTCCTTCTTACTACTGTTTTAGCTGTGTCCCAGAGATTCTGGTATATTGTGTCTTCTGTTCTCATAGTTTCAAAGAATGTCTTGATTTCTGCCTTAATTTCATTGCTTACCCAGAAGTCATTCATAATCATGTGGTTTAGTTTATCTGTAATTCTATGGTTTTGAGCAATCTTCTTGGTATTCATTTCAATTTTTATTGTGCTGTGGTCTAAGAGTGTGATTGGTGATTTCAGTTTTTTAATTTGCTGAGAATTGTTTTATGGTCAATTGTGGGATCGATTTGAGTATGTGCCATGTGCAGATGAGAAGAATGTATTTTCTGTTGTTTTGGTGTGGAGAGTTCTGTGGATGCCTGTTAGGTCCGTTTGGTCAAGTATTGAGTTCAGGTCCTGAATATTTCTGTTAGTTTTCTGACTTGTTGATCTGTCTAATACTGTCAATGGGATATTAAATTCTCCAACTGTTACTGTATAATTATCTAAGTCTCTTTGTAGGTCTCTAAGAACTTGTTTTATGAATCTGGATGCCCTGTGTTGGGTGCATATATATTTAAGACAGTTAAATTGTCTTATTGAATCAAACCCTTAGCCATTGTGTAATGCCCTTCTTTGTCTTTTTTGATCATTGTCAGTTAAAAGTCTGTTTTGTCTGAAATTAGAATAGCAACCTCTGCACTCCAGCCCAGGCAACACAGTGAGACTCTGTCTTAAAAACAAAAAAAGAGTAGCAACCCCTGATATTTTTGGTTTCCATTTGCTTCATAGATTTTTCTCCATCATTTTACTTTGAGCTTGTATTCTTGCATGTGAGATGGGTAACTTGAAGACAGCATACAGTTAAGTCTTGCTTCTTTATCCAAGTTGCCACTCTGTGCCTTTTGATCAGGCTGCTTAGCCTGTTCTCATTCAAAGTTAACATAAATATTTGTGGATTTAATTCTATTATCATATTGTTAGCTGGTTATTATGTAGAATTGATTGTGTAGTTGCTTTATAGTGTCAGTGGTCTATTTATTTAAGTGTGTTTTTGTGATGGCTGGTAAAAGTCTTTCTTTTCCATACTTAGCCCTCCTTTAGGCACCTCTTGTAAGGCAATTCTGGTGACAATGAGTTCCCTTAGCATTTGCTTGTCTGAAAAGGATCTTATTTCTGCTTCACATATGAAGCTGAATTTGGCTGGATATAAAATTCTTGGTTGGAATTTCTTTTCTTTAAGAATGCTAAATATAGGTCCCCAATCTCTTCTGGCTTATAAGGTTTCTGTTGAAAAGTCCACTGTTATACTAAGGGGGTTCCCTTTGTAGATGACTTATCCCTTCTTTTCCTAGTCGCTTTTAATATTTTCTCTTTCATGTCAACCTCAGAGAATCTGATGATGATTATGCATCTTAAAGATGGTTGTTTTGTATGGTATCTCACAGGGGTTCTCTGCATTTCCTGAATTTAAATATTGGCCTGTCTAGTGAGATTGGGAAATGTTCATGGCCAATATCCTCACATATGTTTTTCAAGTTGCTTGTTTTCCCTCCTTCTCTTTCAGGGATGCCAATGAGTTACAGAGTTCATCTCTTTACACAATCCCATATTTCTCAGAGGTTTTGTTTGTTTTTAAAATTCTTTTTTTTCTTTATTTTTGCCTCACGGAGATAGTTCAGAGAATCAGTCTTCAGGTTCTGAGATTGTTTCCACAGCTTGTCCTTGTCTCACATGCCTCTTGCCTCTTCTTCTATTCTTCTGTTAATACTTGCCATTGTATTATGAAATTCTTGTAGTGTGTTTTCCAGCTCTGTCAGATCAGTTTGGTTCTTTGTTAAAATGGCCATTTTGTCTTTCAACTCCTGTATTATTTTGTTGTAATCCTTAGATTCCTTAAACTGGGTTTTGACTTTCTTCTGAATCTCAGTGGTCTTTGTTCCCATTCATATTCTAAATTCTGTGTCTGTTATTTCAGCCATTTCGGCCTGGTTAAGGACCATCACTAGGGAACTCGTGCAGTTATTTGGAGGAAAGAAGACACTCTGGCTTTTTGAGTTGACAGAGTTCTTGCACTGGTCCTTTCTCAACTGTATGGGCTAATGTTCCTTTAACTACAGTGGGATTTGAGTATAATGAGTTGTCTTCATTTCTGGATGTTTTCAGAGGGCTAAGTATTTGTGCAGGGTCTTTATTTGTAGCTGAATTCTTATCGTTCCTTTCACAGAAATGGAGGGGGGATACAGCAAAGTATTTTTGGTGTTGAAGTTCAGGCCGTGATCCAGTAGGTGGTGCTTAAGTGCAATGACTGGTAGGCTCTTAGCCAAGTGGCTCCTCTGTATTTCCTCATGATTGCAGCTGTGGTCCCTTGCAGTGCTCTGAAGGTGTGGGCTCCTCTTCCACTCAAATGCTGGATGCAGATCTTGGCTTGGCACTCCTGGGCTGCACACCATAGCCGTGGAGCTAGCTCAGGCTTTATGGTCCCTCCCAAACGTGAGGGTAGCAGAGGCAGAGACCTTGGCAGTGGTAATGGCAGAGGGCCAGAGGGTCTTTCACTTGTCTCTCAGGGCTGCACCCCAGCACAACACAAAGCAGTTATCAATCAGAACAATCAGTCTGAGGTGGGGCGGCTGTGTTGTGGGCCCAAGCTAGACAGCCCTGCCTAATGATGAGCAAGAGGATGGGGGTGCTCACGAAGAAGACAGACTGGGTTCCATTTTAGATCTTAATTGTTAAGAAAAATATTTAAAAACTCCAGAAAGACAATCAGAAGAACGAAATCCTGAGTTGAGTATTAGATGCTATTAAGCAATTATTCAGGAAAGTTGGTAATTTTGTTGTTTGTGATAATAATATTGTGCTTGTGTCTTTTTAGAGTTCACATCTATAAAAGTTACATATGGAAATATACACAGGTAAAGTAATATGTCATATTGAATTTGCTTAAAATACTTCTCTGTCCAAAAAAAAAAAAAAAGGAAATGGCAGGGGGTGATGGATGAAAGAAGAAGGAAGAAGGAAGAATGGAGAATGGCAACATGTTAATAATTGATGAAGATGGGTGATAAGGGCTAAATTTGAGTCTGAAAATATTCATAAGATTTAGTTAAAATAGCCATTGCAACTTAATTATTAGCTATGTGATATTGGACATGTTTTAAATTTTCTGAGCTCTGATTTTCTCATTAATGAAACAGGGATAAAAATGTTTTTCCTTCCATGATCGCTTTGAAGATTAATTAGTGTAATAGGCCTGAATAATGCCAGGCTCCTAGTAAGTACTTAATAATACAAAAATCCCTTGTAGATGTCATGGAATATCCTTAACACTTTGTTTAAACCAGTCCTTCTAAGTAAGCAGATTCCAGCTCAGTGAAAAAAAAAAAACACTGCAGACAGTGTTCCTTTTGAATCCAGATTTAAGCATGGATTCACGCTTTGTATCCAGAAACTTGGTGATATGATTTTGTATCCCGTGGATGTTTTTTGAGGACATGGATTCTGTCTCATTCTCACCTGAATTCCTATATAACAGGGTGCTGGCTGTGTAGTGAGGCTGTGTTTGTCAGCTGGCTGACTGAATTAGCGAATGAATGATGCCTGATAATTTAGCCCATTTAAGCATGGTTAACATGCAAGTGAATGAAAATACAGCATAGACTACTAGAGGAGGGATGAAAAGGAAGATAGAGTTGGTGAGAAGACTGTATGAATTAAAATGGGCAATGGAGAAGAAGAAAGATTCAACTGTAAACTTTCATCAGGAGCCAGGCAATCAGTGGGAGGAGGCGTGTGAGACAAGGACAGAGAAAGAGTGGTCAGGAGACTTTGGAAAAGTACAAACAGAGGGAGCGAGCACAAGAGCACAAATGCAATCCTGCTCAGAGCCAGTGAAACACCTTCTCAACAGTACTGAGAGCAACAGATCATGCATTCAGATGGAGACTTTACGGAGTACAGGCCAAGAAGTAGTTAGACCTTTGTTCAAGACTGAACAGTTCCCTTAAAAGTTTATCTAAAAGTTCTGCAAAATTTATTTTTAGGTATTTGTATCTCCTAAAACAAGAACCACATCTTTGAATAAAAATATGATAAACTATGTCTGAGTGCAGCATTGAAATGAAATAGAAGAGCTTAGTAGAAAGGCATAAAGGTTATATTTGGGGAGGGAATATTTAGAATCAGTCAGAAATGTGCAAAGATGTATGGGATGTAAGAAGATCCATTCAGTACATCACTTAGGGTTTTGAAGAACAAGAACCAGCACAACAGGGGTTGTTAATGCAAGAGCTCAGCCAAAGAATCTCATTTTGCTCCAAGCCAAAAATGGATACGTCAAGTTGAGTTCCATTAAAAGAAAATGGCAACGTAATAGAAAATGTGTTATACACAACATATCTCATTGTAGAGAAGAGAACATCTTTTTGGAAAGTGATCTCAAAATCAGAAATGATGTGATCAGAAATTAAAGGAATTGGAAAGTAATCTGCTGTATGCTTCAATTTTTGAAACACTGTTTGAAGGGTTTCTTATTGATAAATAATAGATTGATAATAAAGTCAAGTTAAAGGCATCAGTTTATCTTGAATAACAGGGAAGTCATTTGTAACCCAGTAAATGCCCCTGTGCCTCAAGAAGTATGCCAGAGTATAGATAGGAATGAATGAGGCTATTTTTCTTTGCATATCATGTCAAAAACAGTGTGATAAATGGGGATGAAATTTTGAACTGTCTGAGCCTTTCAGAAGTTGGAAGCCTTTTAAGAGATCTGATTAATTTAACATGTCAAACCTAATGGTGAATGAGTTCCATTTCTCCAAAGAGCAATTAGTCAACAGAATAAATTAACATGAGATATTGTCAAATGCAAAGACTGTGCTCATTGCCAAAGATAAAACACTTTTACTGCTATTATTGAACTTGCTTCTTTGTTCTGTGAAGGGCTTCTGTGACATAATTCCCTCACTGACCCCTGTGCTTGGAATAAGCTGCCATCATTTCTTGTCTGGACCACTGCAAAAGCCTCCTAATTTGTCTCTCCTTAGCCACACTTATCCACCTCCTGTCTGCTCTTTGTATACTAGCCACATGATATTTGAAAACCACAAAACTATTTTTGAGAACGTCTCAATAACATCCCATTGTGTTTGGGATAGACAAATAAGATTAGGGTATCTTGCAAAGCCTGAGTCCCTAAATACCCCTCAATTCCAGCCACCTCCCCCGACCCCATATCACTTTCCCATATTCTTTGGCCTTCTTTCATTTCTTTGCACTTGCCTTGCTATCTCTGAGTCTTCTCACATCCTGTTCCCTCTTCCTGAAACACTCTTTCCCCTCCCCACTGTCTCACATACTCAACTCCTTCTCATTCTTTAGACTTCGGGACAGATCTCAGAGCTACTTACTTGGGAGAAACTTCCTGATGTCCTGACGAGGTCATGATTCTCTATAGTGTATTCTCACTGCCTCCTGGGCTCTGGTGTAGCACCTGTCACGGTCCCCACATCCTCATTATAAACCTTTAAGCCCTTTCATTCATGCTTCCAAAGCCACCTATCGACCAAATTCTTCTTCCAACACTGCCATGACTCTTCGTGTTGTCAAATGCAGTGGTCCCTTCTCTGTCACTTGACATCTCATCAGCATTTGACACAACTGAAAACTTCCTTCTTCTAAAACACTCATTCCTCCCGGAATTAAGGACATCACAACCACCCAGTCTTCCTTCTACCACATTAGCCACCAGTTCTCAGAATTAGCTTTTATCTTCTCTTCCTCAGCTAGATCCCTTGATCTTGGAGCACACTGAGCTGAGAACTGGGCTCCCTGTGATCTCAGCCAGTCCCGTGGTTTTCAGTACCACCTGCATTAAAATGGCACCCATATTTATGCATCCATTCCCAGACATCATTACTGAGCTCCTTATTAGTCTATTCAACTATGTACTTGACATCTCCTCTTGGAATCAATAGTCATCTCAAATTTACTCAATCAAAACAAAATTATTGATGACCTGTGCAGGAACATGCATAAGCACACCCCAATCTTTGGCATCTCAACAAATGGTTCTACCATCCATCCATGTGCTCAAACCAAAACCTAGGTGTCAGCATTGATTAATCCCTGCTTTCTTCCTAAACTCTGACACTCAATCCATCTTTCTTCCTAAACTCCTGACACTCAATCCATCATGATGCTCTACTGGTTCTCCCTTGAAAAGATGTCCTATATCTGACAATTTCTCTACAACTTTATGGCAGCCATATGCTTCCCATTGCATTTAGGATAAAACCCAAACTCCTCAACAAAGACCACAAGGCCCTGTATATCTACCCTTCTGGCCTCATCTTGTCTCTCTCACTTCTTTCCTAAGCTCCAGGCACATCAGCTGAGAGGGAAGCCATGAGCTAAATGCTATCAGGAGAATCAAGGAGAAACAAATGGGGAGAATAAGTGGAAACAGAAACTAAATCGCTATCTTTCTTGGCAGAAAGTTAGATCATAACTAAAGCTGAAAAGTCAAGAAGTAACATTTGTCTGTTATTTAGAAATATGAAGGGAAATACTAAAATAATACACAAAAAGTATTTTAAATGATTATTTATGAAGCAAGAATTAAGCATGGTAATGGTGAGAATTGATGAAGTAGGAAAATTCCTATTTTTGTTATAAATCTCAAATACAATTTAACTTTTAAAGAATATATATTACATTTGAGAAAAATAAAATTTGGGGGAAAAAAGTATTGAGGAAAAGACAGTAAAATCTTGTGAAGAGACAGACAAAGAGGGAGAAAAGCCAGAAGACCTGTAGAATGTTCTATAATTTTCAAACACAAAAGAGAAAATACCAAGAACATCTCTTATATTTGATTAAGGAGAGTTAAATTTTAGGGAAAGGATAAGCTGTGCATGCACCACTCTTAGTTGCCTCAGCAACCGGACTACCTAGTAATGATAATTATTTTATCATGTAAAAAGTTACATGCAAATTCAGTAAACAGTAATTAGGGGCAAAGTAACACACGGCACTGACAGGCTGCACTTTGGTAGAAGGGCTAGGACAAGGTTGTTCCAAGTCAAAGGACGAGATAATGAAAAGAAGAACTAAGGACCAAAATTGAGTCTGCTCTCCTGCAACTTCACTGGATATTGCAAGCACACTGCACCTCTCTCGAATTTTGGTAAAGCCAGTGTAGGTCATAAACATTTCATGCATCCATACTGCTTCATCTATATGACTATATCTCCCACTCTACTTTGAGAACCCTTTGAAGAAGGCAGGTGACTCTAAACTTTGAATAAGTAAGGCAGGTGGAAGGAGAATGTCAGGAATTTGGGAAGAAAGCAGGGAGTAATCAATGCTGATACCTAAGTGTTGGCTTGAGCACATGGATGGGGGTAGAACAATTGGTTGAGATGCCAAAGATTGGGATGGGCTTATGAATGTTCCTGTGCAGGTCATCACACTTGCCCTTGCCAGATCCTGTCGCTTAATAGTCGATCAAAAAATATTTGTTGAACAAATGAACAAATGAATGAATGAACAGACTCTTCAAAAGATGTGGCATAGCCAGGAGCTGCCCCCTCAAATGGAGTATAAAAGCTATCAAAAGGAATTGCTTCTCCCCAGCCTGGATGTATTCACTAAGATCTTGAGTCTGTGTTGGTGGCAGGGCTCATCTGGGCTTTTTGGCATTGATACTTGATAGAGCCCCTCAAAGTGTGAGGGAGCTATAATTCTCCCCATGGAAAACCAAAACTTAAACTAGATAACTTCTATAAATCCATAAACATGTAAGTATATGTAGATCTATGGATGCATTTATGCACTCTCACATACAAGCAGCCTTCACACTGCCCGTGGGTGAAGCAGCTGATTACCTATGGCATAATTCGAAGCACACAAAATGGCCTACCAGCACAAAAATGCCTCCCTTTCTAACCAGCCATAAATCTGAGACATCTTTATTATACTTGTCACTTCAATTAATATTATTTTTAGAAAGTCCTTCTTACAATTCAAACACATTATATAAAAAGGAAACATCAATATAGGCAGTGAGGGTGGTGTGGAAGAAAGGAGATCTCATGAGTATGAAATCAGTGGATCCACCACTAACTAGCTGAGTTATCTTATAAAAGTTAGCTAACTTCACCAAATCTCCATTTATTAAACTGTAACATATAGAAAAACCCAACTTCATAGTATTATTATAAGAATAATAGAGTATTTGGTAAACTGTAAACCTACAATTTAGTTTCTACTACATCTTGGGGTTTTTGGGTTATAAGATAGGCTGGCAGACATCAGAGCCTTGAGATATGGAATATGAAACAAGAAATTGTATGGATACGAAGGATGAGCTGCTGCGAGAAAGAGTAAAGAAAAATAAATTATAGAGACACTTTACCCATTCTCTTCGCTTGGTGGCACATATGCTCAAACAGGGCCCTGCCCTTGATTCTTACTGACTCCAGCCATATAACTGCACCTGAGTCCTCAGTGAACACAACATTCTTTTCAAACTGTGGGTGATGACCCTTTAGTGAACTGTCATCAGTTTAATAAGGCATGGCCAGCATTTTAATAAATGAAATAGAATTGAAGAGATGAAGAAAGAAAACATCAAAGCACATTGAGTATAGCAAGGGTACATACTATCTTAGGAAGATTTTGTCTTTTGTTGCAGTGGTATTTGAGTGTGTACATGTGGGTGCTGGATCACGATGTAAAACATATTCCTTATTACTCAACACAATCAAAAAAATTTAAAAACTTCTGCCATACGCCATACACATGCTAAGATACTTTCAGTTTCCTAAATAGGCAATACTCCTTCATATCTCTGGGCCTGTGCTGGTGCTCTTCCTTCCAGTGGAAGGTCCTTTTGCCCACCCTAGCCCAAATGGAGTCTCTTCTCAATAATACACAGCGAAAGCTTAGTTACCTGCTGTGTGAGTCCACATCCTCACTCAGACATTCTCCTTTGTTCTCTCTATGCCAAAGACTGCACTCTGTCTGTACCTTGGTCACATTCATTGCATTTAGATTTAATCAATTGTGTCATATTTTATTTGAAGTTCATTGAACACTGCTTGTCTGCCTACTAAATTCTTGGCTTTTTGAAGGCAGAAACTCTCTCTCTCTCTCCCTCATCTTTTTACTCCAAGAACATGTTGTATTGTAGGTGTGTTGGAAATGTTTGCTAAACCAACACATAAAAGATAAGTTGGAAAATAGAAAAGCCATTTTTTTTTCTGTTGAAAAGTGCTTCCTAAGCAGCCATCCAACTCTCACAAATGGGATTTATTCAGTTATCATACAAGATGGGACAGAAAGCCCCCACCAAGATGACTCTGCAAGTCTACATTCATCTGCCGCTGAGGAAACTCTGGAGTTGGTCATGAATGATTATTTGCCGAGCATAGACACCAAATTGATATGAGGACCCCTTCAAATCTCAAATAAATGCACAGATACTTTAACAAAAAAAAAAAAAACGAGATGGTCCATGAGGCCAATATCCTTGACTCAAAATGTCAGCAAAGGTTGTCCCTTCAAAAGGTAATAATATGTTTCTATAAGACATGAAACACTTTAAATCAATATATATTGTATTAAAGCCTTGCTTTTGGTGGGTAGTTTTTTTTTTAATAAAACATCAAAAGATGAAAGAAAACTATTGTTTCAGCCCCCTGAATCCCTGGGGAGATACAAGCCTTTACATTCTGCTGACATGGGCACAAGAAAGAGCCAGGGACAGGGAAATTAAGTGAGACCCCTGTTTTCCCATCAGGCTGGGTGTTCTGGCTCGTTTCTCTGGGGGCAGTAGCTGGCACAAAGGCCCCAGCCCCTCTAGGATGGCACAGCTTTGAAATAAGATGCAACAAGGAGGCAGAATGAATTATTTCTGTGAAAGCCCATTCCTCGTTTCGTCACAGGGTAGTTTTATTCAGTAAGTCCAAATTTGGCCATAAGTTCTCTTTCATTACCACAGGAGCGAGAATGAACTTCCCAGAATTATTCAAATCTGGGCTGTAGCCTGTTTCAGGCTCAGCTCCTCTCAAACTTGAATGGGCAGTTGAATCTTCTGGGGATCTTCCTAAAATGCACATTTCTGATTCAAGATGTTTGAGTTCCTGCATTTCTGATAAGCTCCCAAGTGGCTCTGGTGTTCTGGTCCCTGGAGTCTGATGCCAAGTCTTCATCAGCTCACTCTTTCTTACACAGGAAAATAGCAGATAACCAAGGAGTAAGGATCCCATGTATTCTGATCATTTGTTTATACAAGGTTCTGTCAGTTATTTTATTTTATTAAAATAAAAATAACTTAAAATACTTTTTTTGAAAAAAGAGAAAGACAGCAGACCTACATCTAGGTCCTATTGTGTGACATTCAAAATGAACGATGCTCTTTTGTCTAATCCCAGCATGACACTAGTTATGACTCTCATTTAATCAAACAGCAAACTAAGACTCATATATTAACGTTTTCAAAGTCATCTAGGCAATAAGTAGCCAAGGTGGGATTTGAAATCAGTTGTCTCTGACTCCAAAGTTTAGAGGCTTTCCGATATTTTGGCTTCTTGGATTATTAGTTAATAATACTTTCAATTAGGGTCAGGAGCGGTGGCTCACGCCTGTAATCCCAACACTTTGAGAGGCCGAGGCAGGCAGATCACCTGAGGTCAGGAGTTCGAGACCAGCCTGACCAATATGGCAAAACCGCGTCTCTACTAAAAATACAAAAATTAGCTAGGCATGGTTGGGGGTGCATGTAATCCCAGCTACTCAGGAGGCTGAAGCAGGAGAATCACTTGAACCTGGGAGGCAGAAGTTGCAGTGAGCCGATATCGTGCCATTGCACAGCCTGGGCAACAAGAATGAAAATCCATCTCAAAAAATAAAAAAATAAAAATATGCCTTTCATTTAAACTCAATTTGGTAGATATGTGCATATGTAGAGAGAGGGAAATATAGATTGCGTGTGTGTGCGGTGTTTGTGCACAAAGAACAAGGAAGAGAGGACACATAGATGAAGAGGACCCATTCAAGCCCTCCAGGATCACACAGTCCCCTAGAAAGTAAGGCTCAGGAAGAGATCACTCTACCGCAACAAGCCTAGCACTGTAGTGGAGGCGCTGGCTGAGAGGCACGCTTTGCACAGAATGCAGCTCTTGGAACAGTTGCCACCTCAGCTGGTTTTGAGGGGTGAAGATGAGCTTATTTGCCAAAGGAAGGTAGATGCATTGCCAGGTGGATCGCTGCGTCTCCAGAAGATCGCTGGAGAAAAGTCATGGAACCATGACATAAATTGTATGTATTTTAAGGAGAATTTTTGATTAATGACCATGGAGGATTCCTTTACTTACTAGTTCCAAAGTTAATTAATAAGTTATTATTTTTAAAGGTTCTGAGTGATAAGAGACTGACACATCAATTATACGAGTTTTCTTTTCTTTTTGACAAAATCCCTTCATTTGTCTATCTAAGATCACAGATAAAAGTCATTTTTTACCCATAATAACTTCTTAGCCTCCAGCTGATAAGGCAGACAAAAAGAAATTAATCTACGCTCCAGCTCCATGGGCTTAACCCAGCCACTGCCTCCCCTCCTAAGCCTGAGATAATCAATTTTGATGACAACAAATGATACCTTTATCTTTCTTTTCTGGGCTCTGAGAGATGGGCTGCTTCTACTCTCAATCAGAGAGCTGTTACAAAGCAGCAAGCACACGGCATTCAAATAACACCACACAAGCTAAAAAGCCTGGACAATATCAAGCTAATGGCTATAATTTAAATAATAAAAATAAATAGGCAGATTCTAGGTACAGTTTACTGAGTCAAATGAAGAAAATTCTTCAAATGACAAATTGCCAAAAAACTTCACTGCCCAGGGTCCTCTGGCACATTTGTGTAAGAGACTGATGCTCTGTTCTGCTGCCCAGCAATGACACCCTGGGCTGGAGGCCTTCTTCTAGCCATCACGTTATTTTTATTTTTTTCCTTAACAAACATTCTTTTTTTTTTTTCTTGAAAGGGTGGATTTTATTTTTATATTTGTTTTTATTTTTCTATTTACTTTTTCATTTCAATAGGTTCTTGGGGAACAGGTGGTGTTTGGTTACATGAATAAGTTCTTTATTTCTGAGATTTTGGTGCACCCATCACCCAAGCAGTGTACACTGTACCCAATGTGTGGTCTTTTATCCCTCGCCACCCACATCCTGAGCCAAGACTATAGAAGCATCTCACACCCCTCACTAACTCAGGTCTTCCATCTCCACAAGGAGTTAAATTCTAAGAGGCCTGATGTTCCCAAATTGTAGAAGCCAGTCGAGTCTAAATCACTCCTGGTCAGAATGCAAATGGTAGGCCCCTCTAGACATTTATCTTCTTGCCTTGTTCATATTTACATAATGCTTCAAATATTGTGGGATATTTGATTATCCTTATGGAAATGAAAATAAAATTGGAGCCCTTAACTAGTCTATAAGCAATAATCTATCACAGACAGATCAAAGACTTAAAAAAATCAAAATTTGAAAACACTTGGTAGAAAACAGTGAGAAGTATTTTATGACCTCACAAGAAACCACAAGGAAATAATTTCTTAGTAAAACATGACAAGGGCAAACTTAAAGAAAGCAATTAATATAGTCAACCACATACAAATCTTAAAACGTCTCTCTATCAAAAGAAACCATTTGAGAAGTGTGAAAAAATTATAAGAAAATGGGAAGACAATATTGGGAATGCATATAACCCCCCAAAGTATTTGTTTTTAAGATGTGTAAGGCAATCTATAATTCAATGAGAAAGCCATGGACAAGGATGTTCACAGCAAGGCTGCTTCTAATTACAAGTGTCTGGAAACAGACCAGATGCATACCAAGAGGAAAATGGATAAATAAACTGAGGTCTGTTCAGCCATTTTTATACAAAACAACAGCTTGAAGGACTGAATTGAATGAGAGGTATAATCTGTAAACATGGATGAATATCATAAACATAAAGCTGACTTTTTTATAAAAGCAAAGTTGCAAAGGATGTATACATTAGAATCTGTTTATATAATGTTTAGAAATGGGAAACGATGCCATACGTGTAGTAAATATAAAGACATTCATGGGAATGATAAACTTCCCAAAATTATGTAAAATTATGCAAAATTCCCCCAGGAAAGCAAAATTATGATTCCCTCTGGATAGAGAGAAGGGTGTGCTGATTGCGGAAGAGAATGCCAAAGACTTCAAATATTTTGGCACTATTGTATTCCTTAAGCCAAATTTTATGTTTATAAATATTTATTTTATTATTCAGTATATCCTTTAATATGTTGAGAAAGCTTCACAATAAATATTTTTTTTAAAGTAGTAAAAAATGAAATGGAAGTTTGATATGACCTTCAAGAAGAACACCACAACAAGATAAAGCAGAAAGTTAAGAGAGAGGCGGGGTGCGGTGGCTCACGCCTGTAATCCCAGCACTTTGGGAGGCTGAGGCCGGCAGATCATGAGGTCAAGAGATCGAGACCATCCTGGCCAACAAGGTGAAACCCCATCTCTACTAAAAATACAAAAATTAGCTGGGTGTGGTGGTGTGCACCTGTAGTCCCAGCTACTTGTGAGGCTGAGGCAGGAGAATCACTTGAACCCGGGAGGCAGAGGTTGCAGTGAGCCAAGATCACGCCACTGCACTACAGCCTGGTGACAGAGTGAGACTCCATCTCAAAAAAAAAAAAAAAAAGAAAGTTAAGAGAGAGGCAGGGAGAAGAGGGAGAGAAAGAGAGAGAAAGGTGAGATACACATATTCTAATGACTCTTTAGTAATAGCTCCCAAAGCAGAAAATAAAAGGGAAAAATACACACAAACCAATAATAGGAGAAACTTCTTAGAATTTAAACAAGACATGAAACTTGTTTCATGGGGGCCCAAATGATGCCAAATGAAGACCCATACAAATACATCATGATGAACTCCAAAGAAAAGGAGAACACTCAAAAACTTCTAGAGAGATGAAAGAGTACTTACAAAGGAAAGATAACTAAATTGATATGACTACCTATTGACAGCATTAAATACAGAAAGACAATAAAATACTTTCTTCAAGGATCTGAGGAAAACATTTTTATCAAGAATTTTTAATTAAAGCCATCCAATATTCAAGAGTGAGGGGAAAATAAAACATATTTAGAATTAAGGAAGACAATAAGTTCACTTTTCACAGATTATCCTAGAAGAGCTATCAAAGGATACACTCTGACAAAACAAAAACAAAGTGCATTCAAGAGTGAATGGATGTGAAACTGATTACTAGAAAAACTAAGCATTAAAACTTATCACAAAGTCTAAGAAGGAACAAAAATAAAAACAATATAAGTAAAATCCTACATTATACCAAGAAAGGCAGCTAGGTGGAGGGAAAAAAGAAATAAAACAAAGTATGTTTCTTGCTTATTCTGTGCAAGCATATAGCTTCTTATTAAGGCAAGAGATTAATTTAAAATAAATATATGTATAAATACTTCACATATCCCTTAATTTAAGAGAAATCACTGAAAGAACAGATACCCTTTCAAATCTGTTTTCAGATCTGTTTCTCAAGAAGATTGACCTTACGTTTGCTTCTCAGAGTCTTATGGTTTTAGTTCTTATATTTAGGTTGCTTATCCATTTTTGAGTTAATTTTTATTTATGGTGTGATGCAAGCGTCCAATTTAAGAAGCACCCAATTTTATTCTTTTGCATGTTGTAATCCAGTTGTCTGATAATCCTTTCTCCATTCCATGGACTTTGCACACTAGTCAGAAATCATTTGACTGTAGGAATATGGGTTTATTTCTGGACTCTAAATTCTGTTCTATTGGTTTTGGTGTCATATCTAAGAAGTAATTCTACAAAAGTCAAGAAAAGAAATAAAATGTATTGAATAGAAACTTCTAAATAAAAAGATAACATTTGTACCAATATATTTTAAATCACCATAAACGAAAATTGAAAAGATATGACACCAAAAGTATAAACAACAAAAAGATAACTAGATTAAATTGGACTTCATCAAAAATTAAAAACATTTGTGCATCAATGGAAAATATCAAGAAAGTAAAAGAAATCTACAGAATGGAAGAAGATATTTACAATTATGTATCTGACAAAGGTTTAACATGCATAATATATAAAGAACTACAACTCAACAAGAAAAAGACAAACAACCCAATTTGATTTTTAAAATTTTTTACTGATACAGTTGTACATATTTTGGGAGTATATGTGATATTTTGACAGATGTATATAATACGTAATTATCAAACCAGAATAACCAGTATATTTATCATCTCAAACATTTATTTTTTCTTTGCGTGGAGAACATCACAAATCTCTTCTATTTTGAAATATGTAATAAATCATTGTTAATTATAATTTCCCTACTGTACTATCGAATACAGGAATGAATCCCTTCTAGCTAAATGTATTTTTGTACCCCTTAACCCAGTAGTTCCCAACCTTTTTGGCACCAGGGGCTGGTCTCATGGAAGACAATTTTTCCACGGAACCGGGGGTGGGCGGAATGGTTTCAAGATGATTCAAGTGCATTACATTTATTGTGCACTTTATTTCTATTGTTATTACACTGTAACATATAATGAAATAATTATACAACTCACCATAATATAGAATCAGTGGGAGCTCTGAGCTTGTTTTCCTTCAACTAGACGGTCCCATCTGGGGGTGATGGGAGACAATGACAGATCGTTAGGCATTAGATGCTTATAAGGAGCATGCAATCTAGATCCCTTTCATGCGCAGTTCACAATAAGGATTGTGCTTCTATGAGAATCTAATGCTGCTGATGATCTGGAGCTCAGGCAGTAATGTGAGTGATGGGGAGCGCCTGTAAATGCAGATGACTCTTCCCTTGCTTGCCCACCACTCATATTTTGCTGTGAGGCCTAGCTACTAACAGGCCACTGATCGGTACTAGTCTGTGGCCCGGGGGTTAGGTACCCCTGCCTTAGCCAAGTTCTCCTCATCGCCTCTCCTGCTTCCCTTCCCAGCCTCTGGTAACCACCATTCTACCCTCTACCTTCATGAGATCCACTTTTCTAGCTCCCACATATGAGTGAGAACATGTGATATTTGTCTCCATGCCTGGCTTACAACCCAATTTAAAAATGGGCAAAAAACCTGAATAGACATTTCTCCAAAGATATATAAATGGCCAATAAGCACATAAAAGATGCTCAATATCACACATCATTAGGTAAATGCAAATCAAAACCACAATGAGATACCACTTCATACCTGCTAGAGTGGCTATATTTAAAAACCAAACAAAAACAAAAATACAAAAAATACAGCAGTCCCTCTTTATCCCCAGTTTCACTTTCCACAATGTTCATAGTGTTACTTATGCTCAACCATGGTCTGAAAATAGGTGAATCCAGTACAATTCGATATTTTGAGAAAGAAAAAGACCACTTTCACTCAACTTCTATTTGAGTATATTGTTATAATTGTTTTATTTTGTTATTAGTTATTGTTGTTAATCTATGACTGCTCCTCATTTATAAATTAACCTTTATCATAGGTTTGTATTTATAGTAAAAAAGCAGTACATATACAATTCAGTACTATCCATAGTTTCAGGCATCCATGGGGGGTTTTGGAATGTACCCCCTGTGGATAGGGGGAACCACTGTAACAAGGGTTGGCAAGGACATGGAGAAATTAGGACTCTTGTATATTGCTGGTGGGAATGTAAAAATTATGTAGCCACTGTGGAAAACGGTTTTGCCGTTCCTCAAAAAGTTAAGTGTGGAATTACCATATAACCCAGCACCAGTCCTAGATAGAATTAAAAAGAAAACTGCAAAAGAATTCAAAATAGGGATTCAAATGAATACCTGCATGCCAAGATTCATTGCAGCACTATTCACAAGGGCCAAAGGGTGAGAGATAACCCAAACATCTACCGACTGATGAATTAGTAAACAATGTGGTATATTCATACAATGGACTATTACTCAACCATAAAAAAGAGTGAACTCTGAACACATATTATAACATGGATGAACCTTAAAAACACTATGCTAAGTGAAATGAGCCAGACACAAAAGGACAAATATAAGCCCACTTATATTAAATATTGAAAATAGCTGGAAATTCACAGAGGCAGAAGTAGATTAGAGGTTACCAGGGGCTGCAGAGAGAGGAGAATAGGAAGTTATTACTTGATGGTTACAGTTTCTATTCAGAGTGATCAAATAGATAGTGGTGATAGCTGCACATTATAAATGTAATTGATATCATGGAATTGACTTAAATGGTTTAAATGGCAAATTTGTTATATGTATTTTACCAGAAGAAAAAAATAAATTTTTTCCAAAATAAACTCAGATTGAATAACAAAATCCAGTCTATTTACTGTTCAAATGAGACACAACTGTAATAAAAACATCAAAAGAAAACTGAAACAACTATAGAAACATACATACAATGCAAATGTTAATAAAATAAATAAGAAAGTAGAGCTGTAATACTAACAATAAATGTTAACAGAATTCAATTTGGAAAACAGGAGAAACAAAAGGAAGATATTTCATTTTGATTTTTTAAAAGTCCAACTTGCAATGAAAATATTGCATAACATTGATGTATGTACCAGGCCACATAGAGTGGAAATATATGAAGCAAAATTTGGGGGAACTATGGGAGAAATTGACATCCACAATCATGGAAGTAGATTTAAACACACCTTTTTCAGACATCAGTTAGTAAAAAAAAAAGAAAAAGTAGATAATGTTTGAATAATAAAATTTAAAAGCTTGATCTAGTATCTAACTCTATATAGAAATTTGTCTCTAACAGAACAACACTTTCTCTTCAAACATATGTGGAAAATTGACAACACAAATTATGTTAGGCCACAAATGAAATCTCACCGAATTCCAAAAAGCAAAAATCAAAGAGGTCACATTCACTGAGCACTACTGCAATCAAAGTAGAAAGTAGCAACAAAAGGCTACAGTAAAGAAAATCCATATGCCTGGATGTTGAAAACTTGCTCTTAATTAATTACAGGGTTAAAGAGGAAATCAAAAGCATAATTTTGATGGAAACATTACTGACAATTTACATATAAACTGAGGGCTCTAACCAAAGTAGTAATGAGAGGAAATATATAAGAGGCCTCTATTAGAAAACAAATGAAAAATAAATAGCTAGTTTTTTAAAAACTAGAAAAATGTGCTCAATAAACAGAAGAGGAAAGGCTTAATATAGATTAAAGCAGAAATTGATGAAAAATAAAATATGAAATGAGTTGATTAATAAAACAAAAGATAATTTGGAAAAATTATTGAAATGGATTAAAAATGGGATGGCTAATCACAGAAATTAAACATTTGAATAGACACTATAAGGAAGTAATTTTTACAAACAGATGAAAAGAAAAATTTTAAAGTGACAGAGAATATTATGTGCAGCCTTTCAACAATCTCTGAAAATCTAAAAGGAATCAAAATTTAAGGAAAATTTAAACTGTCAAAATCAACTCAATAAAAAGTAGAAAACATAATATTCCAATTGCCAAAATTGTAATTATAAGATACAGACAGGAGCAAATCACTTTTCTGAGGAGTTCTAACAAACCTTAAAGAGACAACAACTTTGTGATTTCTTCCAGAGCATAGGAAAAGTGGGAAAACCAACTTCTTTTACCCATCAGACATAAGTATGATACTAAACTGGACAAAAAACAAATGACTAACAGAAAACTATTAGCGAAATTGAAAACAACAGAGTAAAAGAAAACAAAGAGAAATACTAACAACTATAAAAAACAACCTCGTGGCAGGATTTATGTCAGAAACATGACCATACTTCAAGATCAAAAAACTTTCTCAGGGTGATTCACTGTATCACATAAAATTACATAAAATTACTTATCGAAGAAAAATATGGAATAAAAATCATGTCGATAGATTATAAACATCTGATAAAATTTAACCCTCATTCTCATGTTTTATAAAAAGATAACCATCTAGATTTAAATGAAAGTTGCCTCAACTTGAAAAATTTATCTCTCAAAAACCTATAGCTGACCTTAATATAAACATAGTGGTGTCAAATTTATAGCAACCACTATCTGTTGTATGATTCCACATTGCACTGAGATCTTGGCCAATACAATAAGGAATGAAGTGATATTCTTATCATTATTGGTATTCAATATGATCATCTAGCTAGAAAATATAGAAGAATCATTCCATCCATTATTAAAATTAATTGAATTTGACAAGGCATCTATAGTTCACATCAACTTACACAAATCAACAAATTCTTATATGCACTCTAACCCCAGGTTTCAGGTGAATCCTACAAACATGAAATACAAATATGAAACATACGAAAAGTTATCTGTAACACACAATTATCCTAACCTAACAGGATACATTAGCAATTGAGTTTCATGAGTGTTAATTTATGTAAATATTTTATTTCCTTTGTTCAGTATATAGTTGTTTCTAATCTATAGATTGACACTTGTTTTCATCTGTGAGCAAGAAGGGATAATCCAAGGAGCTTCAAGCATGTCAAGTAATTTCAGAAAAAGTAGGAACTCAGAAAAAGAGCCACAGAGATTGCTTAGCAAGGTTGTTCACACAAAATAAGGCAGAATGGAGCTCCGATGATTAGAAGATAGAGTGATCATATACAATAACCAAATAGAGAGATGGTTTAGCAGTAGTTTCTAAAATGTTACATCAGTAAATTTTGCTAATTAAGAGAACAAACCAGGCAGACAAAATCCCTCTTCTGCTAGGAGATGAAAATTCTAGCTGGCTCTACCAATTATAACAAAAGAATCCCAGGGGACACACAAGTTTTAACAGTGTTAATAGACCAGGTTAATCCATCATCACGCTAGAATGACAAGTTATATAACAATGGCCAAGTAAGATTTAAAATTACATATCATAAAAAAGAAACATATTGCAGAAAATAAAGGAAAGGAAGAAGAAAAAGGGGGAGGGAAGGAAAGGAGGGAGAGAAGAAACTCAATGTGAAAGGAGTGGATTTAAAACTCGTAGGTGGGAATTGAACAATGAGAACACATGGACACAGGAAGGGGAACATCACACAGCGGAGACTGTTGTGGGGTGGGGGGAGGGGGGAGGGATAGCATTAGGAGATATACCTAATGCTAAATGACGAGTTAATGGTGCAGCACACCAACATGGCACATGTATATATATGTAACAAACCTGCACATTGTGCACATGTACCCTAAAACTTAAAGTACAATAATAATAAAATTTTTAAAAAAATCTTTTTAATGTAAGAAGAAAATGTTATATTTGAGAAGAAAATTGGGGCAGCTGATGAGTAACTCAGAATCTCTGACGGGGAAACAGCAAAGTTTGGTGCTCTACATAAAAATCAGTTTGCTATTTCAGATCCTATAGCTTCAACCAGTTGGTAGTCACTTCTTATTTTCTTTTAGACCTGGAAAGAGTACTCTCACTGTGGGAAGGATTGAATTCTGTCCTAAAGGTTGTTAAGAACTATATTAAATAATAATATAAAAATGAATGTAAACTAAGTAATTTAGCTCTTGGTCAGCAAATCACTTAGAAAATGAGCTTTTAGCAAACTTTCTGTGGCGTGCTAACATATTTTGAGCACACCCAATCACTCTAATACGTCTGGAATAGTGCAGAGTACAAATCCTGTCCCACTGACTGTAGACGTCACAAAACCATTGCCATGGAGAACGCACTTGTTTGGACCCTCTATTCTCCATGAGACAATTTCTGAAAGAGAATGGTAACTGCAATAATTTCAGCTAAGCTGAACATCAAGCTGCCCCCTCTCAGGACTTCCTGGCCAGATACCATGCAGTCACTGGCTTATCCCAGGAGCGACAATTTCAAGGTCTCGTTTGCCCAATTACCTTCTCAAGAAAGGACTAATTAATTATTGTTGTTATCGTTGTTACTATTATTCTTGATTGTTAACACTAGAAACAAGGAACAGATATGAGTAACTGGCAAAAAGAACTGTGTGCACCTGTGCACAAAAAGTGAGGAGGGGCTCCCAAAGACCTCCCCGTACTCCCTTCTCCCCCGCTTAGTATCCAGTGCCTGCAGCTTTACACTTGTTGTTTCATCCTCTTGGGCCAACTTTGCAGATTACAAGATGCTCTCTCTGCCTCAGACCCCACTGCCCTTTTTCGGGTTCTCTCTCATTCTTTACCCAGACTTAGCTGAGGCATGCAACACCTCCTCTGGAAATCTTGGGGCTCCTCAAGTTTCCCAGGACACCTGATACCACTGCAGTCTCACACCCACCACACTGTGCTGGCACTGCCTGTAACTGTGCTGGCACTGCCTCTCACCCACATGAGACCCTAGAAGGCAGAGGCTGGATAGGATCTATCTTTAAGTCACTTCACGCAGTATAATCCTGATTCACAATAAACATTCAGTGATTATTTATTGAGCTGAATTAAGCTGAAAAATGAATGTAAGTCTAAAAAAGAGTAATCAACTCTTCCGTCTGTATTAGCTATCTCCTACTCACTCTAAAGTTCACCAAAACTTAGTTAGCAGCTAGAAGTGCCCCCAACTAATTCAGACATAGATGAACCAAAAAGACTAATAGACTCGAAACACCAACCCCAATACCAGACCCATAGAAGATGCTTGATCATCTTGGTCACTGACATGTCTTTCTGGTCATTTACCCATGAGCCATCCTCCCACCCATCACGGCACCTTCCAGGTTCTTCTTGTGCTCACTCCCTGTTTCTCCGGACCCACAATTCTTCCTTGTCTATCTGAATTCTCTCACTCCAGCCATCACAGATTATCTGCTTCCAAAACCTCATTTCTGACAATGCATTCTGATTTCTCTCTCTTCATTTATTCTCCGTGTTCATCTTCAATTCTTATATCTGTTTCTTTTTTTTTTTTTTTTTTTGAGATAGAGTCTTGCTCTGTCACCAAAGCTGGAGTGCAGTGACATGATCTCGGCTCACTGCAACCTCCACTTCCCGGATTCAAGTGATTCTCCTGCCTCAGCCTCCCAAGTAGCTGGGATTACAAGTGCATGCCACCGTGCCTGGCTAATTTTTGTATTTTTAGTAGAGATGGAGTTTCACCATGTTGGCCAGACTGGTCTCGAACTCCTGACCTTGTGATCTGCCCTCTTCGGCCTCTCAAAGTGCTGGAATTACAGATGTGAGCCACCACGCATGCCTGCTCTTAGCTCTGTTTCATCTCCTGATTTCACCTTTAGGTCCCAACCCTAAAAGGGAGGTTTATCTGCAGAGTGAACCCCCACGTCCTCAAAAAAGGAAATTATACTGCACAATGAGAAGCAGAATGGCAGTGAAGAAGACTCTTAATGCAGCCAGCACCAGTTTCCTCAAAATGAGCAGTTTTAGCAGGTTTGATCGCTGAGGGAAAAGATGGGGCTACACAGGAGACAGAAAGAACAGTTGCCGTAGCAATAAACACCAGACATAGAGGCAACAGCTAATGTTGCGTGTTACTGTGGACCACAGTAAAATCTTTCCAGCTCAAAGTCCAGTACGGTTAGAAATACCAAATTGTGCAGCCCATATAGAATTTGGCAATATTTAACAAATATATACATTCATTGGCCTTAACTCCAACAATCCCACTTAGCCTAAATATACATTTCAAATAATACCAACAACCACGTGCACTTTGTTATTTATTGAAGTATTATTTGACTTTATAAAAGATACCAAAGAGTCATATGGAGACATAGGGTATAACCTGTGTTATATACACATGGTGGAGTACTATGCAACTGTGAAAAAGAACAAGGAAGATTTCTATGAACTGATGTGGAGTGAATTCCGGAAGACATTGTAAAGTTTTTTTAAGGCAATGTGAAAAACAGCATATGTACATGCTGTCTTGCGAAAAGAGAAAAGGAAAAATAAGAAAACATGGCTGTATATTCTCATCGTCACCAACAGGATCACAAGAAGTGCAAACTAGAAAACAATGATGTTAGTTATCTAGAGGAGGTGGGGAGAGATGGGGTAGAAGGGGTGTGAGAGGAAGTACACCATTTATAAAATGCTTGACTTTTAGAATTGGTATTCTTCAGAAATGTCTATGTCATAAGATACAAAAAGCCTATGGAAATATGCTAGACATACAACTAAATACAGTAATTTATCGGTGAAAAATACCGTAAAAATTAGCGAATCAACTGATAAAATCAGAACGTGGAGGGTAGATAAAGCATCACAATTATGTTAAATTTACTGGAGTTGAGAACTGCATTGTGTTTATGTGCAGGAATGCCCATATTCTTAGGAGATACTTAATACGTTGTTTAGAGTTAAAGGGCCATAGTGTATGGAACGTATTATGTATTGGTTGAGGAAGAAAGAGAGAGAGAAAGCAAATACAATAGGTGAGTCCAGGCAAAGAGTGTATGGGCATTCTTTGTAATACTTTTTTTGTTGCCACTTTTCTAAAGTTTAACCCATAAAATTAAAAGAAAAATGAACGGAGAAGAGGGAATCTGTAAGAAGATTTTCTTTCTTTTTTTGGGGGGGTGGTCACAGACCCTACTCTCTAATAAATACTCTTAGAATAATAATAATGTGTAACTACCATTTATTATGTACCTGCTATGTGCCAGATACTGGACTAGTGATTTTACACATATTTTCATTTATATTCATAACAACCATACAATGCAGGCTTCCTATTTTCTGCACTATTTTGTATTACTTTTATATCATCTTCCAATGTCTGGAACAACTACAGTTATTTGTAGCTTTATATTAAAAACTTGATTCTAATCACAGATATGTAGATGTGCCCTAACCTATTAAAATAAAGAAGTATTGCAACCCATTAGTTGATTCTCAATGATAAGCAGCAATAGATAACTGTGTAGCTAAAGCTATTATTTTTCCCTTCTGCCGTCCCCAACTTCTAAGCCCATATCAAGCCCTATTTTTTGTTAAAACCTTTTATTTTAACCGTACACATTAAAAACTCAGAGATAACCATGTTTTCTATTCATGGATTTCTCTCTCTAATCTCCAGGAAGTTATTAGAAACTATATCAGTAGTACTTGCATTCGATTATTCTATTATACTAAAATATTTCCTTTCAAAAATCAGAAGTTGCATTCTACCTCCTTCTAGCAAATTGCAAATGAAGCCGGTCATATGAAAAGCTTAACATGAAAGACATTGGGATAAATGTGCTGTCAGGAAAAAAGAGAAAGATGGGTCTAGGAGAAGCCAAATATATTCTAATATCTAGTTTCCTGCTTCTATACAGGACTGCAACTTAACACAAATCTTTAAAATCCTCCAAGACACGGCCGGGCGCGGTGGCTCACGCCTGTAATCCCAGCACTTTGGGAGGCTGAGGCGGGCGGATCACGAGGTCTGAAGATCGAGACCATCCTGGCTAACACGCTGAAACCCCGTCTCTACTAAAAATACAAAACATTAGCCGGGCGTGGTGGCGGGCACCTGTAGTCCCAGCTACTCTGGAGGCTGAGGCAGGAGAATGGCATGAACCCGGGAGGCGGAGCTTGTAGTGAGTGGAGATCACGCTACTCCACTCCAGCCTGGGCGACGGAGTGAGACTCCGTCTCAAAAACAAAAACAAACAAACAAAAAATCCTCCAAGACACATCATTTTCTACTTCCATAGTTATCTTTTAGCCAGGTTTAAGCCTATCAGGGAAAAAAAAATAACTTAGTTCCAAGGAATATCTCCACTTCCTTAGTTGAGGAGATTAAGTCAGTTTCCTCTACTTTAGTATAGTTTTCAGATAACTGATTATGTGATTCATTATTTATGTAGCTGATAATATAATTTATTATTTGGCCACATAATTATCACTCAATGATCAGCAATGAATAGAGAAATGAAATCTCTGGTTTCAAAGATTTTGTTATATTAGCAATAAGGATAATCAGTTTAACTCTCTGACCCCAGGAGACAGAAGACTTCAGATAAAATATATTGTGAAATAATAAACATTCGCATTTTTGTCTACCATTAAGCTTTGCAGTCATCTTGCTAGATGAGAACCCCTCTGCTTTACAGATGAAAGTGCTGAGGCACAGAGAGAAACTATGACACCCTAAGTGCCTAAAGGGTTTGGCATTGGAGTTTCCCCTCCACGGGGCTGTAGCTGACCACCCCTGCCTCTGCTTCTGACACCTAGAGTCATTATGTTCCATGGAGAACATGTAAACGAGCTGTTCATCTTGCAAAATCTTTAGGAAGTGACATTTTCTCTTTCTGCATTACACTTCCTATTCTAGTATACTTTATACTTTAAAAAAACATACTGGAATAGAACCACTACTTTTTTTTTTTTTTTTTTTTTTTGAGACGGAGTCTCGCTCTATCGCCCAGGCTGGCGCGATTTCGCCTCACTGCAAACGCCGCCTCCCGGGTTCACGCCATTCTCCTGCCTCAGCCTCCTGAGTAGCTGGGACTACAGGCGCCCGCCACCGCACCCGGCTAATTTTTTGTATCTTTAGTAGAGACAGGGTTTCACCGTGTTAGCCAGGATGGTCTCGATCTCCTGACCTCGTGATCCACCCGCCTCAGCACTTTGTAATCCCAAAGTGCTGGGATTACAGGCGTGAGCCACGGCGCCCTGCCAGAACCACTACTTTAGTTTTAAATTAGATGCACTAATGAATTGCAACCCTCAGGTCAGGTCTTACTTCCTCCAAGGGGACTTTCTAACCACATGCTTTTCCTCCTTGCTCATTAGTACTCAATGTGTGCTTGGTGAAAGACTGAATGACAAATGAGTGAAAGGCCCAGAGAAAACTCCCAAAGACAGTGCAATCACCGTGGATAATCCTCTTCCGAATCCAGGAATTCAGACTTATGGCTTGCCTTCTCTGAGCCTGTCACTCTGCAGAGACCCTTGTTAGAGAAATGGCTGTGGACAAGTAGCTATGGCTCCCTCCACAGAAAGCTAAAGACCCTTCCCAGTGAAGCCAACTACCATAAGCCATATCTGTCCACCTGAGCAAGTGACCAGCAGGTCGATAGATCATTGGACCATCTCCAGAAGAAAGGAAACAATGACTTTTGAAGGGCATGCTAGTCAAAACCATGCCTCCTTACAGCCATGGAGGTCCCTCACCCTCTCCACTTGCTGATCTAGTCTATGTCTCTGTTCTTTCTGACAGGCCTTCTCACTCTCTGGACTGTTTTCTCTCCATGTACAACCAAGCAAAGACTTCATTTTTTGAGACTCAATAGAGTTGACTGTCTCTGTGAGCTTTCCCCAATTCCTCTGAGAATTTAGAAATAGAAGATTTTTCCCTTTTCTCCCATATTTATTGGTACCTACACATTGCAGTATGGCTTTGTGGTCTATTATTTTACCAAATTTCCAAGTCTTTTTGTAGAAGATAGAAATGGTACCTTGTCCCCTGCCTCCACTTGCTGAAAACATCAGATATGCACCCCCCTACACCCAAAGCACTCCCTGACTCAATACTACACACTCTTCAAGAGGCTTATCTCAGAAACAATGACCAATCTTCTCCCCAGAGAGCACCATGTCAAAGCCCACGAAGCATTGCTCTTCTCTTACCTCAGTCACCATAAGGAGCCTAAGATGCATCCAAGGACTCATGACCTCAATGCTTGACGAGTCCCCCAAGCTGACCCAAACTCCCACCATTCCCTAATCCCCCAAACTTGATGACAGACCATGAGTTCTGGAGGGCAAAGCCTTCCCTATCTTCTTACTCTCACTGACCATTCCCTCCACCTTATCCTAAATGGAAGCTCTGTCTCCCTGATGACCCTATATCCCTGTAACCCTCTCTCAAGTGGGAGTTGTGTTTCTTTCACAGCCATGTCCCATGGAACAGGTTTTCTCTTACACTTCACAGTTGCTTCCACACCGTGTTCTTCCCTTCTCTCTATGACCCCCAGCCCCTCTAAGGCATGTTCTATCAGATGGTAGCCCATCCCCTGTCCTTGCACCAAGCACCTGCCCCCCTCCTGGTCACTTCTCCTCATTCAATGTGGATTCTATTCCCTGGACTGCTGTTTTTCTCTTCACTATCACTCCTATCACGATTCTTGGTGGTTACAAAACCTTTGATACATCTATCCAATATCTGGCCTCTCATTATCTTTATCTTTTCACTGGCAGTGAGTTTGTTTTCTACCCCACGTCAGCCCTTCATCCCCAGTGATTTTTAAGCCAGAATAGTAATTGATTATTGGGTTATGAAATCTAGTTTTGTATTACATTAAATGAAATAAAATATAAGAGGAAATATCAGGGTACATTGCCTGTAATAACCATAGGAATTATTTCACGAAACTTTGCCTCAATTTTATATATATAGGTGTATATATAGGTATGTATATATAGGTGTATATATAGGTATGTATGTATATATAGGTGTATATATAGGTATATATGTATATATAGGTATATATAGGTGTATGTACAGATATATATAGGTGTATATATAGGTATATATGGGTGTATGTATAGATATATATAGATGTATATATAGGTGTATATATAGGTATATATAGGTGTGTATATAGTCGTATATATAGCTGTATATATAGCTGTACATATATAGGTGTATATATAGGTGTACATATATAGGTGTACATATAGGTGTATATATAGGTGTATATCTATAGGTATATATAGGTGTACATATATAGGTGTATATATAGGTGTACATATATAGGTGTATATAGGTATATATAGATATATAGGCATATATAGGTGTATATATAGGTATGTATAGGTGTATATAGGTATAGATATATAGGTATATGTAGGTGTATAGATATACAGGTATATGTATATAGTTATATATAGGTGTATATATAGGTGTGTATATAGGTGTGTATATAGGTGTGCATATAGGTATATATATAAGTGTGTATATAGGTATATATAGGTGTGTATATAGGTATATATAGGTGTGTATATAGGTATATATAGGTGTATATAGACAGGTGTGTATATATAGGTGTATATATAGGTATATATGTGTATATTTACAGAGGTATATATAGGTGTATATATACAGGTGTGCATATATAGGTGTATATATACAGGTGTGTATATATAGGTGTATATAGGTATACTAGGTATATATAGGTATATGTGTATATATGTATATATGTGTATATAGGTGTATATATAGGTGTATATAGGTATATATAGGTATATATGTGTGTATAGGTATATATGTGTGTATATATAGGTATATGTGTGTATATATAGGTGTATATATGTGTGTATAGGTATATGTGTGTGTATATATAGGTATATATGTGTATATATAGGTGTGTATATGTGTGTATCTATGTAGGTGCATATATGCATATATATAGGTGTATATATGTGTGTATCTATGTAGGTGTATATATGCGTGTATATATGTAGGTGTATATATGTGTGTATATATAGGTGTATATATATAGGTATAGGTGTATACATATGTGTGTATATAGGTATATATAGATATATATAGGTGTATATATAGGTATATATAGGTGCGTATATATAGGTATGTATAGGTGTATAGGTATATGTGGGTGTATATATAGGTATATATGTGTGTATATATAGGTGTATATATGTGTATGTATAGGTGTATATATGTCTATATATAGGTGTTTATATGTGTATATATAGGTGTATATATGTATAGATAGGTGTATATATATGGGTGTATATATGTATATATAGGAGTATATAGGTATATATAGGTATATATATGTATATATGTATATATAGGTGTGTATATATGTGTATATAGGTGCATATATGTGTGTATATATAGGTGTGTATATATGTGTATATATAGGTGCGTATATGTGTGTATATATAGGTGTATATATGTGTATATATAGGTGTATATATACGTATATATGTGTATACATACACCTATATATGTATGTGTGTATATATACGTGTATATACGTATATACGTACACCTATATGTATATACATATACATGTATATGCACATATATGTATATACGTATACATGTGTATGCACATATATGTAGATGTGTACACACGTGTATGCACATATGTGTATATGTATACACACGTGTATGCACATATGTATACACACGTGTATGCACACGTGTATACACATATGTATATCTGTGTATAGACGTGTATACACATCTGTGTATAGACGTGTATACACATCTGTGTATAGACGTGTATACACATATATGTATATGTACTCAGTCATGATATAAAATGTATCTCTCTTGTGTTGAGTCATGATCAAAACAGTTCTGAAACCACTGCTGTAAACATACTCATTACCAATAACTGCACCTCATTCAATGTTCCCATGGCAAGCATCTCCCCCTGTAGCCACCACCTTCTCTCTCTTTCTCACTGTCTCTAGCATCCTAGCTCCAGAAATTCTTCAGTCACACCAAAGCTTTCAACCCATTAGCCCCGGCCTTTTCTGTATCCTTTGTTCATCTCAGGTACTCACTTTCCCTCATTGCCTGGCAGCAGTGGCTGACCACTACATGCTGAGATCTTCAAGGACAAAAAACACGTCCCAGTTAACTTTTTATCCCTGACATTAACACTGTGCCTGGCACAAAATAGGTGTTCAGAACATCTTTGTTAAATTAACAAGGCTGTTAAATTTACAAGACTGAGTCCTACTGAACAGGTTGATAAAAGCCTCTATGATTTGTGTTTGATTTTGTTTATCATTGGACGCATATACCAGTTAATCTCCTCTATCAGTACTTCTCTAATTTCTGCTTTGCAAGGTTTTATTCCCACAGTTTTCATTCAGTAAAGTCAGGACCACAGAGATCCTCAATATTCCACTACACCATGAGGGAAATTGCAGTGAGTGAGCAATTTCAGCCATAACTCTCTGGTCATACACCTAGACTGAGAGAAAGAAAACCCTCAACATCTGTCAAAAGATTAATAATTTTTATGTACAGTTCAAAGCTGTCAGGTATAGTTCATTAGAATAATAAATCTATTAAATATTGGAAGGATTAACATCTCATTATCTCACCCTTGTTATAAGAATGAAGGTTTTATTATCCTGATGACTTTAAATAACCCTTCCCACATAGTGCATTCTCCTCACCTCCTCCCCCACCCCTCACAGTTAGGCTTTGACATAATTTTTTTAAATTGGGCATTATCATTTTAAGAGAGCATCAGAATGTCAATCCTGGCTATGGGAGGCTGATGGAAGACTTCGTTTTAAACAATTCTTCACACGTGATTCTTTCGTGCTTATACACTTTCTTTCCTTAATACCTTTACTATCACATTTGGCATTTAATCATTTAAAACTCAAACCAAGATGCAGAACGTGGCAATGAAAAAGAGCACTGGATTAGGATTCCAGAAGCCCCTCCCTGGGGAGGTGGGTGTCTCCATTACAGACTCACTGGGGGAGCCTTGTCAGTTCCCTGCTTGGAATATTCTTTTGCCTCATTCAAAGCTGAGCACCAGCAACTCCCCTATGCAGCCTTTGTGGATCCCTCCAGGATAGCAGACTCTTTTATATGCCCTCACTCAATCTTAAAATCTTAAAACATCAAAAATAAGTAAAATACCTGTAACTATATTTATCACATTTTCCTGCAGTCTTTTTTTTTTCACTCAGTTTAGTGCCTGGCACATAGTAGGTTCACAACATATTTACCGAAGGAATAACAAAAAGTGTCTCTCCTAATTGACTCTAGTACATAGTAGGTACTCAATACTGGTATTGATTTAATTGAATAATTTGGGATAGAATTTTTCTTTCTATTCTGTGGAGAAATCTAGAAATCAGGGTGATTTAATAACTCATTCCAGGCCTTAGAGGCAATAAGTGCTGGGGCTGGGATTTGAACACAGGCCTGCCTAGCTTCAAGCACTCACCCATTCCACTGCATCAGTCTTCCTCCATGTGAGCCTCTGGTGTCTTTCTGTGTCATCAGAGGCTGCATAAACGTTATTGACTGGCCGTTTGACTTGGACCCATTGGAATATCATCAGGGCACCAATTGTGCACATCAGATGAGGCAAAATATCACTGAACTTACTGCTGCTCCTCTTTGGTGGGACAGCTGACTACTAAGTGCAAACCCTTCCCTAGCACATCTCTGAATGTACTTTAAAAAAGGTAGAGGACACTCTCTTCCCTCAGGAAATGTGTAGATTAAAAGCCGTTGAAAGAAAGAAGACACACACTCTGCTCACAGTGACATCATCTCACCACAATCTCCACCCAGAGGCATCAAGAAAAGAAGTATCAATGGTACTTCTAATGACTTCTCTGGATCCCAGAGATGGGCTGCTCAATCAATGTTGCTGAAACTAGCATGGCCATTACATGTTTATTAGGAAGATAACATCATTTCATTTTACCTTGTCAGGTAATTTTATATCTAACACAAACACGGGGTATAAACAGTAACAAACAGCTGGAGAGGAGAAAAATGGTTATGTCACCCCATTGTGTAACATCCTAACGACAAAGCCAATCTCCAAAACAGATTGCAGACTCCACTTGAAAAGCTGCTGGTTTGCCCCAATTGACTGATTTTCTTTGTTTGTTTCATTTTGTTCAGACTTGATAAAGGCGTCATCAATTAACACTCCACCCCCCACTCAAATTCTGTCCTTCGAAATCACACAGGCTTGCCCAGCACAGGCCATGGATGGGCACCATGTTCTCAGAAATCACATAGCTCTTTTTGAGTTGGCTTCTTTGAAGCCAAAGTATTCATTCTCCTTGAGGCTGATTGAATCATCTCTTCCAATTCCTCCATGTCTGTCCTCTGAGTTTGTCTGTTGAGTTTTAATTAAGACACTTTGGAAAGTTTTATACTCCTCTTTCAAATAGCAGCTTAGCCTGATAAAATCTCCCAACCATGGCCACCCTGGCCAACTAGACTTAGGATAGTGAAATAGGACATCTTTCTAGGTGTCAGCTTCATTCTTTTCCACTTGCAAATGATACATGATGAGCCTTGGTCTATGGAACTAATTGTTTCTTCCCAAATAAATTCTCCTACTGTCAAAGTTTAGAAAATCAAATAAGACCCTTTAGACAACCCCAGAACTTGACCTTAGCAATATTACCTTTTCTTTATTCTTACCAAAAACCTTTGATATCTATGTTTTATTTTTAATCTGATGTATTTAAAATAGTTAATGTGGAGCTTCCAGTTAAAGATGGTGGAATAAAGCTTGTCTATTCCAATTTCCTCTTTGAAAGCAAGAGAAAATAACAATAAGAATAAAAATAAAAATTGAAAAAAGAACTCTCTTCCTCTTGGCATATGTAGAAAGAGTCTAAAGATGCAAACCCAGCTGCTAAAAGAAATTATTCTCCTTGTTTTTCTCTGATAGGTAAGGCCCCACTCAACAAAGTGGTGAAAAATTAGTCTATACAGATGGCAAGTAAGCATATGGAAAGATGCTTCACATCATATGTCATCTTAGAAATGCAAATTAAAACAGCAATGAGATACCAATACATACTTATTAGAATGGCTAAAATCTAGAATACTGAGAGCACCAAGTCCTTGCTGGAATGTGGAAAAACAGGAACGCTCATTCATTGCTCTCATTGCTGGTGGGAATGCAAAATAGTACAACCACTTTGTGAAACACTTTGGCAGTTTCTTACAAAGTTAAACATACTTTTATAGGATCCAGCCATTGTGCTCCTTGGAATTTACCCAGAAGAGTTGAAAACATGTCTACACAAAAACTTGCATGCAGATGTTTATAACAGCTTTATTAATAATTGCCAAAACTGAGAAGCAAACAAGACATCCCTCAGTAGGTGAATAAACTGTGGTATATGCAGACAGTGGAATATTATACAGTGCTAAAAAGAGTGATCTATCAATCCATGAAAAGACATGAAAGAAATTAAAGTGTATATTACTAAGTGAAAGAAGCCAGTCTGAAAATGCTACATACTGCATAATTCCAACTGTATGACACTCTGCAAAAGGCAAAACTAAGGAGACAGTGAAAAGAGCAGTGGTTTCCAGGGGATGGATGGAGGGAGGGATGAACCAGTGGAGGGCTGAGGATTTTTAGGGCAGTGAAAACACCCTGTATGACTATAATGGTGGATCCATGTCATTACACATTTGCTTAAACCCACACAATGTATAGCACCAAGAGTGACCCCTAATATAAACTATGGACTTTTTGATGACAATGATGTGTCAATGTAGGTTCAGCAATTTCTTTTCTTTTTTGTTTTGTTTTTTAAATTAATTTTTAATTAATAAATAATACCTTTACAAATTCTTGTGGTAAATGGATATGTGATGTTTCAGTACATACATGTTCTGGTTGGGGAGGTCAGTGTGTGGGAAGCGGCCCAGAATGTGTGGGGGGAGGGTTATGTGAAAAATCTCTGAAGCTTCTGCTGCATTTTGCTGTGAACCTAAAACTGCTCTTCAAAAATAAATCTTTTAAACAAATTATCATTAAATATGAATATGCCACATTTTGTCCATTTATCAGTGGATGGATAATAGATACTTTTTAAAATTATCATTGTCTTTACGTTTCTCTAGCAATTAAAACCCCAGGCAGTGAAGTGGTGGGAAACTCAACCTCAGTTGACTGGTTTCTCTCAGAGGTTTCCCTTCATGTCCAAGTTCCAAGGTTTGTGTAGTACCCAGGATGTGAGTGTTTGTATTGTCTTGTGTATAAGAGATGGGAAAGCATAGGGGGAAACCTAGAATTGAATTCATCTGTCCATAGAGGAAATGATTACTCCCATGTCTCAAAGATTCACAGTCATTGATACACACAGGATGCTGCTGCTAGGGGACCCTCTGCCCATTCGTGCATTTTCATCTGGCCCTTCTGATGCTCGCCTGTGACTCCTAAGCGCATGGTCAGCATGTTGAGGTCAGGTTGGCCATTGCTGAGCGGCACCAGGCAGCACACCCTAGCGGAGGTGGGTCACTTTCCTCTGCTCTGTGTGGGAAAGAGGCACACATTTTCCCTGCTCTTGAGTCCTCCATTGCTCCCAGAGTCTTGCTCTCCGCTCAAGAGTCTGGTGAGGAGGTGGAGCACAGAACCCCTTTCTCCAGAATGCATAAACTCTTCTCTCTCAGCCTCATCAATTCCCAACTCCTGAGAAAATGGTTTCTAGTCTGGAGAGAGGGTGGAAGGTTGTAGAGCCCATTATTCCCCTTCCTTAATCTTTTCCTCTAATATTTTAGGCTTCTGGAACACAAAAGCCAAAGTCTTCCAGATAGAGATAAAAAAATTCTATTAATATGCAAGTCATTTCTAATAACACAGCAAGAAATATATGGTGTTTTTTAAGATTCATCCAAGTTGTAACATGCATCTATACTTTATTTCATTTTATGGTGAAATGACATTTCATTGTATGGATATGCCACATTTTTGTTTGTCGATTTATCAGCTGATGGAAATTTGGGTTATTTTCACTTTTTGGCTATTGAGTCTGCTATAAACACTTGTGCACAAGTTTTGTTTGAAAATCTGTTTTCAATTTTTTTGTATATATGCCTAGGAGTGGAACTGCTGAGTCATGTACTAAGTAAAAAAGGCAGACACCAAAGGCTATGTATTGTATAATTCTATTTCTTTCTTTCTTTCTTTGAGACAGAGTTTCGCTCTTGTTGCCCAGGCTGGAGTGCAATGGCACCATCTTGGCTCACTGCAACCTCCACCTCCTGGGTTCAAGCGATTCTCCTGCCTCAGCCTCCCGAGTAGCTGGGATTACAGGCACATGCCATGAAGCCTGGCTAATGTTATACTTTTAGTAGAGACCAGGGTTCTCCACGTTGGTCAGGCTAGTCTTGAACTCCCGACCTCAGGTGATCTACCCGCCTGTATAATTCTATTTAAATGGAATGTCCAGTATTGGCAAATTGAGAGAGACAGAAAGCAGATAAATGGTTGTCAGGGCCTGGGAGGAGGGGGAAATGGGGAGCGGCTGCTTTCAAAGGGATGAAATGTTGTAAAGTTAGATAGTGGTAAGCGTTGCACAATACTGTGAATGTCCAAAATGCCATGAAATTGTATACTTTAAAATGGTAAATTTTAAAGAATCAAAAAACATAAAGAGATAATGTCTTATATAATATATACTTGTACGTGATATAAAATATATTGTATATACTATAAAATGTGCACTCTACTTATATAACATAAAATTATGTAAAGTTTTATACTTACATAAATGTATAATTTTTATATGGATATAATACATAAATATAATGTATATACATACAAAAATAGCTCCCCAAATAGCTATAACCCTAACCCACAGTCGATGAAAACTAGGCATAAAAATTTGTTAATTGTGGATAAAATTAGGAGAACACCAATTCAACTTTTGGAAAAAAGCGGACAGGTAAGTTATTGATTAGCTCATTTCTCATACCAAGAACCTAATGATTACTGCTTAATACTGAAAACCAAGAAATAGAAATTTGAGTATATGATTTAAAGTATAAAAATAATCATGTAGGGACTTAAGGAGAGGTCACGGTACTTGGAAAGAGGCAGAAGTTAGAAAATGAAAGGGGTGGTCTGTAGAAAAGAAGCAGGTCAAAAGTCAAAGGTCAAAAAAAGCAAATGGCAGTAAAAGGAAATACATATGCACTAATTATTTCGACTTTCATAGTGGGACAGCAAAAGATACTGCCACAGATACTTTCATAGCTGAAGAATATAGAGTTAAATGTATTATTATCATTTAATAAGTTTCATTCGTTCCTTCAGTTTCATAGCTGAAGGAATATAGGGTTAAATGTATATGAAAAAACAATAACAACAACAAAATCGAAACAAGCAGTAACAATATTAATAACAAAAGTGAAAACAGAACATAAACTTTCCAGGCTCTCAGAAAGAATACACCCACATGCGCAAAGCAAAGAAAACACAAAGATGTGCCACAATGCAGAAAACACTAAAAGCAGAGGTTGAAAGAACATACCAAATATAACTGTCATATCAATAAATGTTAATAAGATGAACTCATTTTTAAAAGAAAATATTTCTCAGATTTCATAAAACATGAAATCCATCCACATGCTGTACACAGGAGACACAAATAAAAGACTCAGGAATTTTGAAAGAAAAGTGATAAATAGTAACAGATTATACAAGCAAATGGAAACAAAACGAAATCAGGAGTCAACTATTAATATTAGTCCCAGCTGCATGCAAAGCATAAGGTAATAAGTGAAATGAAGTGTACTTAATAATGATGGAAGGTGCAATCCACAGTGAAGATCTGTCATAAATCTTCACACAAGAAAACATAAACATTTATGAAGCAAGAACAATGAGAGACAGATGGAAATACAGAACCAGTTAAGATGTTTTTCTCACTGGCCTCTGGCCATCAAAAATAAAGTAGAACAAAATAAAATATGAGAGCTTCAAACTACTTACTTAATATGTTAGATGTAATAGACATATCAAGCTGTATATTGTGAAACTAGAGCATATAATCTTCTTTTCAGATGCCTGAGGAATGTTATTTTTAACTGGTCATATATTTTGCCACAAGAAAGCTTCAACATACACCCCAAATTAGCCTCCCATATTCTCTGATCTTTCAGATAACATTTTAAAAATTTAGAAGATAATAATACAAATAGACAAGAAAAATATCAAACCACTGATATTTCTGAAAACTTTTTAAAAATAATCTTTGGCTGAAAAGGAAAATCAAAAGTCAAATTACACAATATCTAGGAAATATGAAAATTGGTTGCACTAAGTATCAGAATTTTAGTGCTGCAGCCAGCTAACAGCATTGTAGGAAAATTCATAGCTTTAAATATTAAATTTCTAAATAGAAAATAATTTAAATAATTGAGTTAATCATTAAAATTAAAAAGATGAAGAGGTAAACAGTAAAATAATCCAAAGAAAGCAGAGTGTAGAAAGTAATTTGGAAAAATTAAAACAACAAATTAGTAGAACAAAAGAAAACCATTAAATAAATAAATGGATCCAAGAGCTTTTCTTCTTGAGAAAAGAAATGTATATAAAGAAACAAAACTAATTAAACTAAAGAGCTTCTGCACAGCAAAAGAAACTACCATCAGAGTGAACAGGCAACCTACAAAATGGGAGAAAATTTTCACAACCTACTCATCTGACAAAGGGCTAATATCCAGAATCTACAATGAACTCAAACAAATTTACAAGAAAAAAACAAACAACCCCATCAAAAAGTGGGCGAAGGACATGAACAGACACTTCTCAAAAGAAGACATTTATGCAGCCAAAAAACACATGAAAAAATGCTCATCATCACTGGCCATCAGAGAAATGCAAATCAAAACCACAATGAGATACCATCTCACACCAGTTAGAATGGTGATCATTAAAAAGTCAGGAAACAACAGGTGCTGGAGAGGATGTGGAGAAATAGGAACACTTTTACACTGTTGGTGGGACTGTAAACTAGTTCAACCATTGTGGAAGTCAGTGTGGCGATTCCTCAGGGATCTAGAACTGGAAATACCATTTGACCCAGCCATCCCATTACTGGGTATATACCCAAAGGACTATAAATCGTGCTGCTATAAAGACACATGCACACGTATGTTTATTGCGGCATTATTCACAATAGCAAAGACTTGGAACCAACCCAAATGTCCAACAATGATAGACTGGATTAAGAAAATGTGGCACATATACACCATGGAATACTATGCAGCCATAAAAAATGATGAGTTCATGTCCTTTGTAGGGACATGGATGAAATTGGAAATCATCATTCTCAGTAAACTATCGCAAGAACAAAAAGCCAAACACCGCATATTCTCACTCCTAGGTGGGAATTGAACAATGAGATCACATGGACACAGGGAGGGGAATATCACACTCTGGGGACTGTTGTGGGGTGGGGGGAGGGGGGAGGGATAGCAACGGGAGATATACCTAATGCTAGATGATGAGTTAGTGGGTGCAGCGCACCAGCATGGCACATGTATACATATGTAACTAACCTGCACAATGTGCACATGTACCCTAAAACTTAAAGTATAATAAAAAAATAAAAAATAAAAATAAAAAATAAAAAAAAGAGTCAGAAAAAAAAGAAACAAAACAATAAAGCGTAAACACACAGCATTAGAAATGAGAACTGAGAAATAGTCACATATACAGAGGAAAGTCAAATGAATCATGAATAAAAGCTTTGTTCACCCCTAGATAAAAATGTATGCAGATTGGATACAATGAGTGTTAACCTAAGAAAGTGTAAATAAACCATTCTCCCTTACAAAGGACAAAACATCTAACAGATCAAATACTACAGGAAAATTTGAAAAATTTGTCATAAAATTACCTCCCCCCAAATAAATAAAATTATTTATAACAAATGAAAAAATACATAATCTCACTCCAAATTAAAACAGCGATCATTAAGATTAAAATGAAATACAATTTCCAATTATCAGAAGGCAAAGATTAAACTATTGGCTAATTTAGTGTGGAAGGCCTTCTGATACTCTGCTGTAGTGTATAAAAGTGGTAAAACCTCTTTAGAGTGCAACATGGCAATAATTATAATTTTAAATGCTCATTTTCTTGTACTCCAAAATTATGCTTCTAGTAAATTATCCTGCATATATAACCCCTAAAGTGTAAGAAAATAGGTATGAAGATGTTAAATAAAACATTGTATGTAACCAAAAAGAAATCATTAAAATTCCCATGATTAAGGAAATAATTTAACAAATTAAGATCCATCCAAACAAACAATGGAATATTACAAGAATACTGTCAATATTGACTAGAAGCAAGTTGGAGAAGATGCTGGCAAGATTATGTTTGTTGATCTGGGTGCCGGTGACATGGGTATGTTCAGTTTGTTAATGTTCATCATGCTGTACACTTGTGTGCACTTTTCTATACATCGTATCTCCCGTCATATTAAAGTTGACCCTTGAACAATAAGGATTCCAACAGCACAAGTCCACTTATATGTGGATTTTTTTCAACCCATCGCATATATCCACAGGATGCAAAATCAGGGCACACAGAGTGCCCTCTTTTTGTGGGTTACCCAGGGCTGACAGAAGGACTTGAGCATGCATGGATTTTGGTATGTAGGGGTCCTGAAACCAATCCCAAGAGATGACTGTATGTTGCAGGAATCAGCCATTTCTTAAAAGGTCAGACAGGAAATACTTCAGGCTTGTGGGACGTACAGTCTCTGTTGTAACACTCAACCCTGTCATAGTAGTGCAAAAGCAGCCATAGAAAACAGTAAATAAATGGATGTGGCTGTGTTCCAGTAAAGCTTTATTTAGAAAAACAGGTGGTAGATCTGTGGCCATAATTTGACAACTCCTTTTATACAGTATAGAGAATATATATAGTCTACATCATATAATCACCTAAAAAAATTTTCAAAAAGCAGAATGTGCTTCCATATTTGTTCATAAAGATTTTTAAAAGATTCTAGGTCAGAACAATGCTATCTGCTGTACTCTTGTTTCTGTTCAAAAAGAGAGGATTGATATATAAACTACGTACTTGTGTGCTTATATGTGCACAACATGCAAGGAACATGTTTGGGTATTGACAAGGCTCCACTCCAAGTGGTCACCCTTGAGTGGGATTAGGCACTGAGCTTGGAGAGAGACTAAATTTTCACAATGTATGTGCAGGAATTATTTTCATATATAATTATCTTAAGTCTTAGGATCATTGATTTTATAATAGTTTGATCAGTTTGATCATATATATAGATTTATCTACCCAATATTTAATTTCCTAAATATGATCTTTTTCTCATCAGAACCAAACAATTTAGGATTATAGCATTTTTGCATGTATGTGTATGTAAATTCATCCGTCATGCAATGGGAAACAAAAACTCTTCAAAACCAGGTTTCTAATAGCAATTTGTTTCATAAACTTATTTTCCCCTTTATTTATTACATTAAAATTTTATTATCTCAAAGAAAACTAATACCATTTTTTTAAATTAATGTTTGGGGTTTCCATGGAAAAGTGTGTGAATAAAGTAAAAAAAGAAGAAAATTTTAAAGGGGATACAGTGTCCATTAACAGCTATGTTTTAGTAAAGCCACAAAGATGAATGTTTTATTTACTTCAAAGTTATCAGGATAAATCCCATTATTAAAAAATCAGGACTATCCCTTTCATCATTGACATATAATAAACTTCAATCATACATTTCTGTAATCACCACAGTATAGAAAATCCTTGCACCATAAGTAGACCCTTCAGCATCAGAGAGAGGAGAGACCTCAGGTCAATTAAGGGAGGGGTCTGGGCAGAGAGCAGGTGCAGAAAATATACTTAAATATAAGGTCCATGAGTTTAACATGTGAAAAATAAGAGGATTGAAACCTAAAAATACTTGGGGGCCAATTTGTGTGTGCGTGTGTGTGTGTTAAATGGTTAGTTGAAGGCTTAATGGAAGATGCAGATATAAAATACACCTACATAGGGATAAGAATAGTTCAGACAAAGGTTAATGTTGGGAACACATGCCTGGGTGACAGCAGTATTTAGAACCAAGGATTCACAATAACAAACAAGGCCATATGTTCTTCTTTATAAAAGTAAATGTCTCTTTTCTTAAATATTTAAAAAAGAATGCTCTCACAGCATTCTTTAAGTTTCCCAGGGATTCACTGAAAATTCTAGATCATTAGAGCATAGGAATAGATACAATTTAAAAAAAATAAAGATGTTAGTGAAGTTGCCATCTATTCTACAGGCTTTCCCCTTTTTTCAATCTGTTTCATGGGCTTTTCATGTCATAAAATGCTTGTGGGACTCCAAGGTGTTGTAGTTCTTTACTAGTCTCTGTGGGAGGAAATTAAATATATAGTTATAAACTGCTGAGATTTAATTGAAGATACCCACAAAACATTTTCTCCAGTGAACCTAATCTTTTTATCTTTAACTTAATGAGAACACATCCTGTCTGAACTCTCAAGGGGGAATAGACTCATGTGCATGAACTACTGATTCTGGCAGAATTATAGAAGTCAGGAATATCTGCAAGACGTTAATGGTCTTTGGACTTATTGTTCCACCATCTGTTCTCTGCATTAAAGGGAGATCTTGGATTTCAGCCTAGACTCACTGAAGTGTTCCCCTAGATACTAAGCCAACTTAATATGTTAGGTCACAAAAGTTGTGTGTTTCTAATCAACCAGCTCTTAGATCCCCCAATCATTGCTAAACCTATCGGTGTATCTATGATCTGATAAAGCTTCTAAATTTCTCTTTTCTAGTGTTAGGGACATTGGATGGGAGGAGAGGAAATCTCAAATACCTTTGACATTTTTCAGTTTGTGTGGAATAATAAACGGTTAAATTTAATAGTTTTCCATCTCTTTCCATGGCCAGTTATCTTCTAAAATGCCCCCAAGATGGAAAGTTACCCTATATTATCAGGGTAGATTCTTCTAACTTTCCATTATTGCCCAGATCTCTCTTAGACTAAGAACACTTAAAGTAATAAGCCTCTGTTGAGCACTTCCTAACACTACCTGCTCTGCAAGGATTATATTTAACACCAGCTGCAGATATATGAAATATGTGCCATGATTGTCCCTTGCTTCTCAGATGAAATGAGCTGAGCAGCACAGAGACGTGAGCTAAATGCACCCAGCCAGTCAGCAGCAGAGATGGAGTTTGAAACCTGGCAGCTGGACTCCAGCACTGCACTGTCTCTCTGTCCTAACTAGGTCTAGGAGTGCTCAATATTATCAAGTATTGACAAATACATATGGATGGAATCTGGTTAAGCTTTGCCTTGTTACTCATTGTAGGAAAGGGCTCTATTTTTTCTTAAGCGTTATTTAAATGATCCAATCAATTGCACACAAATGGTGTCAGACAGGCATATTTTGCAATTTTAACTTGCCCTTGCAATTTCGTTAACAGTCTGAATTTACCAGGCAAACCCTTTCTTAATTATTATAACAGCAATTTATTGATTACCTACTATGTCCCCCTCTTTCCTACATTGTCCCTAACCACAAGATATTTATACTCCTTTAACAAATATGGGAACAAGGATTGGGTCACTGGAATTTTCCCTGCAGCAACTTTAACAGAAACCACCTTTGCTATTTTTTTAAATTGAAAAAACCCTGACCCATCTTCAGAAAATATCCATCTATCCTGCTGGAATTGATTCATGTGTTTACTGAAATAACAAATTGTTCTGCTACTGCATGACAAAAGGAATTCCTGTTTCTGGTGCTTTAAAGCCCACCAGATATTTAATACTATTGTACCATTCTTCTAATTTAAACAGTTCATTACTGCTCTCCCAGGTTCCACTTGGGCTCATTTTGATTGAAAACTGCAAGAGTTCACAGTTCAAAAGGAAACTTTTGGCTCCTTATTTTGAAAGTCTTTGCTCATAGCATCAGCCAAATTCTTTATAAATACTTGCTCATTTCTCACAAAAGAATTTTTCATTTGACACATGCACAGTTTAATGTATTAGGCATGGTATACTATGACATGTTTAAATTTTACGTGGAAACTACTCATTTGGAATTATATTCTACAATGCATTGGTCTGCTCCCACCAATCAGTATTCATGAAGTTGGAAGGAAGTATAAACAGTAAATTATGGTTTATAATGAAATCAATCACTCCATGTATTAACACCCAAGGCTATGGAACCCTGACAATTATATGCACTGATAGCTTCACATATGCATGGAGAACTGAAATGGAATATCCCTCTGTCATTCCAGGGATGAACCCCAGCATGTAACCTAAAGGAGGTAATTTTTGTAGGTGCTCTCCCCTATAGAAATTTACCTTTCCTCACTACCACTTACCCTGAGCATGAGGCACTAAGGTTTAGGAGTTGGATCAACGATCATCTATGTGCCTTTTAAGGGCAATTGAATCTGAAACTCGGAGCTCAGGTCCGATGATATTCTGAAATTCCTTTCTGCTAAGGACTGTTATATTTTTGAAGCTACTCACTTGACAAGGAGAAAGTGTATCTCAAACTTGGAGAAAGGAAAAAGTGAAAACAAAGGGGAAGAGAGGAGGAAGGATAAAACCAAAGAAGGGAAGGAAATTAAGATGAAGGTGGGAGTGGAGGGAGAAGAAAATCAATGACCGTCACTTACATGTAATAAACATATGTTCATTTCAGGTTCATAATAGGAAATATTTTAGCATTTCTTATCTATTTCTTTTCAACATGTTAGTACTACTTTTCCAGGGGTTAACTAAAAATAAATCTGGTTTGAGACTCTGTTGAAGCAAAACAAAATAAAGCCTAACAAGGAAGTTCAGTTCAGATTTGGGCAATTTGTGTACCTTAGTCCCAACGTTACTTTTTTTTTTTTGGCTTGTTAATTTAAAGGCCTGGTGTCATCATGCCTGCTCATGCACACATGCTACCATACATGACAAGGACAAAGCCTTGTATTTGTTGACTGATTGTCCCCTGTTCTGAAAAAGAATATCCCAGGGGCCTTTTGTTGCATTTCTGATATTCTCACTGAGAAGATTTAAAAACCAGGCCACTTATGCAACCACCAGAAGATTCCACTATTTCAGATACAGTTAAACATTATTGCTTAAAGGCTTTATGGCCTATATACCATTAGCAAGCCTGTGGAGATTCCATTTAACATATAAAAAGGTTGACAATACTGCATAATAAATGGCATACCATTATTACTTTCTTTGGTGTTTATTTTAATGGAATAAGCCGTGATGAATCCTTTAAGTTCTCATGCACAATTCCACAGCATTTCCATCATGATTTGCAAGGAAATAATGCACAACATTTTTACAGTTCTGCCACCTTGCAAAGGAGCCAGAGGAGAAGCATTTTAATGGGATAATAGTTTTTTGGTCTAGCCTGACAGCACAGCCACTGCTGTATTTCACCCTCCATGTGAAGGCTCCCATCTTCTGTGTGGTCTCCATGACATTACATTTTATTGGCTTAATCCCTCTTCTAATTCCCTTTACTCAAAGAAAGCCTTCTTCAATGCTATGTTCCCTCTCAGTATTGAGCAGTCTTTCACTCCAACCACTCAGCCTATATTAAGCTCCTACTCTGTAAATTGCTGCTTATAGGTGGCATTTACAAAGAAGAAGAGAGAGTTGCTTGTTTCAAAAAGCTTCTCGTGGCCAGGCGCGGTGGCTCATGCCTGTAATCCCAGTACGTTGGGAGACCGAGGCGGGCGGATCACCTGAGGTCAGGAGTTTGAGACCAGCCTAGCTAACTTGGTGAAGCCCTGTCTCTACTAAAAATACAAAAATTAGCCAGGCGTGGTGGTGGGCACCTGTAATCCCAGCTACTCAGGAGGTTGAGGCAGGAGAATCGCTTGAACCTGGGAGGCGGAGGTTGCAGGGAGGCAGTGAGCTGAGATCATGCCATTGCACCCCAGCCTGGGTGACAAGTGAAACTCCGTCTCAAAAACAAAAACAAAAACAAAACAAAAAACCTTATCGTGCAGCAGAAGGTGAAGGACCTGTGCTGACTGAGCACCTACTATGGACCTGTAGTGCCAGGAACATAACGGGAGCTCAGTCATGTGCACGCTCTCCTGCCCTGCATTAATGTTTGCAATCCTTGCAAAGGCTACTACATTATGCAGATATCATCATCATCCTTTATTAAATGAAGAAATTGGGATTTAGAGTCAATAAAATCCATTGTCATGATAAGATAGCTAGTGAGCGCCAGAGTTGATATTTGAACCTAGTCCACATACTACACTACCATGCTTCCCTACTGGGTTAGAGAAAATAATTCATAATACACATACCATGCATCACACTTACACAAAATTCAGGAGGTGTATGATTAATTGATAAATATCTTCATAAAGAGTGATCTGTGGTGAGTTAGCTTGAGAAGACAAGTTGAACATGAAAATATATAGAGAATTTGATTATGCTTAAGTTTTATTGGCCATGTTTTACACCAGAAATAGTCTATCTTCTAAATATTTTCTTAGAAGTGCTTCACTTTTTCAGACCATGAAATGAAATTTGCCAGAATGTGTGGCTAAAATAAGTAAAATAAAAATCCAAATATTACACCCTTCACAAGGCAAGAGAATTTTCAGGTTAGAAATTTAAGACACTTTTGTCCCAAAACCTTTATTTAAGATGAGAACATTGAAGTCCAGAGAGTGAAAAAGTTTTGCTTATCTTTAGCTAAAGACAAAATAGAGAGGAGAAGCCAGATCTCTAATTTCTGGACCAACTTCTTCACTATATTATAATGAATATTTCCCAGTTTCTTAACTAACTGACCAGTTATTTGTAAAACAGTCTTAGAAAGCAAAATGATAATAAGTCCAGTGTCACTGCAGGTGATGAATTAATCATTCATCTTCTGCAAAAAATTGAGCAGGCTTCTCTGATGCAGCCACATCTTTCCTTTGCAATTCCTCATCTGTGTCTCCCTGGTCAGGTACGGTGGTACTTCATTGGTTCATGCTCCCCCTAAGAATGGGATAATGAATGACACTAGACAGATACAACTGGTTCATTTCAACAATGGACATTTATTAAACATCCACTGTGTGTCAGGCTCAACCCTGGCTTCTGAGAAATCAGCATTACCTAATCAGGAAAGAGATGTGAAAATAGGGAACTACCATAATTTGATGATTGCAATACTTTTATTTCATTAATTCAGTAATAATTTGTTGAATCAAGCTTGGTGCTCAATCATGAAAAAAGCAGATGTAGTTCCAGCCTACTGAAGGAGGAAAATGTTAATCAGATCATCAAAAAATAAGTACAAAATTGCAACTAGGACAAATGATAGGAAAGAGATGTGCAGAGTGTCACAAAAGTAAACTACAGAAGGAGTATATCAAAGACAAAAAAAGTCAGGGAAGGCATTGCAAAAGAAGTGATTCCCACTTAGAAAAAAAGTGTGTATGTGTGAATGCATACATCATGGTGTGCTATAACTTACACTAAAAATTTAAAGTTGGTAAGAAAAATGTCACAAGAAAAAAATGAGAGTAATGATTAAAGGAAAAAGCAAAGGGGTGGAGAGGAAAAGATCAGAGAAAGTCAGGGGTGAGTTTGTGCATATCACACCTGCCTGGAGCCCATGACTCAGAGTAAAGGTGAGTCCAACCAGATGGACTGTACCCATGGACATATTTTGAAATAAAGCTATAACTTTTACAAATGTTCTACCTTTGCTCAATTTACTAAAACTTACTTTAGGGTCTTATAATCATTTACTATAGGAATGAATTGTGTATCCTATAAAACCTCCAATCCAAGATCAAGGCACTGTCGAGTTCAGTGTCTGCTGAGGATCCTGGTCTCTCCATCCAAGATGGCGCCTTGTTACTTCATCCTCTGGAGGGGACAAAGGCTGTGTCCTCACATGGAGGAAGAGATGGAAGGGCAAAAAAAAAGCTAAGATAGTTCCATCCAGCACTATTATAAAACACTAATCCAAGATTTGTGGATACTCAAGTCCCTTATATAAAATGATACAGTATTTGCATATAACCTAAGTAGATCCTCCCACATACTTCAAATCATCTCTAGATTACTAGAGATTACATACCTATAAACCTAATTATAGAAATTACAGATTATAGAGATTTTAGATTATATACTTAATATAATGCCAACACATTGCTGCATTTGAGTGGGTTCATTGTAGTACTCAGGGCATGGCAAATTCAAGTTTTACTTTTTGGAACTTTGTGGAATTGTTTTTCTGAATATTTTCAATCCATGCTTGGTTGAATCCAGGAGGGCAGAGCCCTCACCAGAGGGTTTGACTGTACATGTTTACTCTCTGTTCTTTGGCTAGTTGATAAGCTCTACTAAGGGCAAGAAGTTCTGCCATCTGAGTTGATTTTGCCTCAGGTAGAGAGCTATATTCCAGAGGACTGCTTAATTTGGTGATAGCACATTCTGCTTGATAACCTCCACTTCCAGCTCTGAAGCATGACTCACCAACCAATAATCCAAGGTCAGGGTTCTCAGTAGGAGTCTCCAATAAATCAGAGTGAGACACAGGATGTTCACTAAATGAGGTAAAACAATCATGAGGTTTCCCCTTCCTCTGGTAAAGGCAAGTGAAAGGCAAGTATTGCAGCAGTGAATGGCAATATGAATCACAAGAGAAATTTAGATCTTTTCAGTCTTTAAGACCTAGGAAAAATATTACTTTTTTAAATCTCTAGAACATAACTATCCAGGTCTGTGCTGTCTTCCACAAGTAAAGGCAAAAAGATATTGGCTGCCCTGGTCTAGAGGCACACTGCAGAAATATGGAGCAAAGATACACTACAGTGAAGCAAGAGGCTTCAGATGGAATTAACGACATTATTGGTATTTGGGTTAGATGCCACCACATCGAAGAATAACAATGTTGTTGGTGGCCTTGGTGTCTTAGACAAGTCAATATTCTCATCCACTTGGTATCTTTCCTGGCAGAACAAGCGTATTGTAGTAGCTAGTCCAGGATACATGAAGGTCTTTGGATAAAAGGCTTTTAAGTATAGATTTGAGTCCTTCTTTTGCTTTTGGCTTCAAGGGATATTGTGGAAATAATTGCAACAGTTTGGTAAGATCTATCTGAACTTTAGTAGGTTCTGCTCCAATTATTTTTCCTATTTCAGTGGAATGTTTAGCCCATAGGATGTCAAGTATAGTCTCAAGATCTTTATTTGCAGTGTGCATCAAACACAATAGAGAAGGCAAAAGTACATCTAGATCAGAAATCCCCCAATTATAAGCAAAGGAGTTCTCTAAAGCCTCAAGTAACAGTCCCTCGAGTGTGCATATCACATGACAATTCCATTTGCAAAGTAAGTCTCTTCCTATTAAATTTGCAGGGGTTGGTATCACAGAGCAGGAAGGAATGCTTTTCAGTCAAAAGTCTAAGTGTTACCCCTAAGAGCTGACAGATAGAAAAAAGCTATAGTTTATTTGAAATATCTAACACCTGTGTGGTATATTTACTCTGAGGAAGATGTTGAGCAAAGGTGGCAGGGTTTAATGTAGAAAGAGTAGGATCATATCTACCAGGAATAGAGGAGGTTGACCATCTGTATTTATTGTTAATTCACCTTGAATGTTTAAGGGTAAGGCAAGATAGTGAGTTCTTTCCTTCCTTGATGCATGCTCACTGATCTGAATTGAAGGATTTTTCTTTGTCTTGCTTTTTCTTTGCATGACCAGACTATCTGTTTTCCAGTGTCCCTTCAATAAGTGTCCTCATCAGTAGATAGTTGATTAGAAAGTGGGCCACTTAGCTGGTTGATTTACAGAATATAAGTTTATTTTTGTTCTTATTTCATATTTATTCTAAAACTCTTTCAAAATGCTCTCCAAGGTGTTGTGGTTCAAGAGAAGAGGCTATTCCTCGTTCTAATTTCTGGTTTTGAATTAGGTCTCTAATTTCAAATTTAATTCCAAGGACAAAATGAAGTGAAACGGCCACTGTTACATCAGTGCCATCTTTAACTCCTGAATGTTGTCAGAAGGTGTTTTCTAATCTGTCCTAAAAATCTTCTATAGTTGCATCTTTTCTGTTTTCATGATTTAATTATAACCCAAACCATTTTTACTAGAAATAGTTCAGATATGGCTTTTAGAAGATGTTAACCTACTGTTCTGGCTTTGTTTTTGGGCGGGGGGGTCGGTGGCAGGGGAGAGCCTTGAGTTTATTACAGAAAAAGGCATTCTGTAGTCCTTTTCCAGGTCGTTATAATTAACTTTTGCCATCTAGGCTTTAGCATCTGAGGTTTGACCAATATCTATACAACTTGGGGCCAGGCTCACACCTGTAATGCCAGTGCTTTGGGGAGCCAAAGTGGGAGCATCGCTTGAGGCCAGAAGTTCAAGACCAGCATGGACAACATAGCAAGACCTCACCTTTACAAAATTTAAAAAAAAAAAAATAGCCAGGCATTGTGGCACACACCTGTAGTACCCAGCTACTTTGGATGCTGAGGCAGGAGAATTGTTTGAGCCGAGGAGTTCAAGACTGCAGTGAGCTATAATCATGCTACTGCACTCCAGCCTGGGTGACAGAGTAAGACCTTCTCTCATTTAAAAAAAAAAAAAAAAAAAAATTAAGGAGCAGGTTATTTAATTGCCATGTATTTGCGTGGTTTTGAAGGTCTCTTCTGGAGTTTATTTCCAGTTTCATTCCACTGTGGTCTGAGAGATGGCTTGATATAATTTCAATTTTCTTAAATTTATTGAGGCTTATTTTGTGGCCTATCATATGGTCTATCTTGGAGAAAGTTCCACGTGCTGTTGAATAAAAAGTGTATTCTGTGCTTGTTGGATGGAATGTTCTTCATATATCTGGTAAGTCCATTTGTTCCAGGGTATAGTTTAAGTCCATTATTTCTTTGTTGACTTTCTCTCTTGATGACCTGTCTAGTGGTGTCAGTGGAGTATTGAAGTCCCCCACTATTATTGTGTTGCTGTCTATCTCATTTCTTAGGTCTAGTAGTAATTGTTTTATAAATTTGGGAGCTCCAGTGTTAGGTACATATATGTTTAGGTTTGTGATATTTTCCTGTTGGACAAGGCTTTTTATCATTATATAATGTCCCTCTTTGTCTTTTTTAACTGCTATTGCTTTAAAGTTCGTTTTGTCTGATATAACAGCTACCCTTGCTTGCTTTTGGTGTCCATTTGCATAAAATGTCTTTTTTCACCCTTTTACCTTAAGTTTATGTAAGTCCTTATGTATTAGATGAGTCTCTTGAAGGCAGCAGATAGTTGTTCTGTGAATTCTTATCCATTCTTCAATTCTGTATATTTTAAGTGGGGCATTTAGGCCATTTACATTCAATGTTAGTATTGAGATGTGAGATACCATTCTATTCATCATGCTATTTGTTGCCTGTATACCTTGGTTTTTTGTTTTTTGTTTTTCTTTTTTAAATTGTATTTTTGTTTTATAGGTCCTGTGAGGTTTATGCTTTAAATATGTTCTGTTTTGATGTGTTTCTAGGATTCGTTTCAAGATTTAGAGCACCTTTTAGCAGTTCTTGTAGTGGTGGCTTGGTAGTGGCAAATTCTCTCAGCATTTGTTTGTCTGAAAAAGACTGTATCTTTCCTTCATATATGAAGCTTAGTTTTGCTGGATACAAAATTCTTGTCTGATAATTGTTGTTTGAGGAGGCTGCGGATAGGGCAGCTCAGACAGCACATGGTCCTACAAAGTACCTCTCTGATGTGACTCGTGCTCTGGGAGGGAGCACCCACTGGGGAAGAATCTGAACCTTCAAGGACTCAGACTAGAAAACTTATAGAGACCCCAAAGCCTCAGCCATAACCTAAACTGAAGTAGTTCTTGGCCTTTTTTTGGGACTCAGGACCGTTTGATAATCTGATAAACTCTAGTGACTCTATCCTCAGGAAAATATGCATAGGCACACATACACATATAATTTTATGTACAATTTCTCATGGCTTACTCTGTCTCCACCCCCAAATTCCCCCAAACCTCTCCATGGATTCCCACATTAGCACTTACAGTTCCACTGTCAGAATCCAAAGCTTGCTGGAGTCATGAGGACGAGTGTCAGTCTAAACCCATGGAAGCCTTAGAAGATATCATCTATCTTGCTTTATCCTAAGGAGCAATAGGCTGAGTAGAGGTATTCCTTGGTGCCTCCAAAAGTGCCCAGCCTGCCAATTAAACATTTTCTGCAATCCTGGATATTGACTAACCAAGTCACTAACCTAAGAGCTGCTGGCCATTGTGCTTCTCCAAGCCCTGGTTGAGAATTTTAACCAGCAGCACAACTTACCCCATTTCTACCAGTCTGGCTTTTGAATTCTTCTTTTAAATGACTCATGCTCATTTCTTCCTTTTTCAAATTAAAGAATTTAGGACAGCAATAAAAAAAGAGGTTAATATAGGGTGGGCAATGCAGCTTATAGGCGCTCAATATAATTCTGATTTCTTCTACCAGTAGTTGCTGGTCTAATTTGTATTTAGAGAAATCCTTAATTCAGCTCAGGTCCAAGGCTTAAATTCTATAGTTACCTGCATACCTGGCTCATGGGAGAGGTGGAAGTTTGGGTCTTAGGCGAAAGGGAGGGAGTCTGAACAGGGGTATAATAAGGGAGGAGTTGATAGGGGTGAGTAAGGAGAGACATCAAAAAGATAAGGGGAATGAAGGAGAGTTTTGTAGAGGGAAGCAACTGAAAGACAGGATGGAAAAGGATTTAGCAGGCAAATGAGTCTAGTTTGTTGTTGCTTAATTTAGTCAAATTGCTCATTAGCTTTAGCCAATGACTCTTAGTGAAGCAATTATTAAATCAGAATTTCATTTGGAGGCCTTGCATACCAATTAAAAAATGCTGCCCATTGGGCCTGAGAAAACTTATTTCCTTTTTTTTCTAAAGCACTTCTCAAATGAACAATTTTGCTCTAGTCAAGTCTTCCCCAGAGTGGCCACTGAAAATCAAATCATCCTTGATGAAGTTATGTCGTTTAGAGATAGGCACAAGAATTAGCATTGTAATGGGAGTAAGTATAAGAAGCAGGAGTTTTTCCTAGAGGAGGCAAGGATTTATACTTGGACAACCCCACGAGTGTTGGCAGTGGTCAGTAGAAATGTGAGGCTTGAGCACTTCATGTTTTGAGTCCCCAGCATGATGGCTGTCCTCCTCCCAATGCAAGCTTGACAATCTGCACCACCAGCAGACAAAAAACCAGCGAGAACACTGTCTGTGGAGCCAAGCCAAGCACTTAGACAAAAACTTCAGATGGAAGGAGAACCTCATCCAGTTCTATTAGTCACTCACAGCAAAATTAGTCCAGGTGGATATCAGCCCAGTGAGAACTGTACACTCACCAGTCTGTGAGGCTGGCTCAAACAACAAGCTTACAGGATCTATGCCTGCATTCTACCTTGTAAGTCTCCTTCTGGGCCAAACAACAATTTCAGACAGGACAATGCAAAACAGAAACATAAAAGAGAGTAAAGAGGGATAAAAAAGAATGGCCTAATTCCACCAAGGATGCCAATCAAATGGGCACCCAGAACAAACCCAGGTACCAAGCTGAGAATAAAACCTAGGAGATCAAGGTAGAGAGAACAGAGTCCAGACCTGGTGCTCACCGACCATGTCAGCAGTGACTCAACAAGCCACAAGCAGCAAGGGACAGGCGCCTCATGTACCACACCTGGGTGAAGGATGCTGCCCTCTGGGCCCTGATGGCAGCTTTGCCAGCACCTGAACTGCCTTCGAAGACATTCCTTCCTTCTTGTAAGGATAACACATATTTGCAGCTGAGTAGCTCTATTAGCCCATTTCCTGCTTGTAGAACCCCAGAATCCTGACAGCCTTTCTTCATTTCATCCCATCTCTGTCCCTTCAGTCCAAGCTGGCAGCATTTCTGCAGAGATGGTTGACTGGATCCACAAGCGGCACACTGAGTCTCTCTGGCAAGTGGTTGTCCAGCCACACCTTTGGCCCTGTTTCCAGAGCACACTATATCTGGATACGCTGAGAATCTTCTGAAACATTAAGTGCTGATTTCTTTCTGATAAGCAGTCCCTTCTTTGATTCATCTCTCTCCTTTTGCATTTTACCAAAAGCAGCAAGAAGAAGCCAGACCATGCCTTCAACACTTTGCTTAGAAATATCCTCAGCTAAATATCCTATTTCATTCCTTATAAGTTCTACTTTTCAAAAAGTAGAACACAGTTCAGCCAAGTTATCTGCACTTTGTAACAAAGGTTTTCTTTCCTGCAGCTTCATATAACATGTTTCTCATTTCCATCTGAGGCCTCACTGAAAACACCTTTGACGATCATATTTCTACAACAGTCTCCTACAGGCAATCCAGGCTTCTTCTGTCAAGCATCTCAGAACTCTTCTAACCTCTACCCATTACCAAATTCCAAAGCCACTTCCACATTTTTAGCTATTTGTTACAGAAGCATCCCACTTTCTGTTACCAAAATCTGTATTAGTTTGCTAGGGCTGCCATGACAAACTACCACACACTGGGTGGTTTAAGCAACAGAAATGTATTGTCTCACAGTTCTGGGGGCTGGAAGTCCAAGATCAATGTGTGGGCAGGTTTCTTCCTTCTGAGTGCTGTGAGGCAGAACCTGTTCCATGCTTGTCTCCCAGCTTCTGGTGTTTTTCTGGCCATCTTTGGTGCTCTGTGGCTTGTAGATATATCACCCTGATCTCTGCCTTCGTCTTGACGTGGTGCACTGTGTATGTGTGTCAATGTCCACATTTCCCCTTTCATAAAAACACCAGTCACATTGGATTAGGGCCCCACCCTACTCCAGTATGACCTCATCCTAACTAATTGCATTTGCAATGAGCCTATTTCCAAGTAAGGTCGCATTCTGAGGTACTGGCAGTTAGCAATTCCACATATGAATTTGGAGGGATGCAATTCAGCCTATAACAAACTGTTTCCATATAAGTTTTGTATTTTTAAAACATATCCTTATTTCCTTAAAAATGAATAATTTCTTAAGTCTTTGATAGAATCTGATTGCATGCAAGAAAATTTCTACTTTAATATCAGATTTCTTTTTCAATTAAAGCTTAGCTTTAAATTAATATGTAAAGAAAAACTTAGTGACATGATAATCTCTGGGATTAAACAAAAATGTAATTCTGTCATTCAAAAGTGCTAGAAAGCAATATAGCTAGCTAGAAAGGCTATGTTCATAGTTTTTTTATATATACTTATAACTAAAAGGTAGTTATATTTGAATCCAAGTGACAGTCAGAAGAGAAGTGGGTAGGGATCTGGACCATGTGGACATGCAACGCACTTCAGAGAAAATCAGCAAGCAGATAGAAGAGCAGGACACTAGGGAAAGATTCTTAATGTGTTAAGAATTGCCCAGGAGAAGCAAAGGCAAACGCAGGTCTTCTAATTTTAAATCCACTGTGCTTCTACCAAGCAATGCCTTTTGTCTTTGCTGATTCAAAATGAAATTTACTCAAAGTACAGCCTCGGCAGCACACAGTAGGGGAAGGTCTGTGAGCCTGACCCTGGTCTTCCCCCCTGCTCACCCAGGTGGTCTTTGAAAAGTAAAGACATCTCTGAAAAGAAAGGATGGTATTATATTATACAGAGACCTCCACAGGGTCCCTCTATCATGTGAGTTAAATATATATCTGAATAAACTTTTCTTCATTCACAAAAACCGCTACTCCCAATTTTAATTGAAAGATGAGCACCCTGAAAATGTGAATGAAAATCATCTCAGCCTTTACCTCCTTTCCAAGAAAATGCATAGTGTTAATAAGATATTTGCATAATATTTTATGGTTTATTGTATATATGCATCTACATTTATATTTACATTTCAAAGTGTTTTACTCCCTGTGAAGTTCAGATTCTTTCTCTCCATTTGAAGAATGGCAGATTTGAGACACAGAGAAAAGTTCAACTTGCCAAACTTCCTAATGGTCTAATTGGAACTAGAAAGCAATGTAGCTAGCTATAGGAGTACTAGTTAACAGTAAATTAATTGAGCACCAACTTATTCAGAAAGTCACCTGGGTTGGTTTCAGGACAACGCAGTCATTGTGATTCTATGCAGCTTCTTATACAACCTTCTAATTTCTTTGTTGCCTCTTTGTTTGTGTCTACCTGCAAAGAAATTAAATCGCTTCTTGTCACACAAAGCATGTTCCACAAGGCACATGTCACCTAAATTTTCAGAAGCAGCAGCTGTCTTCTTAGGGAATGCTATTGTTACTTCTATAATTAAGGCAAGGTGGCCAGGTGGCCTCCACACCAAGATGCTTTAATTTACTCTACCTGGAAACCCACTTAAATCAGAAAGTAGAGTTTCCAGGGGATTCTCCACAAACGGTGAAGAGTGAAAAGAATTAAGAGTATGTGTTGCACAACCTACACAGATACACAGGCAGCCTGGGGAACTAGTGATGATTTCCAGTGTAGACATTTGCAAAAATAAAAGTAAGCATGGGAAAACAGTGATAGTCGACATTTATTGAGGGGTTAGTCTGTGCCAGACCCTGATCCAAAGGCATTCAAAGTAATTACACATTTGATCCCCAAGCCAGTCCAATGAAGAAGGCACTATTATTACCAGCATTCTACAGATGAGAACACTAGGGTGGTGAGTAACTTCTGCAAAGTCAGAGCCAGTGTGAAGCAAAGTCAGGAGCCCAACCCAGGCAGCTCACCTAAAACCACAGGCTAAGAGCAGCTTTTTGTGCAAATGCATTTATAGATGTTAAAGGGAAAATAAAAGTTTTGATTGTTGTAAATGCAGCTAGAATGGTAGATTATGGGTGTTAATAATTACATTTATTGAAGACTCTGGAGAAACACTGGAATATGTTTAGGATAAGTGAGTAAACAAGACAAAATGGTATGGACATCTTACGTTTGAAAAATGCATCTATAGAGAAATAGAGATAAAGGCAGCAATAGACCATTAAACACGAGCAGATTATCACTTAAAAATATGGTGGACATCATGTTCTTTAATCACAAAACTGTGAAGGAGGTGTTCTGTTGGCTAGGAAAGGAACAGAAAGCTATGCATATATTTTCTTCTAAGTCTCATGGAAAGAGTCAAAGAAGCAAAATTTGTGTTTATTTTATTATATTTTTTAGAGACAGAATCTGGCTATGTTACCCAGGCTGGACTTGGACTCCCGGGCTCAAATGATCTTCTCACCTCAGTCTCCAGACTATCTGGCATACAGGCATATGCCACCACACCTGGCTGAAATTATTATCATTATCATCATTATTATTATTTTATTCAGGTTAAGCAGTTAAATAAAAAGTTTTCCAGCGAAAATTCCTATAAAGAATCACATCCGGCCGGGTGTGGTGGCTCATGCCTGTAATCCCAGCACTTTGGGAGGCCAAGGTGGGCAGATCACCTGAGGTCAGGAGTTCAAGGCCAGCCTGACCAATATGATGAAACGCCGTCTCTACTAAAAGAAAAATACAAAAATTAGCCAGGTGTGGTGGCATGTGCCTGTAATCCAAGCTACTTGGAAGGCTGAGACAGGAGAATTGCTTGAACCTGGGAGGCAGAGGTTGTGGTGAGCCGAGATCATGCCATTGTATTCCAGCCTGGGCAACAAGAGTGCAACTCCATCTTAAAAAAAATTAAAAAGAATCACATCCAGTCTTCAGAAAGGCTGAATATTTGGAAAGAACATTGCCTAGAAAGCAGTCTAACCCCTAGAATAAGAAATGTGTGTGAAATATACTTATGCCTCAATGTTAGAGCCAGGATTGCATTAAGTGGTGATTTAAAATATCTGGAAATTTGAACAAAGTCACAATTGCAACTTACTACATACTATTTATTTAATCCAATTATAAGTCTTATTTAAAATACACATAGAGTAAATACTTAATAATAAGAATGCAATGGTTTTAATAAAAATAAGTTTGAGAAGTAGAGGGAAAAAAAGCCATTGTACTTTTTGAGGAAACATACATAAATATGGAAATAGGTGTTTTTTGTTTTTCTTTTTTATTTTGAATTATACTTTAAGTTCTGGGATACATGTGCAGAATGTGCAGGTTTGTTACATAGGTATACACGTGCCATGGTGGTTTGCTGCACCCATCAACCCATCATCTAAATTAGGTATTTCCCCTAATGCTCTCCCTCCCTTAGCCCCTCATCCCCCGACAGGTCCCGGTATGTAATGTTCCCCTCCCTGTGTCCACGTGTTCTCATTGTTCAACTCCCACTTGTAAGTGAGAACATGCAGTGTTTGGTTTTCTGTTCCTGTGTTAACTTTGCTGAGAATGATGGTTTCCAGATTCATCAATGTCCCTGAAAAGGACATGAACTCATCCCTTTTTATGGTTCCATGGTGTATATGTGCCACATTTTCTTTACCTTGTCTATCACTGATGGGCATTTGGGTTGGTTCCAAGTCTTTGCTATTGTGAACACTGCTGTAATAAACATATATGTGTATGTGTCTTATAGTAGAATGATTTATAATCCTTTGGGTATATACCCAGTAACGGGATTGCTGGTTCAAATGGCGGAAATAGGTGTTTTAACTCTCATTTTTCTCATTTATCTATATTTAGATTACATCTGTTAAGCCAAATAGTGTTAAATAATCACCACTAACCTCCAACCTCCTTGCTTATAAATTCACACCTACCTGTGCAGGAAATGCTGCCTGCCAAGTCTGAAATAATACTTGAGGCTGCTGCAAAGTCCAACATAAAAATACTTAGCTAATTAAATAAATAAAACTATATTCATCATAATTGGGAAAAGGAAAATATGGAAAGCTGACCTGCCTATAGTGCCTATTTTTTACTAAAAAAATAAAAACAAAAAACGAAACAAATAAGCCAACAAAAAGCACAGAAGTGGCAGAAGATAAGCTTTCAGTAAAATTTTTAGAGGAAATCTGTGAACCAGCAGAAATTTGCATCCCATTGGCAAAGGGGTCCACATGGGACCCTGAGGACCCAAGGTTAGAATTCACAGGAATTGTGGGGAGAGCTCTGGGCTCATATAGTCCATGAGACTGAAGGCTTGAGCCATGTTTCCCTAAATATTCGGGATCTAAAGCAGCCCCAAGTGACATCTGAGCAGCCCCAGAACACTGGACCAGCAGATAAACTGGCCCCCAATGCAAAATGCAGTATTTTGAGTCTAATAGTGGGTCTAAGTCCACCCTCATCTTGACTATGAGACCAGGGAACCTACAGCTCAAGGAAGAAAGATGACTGTTTCTGCACTGGCCATGTTGTTGCTTGGGCCAGGGGAGAGGGTTGACAGAACCCTGAGGTTCACATGGAAATGTGTGGAGTAACACACAGGTCAGGCAGGTAGAGAGAGCAACACATACAAAGCATTCTGTGGTGTCTTAGCCAGGGCATTGCATGACAAGGAATAAACTCATCAACCCACCAACCAGAGGAAATCCTGGCCATGGGTGATTACTGCAGCTTCTTAAGTGACACACAATCCTGAAAAAGGAACAAAAAACTTTGATCATTGAGAAGGGCCTTTCTCCTGATTCACCTGCTGGGGCAGACTCCCCAGAGCCTGGTATCCTCCTAAGGAGTAACTGCCAGGCAAGCTGGGATCCACTGGCCACAGCCACATGGATGTGAGCCAACATATGGCATCTGCGAGAAGGCACAGCCAGATTGAAGAGGAGGATTCTGAGCTGCTGAAATGTTCCCAAGGAGTCAGGCCTCAGACGTGGAGAAGCAATGGTGATAAATAGAAAAATTGCATGGTCCAGAATTGAAAATTATACAAGGTCAAAAAGTCATAACTCTCCCTGTCTCCAGGCAACAATATCCAACAGCACACAAGCATTCAGGAATGTGCACAGTGTTGTGATCTATGTGGCAGGTTTCTGAGTACACAGCACCAGGAAGAAGAAGAGACCTCGAGGTGTAAAACATCCTGAGATTTTGGCAGTAAGCTGCATGCCAACTCCTCCTGCTTGCAATTTGGAAGACCAGGTCCCACTGGAGCAAGGTGATGAGAAAACAACTGCCAGCAAGACATCCCTAGAGAAACTAAGCCCATGCAAGAATTGCTGATTCTTGCTCATTTAGGAAGACAGATGGAAGGTGATGGTCATCTGCTGTCCCCAGGAGACAAGCCTCTCAGAGGTCTGGAAGGTTCAGCTTACATCCCCAGAGCCAAAGCTTATGGAGAAGCCTGAACTCCCAACAGGGAGAAATAATTGTTAGGTTTCCCATTCCAGTCAGAAGGGATCTTCAGAGCAAGCCAGAGGCTCTGAAGAGACACTGCACCCATCCCCCGGTGCATGTGTGACCCTACAGGCAGCTATTACATGCGACCCATTAGAGCCCAAGTACTGTGGAGAAAAGGCAAGAAATACAATATTCCTCAAAGATTTGGGGAGATGAACTGCCCTCCATTTATTTTGCCTTCAACTCTTGATGGACAACTTGGGGCAAATTGCACCAAAAAGAATTCCAGAAACTGAGGTCAGAGAATGAAGAAAAGCCAGTTAGTACAGGTACTCCTTTCCAATCCTAGCTCCTGGAAGAAGGGTCAGAAATGGATGGGCAAACCTGTAAACCCTGGCTCTGAGGGTGGAAGGAGTTGCCAAAGCCTCAGCCTGGAACTTCCATGGCCCTCCTCGCCATCTTCACACCCTCACTCAGCTCTTTCTGTATCCCAGTTGCCTGAAAACTTCTGCTGACCACGAGTAGCCCAGCCTGACTGAGAAGCCCTGTATAGAAGGGACAAGATATGTCCCCTACCTAGCCTGTACCATGGAAACAGATCCTCAAATAAAGTCTCATAAGAGCGTACTGCCCATCACCTATGGAGTAAGCAGTGTCAGGGGAGGTCAGTCTGGAGGCCACAGTTGGGCATCATTTCTTGTCTTTTCCTCATCCATCCCCTGGACAGATCATCTGCATTGGGACCATCACAAGATATCGGAAGATGAGAAAAAAAAAAAGTTATTCACTAGAATTTCAGGAGATTGTATAAAAGGCAAAATTGCCTAGCTTGGTTGATCCCTGAAAAAAACTCAAAAAAAGTCGGAAAGAGGCCACTGTGTTGGGAGAAAGTAGAAGGAATAGTTTTGGCTGGGTGTGGTGGCTCACGTCTGTAATCCCAGCACTTTGGGAGGCTGAGGCAAGTGGATCATGAGGTCAGGAGTTCAAGACCAGCCTGGCCAACATGATGTAACTCCATCTCTACTAAAAATACAAAAATTAGCTGGGCATGGTGACGCATGCCTATAATCCCAGCCATTTGGGAGGCTGAGGCAGGAGAATTGCTTGAACTAGGACCGGGGAGGCAGAGGTTGCAGTGAGCCAAGATCGAGCCACTGCACTCCAGCTTGGGCTACAGAGCGAGACTTTGTCTCAAAAAAAAAAAAAAAAAAAAAAGAAGAAGAAGAATGAATAGTTTCCATTTCCCAAGTGAATGCTTAGGGTATAGAAGGTCACCCACTGGGATTTAAGTTAAAGGAGTCAGTGGACTGCAAGCAGGCATGCAGGGAGCACACTGGAGGCTGATGATAATCAGACAGTCAGCGGCAACCCTGCACCATGACACCCTAATGTCCTTCATGAAGCCACTCAGCACACATTGCTTGGCTGGAGCAGATTTTCTCACCCAAATGGCAGATATCTGAGCCCAGATTATCATGGAGGTAGTAGTGAGATGACAGTCACAGCCAAGGGAGTAGAGACAGGGGCATCTCTGGAGAAACAAAGCATTTTTCACAAGCTTTGAACCCCTGGGGTTGAGAGGTGAGCCAGATTCATCTAAACCTCCAAGAGCCAACGAGTCTTCTGAGTTTACGAGATTAAATTTAAAAACTGAAGACTAGGCTCTTCTAGTAGCTAACCTGCTGCCTAGCTCAGAATAAGAATCTATTTGACTCTTCATCCATTTGTTAAGTGAGGGCTGACTTTTGGTTTCAAGCTTTAGGTACCTACTCTGTGCTTAGGATTGTGCCAGGGACCATGTCCCTGTTTCTAAGAGTTGTACATTCCTTTGGAAGAGGCATTGCCTGGGCGGCAAGATGGGTGCTGCACCTTCAGGGGTTGCTTTGTTAGAGGTCCATCCAGACAGTGCATCTCTGGGGTTCTGGAGCCTAGGATTCTGATGCGTGTGTTGCTGTGTGTGTTGAGGAACTACGAGGATCTTCTTTGTATTGGACATCTTAATAATCTTATTTTAACACAGTTATTTTCCTTTGTAATCTTATGTATTTACTTCTTATTGGGGTATCATTTAGATACCATAAAACGTGTGTATGGGTTCAATGAGTTTTGACCATTGCATATACTCACACAACCACCACCCTCAACAGGATACAGAGCATTTCCAAACCTCAGAAAGTTTCCTCAAGTCAACTCCAATCCAAAACTGAACCTCCAGTGTTCTGACTTCCATCACAGTAGGTCGGTCCTGCCTGTTCTTGACTTCACCCACATATGTTTCCTGGGTGGCTTCTCTTGCTTGACACAGTGATTCTGAGATTTGAAGCACAAGGCGTGTATGGAGTGTGTTCCTTGGGGTCTTGGAAGGAAGACTATCTGGAACGTGTTAGGGGTGTTTAATAAAGGGCTACAACGTTGTGAGCTGGGAATAAGGAATCCACAAGCCCCTCGGGGTGAGTCACAACCTGAAACCAGCATGTTCTTCACCTGAAGAGGGGCAAGAGCAGCCACTGGAAGAGGAAAGACAGCTCCATCAGGCCAGGAGGCCTTCAGTCAGGAACAGCCAGCCTGGGCAACCACACAGGGAAGAAGCCAAGAATAAATGCCCTGTCTCTCTCTCTCCTTTCGATATGCCCCACTGGCCCAGCGCAACTGGGAGCCAGAAGGTAGGAGACGCCGTTAATTTCCTGCAAAGAGGCCAGCTGAGGTAGAGACCTGCAGGAAAGCATCTGGAGCTGGAAGGAGAAGGTGTTGAGCACATGCCCGTGTGTTCATGAAAACCCAGAGTATGGGTAAAGCCATGGGGGTCTGACAGCAGGGAGGGGCACAGTTAAGGAAGTTCTAGAAAATTAGCTTTCTTACCCTTCCCTCCTTCCTTCTTCTCACCCTTCCTTCCTGCCTTCCTCCTTTCCTCCCTCCCCCCATTCTTTCCATTCTTCCTTCCTTTTTTCTGCCTTCCTTCTTTCCTTCCTCTTTTCCTTCGTTTGAAAATGGCTGCACCTGCTATAGACAATAATTGTGTGTTTACTACTATGTGTCAGATACTCTGTTAGGAGCTTTACATACTTATAAATAGTTAGTTTTAATATTGAATATTCTTCAAACACCTATTTTGAAGGAATGGCTATACCAATTCTACAGACAAAACCAGAGGTTCAGAAAGTTTACCTGTGGGACTATAAGATAAATTTGCCGCCATTCCCCCCAGATTAATAACCAATGGATACAAACAGCTATTGTACCCAGGGGCCTGCGAGAAATGATACACAATGAATGCACCAGACTGGAGCGATCAGGGAGCTGGTAGGAGGATGGGGCCTCTGACCGATGCTTGAAGGAGGGGGGATGCCGTGTGCAGGGTGCAGAGGGCATTCCAGGTGTGTGGACCGCAGCAGCAGAGGCACAGAGAGAGGGGGTGAGCTGCCAGCTTGGAAAATGGAGACCATCCACTTGGGGGTGATGAAGGTTACTGAAAAGAAAAGGTAGTAAAGGATTAAGGTAGAAAGGCAGTGAACCCTGAAATTCTGAGATTCATACCATAGACAGTAAGAAAACAGTAAAAATTTTGATCAAGGAATTTGCAGAATCATAATGGATCTCCCAGAAAATGTCTTGTGTCAGTGGGCAAAATGGATGATCTGTAATAGAGGCAATTGGGAAGTTATTGCAGTGATCCAGGAGAGAGGTTCCGTCTAGAGTGGTGGCCACCACAATGAAAAGAGACAGTCCTGAGACAGATTGGGAGAAAAAAGCTCAGTAGGACCCAGCACCAGGGTGGACAGCATGCTAGAAGAACAATGAGTCGTGAGAAAACAACTGGAGAATCCAAGCTGGGGGCAAGATGAGTGCAGGGAGGAGAGGAGAGCTCAGCAGAGGGAAGAAGTTAAGGGCAGAACCAGAGCCATGGAAAAGAGAGGCGCTAAATTGGTTTGGACAAATTGCACTGAGGCGCCCAGCAAGGTGTCCAGGGAGAGCTCTTCGGTAAGCTATGTGGGAGGTGTTGGGGAGTCTGATGGAGAGCTTGGCTTCAGACAAGTGCCTGGTCAATGCTGGGAGCAGAGGAGAAAGCTGAGGGAGAAAGAGTAGGCAAGAGAAGGCAGACAAGGATGAGATCTCCTGGACGCTCTATGCTCAGCTGTTCAGCCACCACTGTGCAAAGACCCAGGACATAGCAATGGTCAAATTACTGTCTGGCTGGGTTTGTTTTCTTTGGGGAAAGGGGAGGAGGGAGAGGACATTTCAGACGTATAATAATAATACTCCTTAAACCACAGGTGGCATACTCACTTTCTTCAAGTCAGAAGTTGCCAAGGGCACTTTATTTCTAGACCATTCTTTTTAAAAATCAAATCATCAGGAATTGTGCTTCTGGGAAATGCTGTTCCAAACACCTATTAAATATGCAGCCATACCGTTTGTTTTGCATTTTTCTTAAGGGTAACAATTAACCTTTAAAAAGTCTGACCTTTCCAAAGAGGTAGACCTGTTATGGGGAGCTCTGAGGTGCTGGGTCAATGTTTCAGAGAATTGTTTGCTTCATGAGCATTGTAGACTTAGGGCTGCAGTGGTTTTCTTATTCTGTAATGCTGTGGCTCTGAAACGGTTCACTAGCATGATATGTTTAATTTGTGAAATGAAGCCGTCAATTGGAGTCACAGGGCTCAGTCCCCGGCACCCCGAGACAGGGGAAGGAAGCACAGCCAGCAGAACAGGCACTCACATCTCACACACTCGGCAGGGAACACATGCCCCACAGCAGAGCCTGACTTGAGATTATCCCTCAGCTTATTCCTAACCACTAACCAGACGCTCAGCCCCAGCCCAGATCCGCTGGAAACCAGCCTGGTCACCTCTTTTCCTACCACCAGGGGAATCGGCCAGTCCTTGCAATTCACCACCAAAGTGATCTTTCTACTTGGAAATATTACCACGCCATGACCCTGATTAAACCTCCAGCATCCCCGTGTTTATCCAGGACACAGTCAGGACCCTGTGATCTGGCCTCTACTCACTTCTTCAGCTTTATCTGCCATTCCTTATTCTGCCCCCTCCCTTGTACACACAAACACATATTGTTCTTAAGATAAACCAAAGTCCCCATGGCTCCCTACACGCCTCCACTCAATGGGCTCTCTGCACGCCCTGCTCCTGGAGAACCCTCCAAGTTCTCATTGGCAAATGCCTGCTTTTCCTTCCAATTCAGCTCAGACATTGCCTCCTTTGGAGTGCCAGCTGTGACCCATTTCCATTAGGTGGCTCTTTATGTACCCATAGCATTTTACAGATGCCTGTTTCCCAAAAGGGACTCTACTCTGTCCTATTCATCATGTAAAGTGGTCCAAGCTCCCATGGAACCACACACAGAGGAGAATCTTAAGCAATTTTGTGCAATCGATACAAGAATAAATGAATGATGAAAACTTTTCCTCCGACGGACATACATGAAAAGTACACAGGCACACTTTCCCCAGACATTTCTGGAAAACAAAAACACCTCCAGTATCAATCTGATTCCAACTAATGCATGATGGTATGCCCACAAAAGGTTAAACTGAAGAGACCCAGGGAAAAGGAAGGTTGACAGGAGCGTGTTGGAGATGGAGTGAGCCACTTGTCATTGGGCTGAATTGTCATAATACACATGAAAAGGCAGCTCTCAGCAAGCCTTGACCGCACACTAGATGGGGGCCACAGAGAGATGGGTGAGACAGAGGCCCCACTCTAAGGGAGCTTAGAGTCTAGTAGGGAAAGAGAGAAAGGCCAACAATAAGGACCTCGAAGGGAGAAAATGGCCAACACTCCCGCGAGGTGGATGCAACCTCTCAGAACTTAGCCAGGAGCAGTGGCTAGCCGGGAAGGACCCTGAAGGGATAGGGAACAGAAGGCAAAGGCACCTTTGAAAGGAGCTTTCAGAAAGTTGCAAGCACCTCTGCATGACTAGAGATCAGGGTTTCATCACAGGGGGCCAAGAGCTGAGGCCAAAGAGATAAGCAGTGGATGGATTTTAGGAGACTTCCCATGGTGTGCTAAGGAGATAAATCTTATACTCTAAGCAGGTGGGAGCCATTCCTAGAGGAACAGTAAAATCACTGAGCAGCACTACGTGTGGAGTGTGAGGAAAGAAAGCGATGGGAGTCCTTGCTGGCACAAGCCTCAATTATGTACTCAGATTAAAACTGAGAAATAATTCCACCTACGGGCCCAGCAGGGCTCCCATGCACAGTGGGGGATGCGTGCGGTCAGACATCCCAGGGAAGCACAGATGGGCTCTCACAGAGCCTGTCAGGTGAGAAGCAAACACGTGGCTCTGGAGAGAGGTCTGTGGTCAGAGGTGTGCTGCGTGGCAGCAGGGAGACACCGCCCGTGGTCAGTGAAGCTCTGTCAAGGTGCACGTTGGACAAAAATTCCCTCCACTCACTGACCTAGAAAGTATGCAAGAAAACAAATGAAAAGGATTCATTACCTCAAAGGGCCAGCAAAGATCATCTTCTCTTATCAGATCATGAGAGTGCTCTTCAGGAGCTGAACGTAAAAGAGAATCTATTACAAACGCTGATCCCAGATGTGATGGGAAAAGCAGCATCATCACAAACTGTAGTTCTTTACCAAAAAAAAAAAAAGACACTCCATAAATTTCAGACACAATTAGAAATGCAAAGATAACAAAGTCATAGAAGGAGAAGGAGGGGAAAAAATATTTGTTCTAGAGAGATGGTTAACAGTGAGGAAATATTAATATTGATTTCTACTTTTACAGCAGCAAGAATAATCAGGCTGAACCGGTGACTCACCAATGCTTAACCAGAGCACCAAAAGCAAAGTTGGATGTGCAGAACACATCAAAATTCTGCACGAATCAATTTAAAATCATTTCCCCTCGTCTAGTGTGGTGACAAATTTATTAACAGGCTCAATTGAGAGGATTACTCAGTCCCCACACCTCCCTGTGAGTGCTCAGGCTACAAGCCTTAAAATCCCAGGGTCACTAATGGAAGAATCCATGGATGGGGCACAGCAAAGGAGGCAAAGATGGGAAAATGCACACCTGGATGCTCGGCTCCCCCAGCGCGTCCTCAGATCTGCAGTGTCAGGGGCAGGACAAGGTAGGGTTTGCCAGGTATCAGCCTAGATCAGCATCTTCTGTGGCCAGCAAGAATGCACCAGAAAACAAGAGCCAATTCAACATTTGCAGTAGCCAGTGTGTCCCCACATTCAAACAGGAAAGAAATATATAATAGAAAGGGAGTGGATGCAAGGATGTAAAAGGAACAGCAAGACTATCTCAGTTCAAAACAGCCACCGAGCTTACTAGGAGAGGAAATGGGGAGGGGTAGGTCAAAGGAGGCAAACTTGCCGTTATGCAGGATTAATAGCTCTGGAGAGCCAATGAGCAGCATGAGGACTACAGTTAGTGTTATTGGATGCTATACTGAAAATCTGCTCAGAGAGTAGATTTTAGGGTCTCTTACAACAACATAAAAAGCTAAGGATGGTAGGTGATGGATATGCTAATTTGCATGACTGTAGTAATCATTTCACTATGTAGATATAGATCAAAGCATCATATTGCACACCAGAAATCTCTATGCTAAAAAAACAACCACTGAGTCCCTTGAATTCTACCTCCTAAATAATTCCTTAATCAGCTCCGCCCCTGCCTCCCTACACTTTCCTAGTCCAGGCCTTCATGCTGCCTCCCGGGTCATTCCCAGAGCCTCCTGATTCATCAGCCTGGCATGGGTCCTGTGCCTCCCTTGGAGGAGTGCCACCAGCATGGCATGTCCAAGGCAAGATTTCATCAGAGCTCTTGCTCAACAGTCCCTGGTGGCTTCCACTGCCTCCTGAGTAACCCCAGATGGCATGCATGTCCTCAGTCTCTCTGCAGCCAGCTCCATCTGCCTCCACCTTCCCCATCTGCTTCCCACCATGTCGTTTTGCAATCCTGGAACCCTTTAGTTCTTAGGGCACACATGGGGGCATCTCGCTCCACAATGCCCATCTAGACTCATGCTGTTCCCCCTGCCTGCAGCACCCTCCTCCTGCTTCCTGAATGACCTGGAAAAGTCGTGTTGGTCTGTATTAGTCAGAGAAGCCTGGCTGCTGTAACAGACAATCCTATGCCACCATGCATCAACACCGTGACGGTGTGTGTGCTCACCTGCCCATCCCATGACTTCTGTTTCACCCAGCCTTTCAGGCCCAGGCTTCACTCCACCAGTGGCTCAGCACCCCAGGGCCTCAGCATCCAGCTAGCAGCCAGGGAAGAGGTACCAGGAAGCCTGACAGGGAGGGTTTATGGGCCAGGCCTTGGAAAGTTAAAGGTGGATGGAGGTCATGATTTCTGCCTGCATTCCATCCTGGAGTGTATCTGTGTGCCTAGTGGAAAAGGTAGCCATTTGAGAGCAATTAGCTTGTCTCTCCAACAACATCTTCTCAGGCCAGACGGGACACCATCTCCTTCTGCAGCCTTACTGCTCCCTGCTCACCCCACCCTTACACTCGGGGACCTCTTTCCTCCATGACACCCACCAGACACTAAAGGTATTGTAGCACAGACTGGGTCTCCGCCTCCGTACCCCATCCCCTTATATGACAGGCTCTGGTGCATCTGGAGGTCAATCAGAATGCACCAGAGCCTGTCAGCAAAATGGAGACACATTTCATGGAGAAATGCGTGATGCTGGGAGACGGTCTCCTCTTCCAGGCACTTGCTGACCTGGTCCCATTCTCTCACTGGAACCAAACAGGACCATGGTAAACAAATATATACCAAAAGGAGCCATAGCATGCCTTTGGACAATGTTTGTCTTTAAAATGGTAGAACAAAGTGAAATGAAACAGGCTTGGGTCTACAGATTAATATATGAGGACTGGAGGAAGAAAAGAAATGAACTTTTTAAAATTTTTCTCCTGCTTTGATAAATAGGTACCTAAAGGCATGAATAAACAGAGGGAATAAATGATCAAGGTGAAGGAGAAACAGAGCCCTAGTGTTTAAGCAACAGTGACAATTTCTCCAGTTCATTGGTGTGACAGGCACTGTGCTGAGATCCTTGTATCTGCTATTTCTTCCAATGATCAGTGGTAATCCTACAAGTTACGTGCTATTGATATGGACACCTTAAAAGGGGAGGGAGCTAAGATTCAGAGATGATGGACACCTTGCTCAAGGTCACACCCTCAGAGCATAATGCAATTAAGATTTGAACCCAAGCATCCCATACCCAATGGTGTACAGGATGACAGCATCCATGAGTTAGAAGGAGGATAATCATCTACAATGGGGTGCATGTCAGGAAAGGCATCTGGAAGTCAATCAGAATGCACCAGAGCCTGTCAGCAAAATGGACACACGTTTCATGGAACGCTTGATGCCGGGAGAAGGTCTCTTCTAGGCACTTGCTGACCTGGCCCCATTCTCTCACTGGAACCAAATAGGACCAGGTAAACAGATCTATGCTAATATCATCTCTTCTTCCTATAGACAGCAAACTTTCTGAGCCATTCTACCCAAATCCTGGAGGCTGGGATCCATGAGGACTGCTCCATTCATCGCAGGAGAATGCAGGAGAAGTGTTGATATTTCAAGCTGCATGTTTCATTTGTAAATTAGAAACACTTACCTATTAATTCACATTCTCACCATTTTTGCTATTACTTTTGAGCACTCGAATTATTTGTGCCCTGCTTTTATGAGGCCCCTAATCTTCAGCTCCGAGGGCCTAAAACTGTCATTCAGTCTAAATTAATAGCAGTCTTATTGGCTCATTATTTTTGACATCTGGTTGGAAGTGCAAAGCAATAGCTATTAGGTAATAATCGCAGTAGGCTCTGATTAGAAACTAATAACATTAGCAATAAACATTAAATGTGGTTGCCATGAAGCTTTGAAGCTTGATCGAAGGAAGAGGGCAAGACTGCTCCACAATGATGAGAAACTGAGGGAAGGGGCTGGAACTCACCTCCCAGTTCCTCCAGATCAGACCCCCAACCCTGGTAACTTACATCACCAAAAACAACATCTGTTTCTGTAAAAGGAAAGAAAAATGTAGTAGACAAAAATCACAAGGCTTGAATGGAAATACAGAAAAATGAATATTCTGAATTTCCCAAATTCACAAATAATTCACAGAGATTTCTATTTTTCTCCCAACATTTTCCTTTCTTCTTCAACAAATGTGCATAAAGCCAGTTCTTGTACTGGTAATTATTGATATTTATTGAGCACTAATTATGGTCCAGGCCCTCTTATTCTAAGCACTTCATATACATTATTGCATGCAATTCTCACCCCGTCCCCGCCGCCCGCCCCCCCGCCCCCCCGCCAGTAAAAAGCCTATGGAGTTGCTGCTGTCATTATTCCCATTTACAGATTGGGAACCTGAGGCACAGAGAGGTAAAGTCACATAACCCAGGCCACACATCTTGCACAGTAGCGAGCTGAGACTTGGATCACAGAGTAATGCTCACACTCATACAATGCTGTCATTCTTGCTTTCGTTTTCTAACAAGTTTTTCTTGAGCACCTACAATTTGCCAAACATTCTTTTCTGAGCTATAGCAGAAGGAGACTGGAATAGAAAGAAACATGGGCAGATATAGTCCTGGGCACTAACCGACTTGCCTGGATTATTGTAATAGCTTCCTAACTTCTGAGCACCTCTTCCTTCTGGTATTTCCCAGTGAAGCAGCCAGAGGGATCCTGTTAAAATGTGACTCAGGTCATGTCACTCCTCAGTTCAGAACTTTCCTCTAACTCCCTGTCTTGGTCACAACAAAGGACAAATTAAACAGGATGATTTATGTCCACCTGGAGCTCCCCTCATCTATCCCGCCTGTCACTTCTCTGGCCTGTCTCTCACACCTGTCCCATTTGGTCCATGCCAGTCCCATCAGCCTACCCTCCACTAATAAACAGAACTGCACCTCCTACCTCAGGGCCTTTGCACTTGCAAAGTGCTCTTCCTAGAGTGCTCATCCCATTCTATCTCTTTTAAATTTTTTTAATTGACAGATGTTTATGGTGTCCAACATGATGTTCTGAAATATGTATACATTGTGGAATGATGAAATCAAGCTAGTTAACATATCCATCACCTCACATGCTTTTCAATTTTGAGATGAGAACATTTAAAATCTATTCTTTGGGCAGTTTATTATTAATTATAGTCACTGTGCTGTACGATAGATTTCCAGAACTTATTTTTCCTGTTTAACTGAAACTTTGCACCCTTTAACCAACATCTCCCCGTTTCCTGAACCCCAGCCCTCAGTCCCTGGTAACCACCACTCTACTCTCTGCCTCTGTAAGTTCGATTTTTTTTAGAGTACACATGCAAGTAAGATCATGCAGTATTTCCGTCTGTGCCTGGCTTATTTCACTTAGCATAAAGCCCTCCAGGCTCCTCCCATTATCTCTGTTGCTTGTCCCCTATCTCCTTCAGATTGTGTTCAAATGTCACTTTGCAGTGAGGCTGTGTCTGAACCTCACTACCTTTTTAAATGGTAAACACCTCCCCCAGTGATACTTCCCATCCTGTCCGTTTCTTGTTCTATTTCTCCATGGCACTTCTACCACCTAGCAAACTATACATGTTGGTTAGCTGGCTAGTTAGTAAGTTTGTGGTTAGTTACATTCTCTGTCTGCTCTCCACTAAAATATAAGTTTCAGGAAAACAACAGAATGTGTCTCTTCTGCCCATTGCTTTATTCCCTGTGCTTAGAATGGTATCTGCACGCAGTAAATGCATAATTCATATCTGTTCAATGAATAAATAAATCCTATCCTCAAGGATCTTATCTGTTTATAAAAATGAACTATACTCTCCCTGGGTCCTGCTTCAAAACAACCAACTTCACAAATGCCACACATAAGCCACCCCCACATGGTATGCTAGCAGGCAGTGTAGGAGTCAGTGTGTTGATGGGGTAAAGGCTGGAAGATGTGTGACCTCATAGCTGTGTGAGGTCTTCCAAGGCACAGGATGGAGGGAGCCTTCTGGAGGAAATACAGAGCTAAGCATAGAAGTAGAAGCTCAGGATGGTTTAAAGCCTGATACTGCTGCTTACCAGCTCCTGCACTTATACCCTTGAGTGAGTTTTTCAACCTCCCCAAGCCTCAGTTTCCTCATCTGTGATAACTGAAATAAAAGTCCTACATGGCTTCAATGGACTGATGAACCCTCTTTTGGCCAAAAGACTGTAGAGTTTTAAGTTCCCGACCATGACAGGACAGAGACCAGATGCGCCCCGCTTGCTGCAAGTCCCTTTACCTTACTCATCATTGGCAGATCTTAATCAAAGGCTGACTTGAGGAGGACAAAAAGTCAAGCCAGAAGACTTCACTTACTTCATTCGACCACCCAGTGCCTTCCTCCTGTTTGTATGGTTCTGACCTGACAGCCACCCTGGGCCACAGAGACTTCCTTCTTGATGGATGGATGGCTGCGAACAGGTTTGGACTGGTGTCTTAAGACTGCCCAGAGGGTGGGCTTGTAGTCCATTACACCTTTCTATCTTTATGATCCAGATAGAATACATTTAAATGTTAACTCTCCACCCCAAAGTGAACACAGGTCATATGTTGTCATACGTTTCATGCATGCGAACCCAGGAATAAAGTTCTCCTTTAAATTTACTGATTCTGACTCTCATTCAACATCTGTAAACTGATGATAATATCTACCAGGTCACAATGTTGTGAAGATGAAACGGAAAAACATATGCACACTAATGCCACGCCTCATATACAGGGATGAACAGAGCAAATTCCGCTTTCCCTTCCCTTGGAAACACTGGGATGAGCTGGAAAAGGCAAGAAGGAGCGAAGAAAAAGCAGGAAGCCTTTTTTGGAATAATCTCCACATGCACGGAAATATCCTCAAATGACAGCCAAGATTTCAGGCAGACCCAGCTGGCCCTAAAAGACAACAGAAATCCAAAGATAGGAATTGAATTTGTTTCCTGAAAGCAAAAATCTCCTCAAGAGCTTTGCTGAGCTCCTCCATCTGCAGTGAGGACCCGCAAATCCAAACAAGCCTTACTCCAGCAGCAGGCTGTGGGCCAGAGTTTCCATCTTTGTCTGTAGCATCACGTCAGCCCTGGTGTGATACCAATGTTTTGCCCGAGTTTCTTAGCTGAGTATCGCCAATCACACCAAGCATTCCTCTGCGGCGGGGACAGGATCCTGTCCCAGTTTTGTGTAGCACTAACAACTCCTCTACATACAACTCTGGCATGGACATCACCTTGTAGATCCTCCAAACAGCCCTATGAGGTCAGCACATGGGACAGGGGTCACTGCCAAGCTCCCAGTTTACAGAAGATGAAAGTGAGGCTTGGAGTGATTTCATGTCTCATCCACACTCTCAGTCTAGCAGGTGGCTGATTCAAGACATGTACCTGACTGCTCCAACTTGGGTCCAGTGGCTGTTCCACTACATCACACAGCATCTGTACCTCTCAGCACTCAGGTGTTCCTAGATATGGATCAAACTAAACCTGATGTGCCGAAGAATTGCCTGGCAATGACTACTTCCATTCATTGGTATATACTCAATGCTAGGAACAGTACAAGTTATGCTGCACACACTCTTTGCTCTAAACCTCAATATAATCCTATGGGGTATTACCATCTACCCCTGCAGTTCCCTTTAGTGATAAGGAAATTGAGACCAAGAGAAGTGAAGTAACTCTATCAGTGTTGTACAGCTAGAAAGAGACAGAAGTGAGACACAAAGTGACCCCTATGCCAGACTCTTATCTGCACAGGGACACCTCTTGATGCTATGCAGGGAAGGAGTGCCTGGGGAGGTGAGGAACCCCACTCCTTTGTAAGTCTCTGGAAGGAGGCCTCTCTGGGAGAGGAAAGGAAGCTAAATGCCCCAACACTGGATCTCTTTCCCTGGTGCAAGGAAGTGTTATACAACCTCTGAAGTGGATTCAAATGTCAATCACCAGCTAAAAGATATTGGTCAATTACCCAAACTTCATGAACATCAGTTTCCCAGTCTATTAAATGGCACATACCATATAGGATTATTTTTAGAATTAACTGAAATAATCAATGCAAACCATTAAGCACTGATGTGGGGAACATGCTCCATCCCTTTTCTCCTTTCCCACGTGATGGAAGGGACAACACTGGACATTGTTCAAGAAGAACATGGAGTAAGAGGAGGTTATATCAAGCAAGGCTTGCTGGAGGTCCACAGAGACAAAGGCCAGAAGGTGCTGAGGGGCGGCAGTGCAGGCAAGGCAGTGGAGGCAGAGGCCTGCAGGAGGACAGATGCTGAAATTTCTAGAGAATCCAAATTGTACCTTTGATTATGATTTTGTCCCTTCTTGAGCAAGCTCAGCCCCAGAAAGAGAAGCAGAACCCAGAGCACTTATCTCATCCTCAACCTTCCATCACTCACTTGCCACACACAGGGCACAGCCAGGCCTCTCTCTCCCAATGCAATCTGGAAGCTGTGGACTCAGACCCACACGGTCTCTACCAGAGCTTGTGGGGCTCCGCAACTGTAGGCTGACCCCCATCCCTCAAGGCTCCTCCCTCCAGTCTCTTACCAAGGCTGTGGTTACTCCTTTTCCTCACCTAAAAGGCATCATTTTTCCTGTTCAAGGCAGTACTGTACAATAGTAGGGGATGGGGGAAACTGAGGCATGCAGGGTGGCAGAGTAGCCATGACTATCCTTTGCAGGGCAGCATCATCTCCCATGGGTTTGAAGGACAGGGAGCCTGCAGGTGGCTTTGCTCTGTGCCACCTCCCCCTGCCATTCCGTAGACAGCTGCCTGCCGGTGGGGAGGCGGGAAGCACATCCATCTCTCCAGAATTGGCCTCAACCTGGCTTTTTAGTCCCTGAGGTTGGGCTAATACACAGCTAATTATGAATGTTTCTGGCCCGGGTTCCTTGCCTGAAAAGCTGCCACATTCAGCATGGCTTACGAAGTCCCAGCTATGTCGACAGCCCCCAGATTCCTTGAAGGCTGAGGAGATGCCTCCAATGGCCATTGCCTGCAGATGCAAGGTGAACATCAGCAGCCCTGCCAGAGTCATGAGTTTCCTGAACCAGAGATCCGCTGGACCTACAGAACATTGGAACACTTCCTTTTCAGCAGAGTTCTGATGCCTTTAGAATTGCAGATTTGTTAAAGCACCAGCTCTTCACAAAACCTTGAAAATGAATGGAGACTGCCCAAAAACAAACCCTCCAGGACAATGATGTCTGTAGATGGTCCCACCATGAGCTTGCTCCCTCCCTTCCTCCACCCTCCCAGGCACCCAAACCTGCCCCAGGACCACAAGCACAGGAAGTCATGTTAGGGTGCTTTGGCCACAGGACAGAGGATGGATGGAAGTGGCAGTAAAATAAATAGGTCTTTATAGTCAGAAAGCCATGGTGTGAATCCTGGCCACACCGTTTATAACCTGAGTGACTAGGGACAAACTGCTTCATCTCTCTGAGTCTTGGTATTTCCACTGTAAGATAGGGAATGGTATCAGTCCTGAAATGTGGTTATGAGAATTACAGCACAGAATTCAAGGCAGAAGGCCTGACACGGAGCCAAACACATAATAAGCACATAATTTACCTGCCTTCCACAGTCAGGAAAGGAGACATTGAGAAACACATTGAAGATGATGAAGTAATAGGTTTCTAGCTTGAGATCAATGGATGTCAAGAATCCAGCTGTCAAAGCGCCCAGGTTCTGAGGCCATGGTGGTCAGTTGGTTACCAAGCAATGGAGTCTTAGCTATAAGCAGTTTGGTAATTTAAGTTGATGGGGTCCTGGGAAGCCCTCAGCCTCTCCCTCCAATATGTTTCTCTCCCTTGGCTATCAGGGGGTTAAAATTCCTCCACAAGAGCTTCCCTGTAGAGCCGTAGAACTGTTCCTTGTTAGAAGCTGTCAAAGAATGATGACTCTAAGGCACTGATGATGTAGTATCACCCCCATCTCCCATCCCATCAGGAACGCCATAGCCTACGGGATTGAGTAAGACTCCTTGGCAGAGCTCTCAATGCTCTTTAAAATCTAGCTCCATATATAGCTTCCCAGGCTCATCTCCAGCCATGTTTTATGACATTGTCACCACATCACTTGCTTAGTTATCCATCCTCAAACTTGCCATGCCCTTCCACAGCTCCTCACTTTAGCCTTTGCTGTTCCTCTTCCTGAAACACCCTGTCTTGCATGTTCGTCTCATGGACTCAAGTGTTAAGTCTCATCCCAAACACTCAAAACCCCTTGCAGGTGAGTACCATGCTTCTGCCCAGGGCTGAGGAAAGAGGGAAGGGAGAAGGTGGCTGTCATGTCCTGAACACCTGCTACCCTGGCCAAAGCACTGTGCTGGAGGATTCATAGAGGCATACTTACCTGTTTTAATCTGCAGGACAACCCTGGGACTATGTATTTTCTCAATTTAGAGAGAGGAGAGAACTGAGATGTAGGAAGTTAAAGTAACTTCTTTCCCAAAGTTACAGGGTTAGAAAGTATAACAGGGAGATCTAACCCCAAAGCCAGGGCACTTGCCCATTACCTCACACTGCCTCCCTTCGCTGTGAAGCATGACAAGTGCCTGAGATGGGGGTTCACAGAGGCTCTGGTGGTCTCATGGCCACCTCTGACACGGGGTTCTGGCTTCTGAACTCACTTCCTTGTGTCTGCCCAGCGGCCACACAGATGAGTAACCCACCTCCTCCTTACACTTCCCTCTCTTGGCCACCAGTGCCAAGCAGTCACAAGGGTGCTGGACTTCACTCAAGTCATCAAGCCTGATCTCATAGGAAGGGCCATCTAGGACTCTTCTGTTGCCAGGGATGTCTGCCTGTGGTCCTTAGGTTAGAGCAGAAAGGAGAGAAAGTAGCTCGTGGTGAAAACAGAAGTCACCAAGGGCCTACTACATGGAAATACTTGGCAAGTAAGTGGCCAAACAGGATGGACCCATCCATGTCAGAGTCACCAAATGTCCGTCCTCTCTGCCCAGTAGTTCTAAGCCTCCCTCCTGGGTCTTCTTTCTCAGTTTGCCCCCAGGTTCCATGCTACCCCTCTGGGCTTGGCACTCCAAGTCCACTCCATGCATCTCACTCTGTCCTCACAGGGCCTCAGGCTCCCGCAATAGCTCCCACGTTTACATCTTCAGCCCTGACCGCCTTCCTTCCTTCCAACCCTGTGATTCCCCTGCTACTAGATATCTTCTCCCAAGTATGCCAGAGGCACGAGTCCAAAATGAGCTTGATCATCCTTCTTCCTCTTCAACAAGCACTTGTTTTTCCTAATTCCTTTATCTTGCATGACAACACCCACCGAGTTGTCCAGGTCATAAACCCAGGTGTGTTATTCTTGACTCCTTCATCTCATCCCTTGCCCGTGTCCAGTCAGTTACTGCGTTCTGTAGATTAATGTCTCTCTTATCAGCCATTTCCCTCTATTTCTAGACCACTGTTGTAACTCAGGACTTATCTCTTTTTTTTTTTAGACGGAGTCTCACTCTGTCGCCCAGGCTGGAGTGCAGTGGTAAAATCTTGGCTCACTGCAACCTCCACCTCCCGGGTTCAAGCGATTCTTCTGCCTCAGCCTCCTGAGTAGCAGGGACTACAGGTGCACGCCACCATGCCTGGCTAATTTTTGTATTTTTAATAGAGACATGATGTCACCATATTGGCCAGGCTGGTCTTGAACTCTTGACCTCGTGATCCACCCACCTTGGCCTCCCAAAGTTCTGGGATTACAGGCATGAGCCACTGTGCCTGGCCAGGACTTATCTCTTAATGGGTCTCTCTGCTCTCTGCTCCTTTGCAAGTGACAGCAACAGTAGACTTTGCCAGACCAAATCTTATCTTGTTCTCCCCTTTGCAAACCCATCAGCACCCCTGTACAACTTTGAGAGACAGACTCTTACTTCTTAAATCCACACATGACACCCTAGGGGATCAGAACACCCCTGCTGTCTAGCCTTGTTTCCTGCTGCTCTCCCAGTCATAAAATATGATCCACAGTCCCTAAGCCCCAATCTGTTTCGCACTCTGTGTCACACACACCACTCTCTGCCTCAAGTGCCTTTCTCACCCTGCCCAGCCAACTCTTACTCACTCTTCAAAGCCCAGTCCAGGTGTGGCCTCCTCTGGAAAGCCTTGAATGGTGCCAGTCTGCTTTAAAGGTGGGTTCACTGCTGTCATAGAATAACACATTGCACCTTCTGATCATCCACCTTCACACTTGAACACGGGCTCTGTTTGGTTTATCTTTGGATTGCGTTTGGAATATCATTCATGACTCCTCCCTGCAGGGAGTACTAAAAACAACGCTGCCGAGAGAGTGGTGTGTGTCCCTGTGCATGTGCGCACACACAGGCATGCACACGCACCTCTGGCTGGCCCAGGTCCTGGCATAGGGCCAATTAATACATGTTCACTGAATGCATGAAAGAATGGATGGAGGAACGAACGAATGAATCCAGGGAACATCTAAGAACCCCACTAAACTGAACGTTCCTCAAAGAAATACTCAGATGGGAAAATCACTATTTTTTTCTTCATACTCACAGTGACAAAATGCCCAGACACTTTCCATCTTCTCCATTAAATGGGTAAAATTGGGCTTCTGGCCACATTGGCCCTGGCAGGATGGAGGAGAGGAGGTGAGGAGTCTTTCTGAATGGTGTATTTTCCTCTCTTGGTTTTCTTAGCTGCCAATTCTAATTCACAAGTTCAGATGCACCTGAGGACAACCCAATCCAAAGCATCCCATGCAGGAACCAGGCCCTCTCACCCAGAGCTGTCAGAAAGGCCACTTGGGAATCACTGCATCTCAGACTTGATGTGAATAAGAACCCCTGATGACTTTGCTAAAGCTTTCTTGGCCTCACTTCCAGATTTCCTGATTTGATGGATCTAGAGAGGGGCCCAGAAAACATGATTTTACTGAGCAAGCTTCACAGGTTGTTCTGGTACAAGTTGTTGGTAAATCACACTTTAAAAACACTGCTTTAGGCTGGGCATGGTGGCTCACGCCTGTAATCCCAGCACTTTGGGAGGCTGTGGTGGGTGGATCATGAGGTCAGGAGTTCAAGACCAGCCTGACTAACATGGTGAAACCCTGTCTCTACTAAAAATACAAAAATTAGCCAGGTGTGGTGGTGCGTGCCCCGGGAGGTGGAGGTTGCAGTGAGCCAAGATCATGCCACTGCACTCCAGCCTGGGCAAGAGAATGAGACTCTGTCTCACAAAAAAAAAAAAAAAAAAAAAACACTGCTTTAGGTGTTTAGAAAAAAGTCCCACCCATTCCTAAGCCAAATATAATTTGCTTCGATTTTTCATAGACCTACTCTGGGATAAAGTGCTCTGAAGATCAAATATATTTAATATTCTGTTCAGGGCCAATGGAAGCAATCACTTCTCAGCTTGGAGATCCTATTAGGAGAGCAGATGATTTAAGTGTTTAGAAGACTGAGATGCGTTTGGAATATCATTCATGACTCCTCCCTGCAGGGGATACTAAAAACAATGCTGCTGAGAAAGTGGTGTGTGTCCCTGTGCGTGTGCACACACACAGGCATGCACACACACCTCTGCATGTGGATGTTCATCTCATCTTCTACAAACACAATTTTGTCACCTATTTCACCATTTGGGGTAAAACTTAACCCATTTTAGAATAAAATCAAATTTTGGAGTCTAATGCAGAGGGAGAGGGGTTGTGTAGAAGGAAAACAACACATTTGTGTTTCCACTGTACATTATAAATATGAAGATGTAAGAAACTCTCTGGAGCCTTGCTATTCATATGCAGAAAAAGCTAAGTTTCATCTACATATTCCTGTACACATACACATTTAATGTTGTTCTAAGTGAAGAAAAATCATAATTTAAAATTATTAACATGAATGTTATCATTTCTCTTTACATTGAACAATGCCAGTTATAAGTGCAAATATAAGAGCATTGAACTCACATGTGAAGTCACTTCAAATACAGTTGTATTTCATAGCTTATACATGCATTTTTATTTCATTCTGACCAGAAGAGTGGAAACCCTGCACAGAACAAACTCAACTGTTTCTATTTCACTCTTAATATGTGCATTTTCTGCCAGCACTCTATGGAAGCTGGCAGTTTCCATAATACCTTGTACTGGCTTAGAGTCTCTCTGAACTCTCACCAGAATTCTGCACTCATGGGCATCATGAATCCTGTGTGTGAATGGGGCATCCCCAGATGTGTGCATACTCCATTGTCCCACTAGATTTCACTTGTAAAACACAAGTTCAAAAAAAATTATCAAAAACTTCAAGATGGCAACACCAGATCATTAAAGCAAGAACAAGCGCCTTCTGAGTGCAGTGCCTTGTGCAGTTGTCCAGGCTGCATGCCCAAAAAGGTGGCCCTGTAAGTCCTGTGAAGTCTATGGCAGACAAGTGTGAGAGATCTAGGGGTGAGAGGCTCTTGACCTACATCAGCAAAGGTGAAGGAGAGAAAAACTGCATTGGGGTGAGCTGCACTTTCGAAGACAGTAGGGCAGGGATGAATGAAGCCAACTGCCCAGGAAGGCTTCCTGGAAGGCCAGAGGGTCCACGAAAGGGGCAGAGGGTTGGAGTAAGTGACGAGTGCCAACTGGGGAGGAGATCAAACCCATAGCACAAGAACTCCAGCTTGAAGTGCCCAGCAGGGAACCTTACGGAAAGTCACCGGGGAGCCCCAGGGGAAGATAAGGTGGCCGCTGTACAGCAGCCATCCAGATGGCCCCAATGCCACATCAAATCTGCACCAGCCAAGGGAGGCCTTCTCTGCCCCATCTCTGCTCTCTTCTGCCTCCACCTCCAACTCTGCAGGCATCAGGAGCCACAGCTGGAGGACAGTGGAGGAGAAGTCAAGAATAAGGCTGGGGAAGCAGAAAGAAGCCATCGTGTGTCCAACCAACTTCAGTCTTTCTGTTCTAAAGGAGGTCCCAGCAGAGGGACAGCAGAAGATTTAACTTTGAAACAAGTTCATGGTTTTATTGCCTAGATGGGACATTTCAATTACAGAAAAGGAACTGTTCCCATAATAAAAAAGACACTAGAGGATGTTCCACTACCTCAAAGTGACAGGAGCACACAGGCTCATGTTTGGCTTGAATAAACAGAGTTAATGTGTTTTCAGCTCAAAGAAATGTTTTCCTCTGCATACACACACACACACACACATCACACACACACACACACACACACACACTACACACATCACACACACACACAACTCTGCCATGTGCATCCTCTAAGTTCACCTAACCATCTATCCACAGATACACTTGTGTCACCTTTTCTACCATTTGAGATAAAAATCTAACTCATAGAAGAATAAAATCAAATCTCAAAGTCTAATGAGGAAAAGCGTCTGTGTAAAGGAAAAAAATCATGTTCTCACCTTCACTGTATATTATGAATATAAAAATTTAACATAAGGAACTCCCTGGAGCGTAGCTTTCTTCCACCCTTCTGTGAGTTTTTTTGTTTGTTTGACTGGTTGGTTGGCTTGTCTGTTTTTGTTTGCTTGCTTGCCATTTGATTGGGATTTTTTTAGTGATAGGGTGATCATTGTGTCCAGATGTGGACTTGAACCCCTAGCCACGTTCCCAGCACAGAATCTAGGGGATGTTTTCTTAGGCAGTCTAAGACTACCGAGTACAGTTCTTTTACTTGAAAACATTAAAATGCCTTTAGATTCTCCAGTTCAAAAAAAGTATGTGCATTAAAAAAACAAATTACTAATATAATATATCCTCACCAAGGTGCCCAACTGAAGATTTCTGACCACTTCAACCTGGTGGATTCTGGTGCTTAATCCTGAATCCAAAGAAATAAAATGAGCTGTGAAGAAAGAACTAAGATAAAGTGTATGTATTTCCTATTTATTTTAAAGTGAGAGGAATTTTATTCCTCAACCGTTTTATATCATGGGAAAAATTATTCTTTTCTGGATTTTAAAACTTCTTATCTACTTGCAACACAAAAACAGGTTTTTAGGGTTTTTTCAGGATTTATAGTTCTATAACATAAATAACTCAGCATAAATAAAGGTATTAAATCATCATATATTCAGAGCTTTTGGGGAAAATTAATTGTATTTCCAACAATAATAACATTCAAAACCTTTATATTTCTACCTTAGGCTCCAACACAAGTCTTCCTTCAGGCCTCTTGAATGATCATCTTCCTAACAAAGCAACAACAATGGCAATTGCAATGAATAACTGTATCAAATATCATTTTTGAGGTCTTTCTACGTGCCAGGCTCTATGTGAAAGGCTTCATTTGTATTGACCACTCAGTTCTCACCAAAACCCCATGAATTTTACAGATGTAGAATCCAAGGCCAGATCGGTCCCCCATTCTGTTGCAGTTCACTGAGCTAGGATGCAGCAGGATCAGGAGGCAGCCCCAGGCAGGCTGGTGCTACAGTGGTGTTTGGAACACCTCCTCTGGGTGACTGAAGACCACGCCTCTACTTGGAGGGATTCATAATATCATCGGCACCAGAAGTTCACAGATTTCACAGACAGGTGCGAGTTAATGATATGGGTTCTAGACCCAATATTTTACTAAATCACACAGTGGATCTTAAGAGAGGCATTTAAAGAGTTTCCCCATCTGGGTAATGGAGATAATGGAAGGAGCCCTACCAGCTGCAGAATGTTGATATGGAGTCAAAAGAGCAAAAAAGTGTGATCCTTAAATCAAATATCTAGTTCTTAATAACTCATTATCTTTAATGCTTCAAAACCTTTGTAAAAACATTTCAACTGTTGAGATAAGTGCTAATTTAATGAAAGGTGTATTAGTCCATTCTCATGTTGCTATAAGGACAGAGACTGGGTAATTTATAAAGGAAATAAATTAAATTGGCTCACAGTTCTGCAGGGCTGGGGAGGGCTCAGGAAACTTACAATCATGATGGAAGGAGAAGCAAACACATCCTTCTTCCCAAGCGGCAAGAGAGAGAAGAATGAGAGCCAAGCGTAGGGGGAAGCCCCTTGTAAAACCATCAGCTCTGGTGATAACTTACTATCACAAGAATAGCCTGGGGGAAACCACCCCCATAATTCAATTACCGCCCACTAGGTCCCTCTCACCACACTTGGGGATTATGGGAACTACAATTCAAGATGAGATTTGGGTGAGGACACAGCCAAACCACATAGGAAGGAGGGAAGAGAAGAAGAAAAGGAGAGAGAAAGGGAGGAAGGGAGGAAAAATGGAGAAACTAAGATTAAAACAAAACCCCCAGTGAAGAAATGGCAGAACTGAGATTAGAATCCAATCTTTCACTCAAAAACCTAATATGAGAATAAATTGTGATATTTGCCTTTTAATTTAGTTTGTGGTAGTTTTTGAAATGCGGTTGACTTCTTTGGACATTTCAGAGGAAATCTCACCCTTGGAAATGCCTTACACACGTCATGGCCATGCTGGAGGAAAAATGGGGATTATAATCACCATCTCATGAAAGATACACTCAATATAACAGAAAGATCATGCTTAGTTAAATTAAGTTGCTCCATGAAGACTTACCTGATAAAGATGCATACAAACTGAAAAGAACTGGTGTTCTCCAGTGTTGAGCAAAGCCTCATGTCTTCCTGATTTCCCACCGTGTCTCAAGTTTGAGGTTTCTGCAGGGAGAATAATGCTATCACCTCAGAGCCAAAGGCTGCTGGAAGGCCACGTGTCACTCTCATAAGCCCACTCATTATTATTATTATTGGTGTTGTTCTTGCCCTCATTATTTTCATTATTTATTAGTGGCCTTGTTCTTACAGTGAGTAAATTATTCTCTGGAAGTAATCTGTTCCCCCAGGTGAGTGAATAAAGACTTCCTCTTTTCAGAGTAAATGCTTTTTTTTTTTTTTTTTGGCCAAAATGCATACCACTCCCTTACAGTGGCCATTTCATAATGTGATTGAACCTAATTGTATCATCTGCTGAAGGAGGAGGGTCACCAAAATGGCGGCCCCCACGTTTCCTAACCCCCTGTGAAAGCCCCCAACACAGAAAGGAAAGGATAGCTGTGAACTAGGGGAAATGCCTAGCAGATCAACAAAACCCCACCTAGGAGAAAACAATCATTCATTCCCTCAAGAATTGCCCACCCCCACCATCTCACAGGTCTGAAATTGCAGAATGCCAATGTCTCCAGGGGACAGGCAGATGACAGAAGCTCCGGCGACTCACACATGTGAAGCAGGGGAATGCTGCAAGTCGTGGGGACATTAGTGTTCCTCTCTCACTGCAGTGTTAGTGTTGCCAGCCTCTCAAATGTTTTCAAGAGATGCAGGAAGTCGAGACTTTTGGGTGAAATGGTACACTCTTCAAATTTGGTAACTATTTTTTTTTTTTTTTTTTTTTTTTTGTGAGACGGAGTCTCGCTCTGTCGCCCAGGCTGGAGTGCAGTGGCACGATCTCAGCTCACTGTAAGCTCCGCCTCCTGGGTTCATGCCTTTCTCCTGCCTCAGCCTCCCAAGTAGCTGGGACTACTACAGGCACCCGCCACCACACCCGGCTAATTTTTTGTATTTTTAGTAGACACAGGGTTTCACCGTGTTAGCCAGGATGGTCTTGATCTCCTGACCTTGTGATCCGTCCGCATCAGCCTCCCAAAGTGCTAGGATTACAGGCGTGAGCCACCACGCCCGGCCTTCAAATTTGGTAACGATTTTGTTCTAATTTAATACACTGTATGGGCCAAACAAAAGCCAGTTTTTGGCCAATCACGTGATAGCACTTCAAGCGGGCTTCTACATAACTGAAGGAACAGCCTGTCCAGTAGGTGACCAGTGATCAGAGGCATGGATAGGAGTCCAGTGCAGGATGGCATTTGAATGCTCTTCATATTTGAAACTCTGAATTTAATAAAATTACCCTGGCAGGCTTCAATGCATGCAGCCACTGGAAAAACCTGTCTGCCAGTGGGGTGGGAGGGGTTGAATGCTAACTTCTCTGAGCCTCAGTTTCTCCAGCTATAGAATAGTAGGGAAGACAACAGTACTTATAAGTTTACTGTAGGGATTAAAATGCAGTAATACAAAAAATGAGTCAGACTAGAAACCTCATGGTAGGTGTTCCGTAATCTTAGTTCCCAGCTCCAGGCAAACAGCTATGTGACCTCGGGCATGTCCCTTTATTTTTCTGGACTACAAATGCACAAGCGCTGGGTTTGGGCCACGTTATCTCTGTAGCTTCTTGTGTGTTGCTGTTCTGGGACCCCCTGAGGACGGCCTTCCGCTCCCTAACGGTGCGGCCCTGTTGACATTCTGTTCTCTCGATAATTGCTAGGATGGCTTTACCAACACGGTTACCTCAGAATTGAAATCCAGCAAAGGAGTCATTAGCAGTTTAACTGCATTTAAAATATACATATATAAGATCTCCAGATCTCCCACAATGCTATCTAAAGGACAAACGATTGTCATTTAAGTTTTGACATAATTATTAACATTTAAGGTTAAAATGTTCACTGCTCGATAATCCTTCCTGAGTAATTGCAGTGTTTCTAGCTGAACTGGAGGCTGATAAATGACTTGCCTGGAAGTTGCTAGGGAAGCACTAACTTCACAGGATGAGTGAAGGGAATTAAATCGTAGGACCTGGAAGAGACTGTCATGTCTTTCAAAGAATAACCCAGTTAACTACAGCAGGGCGGGGCAGAGCAGGGAGCGCTGGAGCAAATCCAGCTCCCCACCAGAGCGAGACGTGCTATGCAGGGACCAAAGCAGCTGCCGCTGTGCCCGGGGAAAGATGCCATTCATCACACCCCTCTGACCCCCTCCATATGTGATGCTATTGCTACACTCCATCATCATCATCACATCTCCCCAGGTACCAGTCAGTTTTTGCAGCAAAACAACACAAAATCTCTGCCGCGTGACAGTATTATTTCTCACTCTGGTCTGTGGGTCTGCTGGGTTGGCCACACCTGGGGTTCACTCCAGGTCTGCTCCACGTGTCCGTCATCCTCAGGCTTCCTGGGCACAGTCCTCTCGTGGTGATGGCAGACAGCCTGAGGACAAGCAGACACACACAAGGCCTCCTCGGACCTCAGCGCAGACTGGCGCACTGAAACTTCCACCCAATTCTACAGGCTGGAACAGCCACATGGGTAAGCCCAGCCTCAGAGGGAATGGAGGGGGATAGACTCCTCCCATGGTGGGACAGGGGAGTGAATATTTGCTGAACAGTCATCTAATCTATTGCGCCCCTAATTACCTTGAGCCTCTGAGGACAGGAATTATTCTTATTCCTTCCCCAGCACACTGCCCAGCATAGCTCTAGAAAAGGTGACTCTGACTCTTTGCTGAAATCCAATCCAATGATACCCAGTGGTGGGGCACTCAGGCCACAGGCTATAATAATATGGAAGTCCAGGTAGGCAAGCTGGCATCAGGGAAGTCTGTTAGAAATGAATAGAGCTCCAGCTATATTACACTTTTCTGAGAAGTGGGCTGTAAAAGGAAGTAGTGTCACGTCTAAAAGTTCTGGAGCCACAGGCCAGTGATTAAACTGCGCACAGAAGAACAATGACAGTAGCCAGGGCTGAGGTGGCCACAGGGCTCAAGAACAAGCAGATGCTTAGTCCTGAGAGCCATGACAGCAGGCAGGAGCAGAACCACAGCGGGGCCAGGATTCCTGAGCAGGACGGGGCTCTCTCTTAAGCTCGGATGGTCCTAGTACTCTGGGGCTTGGCAGCATGGTGAGCTGCAAAGACGTGGGCTTTAGTATTGCAGACACCTGGAGCCTTTCATCTATCTAATCAGGTAAGCTTTCTAACCTTCAAAACTTGACTTCTTCATCTGCGAAATGGGACTAACACCCTTTACTTCAAACTGTTTTACTGAGGTTTAAATCAGATGACGTGTTTAAGGTGCTTGGTTCATGATACATGTTCCAAAACATGTTAGCTCTGCCTGGGCCTGCCTCCTGCACTGGTGCATAGATTGCATGTGGGTCCAGTGTCAGAGGCATGGAGAGAAGAGTTAAGTGGGCCTCTAACCAACTGTATCTATAAGACACAAGTCCTTTAGGCTGAACATTTGTGTTGCTGCAAAACAAGTTCATAAGGTCTTGTCCTTCTCTTCCCAAGAGGCACTAATTGCAAACTGATCATTTCTCTTTCTCTTCCCAATATACAGTGATTTAAGATATTATCAGAAACAGGTCCAGTCCTGTCTTAGTCCAATCAGGCTGCTATAGCAAATTACCATATAGACTGGGTGCCTAAAACAACAAATATTTATCTCTCACAGTTCTGGAGGCTGGAAGTCTGAGATCGTGGTGCCAGCATGATTCTCGGTAAAGTCCTTCTCCTGAGTTGCAGACGGCTGACTCTTGCTGTGGCCTCCCATGGTGGAGAGTCAGCTAGCTAGCTCTCTGGCCTCTTATAAGGACACTAATTCCATCCATGAGGGCTTCACCCGCAAGACTGAATTGTCTTCCAAAGGCCCTATCTCCTAATACCATCACCTTGGAACTAGGATTTCAACATAGGAATTTGAGAGGGAAAAACATCACACTGTAGTGGGTCCCTTCACCTCCAAATAATAATATTTTGTATATGATGAAGGGTTTTTCTCCTCTGGTCTCTCATGGAACTGTCAAAGCCATCCAAGGAAAGACAGGTGTTATAGACTGAATATGTACGTCCCCCTATAATTCATATGTTGAAACCCTAACCCCCACAGTGAAGCTATTTGGAGATGGAGCCTTTGGGAGATAATTAGATTGAGAAGAGATCATGAAGGTTGGGCTCCCATCATGGGATCAGTTTCTTTGTAAGAAGAGGAAGGAAAAACTAGAGCTCGCTTGCTCTCTCTACCATGTGAGGGCACAGTGGGAAGGAACCATCTGCATGCCAGGAAGAGGGCCTTCACCAGGGCTGAATTGGCCAGCATCTTGATCATAGACTTCCAGCCTTCAGAATCATGAGGAACAAATGTCTGTTTAAGCCACCCAGCTTATGATCTTCTCTTATGGCAGCCCAAATTGATGAAGACAACATGTAATATTGTCTGCCTTTCCAAGATGAGAAAAATGAGGCTGAGATTGGTTAATAAGTGACTTTCTTGAAATCATACAGGACAGTCCTTCCATTAGTAATTGACTTCCTGTAAGCCAGAAGCTATTTAACACACAAATCCTTCTGAAAGAGGAATTGCACTCCAAGGCTTTCTGTCACCTTCTTGAGGTCATGCTCACCTGGTCAGGGGATTTTGACAAGTCATGACAACCAATTGTTTCCTCAAAAATACTCAGAACTCATCCACTTGGCAGCTTGACAGTATTTTAAAAGAAATGCCCATTGTTCAGTATCTTGAGGAATGATATTAATGGACCCAAATTTAAGTGGAAGATCATGCAAAATGTAGAACTGGCTATCTCCTAGGAAACTGGAAACAGGGAAGGAAACAAGATAAAAACCACCGCCGATGTGATGTTTCGGGAAGGAAAGGGTGAGGGCAGTAATATCCTTTCTGGATTTTCGTTTGCTTGTTTTTATAGCACATACGTTCCTATCATTCTGCTAAAATTCTTCATATATCTAATAGTTTTATCTTGGAAGGAAAGGGTCAACAGCTTATTGTCGCCTTTCCTCTAGCCTCAGGGGAGCCCAAGATTTGATCTTCAGGTAAATCCTTCTTGCAACACTAACTTAAGGAATTCATAGAGGCATAATGGATCCAATATAACTGCTATACACAGATTCAGCTCCAGGGCCTTATTACTGAGGTTGCTTAGTTCATAACCTACAATTGATGAGTAAGTGGTAGCTGATAAGATATGGCTGAACTGAGAATAGACTCTGGTCAGCAACCCCTGAGAAAGGAGTAGCAAGGCGTAAAAGCCACAAGTCCCCAGAACTGATTGCTGTCTGTGCCCACTAAGCTTTGTTTGTGACCATAAATATTACAAGTATACACTGATTTCAAGACATGCTTGGGGACTGCCAAGACCTCCATTATGTTGCTGATGTGTGTGCTGTGCTAGTGCCTTTCATGTTCTTTCTTAAAGTTAAATTAGTGCTGGGTGAAGCCCATAGTGTCTCATGAGTTCAGCAGTCAGTGTGAACCCCAAACCATTGCCGTCAGTCAAGCAGACTGGGCAGTGGGATCCTAGACCAGTTCTCAAAAAGGGAACTCCACTGGTATTGCACCATTAGCTGTAGGTACTCTTGATTGCCATTACCCTCCTCCTCCTCTCTCTAATAGAATTCCTAGGGGTTGGGCACTCCAGGGGAAAGATGGATCCAGCCTCAGCTGAATCACATGCCAACCAAGGCTGTCAAATTCCTCTTGCTGGTGAAGGTTGGTGGGTAGGCATTTAATCAGCTGGCTAGATAGACAAGAAGGGAGGGCCTCAAAGATTCCCAAGAAAGTGATCCTTTCTTTTTAAGAAGGAAGACTTGGAAGAGGTGGCATCTTTTTGCATCTGGACATTGCGAGGTCTAACTGTGATCGCTGGAAAGGAGTTGCCACTTATGAACAAGAGGGAACCATCCAGAGGGCTAAGGTGGCACACTGAGGAGAGTAGCTATTAGCAAGAGAAACTCCTTTTGATGTGATCGCTGTGCTTCTCCTTGTGACAGACCTACAGCTGCGCTACTACTAAGCTTCTTCTTATATGCAATAATACACTTTCTTATCATTCCAGCAAACTTGGATTACTGTCTTCTCTTACAGCCAAGAGTGCCCTAACTCACAAGGTCAGTAAGTGGTGGAGAACTTGAGCAAACCATTATCTCCCCAGCTCCACCACTTAATGACCCTGTGTGGTCAGTGTATTAGTCCATTTTCATGCTTCTGATAAAGACATACTTGAGACTGGGTAATTTATAAAGAAAAAGAGGTTTAATGGACTCACAGTTCCAGGTGGCTGGAGAGGCCTCACAATCATGGCAGAAGGCAAAAGGCACATCTTACATGGTGGTAAACAAGAGAGAATTACAGCCAAGAGAAAGGAGAAACCCCCTATAAAATCATCAGATCTCATGAGACTTATTCACTACCACAAGAACAGTATGGGGGAAACTGCCCACATGATTCAATTATCCCCCACCAGCTCCCTCCCACAACAGATGGGAATTATCGGACCTACAATTCAAGATGAGATTTGGGTGGAGACACAGCCAAACCATATCAGTCGGTGTGCCAGACAGGGACACTGACCACACAGGGTCAGTAATGTTAGTTATCATAATGGGATAATCTGGTCTGGAGATGGAATGGCATCAGGAAACCAGGGGCAGAAAGTTCCCAGTATGGAAGCAGAGACCAGAGGGGACCCGCCATCAAAGCAGATGGGAGTGCTCAATTCCACTAAGTCAGGCAACTCTGTTGCCATTGATTTTGCACTGACCCAGCAAGCCTACGGTCATCTGACAGCACCAGGTTTGAAAACTCCCAGGTAAATATACGCAGTTTATTTGGGGAGAATTGCTGGCATAATATGAGAGCCTATTTGTGTATGGGTATTGAACAGGGGAATTCAAAATGTATGGGCTATGAAAATCCTAACCACTGGGGACTCTGGATCAACTCAAGTCACACCCAGGAGATAACTGCTAACTCTTCTACACTAAGGGCCAGCCCTGCAGAGGGAAAAGTATTTTTTCATATCCTAGAATTGAGGTCCTGATCATATAATTGACTTACATATTACATATAACAATGCAGCATTTGATCTAATTGAAAAGTAGCTACTGGAAGTGAAGGTGGTTTTCCATAAGAAGAATAGCTGGTATTATCAGGAATAACAGTGAGGTCACAGGGCATTGAGTTGAGTCAGTTTGTTCTGACACTTACATATTTGATTTTCATGCCTCTTTTATTCTAAGATGCATAATCCATGTCACCCAACATGGAGCTGGACTACCAACTACTCTTCTTTTGAAAGCTATGCTAATTTGAGACATTCTTACCGGGCGCACGGTGTGGGTATGGGTTACAGAGAATGTGGATGATCTATTTCTCAGGAAACCTCTGAAAAGGAGGACAGTCACCCATCTGTCTGAGATTTTGCAGGGCAACAGGCCTGTGGGCAGGCTCGAGGATGGATGAGCCAATCTGCCAAAGGGAAAAGCAGGCAGAGTTGGAGAGAGGAGTTTAAAAAGCTGTTTTGCAAATGCTTCTCTCAGGCAGGAAACTGCTCTATAACCACCACAAGTTTCTGAAGGTTTTTTTTTTTAATTTAGTCTTTCTTCTATACCTTGGTTTTATATGCACACAAATAGACATAGAGACAAGGTCAAGGAACTTCCTCAGACAGTCTTCTACCTGTCTCTATTATGCTTTAGTCAGCCAAGATATCTTTCCAGGGCACCAATCAAATTAAATAACCTGAGTATCCATGAATTACATCTATAACTTGCACCACTTAGAACTGTCCGCAGGTCTCCTTATAATGGCTATAGAAGAGACTCTTTCTCTTTAGGATGGATAAGCTGGCATCTCCACTTGACCAAGTGGTGCTATCTTCAAGGCATTTACCTTTTTTGAAAGGCCTCTTGCCTCTTTGGGACCTGGAGGAGAGTTGAGCATTCCATAACCTTAAAGAGGCAAATGAAAGTAAATCTGTGTGCAAAGGTTGCGAATCTCAAGCGATGCCCTCTCCACAGCTTAAACCACAGGATCTTGACTTGACTTGGCCCTAAAACTTTTTCTTGTAGTCCACACATTCAGAACAAAGAAAAAAGGATTTAGAGCTCATTGCATACCTACAATGAACCAGGCACATTTGGTATAAGTTTTGCAGGTAAATTTCAGGAAAGAGCTCACTTTCAAGAAAAGTTAAATACCTTGCACAAGATAAACAACATACTGAATTCTTAGGTACTACCTAGAGCATTGTGCATGGATTATCTCATTTAACTCTCATACAAACCTAGGCAATACCTATCTACTCATCCTCACTTCACAAGTAAGGATTTTAAGGCTTAGAGATATATAGCTTGCCCAGATAGGTGGCAGGGTTGGATGCAAGCATAGAAGTCTGATGGCAGGGCTACTGACTCCCATTGGGTCCCTACACAGCCAGTAAAGGGAAAAGACCCAATTCTCAGCCAAGTATGTCTGACTCCTGCAGGGAGATTCCCTTCACTGCATCATATTGCATCTCAGAAAGAAGATAATGCAATTGTCTGGGAAAGTGAGATATATTGAAGGTTTGCCATGCAAATTTCAGGCATTGGATCTTAAGGGATGGAATGGACATTACACAGCACATGCAGACTCTCTCATCATCACTTTCCATTCTAGTACTTCTCTTCCCCTGCCCCTGGCAGCCCCATTTCCCCTCAGAAAGAGACCACTAGGGTTAGAAGGGACCAGAGGCTGGATGCGGTGGCTCGCGCCTATAATCCCAGCACTTTGGGAGGCCGAGGGGAACAGATCACAAGGTCAAGAGATCGAGACCATCCTGGCCAACATAGTGAAACCCCACCTCTACTAAAATACAAAAAAAAAAAAAAATTAGCCGGATGTGGTGATGGGTGCCTGTAGCCCCAGTTACTCGGGAGGCTGAGGCAAGAGAATCGCTTGAACCCTGGAGGCAGAGGTTGCAGTGAGCTGAGATCATGCCACTGCACTCCAGCCTGGGTGGCAGAGTGAGGCTCTGTCTCAAAAAGGAAGACGAAGAAGAAGAAGAAGGAGAAGGAGAAGAAGAAGAAGAGGAGGAAGCGGAAGAGGAAGAGGAAGAAAGAGGAGCGTGACTCCTCTAGACTCGCACCATAGGCCAGGAGTCAAATCACTGTTGCAAGCCCTAGTCTTAGTCTAGAGGAGGACATGGCTCTTTCTCTCTGGCTGGGGATCAAAATGACCTCTACTGCTTGTTTAAATACAGAACCACCCCCCATCAGACCTCATTCATGATCCCCCGGTCAAAATCTCCAAGGTAAGCCACAGGCATCTGTACTTTTAAAAAATTTTCCTCAGGGCTTTGAGTGATATTTTTCTGCATACTTCTGCATTATTTGAATCTCTCACAATGAAAATGAAACTATTTTTTTCTAAAATAAAGCAAATGAATCACAGTGTGGTGCGTATGTGCATATGTGGCTGTCTCCCAAGCCTACCAAGTCTTCTGATGTGTGACCAGATTTCAGGCCTGCTGCTGCTGCTGTTCCATTTATTCCAGGCTGTTGCTGCCCAAAGCTTTGACCTACTGCTTCTATTAAGCCTTTTAATGAAAATCTAAGAAGTAGTATCTACCCTGACAACGGAGACCAGAGAAAGAGAAAAGATCTACAATAAAAGTGAATTAAGGTGCAGTTTAAAATACAGGAAAGGGCACAGACTTTGAAGTCAAAAAGCCCTGGGTTTGGATCTGCACCTGCCATTGTTGCTGGCTCAGCATTTTTGGACAAATCGCTTAATTGCCCTGAGCCTTGCTTTTCTAGCTAAACTCTGGAGATAATAATTCCTGTCTTGCAGGATGATGGCAAGAATTCAACACAATAATGCATATAGCATGCCTAATGCATACTCAATGCTAACAAAATGGTAGCTATTATATCATTAGTCTCATAGAAATTATTATCATTATTATTATCAAAATTTTCAAAAGTAATTTTTATTAGCATTAATAACCCTTCATTTCCAAAGAATGAGTGGGAAAGAAAGAAAAGACATTTCAGAAGACTTTAAATGACTAGGAAGGAACAACTTACAAAGTATTCAAGTACAGCAAGCACTGCAGGCCACTGCAGAGACTTCTCCACACTTCTGGAGAGCTATTTGATCCACCTTTTTTTATGATGTGAGTTCACAAGGCAAGATCCCGCATTCCTTCTACAGCTGGTCTAAGGCCAAGCACAAGGGTGGCACTCAATAACACAATCTTATCTCCTCTCTCTTTTGAGAACTGCCTCAAGAGAAGAAAATCAACCACTCTCCAGGTAACTTTTGTGGAAGAAAGGCAGCATCAAAAATTGGAAGGTGCTTGTTTAACTTTCCAAAGAAAGAGGCATCATGATCTTTTCACGTTCTGTGGCATGTGTAGCATCAGATCATATCAATGGAGAGTGCAATGGCATCAGAAGGAGGAAAGGGGAATCCAGCAGCAGGGTCCATCTCCTGCAAGTGAATTATCAGTGGGGACTGGCCTGCTAAAGTCATCTTGTCATACCATGACAAAAGGAGGCCATCCAAGGAGCTCCTGCTAGAGACAGATTCAGAGGAAATCAGTCTGATGGATGACAGTGGGCTGTGGAAGCATCTGCGGAAAGTCAGTGCTAAATAGCAGGAGGAGGAAATAATAAAGAGGGCATCACAAGACAAGTTGCTGGATGAAAAAATATCCTTTAAAAAAAGCAGAGCTTCTATAAAAATGACATCAAGCCAGTGGTGACAAAACGGAAAGCCGCAGTCAATTTAGTCTGCCGTGGACCAGTCCTAACAGCTAAAAGGCCCCAGACCTTTGCCTGCAGCTCAGCCTCCAAGACAGGCTGGAACCCTTGGCACCCTGCTGCACTGCCAAATTTTGCTGAAGGGCACTGAGACTCAGCAAAGTTCAGCACCTTGCTCAGAATCCCCCAGTAGGTAGGTGAGAACCCAGTTCTCCGTCCTGTCCTCTTTTCCATTTGTTCAAACCAGCTCACACCCCAAAAGGAGGTCCATCTGAACACAAAACCTTTCAACTTTCAATGCAGGTCACCAGGAACAGGTGATCTTTGTTGCTTAAGGGTCTAAGGAAATAATGTTTGGCTGGTAGATAACAAACAGCCCCCAGGGAAACAGGTTGACCATCAAGGATGAGCGCTAGGAGTGATGAGAAGGATCTCACCTAGAAAGACAGGCAATTGGGTGAGGCACTCTGCCATGGCATTTTTAATGACCTCTCATGCCATCTCTTATTGATCTGGTGCCCAGGTCCAAGGTGGCCTCAACTGGGGAAAGGCGGTGAGAGTTGAAAGGGCATTTCACAAAAACACAGGACACAACTGGAGAGAAAAGAGAAACCAAAGGCCCAGCACTTCCATATCTTTCAAAGAAAAGTATTTTTCTCCTGAACCCTTTAATTGTCTTTCCAGGTGGGTGGAACCTCAACACCTTGAATCATGTGTGGATGTGCAGGTCTTTCATCTATGACCTTGGGGAATCATTCTTTCCACTCACTTCCCCATTTGTTTCTCAGAAGAAAGGGGAAAGGGGGAAACTTCTTGCTCTCTTTTAATTTTTAATTGTTTTACTAACAGGATAATTTTTGAAATATCCTCTGCTGTTTTGAATATCCTGGCTTTTTGGTGTGGGTTTTTTTTTTCAATTTTTGTGTTGGTTTTTTTTTTTTGTATTTCAGCCCCAGGAAAAGAAAAGGTGAGTGCCACCTCAGGAAGAAGGTTATGACACAGGGAAAGCCCTGTAAGGCAGGAAGGAGAAGAGGAACACAGTCCTCTTGGCTCCAGGAGGGAACCTGAGAGAAGCCACAGAGAGGGAAAGAGAGGAACTCTCCTCTCTCTCTCTCCTACTCTCTTCCTTTCTCTCCTTCACTTATGAGACCAAATCTGAAGCAGAATCACAGACAAATTTTAGGAGAATACTATAAAAATGAAGCTTTGTGTGCGCTTTCCCAGATACAGATGGAAAACTTTCAAAAGCACTTAGACAATGACCCCATACAACATGGCACCTAGGTTGGACATGGCCACAGGTTGGAAATGTCAGAGGAACAAAGCAAGTCAGAAGAAGGAAAATGTCACCCTCCATATTCCCCAGAGCCAAGGCTAATGTGCAAAAGATCCTCAGTGTACTGTGAGCCTGGAAAAGGTCATCAAGGGTAGCTGGGACGCAGACAGACCAGGACTCACAGGCTGAAGAGGGAGCCCACGGAGACATACATACCCCATCCAGGAGCTGTAGTTTGGGCCGTGCTGGGATAAGGGAAGAGAGAGGGTCCCCACTCCAGGAGCTCACAGTGGTGGCCAACCCCATGGCCCATGAGGGCCATTATTCTGCCTCCTGACAGTCAGAAAGGAGACTCTGCCAGCACCAGAGACCACCAGCAACAGAGGGCACCAGCAGCAGAAGTCAGCACAAAACCCACAAGGAGCTCCACCGGCTGTGGATCCAGCACAGGTGAAACAAGCCCCCGAGAAAAAGCAGACATGGCCATTTCCCAACCCAGTGGGCAGCAGCACCAGAATTCCAGTCTTGGACCACACCAGCCCTGCTGCACTGGAGAGCTATGAAGGACCGCATGACAACAAGCACATCTGAGCCTTTGTTCATAGCTGACACTTCATAAGTAACACGTGACATGAGCAAAGCCTACCAGAAGCTTTGCCCTCAATTGTGTGTAAGGCTGCTTGTGTCAGAAGGTCCCCCTCACCCACCCTCTTGTTCTCCTTTATTCACAGTTCCATGTGGCCCTTCACTACAAAGGATGCTGGAGTAATCAGCCTCTTCCTCAGAAAAGAGTTCATGATAACACACAAGCACAAGCCTAGAAGACAGCAATTCCATGTCCATAATCGGATCCTGCTTTATATTGGGTTGTGTTTTATATTACTTGAAAACTATGAGATTAAGTTAATTAACCACTCGCTATCCTCTATCAGGACAGCAGGTCATGCAGAGAGGTTTAAGAATTTATTTTTAAAAATCTAAATGGACTTGGTATAACTGAGTCCTAAATATTCTCAAACAGTGTGCTCTGGTTGAGAAAGCTAAGTTTGTTAGCTTTGTGGGAAGGGTTCTCGGTTGTCTCTGAGTCCCCAGATACATTTATTAGGCACAGAAATGACAGGCAGGACAGCATATTCCACAGCACCATTCTCCACTCAGCTTTGGACTCTTGGTTCTGCCTCCCAAGCCCCTCCAAGCTCCCAGGGGAAGACAGTGCATGAAAGGGCAAAGCCATCTGTTGGCAACGCTCCTCGTCCTATCAATCCCCAGACACATGGCTTGTGGGTCACAGGATCATGGCTGTCCAGAGAGCCTTTTGTGGGTCCATACAGACGGTCTTCTCAGCGCTGTGAGACGGAGGTTTTGTGCTGTCTTGTAGAACTGGCAGAATTCATTCAAAAGTGTGCTCATAAGTTACCTCACTCTTTTCTATCTCTAGCTAGAACAGCCTGACCCTGGAAGAGCAAAATAAGAACGTTCTCTACATTAGCTTAAAAACATCCTTATCAATAACTTTTCAGGTAAGTGGTAAAAACGAGTCTGAACAAATCACTGGCTTAGCCATTGTGTTAGGCAATTTCATAAAAATAACTTTAATGTCCTTTCTTGCACAAGTTGGGAGAAGAACACAGAAGCACTACCTTGATGTTCAGCCCAGAGAAGGGGAGGCAGCAGTAGCCCAGGGCCTCCCAGGCTCACTGCGGTGCGTTCAGCGCTGTCCTGTGGAGCATCTGGAATGGCCCTGCTGGGGTTCACGCAGCACCTGCAGAACCCAGAGATTCCTACCTCAAGATCTTCTTTGTAAACATAATAGATGGCCTTGCAAACATAACTCTGAAGTGCGATGTTTATAGATCATTCTTTTAAAAATCTTCAAGGATATGTCAACAACTATTTGAACAGGGAAATTTTAGGAAGTCAACTTTATTTGTTCACAGGATAACTTCACACCAGTAGTTTCCACCTGCATCTGTATAGCCAGGGGCCCTTCTCCATTCAGGGAAAAGCTTTAGAGAAATGTTCAAGAAAGAAATATTGCAAAACCTCCTGCACTGTTTTCAGGAGGAGATCATTTTAGGAAAGCTCTCTTTGTGGTTGCATTCCAGTGAAATACACAATACAGAGTCTTAAGAAGGGAGCTTGATACAGAGCAGTGACTGATTTGCCCCCAGATTCAGGCACTGAGTGGGTGTGAGTGTGCAGGGATAAATGTGAGCATCTCCAGCTCAGTGGTGGCAAGGACAGCTACACCTCTTGTGTCTTAAGCACTTAGCAATATGTTTGACTTATAGTGGGTACTAGAAAAAAGCTAAAAGAATGAGTGAATGGATATGCAATCTAAACTCTGGTTTCCTTGTCTGTAAAAAGAAACAACAATTATAAATTTCCAGGTCCTGCCAACCTCAGGCCATGAGCATCAGAAAGTAGGGTAAGCATACACACTCATTATTGTGTCTTTCAAGCAGACTCTTCAGATGCATGCTTTCGTATCCCCATCCACTCTTGAACTCGGTGTTCTGCAGTGTGAGTCACTCATGGAGAGTCGGTCTTTGCAAAAGGACTTGACATTCTTGGAGAGCAGGAACTGGCCATGTTTATCTCTGTGTCCTCATGCCTGGTACCAATGACCAGAGCTGTTTTGAAAGGGTCCTGGGGGGCACTCCCCCAAGAATGTCTCTCTGAGCCCAAATCCTGGTGGCCACATGCTGTTGGGGCCTTCAGAAGCCAGAGCATCAGTGGAAACTGACTTGTGCCTGAACACCAGTGGTGAAAAATGAAGTTAAACATCTTCATTAGGAAATGTCAGGCACATGAAGGAGGAAATGCAGAGCAGGGAAGAGTGGGCACAAGGAGCATGTATAATGAGGCCCAGAGCTACGGGGTGCCAGCCACAGGGCTGGGAAAGATTCAGCTGACTGCTGTGCAGCACAGAGGGTGGAGAGCCTGGGGCTGTTAGCATCCCAACTTCCCATGGTTAACTCCTGTTCCCTCTGACTGCTAAGTAGATCTCTGCTCCCTGGCTGTTAGTGGAGGAGTTTGTCAAGATAAGAAATGCACTTGGAAACATTTTACATCTTCCACACAATTGGCTTGTTCACAGTGTAAGTTTGCCACAAGCAAAGGCATTCAAGCTCTCCCCAGACACTGCGAGCCTGCAGTTCATACTCAGATCTTGAAAATACTTACCAAGCTCTCTGCATTACCTTGATTTCCACAGAAGGAAGATCGGGGCAGGGTACACACAGAACTTCATCAAAGCAAGAGATATTTAAATATATTGCTCATCTTCAGCAGGAAATGGTATTTCCATGTTATCTTTCTCCAAGAGAAAAAGAAACCTTTTCACTTTAAAGGCATCCCTGATCTGCCCGGCCAACTTAAAGCATTTTCTACATCAGGATTGGCAAACACGTGGCACTTATAGCACCGGCGAGCCCTTCTGCGTCCATGATAGGCATTGCTTACCAACTACTGCACATGGAGATGCAATAATTCAGCTTCAGAATCCTTCTCAACACTGTGCTTCACGCAGTCACTGTAATCAAATGATATTAGTCATGGAGCCCCTGCTATGCTAGATACTTCATGAGCTAGCCCTCTGACCTAATCTCCTGACACTCTCAGAATGCATTTGCTACTTTTTCCTGCCCCTTCTTCTGATAACTGGCCCTAATTTACTTTGAGGGACCACCCACCCTCCACACGTCCAGTTCAAGTGGCTCAGGTGTAATCATTGTACTCCTGGCTCTGGGGGTGGATACATGAGCAAGGCCCAACCAGTCAGAACATCGAATCCCCCTGGCTTGAGACATTAGACCAGAGATACTCATGTGGTCTAATCTGGTCCAAAAGACTCAATCTTGGAACTCAAACCACAACAACTGAGAACAAATACACTTACTTTACATCTAGACCCAGACTTGCAAATTTGTAAGCCTTGAGCCCAGAAAAGAGAACTTCTCTGAGGGTCACAGAGACAGTGAGAGAGAACATTTGCGTCCCGGTGAGTCACGGCATCATTTGATTCTATGTCTTCTGATGTTTTTGAAGCCAGGTCTACCTGTGCCCTGTTTCAAATATATGAGGCAATAAAGCTCATTTTTAAAAAGCAACTAAAGTCAACTCGATTGAATTTCTGTCACTTGTAACTGAAACAGCCCCAATGGTGCCCTCACTCACTTCAACTTGATGATTCCCTTGGCTGGTAATGGACTCCAACAGCAGTGAGATCATACAAAGCCACCAGGACCTACCCTAACGAAGTGAGTTGAGGCACACTTGTTAGAGGCCAAGGCCACACACATATGCCCCACATCCAGAAAGCTAGTCCCCACCCCACACAGGTCGCCCTCAGAGGAAGTAGTCATAGAAGAGCTGTTACAAAGAAAAGACGTCTCTGCAGGTGGAAGCCTTTCATCACAGGCACCTCAGAGCCATCCAGTCGTACAATTCCTGAGCACAACCATGTCTTATGGGTCAGCAAGCCTGGCACTGTTGCTGGGATTCACCAGCTCTGCTTCCACAGACATAAACTGGAGAAGCAAGCCCAGGACATGACCACTGCCCATGATATAGATCCGTACCACTCGCGCTGGCCTGCTGCTGGAATCACAGTAGATTCTCCTCCGGTAGTTCCTGGGTGAGCTCTTTCTTGCACCTCTCATTTTCTGCCCCATTTCAACCTTCAGTGCCATCTTCCTGCCCCATTGTGACTCCCCAATATCCATAATCTGACTCTTGACAACTCTGCAACTGTAGGGTGTGGCCCAGCTGTGGGATCCCCTTTTCTAGTGAAAAGCTCCCACTTTTAGTTTCTTAAAGAGGATCTTGACACAGGTCCAATTTGTTCTGGAGTCTTTGGTTTCTATATACGAAGGCAGATCAAAAGTGCCTTGCAGACATAGCTGAGTTTGCTTATGAGGGCTGGATCAGAATCCCTGTTCCCTATTATTACAGAAGCCGTAAGAATACCAACATTCTCCCCAGTGGCTCAAAACTGAGGGTTAAAATGTTAATCAGGAGTCACCAGAGATGCATGAGTCAGGATTCAGACATTCTGCACACCGATGCCAAGAAAGTACACATATTTCAAGTGTTAAATCCCTATTCTTTTCCAGGGAGCTCAGATTTCAGCGATCATACTGAATGGGGATATTTGGGCTTGTTTCTCAGCATGGACCAAGAGAAACAAAAGAGTGCAATATAGCTCCCACTGTTAATAACAGATGCCCCCTTCCGGAAGCTTTGTCAAAACCTCTTAAGGAACACATGTGTCTCACTCACTTCTTGGCTATATCACTCTTCTGGCTTCAGCAGGAACACATTTCATGCCCAGGAGAAAATGCATCAGTGAGAGAAAGACTTCAGTGTTTCTATAAACAAAAACAACTCTAGCAAATCCCCATAAAGAATTGTTTCCTTTCATATGAGAGCCCAACTTTTAACAGCTTTCAAGTAATCTTTGAAAATATATTCATTTTTAGAAACTAGTTTCCACCAGGATATAAGACATTTAGAAGAAACCAACTATATTACTTTTCTGTCCTTGGAAACTACCCTTGCAAGCAAGAACAATTGTGAAACTATTTCTAGTGGTGATAAGACTTTTGCCCGACACAAGCTATTTTCTGTATCGCATTTCTAAACTCCCAGATAGTTTACAGAAATCATCCCCCTTCCCTCTATTGAAACTGCCTTTGCAAAAAATTATAACTGAGAAAATTATGATCTTGCTTCTAACCTCCGAGCTGTCATGGTTCATTCCTGGGCATAGGCTGAACTAACTTTGCAGGGAACTTACTCTATAGTTTAATTTTGAAACAAGGACGATAAGAGCTCTTCCCCAAAACAAAACTCCTTTTTGCCAGGGAACGATACTGCCTTTGCAGGGCTAACAAATTAGCCACAGGATTAGAAATTGTGGTTTAGGAGTCATGTAGTTGGAGGCTACAAGATTCTGAACCTCCCCAATTTGCTCCTGGGGATAACATCCCTGGTGTAAAACCTAAGACCAGTGCTTGAGATATTTTGCAGCCCCTGTACTCAATGGATCAGCTGGCACCACCAAAATCGATAAACTAGCTAATCTGGTCTTGTGGCCCCCACCCAGGAACGGACTCAACACAAGAAGACAGCTTCGACTCCCTACGATTTCATCTCTGACTCAACCAATCAGCACTCCCCCGACTTCCCGGCCCCCTATCCACCAAATTATCCTTAAAAAACCCAATTCCCAAGTTTGTAGGGAGACTGATTTGAGTAATAATAAAACTCCAGTCTCCTGCACAGCCAGTCTGTGTGAATTAAACTCTTTCTCTATTGCAATCCTCCTGTCTTGATAAATAGGCTCTGTCTAGGCAGCAGACAAGGAGAACCTATTGGGCAGTTACACTAACACCACCTCTGCTTCTGCTCACAAGTGAGTGCCTTAGGTACCAGGTCCTGCAAGGTGAAAATGGCTGTCAGCCCTTGTCACTATCTCTGCTATCCTAGGCTCTCCCCTATGGCACATAGGCAGAGGCCAAAACCCACATTTCCCAGACTGTTTTGCTAGCATGGTGCCTTTTTTGAATCTTCCAATGAGAAACACTCATGAAAGATCTGGGGTGGAAAAAGAAGCAGAAGCCATCATGGTTCCAGCAGCTGGCAGATGAGCATGAGGCACTGCACAGTTTCTGGAACCTTCCCTATGAATCACACCCTTGGGCGATGAGCCGCTGAGCTCATCAACAGCTCTCACTTCTCTCTCTCCCTGGAGTCTGTGGGGCTCTACCCACAGTTAAGAGTCTGAAGGCAATGCAGGGCGATAGGGATGGCCCTTGAGGAAATCTGCATCTCCTTATCAGTGAAAGGCCTAGGAAGGACATCACAGTGTCCCCACACAAGGGAGAGCTGACCTCTTCAGAGAGGCAAGAAGAGGCCTCTTCTGCTGACAAAGACAGCCTGGCAAAAAGTGGAGGCCTAAAGTATCAGCTTCATCAGAATCTAGGCAAACATCCCCATTCTGATTCTCAGGTCCTGCTCTTTCTCAACCAGGGTTCTAACACTTACATTAAAAATGTGGTCTAGCTGTGAAGTCAACTTTGGTTAGATGACTATAACCTGTAGGATCAAACTGTGCCTGGAAGGAGAGATGGCCAAAGGTGTAGAGCTACACTGATTCATGAGCTGTAACCAATGGTTTGGCTACATGGGTGAAGGTTTCAAAGGAGTTAGATCAAAGAAATGTTAGCAAAGAGTTTTGAGGAAGAGGGAGGGAGATGAACTTACCAGAAGGAGCACAGAGTGTGGAGATATCTGTGTCCCATGTGACTCTTTACCAAAGGGCATCTACTGCAAAGGTTGGTCTAGTAATCAAGTGGAGATGATAATTCCTTCTAGGCAAGTCAGTGTCTTTGCCCAACTCCCCAGTGCCTGCTCAATGGGCTGCTGAGCAGTGTGGCCAGGACATGGATTGACATTACACATCAGCTCAACAATACAATCTCTGCTGGCTGTTACCATTGCTAAATGCCCCACCTGCTGAAATTAGGGATGGAAACCGAGTCCATAATATGGCATGGTTCCATAAAGAACCAGCCAGATACCTGGTGGCAGTTCCCTTCTAGTGAAGGGTCAGTAGTTTGTCCTCACTAAAATAGAGTGAGTCAATTCATCCATCTCAGCTCTATTTTAGTGATTTGGATTTGTCTTCTCTGTCCCTGATGCTCTGCTGGACTGTCATCACTGAACCCACTGAATGACTTAATTATTGCCATCATATTGCTTCCACATAACATCGCTTCTCACAAAGAAATTCATTTCAGCAGAATGAATAAGGCAATGGACTTGTGCCCTTGGTGTTCACTGTTCTTACCATTTTTCCCATCATGCAGAAACCACTGAATATCCTAGAATATTGCAGTGGCCTGTTAACAACTTAGTTGTGGCACTAGCTCAGAGACACCACCATGCAGAATTGGGAAGCAATCCTATAAAATGCAGCGTATGCTGTGAACCAGCAACCAATTAAGGACTCTGTTTTTCTGACTGTCAAAATATAAGGGTAGGAGATCAAAGCAATGAAAGAGTAGCCACTCTCACTGTTATTCCTATAACAAACTTGCGACATTTTTCCTCATGTCTCCATAACTTTGGGGTCTGCTGCTTTAGAAGTCTTTGTTCCCAAGGCAATAATGCTTTCATGAGGGACACAACGATTGTTCCACTCAACATAAGTTGAGATGACTATCTGGCCTTCCACTAAATCAAAGGCAAAAAATAGTTACTGTACCAACTTTAATGATATTTCTTAATTATAAAGGAAAAACAGAGCCATTGTTAAACAATAAGGACAGTGAGGTATGCATCAAGAAGCCATCGTATTCCCTGGGGAAACATGCAGCGATTTTGTGCCCAACATCAAAAGTCATTAGGTACTGACAACCCAGGACAGTCGGTACCACCAAGGATACAGACTCTTCAAGAGTAAAGATTCCAGTCGTCCCACCAGGTAAAGAACTTTGATCAGCTAAAGTGTTTGTTGAGGGCAAAGAAAATTTGGAATGGATAGTGGAAAACAAAAATTAAAAATGGCAAGTATGGCCTCATAACCACTTGCATAAGTTGGGGGCAGAGCTATGTATATCCCTTGACTGTTATTTATTGTTGGCCCTTGAATAACATGGGTTTGAACAATGCAGGTCCACTTATGCACAGATTTTTTTCAATAAATATATTGGAGAATGTTTTTGAGATTCATGATAATTTAAAAAGACTTGAAGATGAACTATGTAGCCTAGAAATATAAAAAATATTAAGAAAATGTTAGGTATGTCATGAAAGCATAAAATATGTGTGTTAATTAACTATTTATGTTGTCAGTAAGGCTTCCAGTCAACAGAAGGCTCTTAGTAGCTAAATTTTGGGGAAGTCAAAAGTTATACTCAGATTTTTGACTGTTCGGAGGATCAGCTCCCCTAACCCATGCATTGTTCAAGGGTCTGTATATATTTGGTATATATTAACCCATTTATTTTCCCCTCCTATTCCTTTATTTTATATAATGTGTGTTAATGATGTTTATTTAACGTTATAATTTAGTCTTTAGGTGATACGATATTCAAGGAGAATTGTGACTGATGCAGAAGGGCCATGAACATCCCTTAGGGCCAGGTGCTGTGGCTGCTATGACTTTGCTCCTCTGGTTCCATGGAAAGCATCTTTGTTGTAGGAGAGATAGTTGTATTGTTATTAGGTATAAGCATATTCATGTTGTTGTTGTTCTTTGGAAGTTTAAATACGATTAGAAGCATGTTTATGAATTCTGAGGAGGCCAGGAAGTGGTCTGTGCTAAATGGCAGCACTCTGCACCATCCCCATCCTCTGTCCTCATAAGCTGTACCATGTAGTGCAAAGGCTAGATGACTGAGAACCACATTTCTCAAATCCTCTTCAAATATGGTTCCCATTAAGACTCTGCCAAGGAGAGACCCTGTCATGAGACTGGAAGGGCAAAATCATAATTGAGGGCAGGCAAGAGGGCTTTTGTTATTCAAAGACATGAGGCTTTGTCATCAGTTTCCATATGACCCTAAGCACAGAGCATATCTCTCTTATTTCTGGCATTTAGTGAAAACTTAGAAAATGTTTTTCTGTGTAGACAGATGACTATATAAAATATCACTTATATATTCTTTTTTAGCTATTTGGATATATAAAAGGATGGATGGATGGATGGATGGATGGATGGATGGATGGATGGATGGTTGGGTGGATGGGTGGATGGATGGATGGATGGATGGATCAATGGCTGGATGGAAGTTGAGGCAAAAAATATACATTCTATATTCCTGGAATTTGATATCCAATAAGCATAGAAAGATCAAGTGACGGTTTTGAGTTTTGTTTTAAGGATAAATGAGAGAGCACTGAATGTTAAAAGAACATTTAAAGATAAAAGAGAGATCCTCAGAGAGGAAAAATTCAAATTTGCTAGAGAGGATGGTGATCACTATTAATGTAAGCTCTCAGACCAGATGGAGAAACATGGACTCCACAGTGAAAGGTATCTAAAGAAGAGCCCTGTGCTCTCCCAGAAGAATGGAGAAGGATGCAGTTGGCAGAATCTGCCTACTAACCTTTATATGTCATCATTATTTTAGACACATTTTATGTGTTTACATGAAAACCCAGAGAAACAGTTTTGGGCTCCACAGAAGAATGAACATTTTCACCAGTATGACCAGTTAACCATAGGAGTGTCCACTGCTGTCACTAGAAGCATTTGTGTGACAGCTAGATGGCTAGATCTGGAAAATACTACAGAAAGGATTTCTGACCAGCTGGAAGCTTGGACAAGAGGAATTCTAAGATCTTTTCCAAGTAAAACTTCCGGGGTTGCTTTCTTCCCTGCTGTGGTCCATTTAATCTTTACCACTGGCCAGGACACAGAGGCTCACCTGCAGAAAGACTCTAGGTATGATGACAGCTAGTAGAAGAGCTGTTTTTGGACAAGGAAGCCCCTCTCAACACTCCTCAATTCATAACACATAAGTAGTTGCCTACTCTGGATATGCAGGAGGAATGATGATATGAAAAGTGTCTGCTAAATAAAGCAGTCTAATTAATAAAACAACTGTCAAGAGCCTGCAATGCTAATTTCATCTCACATGTGTTGCATTCTCACACACAACCAAATAGGAAACCATCTAACCCAAGTAAAGTAGTTTCTAAATTACCTTTTAAGAGGAAGACAAGTGCACAAACTGCAATAAAATGAGGGCAATGCTGAAGGTTGAAACAATATCTGAAATTCAGAGCCTGCCTTTGATCTTTCCTTTTCAAAGATATTCTCAGCCCTGCGATACCCTCTGAGGCTGGAGAACAGCAATGGAAGTGACTAGTCCCTGCCTCATGCTGGAAGCCCTACTACAAATTGCATTCAGGTTTGAATTCAAAGGTGTCCTGCTGAATGAGCTCTCCAAGCAGAGCCAGAGTTTAAATGTCTAACATCATTCTTACTTTCTTTTAGGTAACTGGGTCTCTGGATCTCCAGCTACACATTCTAAGACCCAAGAGGTAGGAAAGGTAACCTCAGCACAGGCTCTGGTTTCAGACCAGCTCAGGGTTTCAGTCCCAACTATGCTGCTTTCCAGCTACATGGACTTAGATCGCCCAGCTTCTCTGAGCTTCAATTCTTCATCCATAAAGTGAAGATAGCTGTATCTTTTGCAAAGTTTTAGCAAAGATTAACTCAGAGAATATGTGTAAAGCTCTGAATACAGAGTCCATTATGTAACAGGGTGTCACAGAAAGTATTACTTTATCCACCCACTGAACTTAAAATCATTGGTAATTTGAAAATCCAAAGGTTGCTTATTTTTTCCTGTTAGCATTTCTCCATTCTGAAATGGAATTTTGCACTTTATAGTGTTACTGTTAATAACTACAGGTTCATGTATTCATTCAATAAACATTTAGTAAGCACCAAAGGTGTGCCAAGCCAAGTGACCAAAGCTGCAGCTGAAGAGTTATATGAACCCTATGTCCTGCCCTCAGGAGTCCAAGTCATTTTTTCACCTAGGCTAAGCAGAAAAGTGAAATCCCTTTGCTATTGTCGCAAGAGTCACTTGGGGCCCCACCATCTCTGGACAGGTGACTGTTGGTGTTAAGAGGGGGTTGGCATCTGGCCCCTGAGACAGGACTACATTTAAGGATTCAAATGTAGTTGTTGGACATAATCGAGCAGCTTGACAGATGTCTAAATAGAAAGGGCCTCCGGAACTCTTCTGTTACCTAGGCTTCCAAAATGTCATGTCCAAGCAATGCCACTATGAGGTGTTGGCAGAGACCTAAAAATGCTTCTTTTTATCCACTAGTGACCATCCACTCATTCATTTATTCCCATTCAGCAGACATTTCTGGAGCACCTGATGCCACGTGCCAGATACTGTGGTAGGTGCTACGGAAACAGAAAATAAATCAATTGTTCCTGTACATGAGGTGTTCACAATCTAATAAAACAGACAAGTTAGATGCAAAGACAGATGGTGCAACACCATTGGTGCCGTGATGGGGGCTGGAGGGCACAAGGGCTGTGGTAGCACAGAGGATAGCTCTCCACACATGATGAAGGCCGTCAGAAGAAGCATTGTGGAGATCGAGTGAGCTGAGTTGGGGAACTCTTAGTCAGCTCAGGTTGCCGTAATAAATTACCATAGACTGAGTGGCATAAACAACAGTTATGGAGGTTGGAAGTTTGAGATCATGTTGGAGGTTGGAAGTTTGAGATCATGTTGCCAGCATAGCTGGGTTCTAGTGAGGTCTCTCTTCTGGATTGCAGATGGCTGACCTCTTGCTATGGCAGAAAGAGAGCTAGCTAGCTCTCTGACATCTCTCTGGCTTCTTCTTTCTTCTTTCTTCTTTCTTCTTTTTTCTTCTTCTTCCTCTTCCTCTTCTTCTTCTTCTTCTTCCTCTTCTTGTTTCTTTTTTTGAGATGGAGTCTTGCTCTGTCATCCAGGCTGGAGTGCAGTGGCATGATCTCAGCTCACTGCAAACTCCGACTCCCATATTCAAGCAATTATCCTGCCTCAGCCTCCCAAGTAGCTGGGATTACAGGTGCGTGCCATCATGCCTGCTAAATTTTGTATTTTTAGTAGAGATGGGGTTTCGCCATGTTGGCCAGGCTGGTCTCGAACTCCTGACCTTGTGATCTGCCCACCTCAGCCTCCCAAAGTGCTGGGATTACAGGTGTGAGCCACTGCACCCAACCTGGCTCCTTCTTATAAGGGCACTAATTTCATCTATAAGGACTTCAATCTCATGATATAACTACCTCCCAAAGGCCCTACCTCCAAATACTACCACATTGGGATTTAGGGTTTTGGCATATGAATTTGGGAGAGAAAATATTCAGACCATTTCATTGTTCAAGCAATGAGGCAGAATAAAAAGAAGCAAATTCCTCTTTCCTACACCTTTTGCTCTATTCAGGCCCCCAAGGAATTGTATGATGCTCACCCATGTTGGAGAGAGCAATCTACTTTACTGAGCCCACCCATTCAAATGCTAATCTCATCCAGAAACACTTTCACATACAAACCCAGAATAATCTTTAACAAAATATCTGGGCATCCTCCAGCCCAGTCAAGTTGACACATAAAATTAACCGTCACAGATGCAGACCAAAGTAAAAGGTGCAAGTCTATAAGCCAAGACGCATAAAACAGGGCAAGATTTTGGAATGATTATCAATGGCTGCCCCAGGGTACGAATGTAGATGTTTGGCAAACAATGATGCAGAGAAGTAGATAGAAGTCAGACCAATCATTTCCTTCAGACAGCTCAAATGCTTGCTGCAATATAAACAATTTTTTAAAAACATGTCTCACTTCTTTCATCAGATGGCCCATGAATGAAAGACCTGGATGACTTTCAGTGGGTGAGCCCTACCTCCTTGGTTGAACTCTCACCCAAACACTTGGACCCCACCCTTATGCACTGAGGTTAAATGCAAGAAATAATTAATGCCTATGTCATCTGTGGCCACATCGAGGACAGTCCACCTGCACCACCTTCTTCCAGGACCACAACGGTTACCTGGCCTTCACTCCCTCCAGCCCACAGCTAGCATCTGGTCACTAGCTCACTCTTCTAGTGGTGTCCCCTTGGGCTCAGAGGCATCCCACCACTTTGCTTGTTGGTTTGGTTATCACTTGAATGGTTATCACAAGCTGTTTGACTCAGCACCAGCCCAGCACAGGTTGGGAAAGGAGCAGAATATAGGGGAAAGTGGAGGGACTTTGGGACTAGAGTCTGGTTCTTCCACACACTTTCCAGGTGACATCAGTATTAGGCTAGGCCCCTTTACAAATCCAAACCTCATTCTTCTCGTTGGGAAAATAGAGATATTAATACTTCCTGGAGGGCTTGTCAGGAGATGCCACTACCCTGCAAGTTCCTTGGGTCAGGGACTTTGCCCTGCTCTCTGTCATGGTTCTAATCCCTGATGATTATCTGACATGTGGAGAAAATACCATGAAATATTCATGAGTGTATACAAAGTGCCTGACTCATAGTTAGCTCAAGTAAATGTGTGTGCCTGTGTCCTGAAAGAGTGGTTATTTCCCCCAGCACTAACACTACCGTAAGAAGTGCAGGTGGGAGAAAAACAAAGAGGACCTCTGAGTCAGACACCCCCTCCAGGGCTCCATTGTTCTCATTCAAGTCAGGAGATGGTGGAATATCTCCATGTCCCAGAAGGCCCACCCAACCTCTCTAACGGAAAACCTTTGGCTAGTTCAAGGTGTGGCATGAAAATTAAGCCCACACATCAGAAACATTGCACCCACCACAACCAGCATGGGTTTACCACGTGCTTGCATCTGACAGCATTGTTTAGACAGAGCTTTAAGTCTTAGTTTCACAAATTAAATGTGTTGAATGAGTGACCAAGTGATTGAATTTAGTCAAATAAATATCAGTCAGTTGATCCCCTTTTTTGTGAAAAAACAAGCATGCATTGCACCTGTACCAAATTTTGGCATGCATGATCTTATGGGCTAGACTGGGAGTGACTTTCAATGCTATCTTTGACTGACAAGGAACCTGAGGCTCAGGGAGGTTATATCGCTAGTAACCTGCAGAGCCTGGTGCAGAATCTACAAGCTGGCCTGCACTGAGATGCCTCTACGTGGAGCAAAATGTCTAGGTTTTGCTTAATTTGAACCCATCAAGAAAGAAAATGGCACTATTCTGGGGTCAATAGTTCTCCATATTGTGTGAATATTGCTTTTCCTTTTCTACTTTAAAAGTGACACCAGAGTGGTTTTCGCCAGTTAAAAATACTATAGCTGTCTGTTCAGTAGGGAATCTTTTGTAAAGAGGATCAAATATTTAAGACAGGGCATTTTTCCCCCTTAGAGCAGAGCTAAGCGGAGGATAAAAACGTGCTATCTTCCTCATCCGTATGCAAGAAGGAGAGTTTGGATCCACATTCTTGTAAACCTGGAGGAGTCAGATAACAAGCGTTTCTCAATCCAGTGGCTCAAATTTCAACCAAATATAACTTTTCTATCTTGCAAGACAGATGTGGCAATCCAGAAATATTATGATGAGAATGTAGGGGAAGGAGAAAGCACAGTTTGTAGTTACATGGCAATGAAGGGATATCAAACTGTGCACCATAATACCATGAATTACGAGACCAATGGGACAAGAATTTTTTTCCTGGGAGGATGGATGGGTGACACTAATACTCCTGTGACTGAAGAAAGCCAGCATGTGCCCTGATGTTACAGAAGGAAACACAGACATAAAAGTCTAATATAAACATTCTTGGGCCCAGACTGAAGTGAAGATAGAAAGGTTACCATCGACAATATGGATATAAAAATATCAATCTGCAGTATAATTATAAATAAAACGGTTGTTAACTTTTACAACGCCTACATATATTTATGTAATGTCAAAGCTTACACATCACCAATCTTTATATCAACTTTTATATTGGCATTCTGAGAAAAACACCATATTTCCTGGAGTTTTTTGTAAAATAACAGAGAGGCTATGGCCATAAACATTCTTCAAATGCATAGATCTCATCTCTGCGTGTGTAAATGGTATGTGTGCTGTGTACATTGACATGCTAATGAAAGCATAAATAACTCACCAGAGACTCCAGAAATGGCCAGAGCAGCATTGTCAATTTGACCTTTAGCAGAAACAGCATGAAAATATTACCAGTGCATCCAAACGCTGCACCCACCCTGAATCTGGGAATGCAGGAAAGAACAGAACACCCTGACTACTTCCTATACGACAGTGTGGCCCAAAGAGTGCCTGGTCCAGCCTCAGGGAGACTGAGTTCAAGTCTACAGCTGCCAGTAGCCGGCTCAGTAATTTTTAAGTAAATCGAGCATCATTTTATGTCTCCAGATGTTTGCCCATAACAGAGACTTTCAAGTATATGTATGAGGCCAGACCCAAAATCATGTGAAAGACTTTTTGAGATCCCAACCAGAAACCATTAAATTGAGGGCTATTCCACTCATAAAGGTAACATGAGAAAGTGGTGCACTTACTCCAAGGATAAAATTGTCACTATCATTTGCAGACCTCATTGGTTGCTACTGTCCTACAGGGCAACACCTGCTTGGGGAACAGCCTTGGCTATACAGGCAATGGGGCTGGGTTCAAACTCTGACCCCATCACTTATCAGCTATGTGACTATAGGCAAGTCACTTAACCTCTTTGAGATGTCATTGCATCTGCTGTAACATGAGAACAGCAGTATCCACCTAATGGTGGTATTGCGATAATTAAAAAGCCACAGCTAGCATGGTGAATGCTGTGTAGTAGACAATAGATGAAGGATTCTCCTTCTTTTTTCCGACATGGGTTCATTTACAAGTTGCACAAGAAAACGGCCTCATAATATCCACCCAACACATCAGCCAGGCTTGCCACGAGGATCTGATGTGACAGTAGATGTGAAGACACTTTGAATATCTCATTTATCATAACCATGTGTGTTCACTGAGTGTGTATATATAAGAGATGCTGTTGTAGGTGCCAATAAATATGTTATTTAGACCTAATAATCACTACCATGCTAACATTGATGGGAAGGAGGGGACTTTGCCCTCAACTCACAATCTTATCCATAAAGAAGGCAGTTTCTGGCCCCTCTTCCCATGTGGGGAAGCACTCTCTCTCCTCACCTCAATTTGCTCTTCTCCATTAGAAGAGTAATCATAAAGACATGGGCCTTTTCCCAAATGTACTCCTTGTTGGGCATTTGTCTAAGGGCTTCACACACAGTTACTGATTTAGTTCTCACAGCACCTTCAGCAGATGGCATTATTATTATTCCCATTTCACAGATGAGGAAATCAAGGTTGAACTCCATCATGTCACCTGACAGCAAAAGATGTGTGACCAGTAAGTGTCCGAGCCAGAGAGACATGGGAGGAGAGAGGCAGCTGTGTTTGCTCTGCAGACCCCAAGGATACTGATCCAACCAGCCGATGGGCAAGAAGATCAGATAAAAGGAAGGGGTAGTCCACCTCCTCTCCCAGCTGCAGGCCCAGGGGAAGAGCAGGGTGACGGTCAGGTGCACATGTAGAAGGTAAGCCCAGATGCATGCATACCTGGCAGGAGGAAGCACTAGAAGGGCCACTCTGAGGATAAATGTGGAGGGTGAGACAGGAACCTGCCTTTAGGGTTCTGCAATTCTGCCTCTGGGTGCCTGGCATGGCTCACAGAGAGTCTGGACTCCACAACCAGATTAGCACTCGCTATTAGACAACACCGCCTAGTGGTTAAACTCACGGTCTCTGCCTGCATCCAAATCCCAGCTCGGTCCCACCCCATTTACTGAAAGGCCAGATTCAGATGGGATGTGGGAGCTACACTTTGCTCAACCCTAGACTATATTCTCTAATCTAGGGTGGCCCTGAGCTTTGCTTTGTGGTTTCTGGAACTTGCCCGGGTTAATAAAGCTGATGTAGTTTTCCTTTTAACGGTGTAAAACCCTAAACCTCTAACAGTAAACTGGGGGCCTAAAAGAAATGTCACTGGGTTTTATTATAATTATCCACAGGCCCAGGGATTCTCAAAGTGCAATCCTCGAACCAGTGAGATTAGTATGGCTTAGAAAATTATCTGGCCCAATTCCAGACCTACTGAGTCAGAAACCCTGGGCCTGGGGCCCAGCAATCTGTGTGTGAACAACCCCTCCAGGTGATACTGATACATGCTTAAGTTGGAGACCTAATCACAGGCACCATCAGTCAATCAATCAATTCTACCAGCCCTACTGGGTACGAAAACAAAGCCTTGACACACTTTGTAGGGTGGAGCCTGCCGTAAGATGATCCCCCACCCTCACCTCAGCACACAAATCCACCCATTTCCTTACACAGGAGCCATATGGATTTTGCTAATACAAACATAGTAACTAGTCAGCTCAAAAAGTTTCCATGAGAAAAAGTCCCAATGGTGTTTTCCCATTAATTGGGATTGCTCCATTGCTATTTCTAACAAAAACATCATTTTTAGAAGAGAAAATACAAGCAGAAAGCATTGCAGCTAAAATAAAGGATTGTTACATTTTGTGCTTCTTCACCTCTTCCCACCTGTCTTATGCTAAGCATGTGTGCACACACGTGAGCACACACATGCACACCTACAACACTCTGCTGGGACAAGACCCCAATCCTATCAGTTCAGGTAAACCCAGCAGTGACGGGATTCCAATGAAAAAGGAATTTCATGCTCAAGTCAGGCCCTGGGGCAGTGCCCCCTTGCACACAGGGTTTCTGCTTCTCAGCCTTCAGGGTTTCCCTCTTCTCGGGGCGGTATCCTCAGCTGTCTTCTTTTGATGGGGACCAAGAAACTTGGCCTATTTTCTCCTTTTGGTCTTTGTCACTGCCTCCATCCACTCTGCCCCTGGGGTTGTCATCCCCCAGGCATGCAGAGATCACCCTGTAGGTCTCCTCCTGGTTCCCTGGCTATTCCCAAAAACAAACCAGAGCACTAAATATGAAAAGAAGACAGATCACAAAAGCCACCAACAGAGAGCTGGGGACTTGAGACTTCTGCCTTTTGCTTCCAGTTCTGATAGAAGATCCCACTAATCCTCTCCTTCTTTGACCCCCTCCTTCATGGGGGTCCACGTTCACCTCTTTTAGTAACCACAGTCTCGGCTTAAGGTAAGGACAGTGTTTACTATTTATCAGTTGCTCTATGGCAAGCAGTAGGCTGGAATTTAATAGATATTAGCTGACATAGTCCTTGTGACAACACTATGAGAAAGATATTGTTACTCTTGTTTAACAGATGAGAAAACTGGGGCAAAAACTGAGGGAAAAGGACTTTCCTCACTCTCCATGCTGCCCTCCTGACTTTTCCTAGCTGAAGACACATGTCAGAGCCTGGGGGAGCTCTTGTTTCAAATCTGCCTTTAGGTCAGCCCCAGCCTGGGTGACATCAGTACCCTGAGACGCCCTCCAAAAAGGCTCACAGTAGAGCACTGCTCAGTAGGGTCATGGCAATGGCCCCTGTCCGGAGGCAGCCAACGCTGCTGAGCCTGGCCCTCATGGCTCAGTTCCACACCCCTTTGTTAAATAACTCTGAAGAACCATATTCAATCACTGAATCTCCTTGTTCCTCCAGCTGCTCATCTGAAATATGGAGACAAAAATGCCTTCCTATCCACCTCACAGCGCAGGAATAAGCCCCAAATAGAAAAGGTGGATGGGAAAGATTGAAAGTATAATGAAAAGAGCATTACATTAAAAGCTTCAAAGGAGATGTCGACCTATAGTAGATACCAGATCCAAAAACTTCAAACTTGGTGATGAAACCAGTTAAATGACCAGTTGTCAATGAAGATATGAAAGAACCAACAAGTGCACATTAAGAGATTTCTTTTTGAATGAATAGTTCATTAGATACAGTCACCGGGAGCTGGGAGTCCCATCCCACCCACATAGAGGAGGGATGGACAGGTGTTGCCCTTTAATCCCAACAGAGGAGAGGCTTTGATGTATGCTCCTTATGATGGAGTACACCACAAATTCAGCCTGACTTGGCCCTGGAAAGCCAAAACTGACTGTGGTCCAGAGTTCAGCCCCATGTCTGGGAATTAAGCCTGTGAGCCAGAGTTGAATCATGATAGAAATGTTGACCCAGGGTTGTCCCAAAATGGGTTCTGCCAAGGAGGGGCCTCAGCATGGAGACACAGAAGGCTGGACAGGCAGAAGCAGAGGCTGAGAAGAGACTGACTGGGAGCATCCTCTTGAAAGAGAAGCATTTCCCATGAAAGAGGAGCCCGGGGAAGCCACCAGCGAATTCATAAAAGTGCCCATAAGAGATGGTCTGCCTGGCTGAGAGAGGGCAGAGCCATCTCCCTCCAGCATTAGTGGACTATGGACTTCCTCATGCCTTATCCCTCACCTCCACCCCCACTTCTATGCTGGTGGGATCACACACAGCAGCCAGAGAGTGGGTGAGGATGTGAGCTAGGGACAGAGAGGCACTGACCATACCCATTCCCGAAAAGCAAATATTCTACCTGCCACCAGCCCCAGCTGGGTGGAGGGGAGACCTCACCCTTGAATGAGGAGGGGAGCACTCATCCCCATACTGGCCTGGATACTCTAGCTAATTGAGGCAGGTTTTGTGACTTAAAGTGACTAAGAGCCTGGTGTCACCTAAGAGACCACAAAAGCCATGAGACCCACCCAATTTCCATCTCCACTTAGCAGACTGAAAGGAACAGTGGGAGAAAAATAAAGTTCCTTTCACTATTATACCCCATTATTTCTGCTTACTTAATATGCCAGCTACAAGGTGCTGTTTTTTTACCCTAACAGATGCCACCACCATTTACGCGGGAATCCAAGCCAGAAACCTGGGTGGCCCTTCACTCCTGTCCACTCACCTCCCCTGGTCAGCCCCTCACCGTCAATACCTCCCTGAGTCATCACTTCTCAATCTCACAGACCTCCATCATCTTCCATCTGCCTGCATCATGGACTGGCCTCCTAATTCAGCCTCCCTGACTCTCAGCTTTCCCTATTCAATCCACTCTCCTTATTGCAGCCAAAGCGATGTTTCCGAAATGCAAAGCCGACACCTCTATTATGTTGAAAACCCTTCCGTGGACCCCAGCTACCTTCAGAATAGAGTCCAACCTTTTAACTAGGCTTCTAAGGTTTTTCAGAACCTGGGCCTGCCTCTCTCCCACCCTCTGCTTCCCTCACTCCACTTGCTCCCACCCACTCTGAGCCAGGTACTCCTTCAGTGCTCCACCGAAGGCACCACGTCCTCCTGGTGTTTGCTCCTACTGTACTCAGAGAACAAACTCCAGGACTGCTAACTGATGTACTGAGGTGGGCTGTGAAATGATCCAGGTGCTCCTGGTTTTCTAACCTCTAAAGCCTTAACCTCCAATTTGCCATTAGTGCACCAACCATTATTGGTGCAGCATACCAGTATAAGCCAGAAAAGTCTGGTTGAAGCCACACCCTATAAGGGAAGAAGGGCAGGGCTTTTGCATGGCTAACAACTCAGGTCTCAGTCCAAATATCACCTCTTGCAGGAAGCCTGCCTTGACTTCCCGACACTGGGCTAAGTTGCCCTCCTAATAGCTCCATAACACAGTCTCACTGCTGCCTTGCTTATCCCACTGTTTATCTGGTTGCAAGTTCTTTGAGGGCAGGGCTGTGTCCTATTCACAGCTAGAGCTCAACCTTCCAACGCCTCATCTATATAAAAGAATAGTGAAAGTTTATCCCTCGGGGAGTTATTATTATAAAATGAGAAAATTAATGGAGAGCACATAGCATGGTATCTGGTGTATAGGTAAATACTTAATAAATTTATTTATTTTTATTATTGCTCAACACATTGTTGAATAAATGAGTCAATGGAAAGATTGATGTCATTATTACAATGTGGCATATATGTGCCCCCAGGAACAGCCTGTGGGCAAAGGCAGGCTACTGACTAAATGACTTGTCAAGGTCTTTTCTATCCCAATAACTTTCTGATTTTGAGGCCCATGAATTACCCAAACACCATCAAAACTGAAAAATTTACCTCCATCAAGTGGTTGTCGGCCACAGAGATTGATAAGAGATGGGAAGTGCTGGTGGTAAAACTACATTTCTAATTAGCTAGAAAAATTCGTCCTGTGTGCGTGTGTAAAAGGGTCTTTAGATAAATGCCTGTGTTATCTCTCCCTCACAGGGCCTGGGTGGCCAGCCAAGTGCTGACTTACTTCTGCATTTCAACAGAATCTGTTTTGTAAATTTGTTAAATTCTTCAGAATGAAACTACTTCCTGGTGGAAACTCATTTTCTGCCCCCTTTCCTGCCTCTTTTCTAGTTTTCCACCTCCGGCATGACTTGCTGGCTCTGTGGGCAGTGACTGTCACTCTCCAACATGTTCTCTCCCGTCCCGTGAACTGGACTTCCCAATCCCCTCGCTGACGGTGTGGGTGGAAGAGAGATGGCTTAAGTGGTTCTGATAACAGTGGCAGGAAAAAAATGGTCAGGATTTTTGGAGGACGAGAGGGGAGTTACAAGATGAGAACCAGCTCAAGATACTGGCTCTCGGTGGTGCAGAAAGTGAGTCTGAGTCAGGGGGATTGGGGTGGGAAGAGCATCATTTTCTTTTCCCTTTTTTTTTTTTTTTTTTTTTTTGAGACGGAGTCTCACTGTTGCCCAGGATGGAGTGCAGTGGCACCCTCTCGGCTTATTGCAACCTCCAGCTCCCAGGTTCAAGCAATTCATCTGCCTCAGCCTCCCTAGTAGCTGGGATTACAGGTATGTGCCACCATGCCCAGCTAATTTTTTAATAGACATGGGGTTTCACCATGTTTGTCCGGCTGGTCTCGAACTCCTGACCTTAGGTGATCCACCCACCTCGGCCTCCCAAAGTGCTGGGAATACAGGCATGAGCCGCCCGGCCAGAAGAGTATCATTTTCCTATCTAACTCCCAGCATCCCAGGACAGGTGGCAGATGGTATACTGGAGCATAAATTGAAGCCCCAACTCCAAGGGAGAGTAAATGCAAGAAACACCAAATAATACCTGGCATTTAATCAGCCAGGACTGGGTGTAGCACTGGGTCTCTTCACAAGTGTTATTTCATTTAACGCTATGACAACCCTGTCAGATCAGGGTTATCATTATCCTCATTTTACTGGTGAGGAAACTGCAGCTGAAAGGAATATCATTCCCATCTTCTTCCATCAGAGCAGCAGGCATGTGGGCCCCAAAGGAGAGACAGCTCAATGCAAAAGTACATCCCCCAAAAGCTTCAAAATCACCATGACTAATACCATTATGATTAGTTCTCAAAGAAAATGTGGACTGCTTGGGGCGCTCCTTACTTTTGCAAGTAATATTTATGACAATGTTCATGTCTTCAAAATCTTGTCGGAGGCCGAATGTATCCATGCAATGGCGCTGGGCCCACAAGACAATCCAGGTGTTCTTTGTTTTCTAACCACTAAAGCCCTAACCTCCAATCTTCCGTTATTGAACAAACCAATACTCTTGTACTGAAAGAAGCCAGAGCAGCCTGGCTAAAGCCATCCCCTGTAAGAAGGTGGGGCAGACTGCTCCCTTGGCCCAACCCTCTCTCAACACCTGAACCCAGAGAAGCCCCAACCGAAAGACTTTCTACGGTTTGAATTGAGTGCTTTGTGTCATGGGCCTATCTGGGACTCTCTGCCTCTTTACAGTGAAAAAAAGAAGAGTTTTAAATATTTTTTAGCAGAAAGACAGCCCTTTCTCATTGGGATTTGAGCTGCAAAGACATGGCCAACCAAACAGAAACAGGATTATACCTGAGGAGGATCTTGGAGTAATCACCAAAATCCACTTCTCTTCTCCCTCTAGGCAAGAGGAAGGATTTACAGTTAGGCAAGACCATGCAAGCTTGCAAGATGTGAGCTGAAGTGACCTGTGTTGCTTCCAGCCTAAAGCATTTAACCCCTGATGCAAGACCCTCCAGCGTTCTCCTACCCCAAGCATTCTAGCAAGAAGCCCGTGTATCTTAGATGGTGCAGCTGTATGATGGTGGAATCTCCATCAGCCTGGATCCTCAGGAGACTGTGTGGAGCAGGGCCTTCTATCAGACATATTGCACATGCAAAGTGGGAGGTAAATAAAGGCTTATTATGTTAAGCCTTGGCGATTTGGGAATTGCTTGTTACTATATCACAACCTAGCCCAGCCTGACTAACATATTCATGGTGTGAGACCCATTCCCCAGGAGCAGCAGAGCTCAAGGGTGCTCCTCTGTTGTCCTTTTATGTTCACTGCCCTTTCTGTAATAACAGTCAGGACAGTAGGTGACTCATGTTTATTATGCTTTGGTAAGTGCAGTAGATGGCAAATTGTACTCAAACATAAGCAGTGAGAGCAGAGAGTAAGCTGTCTACTTTTTCTGTACTCTCCTCCACACAGAGTTAACATTCATCAGGCATTCACTCTGCACTAGATATGTTAAGACTATTATTTCTCATTCCATAATATCCCTGCAATGAAAGTAGGTATCGTGCATATATCAAAACATCATATTGTGGCCGGACATGGTGGCTCACGCCTGTTTTCCCAGCACTTTGGGAGGCCAAAGAGGATGGATCACCTGAGGTCAGGAGTTTGAGACCAGCCTGGCCGCCATGGTGAAACCCCATCTCTACTAAAAATACAAAAAATCAGCCAGGTGTGGTGGCAGGTGCCTGTAATCCCAGCTACTCGGGAGGCTGAGGCAGGAGAATCTCTTGAACCCGGGAGGCATGGAGGTTGCAGTGAGCCGAGATCACATCATTGTACTCCAACCTGGGCAACAAGAGTAAAACTCCATCTCAAAAAAAAAAGAGAAAAAGAAATAAATCATGTTGTATGCCATAAATATATACAATGTTATTGTCCATTTTAAAATTAATTAATTAATTAAAAAATAAAATCAAAAATCGGTATTTTAGTCTCCATTTCTTATATTAGGAAACTATGGTTCATGGAGATTGGTTTATTTAAGGTCACCTAATGGAAATTGGGCTGTAAATTCAGGTGTCTCTGATCCCAAAGGCTATGGTTTCCCACTACCTGACATGAGCCTGCCCACTCAGTATACTCTGAATAAATGATTAGACAGATGATCAGACAGATAGATGACAGATAGATAAACAGACAGAATGTTTAACTAACATGTCTTTTCCATTAATAGTAGAGCCCCAACCCCCAAACAAGCTGGCAATTGTGCAGGAAAATGACACATTCCTCAAAAAACAAAAGGTCAAAATGAAAGCACATTGACAGCTACTTCATTGTCACAATTTTGAGAGCAGGCTCTGCATTTAATTCTCAGGTTTCTGACCACTCAAGATCTATGTGACTCTGGGTAAGTTACTTCACCTCTCTGTGCCTCCCTTTCTTTAACTGTAAGAAGGTGATTAAAATAGCACCTGCCTCCTTGGGTTTTCATGAGGACTAAGTGAGCTAGTATAGGTACAGGGCATGGAAGAAGGGCTGACACACAGCTGCCCTCCAAGACTGTTACCTCTGGGTGGGCTGTGAGCAAGTGGAAAGAAGATCTCCGGGGCAAAGAGCAGCATCCTCAGCCCACTATTCCTAGGGACGGTGCCATTCACCTTCTCCTCTTCAGGACCCACCAGAGCCCCTGTTCCTTGGAGAAAGGGTGGTTGGTGAGGACACCGTCTCATGTACGAAAGGTGGCCCTGCACGCCTCACTAACTGAAGTTTACTTAGAACATGGGATGATTCTGTACCCAAACCACAAGGCACAATCCCAGCTCCTGGGTCATCCTGCAGGCGGTGCCCAGGAGCACACACCACCGGGACGTGCTGCACACCCCACTTAGCACTGTGATCCCCCTGACCAGCTGTGTGACGGCTGAGTGCAAATCCCCCTGGCAATTGCTTTGTTCAACTTCATGGCAGATTTTCCTCAGGATCCTCAATCAAAGACACCTCTTAATCTTGTTTTATTAGCTTCACAGCTGAGAAAAAAAATTATAGTGGTACGATGGTTATCATAATAATATTTTCAGATCATTATTTATATTATTTATATTATCTACTTAACCCAAGAGAACGTGCTGTGGAAGATAAAGGCCTTGCATGAGCATTGGCACACCCCACAGCACTGCTGAGAAGAGCCGGGCCAGTGGTGGTAGGTAGTATCTAAATGGTACAGACGAGTGAAGAGTCACAAATACAGCCAGACCCTCAAACTGAATATTTAACTAACATGTCTCTTCCATCAATAGCAGAGCCCCAACCCCTAAACAAGCTGGTAATTGTGCAGAAAAATGACACCTGCACCTGTGCAGGAAAAGGTTAACCAATCAAATGCCCAAAGCCAACCAGTGACATTAGTTGAGCTGAACAAGAATCTGAGTGCAGTGGCACAAGGGGCCCCAGTACACTTTCCAGAAACCACAGGAAGTCTTCAGTTCCTGGCTCCACAGCATCTGGAAACTGTAGGCCCCAGGAGTGCAGGAAATTGTTCTCCTTTGCAGTTATGATGTCCAGTAGAGGGTTTTCCACATGGTAAGGATGTGATGTATTTGTGGAATGAATTAATGAATGATGCCCTCAGATTGGTGAGTGATCCGACAGAGAGAAGGCTGAGATGATCTAGCAACTGTGCCATTCATTTCTCCACCTTGTAGCCCACAGAGGAGGTCTATTTCATGTCCCTTTAAAATGGTAAAAAGACCATTCCCTGGTCCTAATGTGGTTCTTTCAAATTTTATATGCACATTAATTGCTTTTTAAAAATTATGGCAGGTTATTTCCTCAGTCTTTCCTTTCCACAGCCTCTTTTTCAAAAAGTGTTGGGAGATTGGCCCCCAATTCACTATCTCAAATTCCCATGCTCTGCTCCCTAGATTCAGTTTCTGGTGAAAAACAGTACGTCAAATTAGCTGAGGAGAGTGAGTCTCTGTGGATTTGAAGATGTACCATGATGCAGCCTGCTGCAGACACAAATTCTATGTAGTCTACTGTTTTATCTTTTAATAATTCATTCAGATTTCACATTTTAGTTCCTAAAGTACCTGTGTTTGTTTAATATAAAAATAATGGTATATAATACTTAGCAATTAAATTATTGGGTTTCTCCCTATCCCTCACTCCCACCCAAAAATAAATAAAATCAATTGAACCTCCAAGAAGACATGTTGTGTCACACACAGAGCCAAGTCCAACCTCCCAGGCACGTCCTGATGGCCCTCTATTCTCTGAATTTCCCCACCCAGACTCATCTCTCATTTCTCCAAGCTTACATACCACAGTTTGACTGAACCAAGCATCTTGCATTTCCCTAAACACACAATTTCAGAGGCTGGCAACCAGAAATCCTTCAACAGAGCAGGATAGCACTGCACTGGGCCCTGGGCCTGAAGTCAGTGGGTATGTAAAACACATTGGTCTGCAAGCTTCTCTCCATGAGATTAGTGCCATTGGGTGCTTAATGTGCTACTTATATATGAATGGCAGAGACCTAGCAGCTTTCTCTCTTCTCTGAAGAGGAACAGGGGAGCTCTGGGAGCCTCTGATCTGCTTTCATGGGTCCTCTGCCAGCCAATGCCTCTAGTCCTAATGTAAATCTTTGCTAACATCATCTTCAGGCCTGCAATCCATTCTGATCCTTAAACTTACATCTGTCAGTGCAATGCAAAACTAAACATTTTGCATTATCATTCATTTTTTCCATCATAAAAGCCATACATGAATTTTTAGAACATACAAAAAAGTAGGACAATCACCCACCATCCCACCACACAGAGGCAACCAGTATTTACATTTTGGAGTTGTTCTTCCTGTCTTTTTTCTCTATATAACTTTTACTTAGCTTTAATCATTCAGCATTAGTATTTTGTATCCCCCGCCTTTTCACACACTTTAGCACATTAGCATTTGCACATGCTAAAAAGTCCAAATTATTCCTGAACACAAACAATAACTGTCTTCTTATTTCTAGGTCCAAAATGAGAGTGAGAAAAAGGAGGTTAAGTACAGGAGCTAAAACTATTTTTCATGGCAGCCAAGCAAATCTAGAAAAGAATTCTTTGGTATTATGCCCCATTCTCTGCCTCCAGGAAGGGTTTCCTGGCATGAGTCATTTCTGCCTGGGGATGAGTCCATCCCCTGAAGGTCACCCCTGACCATTTCTGATGGGTAGAACAAGTATCCTGTCTAAGCCTGGGTTCCAATCCTTTAAGCAGCTGTGCTGATTTGTCCTGAGTCTTTGAACTCACTTGGATTGTTTCAGCTGCAGCGACCCACAAAGGTTCATAATATTCCCCAAATATACTTCCAGTCTCCCCAGGATATTGTATCATTATCCAGTATTAACAATGACCACTTAGCTCAGATTCCTTGGGATTCTGTGATGGTTAATTTTAGGTGTCAACTTGACTGAGCTACAGGGTGCCCAGATAGCTGGTAAAACGTTATTTCTGGATGCGGCTATGAGGCTCTTTCCAGAAGAGATTAGCATTTGAGTCAGTAGACTGAGCACAGGAGGTGGCCCTCACCCGTGTGACTGGGCATCATCTAATCCACTGAGGGCCCAGATCAAACACAAGGTTGGACAAAGGACAAATTCTGTCACTTTTCTTGAGCTGGGTCATTCACATCTTCTCCTGCCCTTAGACATTAAAGCTCCTGGTTTTCAGGCCTTCAGACTCAGGGATTTACACCAGCATCTCCCACTCCCAGTTTTCAGGCCTTCAGTCCCAGACTGAGAGTTACACCATCAGCCTTTCTGGTTCTCAGGTTTTCTGGCTTGGACTGAATTACACAGCTGGCTTTCCTGGCTCTCCAGCCTGCGGATGGCATAGTGTGGGACTTCTTGGCCTCCATAATAACTTGTGCATAATAAATCTCCTCTCGAAATCTGTATCTGTATCTATCTACTTATCTATATATCCAATTGGTCTGTTCTCTGTAGAACCCTAATACATCTTATTTTTCTATTTGTGTGGAAGTATTAACTTCCATGATGCAATTGAAAGATTTCAGAGATAAGACTCAAGAAGTCAGGGATCAAATCCCATTTTTGCTAATGTCTGATCCTAGTTAATTCCAAAAAGGAGGGGCAGAAGAGGGAGAGAGTTGATAATTATAATAAGTATAATGATGATGGTAATCTAGCAAATGCTGAGTGATTATCACACGCTCAACCATGTCCTAAGTGCTTTATATGCTTTACCTCATTTAATCTTTACAATATCCTGTCAATGCCTTGCATCCAAAACTACCAAGAACACCGCTGTAGTGAACAAAGGAGGACTTACTGACTCACTGCAACCAGGGAGAACATAGGCCATGGGGAGCTATGGGGCCTCTCAGTAAGAGAATGTTAGAGAGGATTTAAAATAGGATTTGGGCTTGTGATAGATTTCAGGGAAGGTCCAAGAAGGGAGGGCGTGGCTCTGGATTGGATGCTTATAGGAAGAGCAGGGGTAGTTCTCTAATTGATTAACTTGATCATTCTTACCTAGAAGGTGGGATGAACAGAAGGAGATTAAAGATGTACTTGGTAAACACACAGCAGTCACTTACATCAGCCAGCACAGGGGTGCTTCGTCATTTTCCTGGCTTGGATCATATCCTTCTTTTGTTTGTAGTTAGGCATGATTATGAGGTGATCTCGCTTATGTCTTAATTGTGGTCAGAGTGGCTTTGTCTGATGTTGATGTTTTCTGACGTTGTTTATGTTAAACAGGAGGACACCAAGGGGCTGCTTTTTGTTTTACCTTATTAAATGGGTGCTGTTTACTATATTTATGTTAAGACAAAAAAATTCAGGCTTAGGCACGCTGAGAAATTTGCTAAAGTTCCTATAGCTAGAAAGGAACAGGAAATGAATATAGGTCTGACTCAAGGCCAAAAGCCAAGTAACGATCACACTGAACCTCCTCTTCAGGTAGTGATTTTTATCTTGTTTTATTTTCATTTTTGGATAAGTAATGCATGGAACATGTACAAAATTCAAAATGTGAAAAGGGCACCTAGTGAAAAGCAAGTCTCCCTCCTATTCCCAACCTTCTCTCCAGGCCCCCTTCTCCTCCCAGGAGACCACATTGTCCCCATTTCATCCAGGGTCTCTCATTCATGCCAGAGCTTTGCCATGTGGATAGAGCAAATCCATTTCAAAGGATGGCACTGGGAGAAACAGCCACTGAGTTATGACTTAACAAATTATTTGTCCTTGTTCCTCTCTTCCAAAAACTCTTTCACAAGGTTTCAGTGACTCAACAAATATTGATTAAACACATACTATTTCCAGACACTGTGCTCAGCACTAGGGAAACAAACAATAAACCAAACAAGCTGCTTGCCCTTGAGGGGCTCACAGTCTAGTGGAGAGGATGACATGGATGAATCAGGCCAGTGAGCTGTAGGGGAGGATGCACAAGGAGCAGGCTGCCCTGCCAAGGATGGCAGAAGAAGATTGAAGGAGAAGGAAGCACCCTGCCTAGATCCCAAGGGTGACAGGGATTTACCTGGTGGACAGAGGTGAGGAGCGAACTCCAGACAGAGAAAGAAGTCAGTATGAGCAATGACATGAGTGTGAAAGAACGTGGCACATGCTGGAGCCTGCCCATGCCTCTAAATGGCTGGAGCACAGGGCGCTTGGGGCAGGAAGCAGGAGAAGTGAAGGAAAACGTAGCTGATGGTCCTGTCTCAAGGAGCCTTTTGCAGGAAGCTAAAGAGAATATTGTCAGGATTAAATAAGATGGACAATGTGGAAAGGATTTGAAGAGCTTAAACATTCAGCAAACGTGATTAATTAGATGGGTTACTAGTTCCTGCACCCTCAATTGTCATTCATCATTGTCCTTTTCTGAAGGTGCTGCTTCTAATTGTGGTCACCACTTGTGGGGCCACTGACTGAGGACAAAGATCACAGAGGCTACTGAAAAGAAAGATGGTGAAGGGGGGCACTGACTGAGGACAAAGATCACAGAGGCTACTGAAAAGAAAGATGGTGAAAGGGGGCACTGACTGAGGACAAAGATCACAGAGGCTACTGAAAAGAAAGATGGTGACCACCTGTACACTTGATACCTCAATTAGACACACTGGGCACCCACACCCTAGGGCACCATTAGCAAGTACCGTTTGGTACTCACAGGCATCCAGGTTCTATCAAAGGTGTGTCTAGGATAAATTGTTTGAGAAAGAAGGTCTAAGGGTCATGTAATCCTCTCCCTCCTCAAAGAATCCTGAGTGTGGCCTTTGTGACACTCTAGACTGCCAGACATTGTATTTCTGAACCACATTAGCAAAGGCGCAAGCAGAAGTGCTATCGGTGCTGCAAAGGGTGCTGCTATCCATACAGCAAAAAGCTGGATGTAAAAAGCCTAAAGATAGATCCTTCCAGGACAAATTGTTATAAAAAAAACTCTGTAACCCATCTGGGTTTTTGCCCTGATTTCCAGGAAGCTCCAAGCTAAATTTGACACTGTAAAGAGTACAGGCTTTGGAGTCAGACAGTGCCACTTACTACCTACGTAGCTGAGGCAAGGGTTTACATCTATTTGAGGCTCAGTTTATTCATCCATGAAATGGAGATAATAATATAAACTGCCTAATGCTATAGTGAAAATTACATCAGAATGTAAATGTACAGAAGAGCATAGTACCTGTCACAAGCAATCAATATATTTCCTCAATAAAAAGCAGTTGGTTTGGCCTATTGATTTGATGTAGTTATTCCTTCATAAAATAGAAATCATGCATGTCATTTTAGGCCTCAACACAGAGTAAGTACTCATAAATAAATGTTCATTGTTTGCAATTAAATAATTTCCCCTGCCAACAGTAGGCTTTCTTACTTTGGGATCTCCTCTAAGTCTTTCACACAAATATGAAAAACTGCTATGTAGCTTTCAATTTAACAAATCTTTACTGATCGCATCTAATGTGCCAAGTACTGTGTGACCTGTGGAGCTGACATTAATAAACCAGGTCTCATTCCTGCCCAAGGAGCTTGTAGTCTGGAGGGAGAAATGAACATGCAGACACCTCCCTACAGGCAGGTGGAGTAGGTCCCATAGGCTCCTCTCAGAACCCCATCCAAGACAGAATCCCAAACCAGACAAACTGACGGCTGAGAGGTAAGGGTCTCCTTACCTGTGAGTGGAGCAGATGGTTGGCCATAAACTGGGGTCTGAGGCCCAACAAGACCCTCTTACAGTCTATGGTTGAAGCATCAATACTCCAATACTCCAATATTCTATTTTCCCTAGGAAAAATGGTAACAGTCCATTGAGGTTTTACACCCATCATTAGTCGCGCATCACAGTCATCATGTGCAAGCTAAGGGGAACCTGGACATCCCAAAGCCAACTTCTTCAGATGAGGGACTCAGGAAGGAAGAGCAATTTGGTGAAGGTACCACAGCCAATCAGTCACCAAGTTGGCCCTTCAGTTTAGGTCTCCTAACTCCTACAGCTCTTTCTTCCACCCACGGGAGAAGACCATGGCCCCAGGAGTGTCATAAGCCAAGGCCAAGCCTTATTTATCAGAGAATCCCTGTTGCAGTGCACAGCATGCAGCAGGGATTTGGCCTCTGGGATCCAGGAGGGATGGTGCCAGCCTGGAGACAAGACCACAGAAGCAGCAGCCCGTACCTGTGGGCTGCAGAGGTGTGAAGTGGGAAGGGGAGCACTCTAAGGAAAGTCAGGACATTTTGCTAACTGCATAATCAAGATCTGTTGGGAGCAGGGCCCCCCACAAGACAGCTTCCTCCTGTCAAAGTCTTATGCAGGGACCACTAAGTCCCCACTGAAGGCCAGCCACACCACTTGAAGACCCATGCCACGTGCAGTTTTAAGCAAAAGTGCCACAACACAGCACCACCAACAATAGAGCTATTGGATTTTTAAAATTCTATCTCAACTCTACCTGTTGGCACAGCAATAGGGGTCAGCAAACCACAGCCCACAGATTGAACCCGGCCCACCATGTTTTTGTAAATAAAGTTTTACTGGGACACAACTCTGTCTATTCTTGTACGTATTGTCCATGACTGCTTTAACACAGCAGCAGAGTTCAATAGTTCTATTAGCAGCCATATAGCCCTGAAAAGTATAAAATATTTACTATCTGGCCCTTTAAGGAAAAGTTTGCCAACCCCTGGTATAGTAACTAGTGTGATCCTAGAGTAGTGGATTTCTAATAACAAACGACCTCTGCTGTTGTCTCAATTCTGTCTTTTCCCATGAATTCCAACCAAAGCGTCATTTCAAGTTCCCAAAATTCACAACGCTGGGCTTGATGGGTTCCTTAGGTATTCAGCGGATGGTATTGGGCTGCCTGGCCTGCTTCCCTTTCCTGGAGCTTCTCCACTCTCTTCCCAAAGCCCAACCTGTCCAGAAAGCTCTGACCCCTACCTGCAGGCCCAGCCTACTTGTTACCACTTTCCTGTAGCCTCCCTACTTCCCCTCACCTACCCCCGTCTTATCCCACACACACAGTCCTGCCAGACAGAAGCAATTGTCCCTTTAGGTGTATCCTCAAAACACACAACATATCACTCTCTTACATCACCTACCTTATTACACTGTTTGTGGATTGACTTTTATAATATTTATGTGTATCCTCCATCTATAATCATCTTTGAAAAAGAGACTGTATCTTACTCATCATCTTCATGCCTAGAAGAAGTCCTGACATATAGAAAATTAGATTGAAGCCCATTTGGAAGGAAAGGCATCTTAGGTATCATCCCATCAATTCCTTCATTTTACAAGTCAGAACACTGAGGCCCAATGTCACAAGACTGGCCAGCGGCAGAGCCCTCTCGAGGGTCTCCCTCCACTAAGTCCAGCCCTCATTCTAGTGCACCACACAGTAATGCAGAGATTCATGTGCGTTAAAACAGCAGTCACTTAGGAATGGTGGTCATTATTTTCAAGGTAGCAGCAATGGGAATCTTCTCCTAAAGTGATACATCCATCCCCTGTCCCAGAAACCAAAAGCCAGCCCTGGTCTCCTGACAGCAGTGACAGGAGACAGCATGCTGCAGCCACCCGAGTGCCTATGCCCATGATGGATCAGTGGGCTGCAAAATTAAACTCCTCTTTTTAGAGGCCATTTGTGTGTTAAGGAAGAGAATAAATGAGATAACCCCACGGCCAGTTAAAAAAAAGGCACCCAGACAGAACTTCATTTGACTCTTTCAGGCCAATGGGGGAAAATGAGCTTCGTAATTGAAATTGTAATGGAATAAGTTGGGCCTGGTGGCGGTGAGGACAACATGTTCTTGGAGGTCACGTCATGAGAGGTGACATGCAAAAGTCATCAATAGGTTGGCAACTCAAACGTTTCTGTGAAAGAACAAGAGAAAGCTTTCTGGATGCCATGTGGGGGTTTCTGGACCACAGAAGTGGTCTGGACTCCAGAGCATAGTGTGGGACTGGGTCATAGTGGAATTGTTTTGTAACTAATTACAAGGCATGACCATCCTTTGTCATGTCTGATTTGTGCACAGTCAGAACCAGGCCCCATCTCTCCTGTCCCTCCTAAATCCACATTAAGGAGGTACACATGCCTTGCTTTGACTCTTCCTGGGTGCAAGGATATGAGCTGGGGTAATGTTTTCTCTCAGTTACACCTTTATTGAAAGCTCTCTCTGTGCTGGCACTGGGCTGGGGACCTCTTGGTGAATGACACAGATAGCTTCTGCCATCAGAGCACTCACAGTGCACAATCATAACAGGCTCCTGTCAATCCTAGTGGAAGAATATCAGGACCAATTAATTGGAGGCAGAGGGCATTTTGGAGGAAGCCCCTCAAATTATCCCATACAGGGTCCAGCTGTGTAGAGTGGGAAGAGAACTTGCTTTAAAGGCCAAGAGGTATGGAAGTCAGCATCAGCCTCCCAGCTCATAGACCTCAGATAGTTACTGATGTTGCCATAACCTCACAGAGAAAAGGGATAATAATAGTAACGTGGGAGCTGGTGGAGAGGATGAAAGAAGCTACTGTGTGTCGGTGCTTAGCGGGGAGCCTGGGCGGCACTGTTGTTATGAGAAGAGCAGCATGGGCAAGGGAAGACGCTGAAGCATCCATCACCCTGAAAAGGCAGTCAAGGAGGCTTTGGGGGCTGGAACTGAGGAGGCTCTGTCAGCTTCTTACCACTAGCACCTTGCAAGGGCCAGACACACAGTAGTTCTCGTTCTTTTCTGTTTATTTCAAATGAGCTTGTGTTTTAAGGAGAATATAAATTCTCTCTTTTCCCCTCTTTTGAACGGCAACAGGTCCTCCATTCATGCCTTTCTCTCCATCTTCCCATCTCCCACCACAGCCCAGCCCCACTTCTCAGCATGGGTAGAAGTAACTTGAACTCTCCTCTCTTAGCTAAAATAAATGAATGTGGGAGAGCATAGATTTTAGAATCAGACTACCCTAGGTTTAAAGTCCCAGCTGTAGCACTTACAGTCCCATCCACATAACCTCCCTGCACCACAGTTCTCTCACCTGCCAAATGGAAATAATGAAGATGCCACATTCTCAGAGCCCCACTGCAGGGATTGAATGCCCTGATGTGTGTGAAATGCTTTGCACCGTGATTGGCGCATCGCAACACTCAATAAATGTTGCCCATGGACACTGCAGCCTACAGGTGTTGCGGTCAGCTTTCTTTTTCATTGTGAAATGGACAGTTCCACCTTCACAGGGTGGATGTGAGAAGCAGTAAAAGGCAAAGGCCCTCCTACAGTGTTTGGTACATAACAGGCACTGAGTAAATGTTAGGTGCTCTCCTTCAAACAAGCACTACATCATCCCCTGTATTTACTTTTACACTTGGTGGGAAGCATCAGGATCAGTAGGGGCATACAGATGACAGCGTCAGCACCAGACAGGCTTGCATCTGAGAGGAGGACATTGAGAGGGGAATGGGATTTAATGGATTCAACAGGAATCCCTGCTGCCTCGTGGCTTTCCCCCATCACTGCGTGTTTAGTGACCTGCAGTGGTTTCTCAGACCCTGCAGGAAACCTCCCTCTGTTCTGCCCACTCACCCCGCAGCATGAATATGGGGCTGACGCAGTGTAACGTTTTAACCAATAGAGTGGGCTTATCTGCTCTTTACTTGTTTGTGACTTGTTTGTGTTGGGAAGAATGCATAACTGGCTAGGCCTTGCACATAAACGCCTCGCCTCTCACCTTCATTCATACATATCTGCTTTAGCCTTCACTTGCTGGACTTCTCTTCTTCCAAATAATTGACATAATAGTCACCATAATATCTTTCATTTTTGAGTGCTTACTATGTACCAAGCAGTCTATATCCATGACATCATTTAACTCTCACAAGAAGCCAATAATAAATATAACAACACCTCTTGGGAAAGATAGAAACTGAGACACAGAGAGGTTAAGTAACTTGCCCAACTTCACACAGTTACCAAGTAAGTGGAGGAGCCAAAATGTGAACCTAATCAGCCTGACTCCAGGAATCTCTTACCTACCAGGCTCTCTGCCTTCTTAATGGAGAAACCGAGGCTTTGCCCTCAAACCTAGGGCTGCCCATGCCAGCTCTGCCTTGAGAATCCGTGCCTGGAAAGTCCAGCCAGGGTGGAAGCATCCAGCTACATCCCCCAGTGGGCACATGGATACATGGCACCTCTTCTGGTGCCCGGTCCATGAGGCTAGTGACTCCCCAGGGCTGAGGGTTGGTATTGTTTTCAGCTTATGTCCAGGTAGAGAAAGTATGTCCCAAGGATTCCACTCAGCCCTTCCTGCCATCATAACCCTCACTCCATGGGCCTAGGGCCAATGTGGAAATTCTGGTCATTGCTGCAAATGTCCATTTAAATAAAACATCCAGGAACTGAGGAAATAACCACAGGGTGAGTCCATGAGCCTTCCTACTGGACCACAGTTTTTTGGGGTTCCCAGGAATTAGCATCCATAAGGAGCCAGCACCAAGTAATCTCCAAGAGGTCTGGGCACTTCCACTCATCTCTGCACCGTCACCCTAGTGGACGGACACAGGGCTCTTTGGGACAGCTTAGGGGAAGATATAAGATGTACTTGTGGCTCTGCTGGGAGGACCTTCCCCTTCCTCCAGAGGACCCAACCTCCCCTTCAATCAAGGGCCTGTGAAGAAACATAGGTCTGAAAAGTGAGGGGAAAGCAGTAACTCTGCATTTTGGTGACTCAAGTCACATTTCTGGACAACAGACCTAGAGATTTCCTGCTATGTAGGTCAAGCAATATTTCAGTAAGCTGCCTGTCTATTGCTTTCCTAGGGACAACATCACTGCTAAAGATAACTGCAGGCCAAAACATTCGAGTTTCCGGCTTGTCCCTGCTGCCCGTTATGATAAATGTGCTCAACTGGGCTCTGCAGTGCAGCCTCGCCACATGTCTCCTGCCACCCTGGGACCCCGTCCTCCCCCACTGAAATCAGGGAATTTGTCCAAGTGGCATGTTTCTCTGTCATCCCAGTCTCCAGAGGCAGCCACCACAGAGATTTCTAAGGCAACTGAAGCATTTCCCAAAGTCTTCATGCAGGGATTGTCCACTGGGCCCCTTTAGGAGCTGTAGGGGAAGGCAGGAGGTATTGCCAAGAGCTCATAATAAGCCCACTTCAACATCCCAGCCTCTCTAAGCCTTTGGATTGCTTCTCTGCCTCCTCCCAGGACAGTGCAGGCATCCCAACCTCATTTAAATATGCAACACTCTGTACAGGTTTTGGCTTTATTCAACGAATCAAGCAAGCTATAAGATCCACTTCCATGTGCGCAAGCTAACACATCAAACTTAAAATCTCTAATAAGTGTACTCATATCAATAAATTCCTCCCAATCTACCATTAAATGTCATCCTCCTCTGTCTAACATCTTTAGAAGCCATGTCTATATATTCCTAGGTTTCTACTGGTATAAATTAGCCAAGTTGTGCAATTACTTTGGAAGACAAGCCATCTCCTGCTTGGTCAGACTTTGTGGCTGTTCCCCTTACGCTGAACCCTGACTTCGGTTACAGGTATATGTATTAGTTTTCTATTGCTACCATAACAAATTAGCACAAACTTGGTAGCTTAAACCCACACATATTTGTTACCTTAAAGTTTAGTGAGTCAGGAATTCAACACGGTTCTCCCTGAGCTAAAATCAAGGTGTCAGCAGGGCTGCTTTCCTTTATGGGACCTCTGGGGGAGAAACTGTTTCCTTGCCCTTTACAGCTTCTAGAAGCTGCCTGCAATCCTTGGCTGGGGCCCCTCCCTCCATCCTCAAAGCCAGCAGTGTGCACCTCTCTGATCACTCTTCCATAGTCACATCTCTCTCTGACCCTCTTCTACCGTTTTTTTTCCCCACTTTTAAGGACCCGTGTGACTACATTGGGCCCATTCAGAAAATCCAAGATCATCGCTCCATCTCAAGGTCCTTATCGTAATCACATTCCCAAGGTTCTTCTTGTCACGCCAAGTAACATATTCATAGATTACAGAGTTTAGGATGTAGATATCTTCAGGGGTGTTAGTCTGCCTACTACAGTGTAGACTACCTCTGAGGCAATAACTGGACATTGTTGTACTACTTGAAGGGAATGAGGCTTCCCCCTTGGATGGTAACTGGCTCAGAAGAGATTCTTCCAGGTCTTCATGCAAGGGAAAGCTAATCTTAAGCCAGCAAGGGAGGTACAGGGACTCAGAGGTTTAAAATTCTCAACTTTATCTGAGTCCAGTCTTCCAGCAAGATTGATCCTAAAGAAATGAGAAATTCGATATTATTTTAAGGCTGCCATAACAGCACTCCAGTTTTCTGGCCCTAATATGAGCAGGGAGTTTAGAGTCCTAAACTTGTTTTCTTTCTGTGCGTGCACCTGTGCACTTAAAAGTAGCCTCCCTCAACCAGTCCTTGCAGTCATTATTATGCCGAAGTAGTCAAGGGCAGCAGCCTTGTGACCCCCAACACACAGGGCACTGGCTTCATAGGCACTTCATCAGATCAGCACAAGCGATAATTCAAGGTAGTTTTCTTGCCACTGCATGTCAGGAGGTGCTAGTATCCCACTGCAATGGGCCAAGAGCTCAGCACTACATTTAAGGGTAAGGTTACCACCAAACCAATTCCAAAATCTCCTATTTGAAAATCCATTTCATGAGACCACTCCTTTTTTTTTAAAAAAAAAAAAAAAAGAGTTTTGCCTTGTTGCCCAGGCTGGAGTGCACTGGCACGCTCCAGACATGGCTTCTAAAGATCTTAGACTTTAGAGACTCACTGCAACCTCCGCCTCCCAGGTTCAAGCAATTCTCCTGCCTCAGCCTCCCAAGTGGCTGGGATTACAGGCATGCACCACCACGCCTGGCTAATTTTGTATTTTTAGTAGAGACGGGGTTTCTCCATGTTGATCAGGCTGGTCTCGAACTCCTGACCTCAGGTGATCCACCTGCCTCGGCCTCCCAGAGTGCTGGGATTACAGGCGTGAGCCACCATGCCCAGCCGGGACTACTCTTGATAACATTCTTGATAACTTCAGGGTCAAGTCAGAAAAAGAGAAGTCACACTATGGATTTCAAAAGAGATAATTTAATATCGTGTAAATAATTGCTTATAAGAGCATTGAGAACTGAAAGCGTGAAAAGGGATGCTGGGGTCCCCAAGACTCCCCCACCCCCAGGTTTGGTGATTCACCAGGAGAACCCACAGGATGCAAAGCACAATCAGCAAAGGGAAAAGGTGCAGGTGGCAAAGGCCAGGGGAACCAGGCACAAGCTTCCAGAGTCCTCTTCCAGTGAAGTCACACAGGACACAACACCTCTAACACCAAGTTGTGACAACAGTGGGCAATGTCTTTTACAGGGGAAGCTTGTTAGAGACTCAGCACCCAGGGTTTCTACTGGGGGCTAGTCACTCTCTGTCTAGCACATACCAAAATTCCAGACTCCAGGAGGAAAGCAGGTATTCAGCATAAACCATATGGTTTGTACAAAGAGCTTAGGCAGTCTTCTCAGTTTTAGGAATGATGGAGACTCTCCCGAAATCCAAGTTCCCACATGCCAGCCAAAAGCCAACGTAGCAAACAGGTCTTTCTAAGAATAGCAGCGGGGCCTGCTGTATTAACTCTTTTCTGCACAAAAAGGAATGTGGAGATAGCATAGAACTAGTCACTGCAGAAACCAGCAATCATCCCTAGAGCTGGAGAGAGAAAAGACAAAGTTTGGAGTATCAGAACCTAGAAGTATGCTGGACAAGTCTCCACCAGGCAGAGACTCATCCCTGTAAGAGAAGGGAGCTGTTCAGCTTCTGCTGGTACCATAGAGGGAGCCGGTGAGGCTGTTTCCGGGCATGCTGGGACAAAGGTGGAAGCTGGAAGCACCACACTGACCAGTGAAGAAGCATCACTGGGGTGGTGCTCGCAGGAACAAAAGGCAAAGAGGAAAGAGCAAGGCCTGTCCTCTCCTGCCCTCCTCTCTCCCTGTATTACCCCTTAGTGTGGAGCCTAACAGGAAGCAGCTGGCAATGCAGAAATATAGTCTGTAGAAATCCTGCCATAGGACCACAGTGCCAAGAGGGTCTGGTTTTGAAAGACAGCAGCTTACAGATTGGCACACTCATTATACGCCAGGCCTTCCGCCAAGAGCTTTCATATTTCATCTCAGTTAATTGAGTCTTTACAACAAACCAGAGGCAGGTCTTCCTATCCCCATTTTAAATGGAGAAAATGGAGGCTCAGAGGGGTTAAGTAACTTCCCCAACGTCACCCAGCTGGTAAGTAGCAGGGCTGAGTCCCAAAGCCCTCATTTTCTCTACTGTATCACCTGGATTCCCAACTATGAGTGCACTGGCAAGTCATCTGGGAGAACACTTGCCAGAAAAGACACATCAGAGCAGGAAGGGAAGAAAAGTCACCCTAAATGAACAAGATGGTTGCTAGCCTCAAAGTCTGGGCCACACACCTGGACCCTGTGTGTGACAGCAGACACCATCCCCATCCATATCCATCATGTGTCCACCTCCCCTGCCCTGAGCAGCCTGTTGCAGACCCCACCCACACCAGGCTGTTCCGCAGTGGCCGCCATCAAGAATCCCAAGTCCTTCCAGCAGAAGCAAGCCGCTGCCCAGGGCTGGGTTCATGGATGTGCCTCTCCTGGGTGATGGCAAGGGATGCAAACCAAATAGAAGAAAATTCCAAATCACTATGTCCTGGGAAGATTCCTCAAAGTCTTTGTAAAATGTTCAGGAAGCATTTTCAATGTTCTTTCATCGCAGAAGATAGGCTGAGTATTCCTATGAGAAGAGGAGAGTGGGGCTCAAAGCCCTCCAGCCCATGCAGAAGCAGAATATGCCCTGTCCTTAAGGAGGATGCCCACAGAGTTGGCTGTAAAGCTGTGACCACCATGCACAAGCACACAAAAGGCCAGCGATGCTGCAGAGACAGAGTGTCTACAAAACAGCCGCCGTGGGTAACAGACGCCGAAAGTATCAGCAGTGATCTGTTATTCTTACAAGCAGCAACAGGGCTCCCAACAGGCCTAGAACAACAAAATTAATGGATTGGAAAGCAAGAATCTAATGTACGAGCTCTCAAAATTCCCCAGACTAGCTGACTCACTGTGCACATCCAGTAAGTCACAGCTCTTGGGTTTGAGGTGGCTGGGACTCCACTGGGGCTGGAGGAGGACGCAAGAGCAGCCAGGGGGAGGTGGGGACAGGGGAGGGGGTGACACAGACAGCAGATGAACCAGCACTAGCTCTTCCAATGAAGCAAAACACCACTTTCACGCAAAGCTTCTTTGAACTTCAGCAAAACAAATAGTATTTACACAGACAGCCTCCAAAAAATAAACTCCATAATGAGAGAGCAAAGAAGTCTACCCAGTTCACCCGCTTGATGGTTAAATCATTTTTTATTGAATTCAAGTTTCATGGACCATTAAAGGTCTGGAAGGAGAATTCTCAGGGAAGCTTTTGGACTAATGAGTGTTTTGCAAATTGCTTTTCTAACAGATTCGTTCTTCTTTTTTTCTGAGAATTCTAAGAGCCTTTGGCTTGCATGATTTGGCCCTGCATTGGAAAAACAACAGCAACTATTTTAGTTGAGCCTAATTTATTTTCATTATTAAGAAGTGTTGGTGTTTTGTATCTTCCTAATACATTTTTGACACTGATATGAATCTGCTGTCATCAATCAAAATACCACAAACTCCTACACTTGTCTTTCTGCATTCATCAGATACCCTCTGACAAGTGTTCTCTCACCTCCTCCGCAAAGATGTGGGCCTGCCTTCACGGACCCAGCCACCCAAAGAAAACAGAACCTGCAGATAGTCCTATGCCATGCACTAACTGCCTTCAGCTTCCTCCATCTGTTCTTGCTCCTAGTGCCAAGGCAGAGGAGGACAGAGAGGAGCAGCACAGCATCCCCCAGAAGTCCCCTTCCCTGCCAGGCGAGGCCGATGCCCCCACTCCAGAACACCCCCACTTCGGGGGAGGGGGTGAGTCTGGCAAGCCAGGATCTTCCCTGGAACCTTTCCCTTAGAACTACCAGGAGGGTCTTTGTTCTTCTGTTTGGTCAGCAAGCTGGTAAGGTGTGGCTGGGAGATGCTGTGCTTCCCTGGTGATGGGAGCCTGCTGCAGCAAGGGAGAGAGACACATTTAAATTTTACTGCAAGACTTTTCAGTCTTAGGAGCCAATAAATTGTCTGAATTGCTCATTGGCCTGGGGTGGGTTTGTCACTTCCAATGAAGGAGCCCATGGTGTCTGCAGCTGGAAATCAATCCATCAACAACTATTTATTGAGTGCTTTCCAGGGGCTGAGCCCTGTTCTAGGTTCTGGGAATACAGCCAGGGTCAAAACAGACACACTGGACTCTACTCCAGCTACGTCCTCAGGTGCAGAGACAGACAAATTAACAAATAAATATATACAATGGCAAGTGACACTGAGTGCCTTGGGAAAAACAAAATTGCATACGGGATAGAGAGCAGGGGCAGGGGAAGCCACAAGACTTCCCTACTTCAAAATCATCCCTCGGTGTTGGAGAAAGATGTGGACTTCCAGAGACAATGCAGCATGGGGTTGGTTGAAAATGCAATGTGGGGTAGGAAAAAAACGGTGGGGGTGGATGAGAGCCAGTACAAGGCATGACAGCCACATTAAATCAGTAATTTGGATTTTGTCTTCCAGGCAAGGGTGGCCAATGGATTGGCAAGATGAGCAGTGTGGGTTAGGAAGATCATGGTGGCCCCTGGCGGAAAGAGAGGTAGAGCAATCGGGGAAGGAAGCAACCCAAGGGGGCAGCCCTGTCATCGTCATTCACATTAGAGCAGCATGCGTGCCAGGGGAGACTCCCGGGCCGATTTGGACACCCAGTGAGTGTTCATCAAAAGGACTTGGTGGGCGACTGAATGTGGAGTGGGGAGAGAGAGCAGGCAGGGAGGTAACTTGGGTTTCCTGTTGCACAACAGGTTGACGGGAGGGGGATTTTCCCATATAAATCACAGTAGGAAAAGAGGTTTCTGGGGGGCATAATAGATTCAGATTTGATATTACTGAATTGAAAATTAAGGGTATGTCCCAAAGCAGATACTCAGTATGCAGTTATATATACCCAAACCTTGGTTCATGAGGGAAAGAAGGATCCTCAGAGCTCTGTGATCCTAATAATACCACCCAGTGCCCAAATCCCTAATAAAGGGCATGAAGAGGACTCCACCTGGCTCTATGTGGCATGCAAAATCCCCTCCCCACTTCTTTCCACCCAACACTCACAGCACTGCCACCACCATCTGACTTCCACCCACCAGTGCCCACCTCATCACCTGCCCTGTGTAACCTGAGTGCCCCAACCCCACTATAATGCTGGACTTCTCCCTGAGACTCATCCCCTGCAGCTCTTTATATCCCTAAGCCGAGCCCACCTCTCACCTCCAAAACTCCCATCACATTCTCAAACCTCCAGCCAGGATTCGGCAAAATCCCCCATATTCTTCAACTGTTTCTGAATGTTTCTTTCTCTTTTTGGTCCTCGTCTCCCATGGTGGTGGGACTCACAGTTCACTGATGGATTATCTGGTCACTGTCTCATCTCAGCCGCCTCCTGTCCTCTCACACTCGCTTCCACGTGTTTCTCACCATCGCTCCCATGTGTACACCATATCCCCACAGTCCTTGCCCTGGTTTCCCCTCATTGTTTTTGCCTGGAAAAACCTGACCCTAGTTCAATTCTTTGGTCTACATCGCCGCACTCAAATCCTGGTGGTTGGGGAATGTGGCTGGACAGAAACACAGCTATTCACTTTAACTGTTGCTGCTGCCTAAAGAGGCTACTACATACCCAGTCCTTTCACTCTCCCACTCCTTCTCACGTTTCTCCTCCTCTACTGCCTCTCATCCTACTGGAAGGTAGAAGCCATTGAGAAACTGTCACAAGCTCCCCTGCTGCCTCCTTCTGCATGCTGCACCCTTCCTGCTTCCTGCTCCAGAGGCTCTGGGCCCCTGCTATGGCCAGTCTCTGGTCCTCTGAGGTTGCACCCACTCACAGCCCCTCACACCTACCCAATGGCATTGTTCTCTCCCATCACTCCACCATCATCAGTCGCTCTACTCGCTAGTGGGTCATGTCTATTTCTATTGGTGTACAAACATGATGCTGTTTCCCCATCTTAAGAAAACAAATGAATAAAAAATGCTTTTGGCTCCATATCTGCCTCTAGCTACTTTGAATTATTCTTCTCCCCTTTTCAGCAAAACTCAGAAAGAGCTGTTGGAACTCTTCCCCATTTCCCCCCTCGCTTCTCTGTTGAGCACACTCCAGCTCAGCTTCTGCCCAGTGCTCCATCAAAACTGCTCTTGTCAAGGGAACTGACAACCTCCAGGCTGCTGAACCCAGTGATCAATTGTAGGCCCTTATCTAAACCTGACCTTTCAGCCTGATTTCAAGCCATTTCTCCCTCCTTCTTAAAATGCTTTCTTTGCCTGCTTCCAGGAAAGTGCTCTCTCTTGGTTCTCCTCCACCCTTCCTGTCTGTCCTCCCCAGCTCCCAGAGTTGTCCTCAGACTTCTCTTTTCTATCTATGCCCACTCCCAAAGTGGTCACCTTAAATACCATTTATAATGCTATTACCTCTCAAATGTAGATCACCAGCTTGACCTCTCCATTGAACTACAAATTTGTGTACCTAACTGGCCACTGGACATCTCCATCTGAGTGTCTACTGAGTATTCGATCAAAATCTCAACGTTCACTACCTCCCTCACCGGTTTCCCCTGCAGACTTCCCCATCTTAGTAAATAACATCTCCATCATACCAGCTGCTGCTGCCAAAAACACCACAGTCCTCCCATACCACTCACTTTCTTTAATATCCCATATCTAATCTACTAGCAATTACTGTTGGACCTACCTTCAAAATCATCTAGAAGCCACTCACCATCTCCCCACCTGCTATCCTACCCAAACACATGTTATCTCTAGTGTGTTGATGCAGGAACCTGCTAACCCAGCTTCTCACTTCTCCTTTGTGCCCGGAGGTCTACTTACCACAATGGCCAGAATGATGATGCCACTCAGTTCTTCACATAGCCATCCTGACAAGAGCCAATTCCTGACAGTGGCCCATGGGGCTGTGCACTAACTCTGATCATCTTTCCTGTAATGCTCCTGGTCACACTCTCTAGTTCAACCACATTGATCTTGTTCTTCCACAAACAACCCACGCACAATCCTGTCTTCTGGCCATTTCATTTGCTGCTCCTCCAGCTCAGGAAGCTTCTCCACAGATATCTGCATATATATATGCACCCTCTCACTTCCTTTCAGTCCTTTCTCAAGTGTTACTTTTTCAAAAAGGCCTTTCCTGATCATGCAATGCAAAGTAACACCCCCACCCCACTCTTCCCCACCGACATCCCCTTGCTCTATTTTCTCTAGATCACACACTCTTACTTCACAACATGGGTGTACTATAGATCTCCTTCTGTGGTTCTTTGTTGCTTCTCCTTTCTGATGCCTATCCTGAGTCCCAAGCTACAGTGCCTTGACCAGGTCTTGCTGGATCCATAGAGATCCTGGTTAACAGCACTGCTCCTCCCAGGGGGATTGTATTCTGCCTGGGACTCCAAATGGTGGAGTTACAGGTATTGCATCTGTCACCTCTGGTGGGAAGGTATACTAGGGTACCAAAAATGCCTACATTTGAGGTCAACACTGATAATAACCACAAGGACTTAGAAGAAAAAACAAAGAGGTTGCATCCTAGTCTTCTTGGTCTGTGATCTCTTAGCTTGGCTACCAGACTTCACAGGAGCCTGGCACTACAGAAGATCAGAAAGGACCATCCTTCTCCCTTTTCAGCCTTTCCATGGTGCCCCTCAATGGTCAGCGGCACAGTGCATACTGCAAGACAGACGGGAATCTCACTTCTGCTCCTGTCCCTGTCTCGCCATCCCCATATCCTGGTGGTAGCAGCCTCACATCTCTGCCTGGAGAGATGCAGCACCAGCTACCCCCACTCAGATCCCCACCGCCACCCCAGCCTGCCCCTTGAAGAAGGTAGGTCTGTAAGTGAGAGAGCTCAGGCCTGCTCTTGCCCTCAGCCTCTCTCACTAGAACAGCAGAAACTCCCAGAGGACTTGCTTCCTCCTACCTTTCAGCACATAGCTTGTTCTCCTTTCAGGTTAAGTTGTTCCTGCTATAAAAATGATTAGTTAATTGGGTGTAGGCAGTATGAAACAGAAGGGCCCATGAGCATGGACAGCTGAAAGTGGTTTCTCAAATTATTTCCATTAATGTTGAGAATAAATTCCCGGGATGCTAAGTCTTTAGTGCGCAGGAGTTATCTCAGAAATTAGAAGCTACATTAACCACTTCTGCACATTCTTCTGCCACCACAGAGCCACGCCACCCACGAGAGGGCCCTTCATCCCGAGGCTCACCCTGGGAAGCCCAGGGCACCAGCGGCAAGTGCTTAATTACAGACACCTTCAAAGCTGGAGCTGCCACGCCTCTCAAGTCTCTGTCAAAGCAATGAGGACAGAGCAGGGCTCGGTGAGCTAATGAGGAACCAGCCACCTGCCTCTCTGGAATCCCCTCAGGTGGGCATTATGCTTTCTGTGAAAAGGAGAGCAGCTCAGCCCAGAACTGGTCCCTCTCAGATCAACTTCATTTCAACACATAGCCACTCACACGGTAGGTGAGATTAGGAAACAATGGTGATTGTCTATTAATTGGCCTTTGTGGTAAGTTAGCAGCGGCGAGCTGCTGGTGAGCCTGCTAGAAGAAAATTATACTTATTTTTACTGAAGGGTAAAATAGCCCTCTTCATCTTTGTTCAGGAGAAAAGGAAATGTGAAATATTTCAAATTAGTCAGTGGGAATAAAGGAAGTAAGGGGTGGCAGTAGGGAGGGTAAATGTTTTGCATCTGGTTTCAATGCCTTCCTATATTAGACCTCTTCTAATTATGAATTATTATTTCAGTTATTATTGGAAAAATGGTTGTCAATTACTAAATTACCATGTTTCACTCACTCCACTAAGAAGAAATTATTTGAGCCAACAATGCTCAAGCTAATTTTGCCTTTGAATTTCCCACAGTATTGCTAAGCAGAAAGGTCCACCACTAGGCTGAAGTAAAATTTGGTCTCCCTTCCTAGAAAACAATGTATTCCTCCCAGGGCCCTGCAGCGGTAGATATGAAGTCACCAGTGAACTGTTAGCAAGGACAGAGTCTTACTGACAGTGAAGAGATGACTTCACTACAGATGTCAAGCAAAGCCCTGACCTCCTTGGTTTAAGGCAGTAAGTCCTTCCTCTGCGTTCTAAGGCAAGGCCACTTAGAAAAAAACACATGGGCACTGGATACCTTCCCCAGACCCCAAAGCCCCACCTTGCCTCCTCCCAGGTTTCCACTGGATTTTTTTTTTTTTAGGCGGAGTCTCGCTCTGTTGCCCAGGCTGGAGTAGTGGCACAATCTCGGCTCACTGCAAGCTCTGACTCCCGGGTTCACGCCATTCTCCTGCCTCAGCCTCCTGAGTAGCTGGGACTACAGGCGCCCACCACCATGCCTGGCTAATTTTTTGTATTTTTAGTAGAGACAGGGTTTTGCCGTGTTAACCAGGATGGTCTCTATCTCCTGACCTCGTGATCCGCCCACCTCAGCCTCCCAAAGTGCTAGGATTGCAGGCATGAGCCACCACACCCGGCCTCCATTGGATTCTGTTTGTGAGATTTGAGAGGAAATGTCTTAAGCTCTGACCAGGATCTTGAGCGAGAAGGAAAGCAGGCGTTTACTTCCTGGGAAGTCTCTGCTCCTAGAAGAGTGAAATGTTCTCTGGTCCAAAAGGAAGGAGAGAGTTTAAAGAGCAATGATGGGGAAAGAGCACCCCTCCAGGGTCGGGAAAACCTGGGTTCCATCTTGCCTCCGCCTTTACACCGTGTGAGACCTACCGCAAGGTACTCAACCTCTTAAAGCCTCAGTTTCCTCCCAGATCATATGAGGTACAAGTACCTACAGCACATATTTGTTCTGAAGCTTCAGGCCACTATGTATGTAGGGCCTTCGGTAGATGAAGCAATGGAAGCCCAGAGAGGGAAATAAATGGCCAATGTACAAAGAGCAAGTGACTGGTCTAGCTAGAATCAGAGACGCCCTCAAGGCTGAGTCTTTCCATCGTACCCCTTCCTCTGGCAACTCGGATTTCAAAGTTCAGCCACAGTAACTCATGGAAAAAAAGGATGTAGATTACTTCATTAATCATTTCTTATATTGATTACACACTGAAATAATATTTTGGATACATTTGTATCCAAAAATAAAGTAGCATTACTAAATTTAATTTCACCTTTCTTTTTCCTTTTTTTAATGTGATTACTAGAAAACTTTAATTTTCTGATGTAGGTGGCATTATATTTCCAGTGGATGGTGCAGAACTAACTCATAATCACATCTCTTCAGATCCACTGTCTCAGCTGCCTGCTGGGCATCTTCCCTGCCATATACCCATCATCTTCATCCATTTTGCCATACAGACACTGTCTTAAAGTCCTTTTGTGAACTCTAGAAAGGATAGCATTCAAGTATTTATAGGCAACCAACTGTTGACCATATTGGTGCTGAATGCCAGGTATTATTAAAATGTATCTCACTAAGTAAGATAAAGTAAATGAGCCAGAAGATGTTGCCGAGACATCAACAACATCTTTCTGTAGTTACATAGTTCAAACAGGCACGAGTAGTTTTCCTATTCATCTCTGGCTAATAACCATTGTTCTGGGCCTTTTGTTCAAGAAAAATGCCCCTGAAGTGACAGACAAGAGATGGTGCCATACATGACGCTGTCTGGCAGTAGCTGATGCCCTCTTAGCCCTCACATTCTGGGTCCCTCACAGGGAAATTGTGATTTCAGAGAAGCCCCCAAAGGTAGGTACCTGTTTCTTTGTCTAATCAACTTCACCACTCTCTACTAATAACATTATTAGAACCACCTTATTACAGATATTTCATCCAACCATATTTATCTGTATGGGCTGGGCACTATCCTGGGCCCTAGGTATTCAAAAATGAATGAGATTGTTGAGGTTCCTGCCCCGTGGAGTTTACTTTCTGGTAAAGAGTGGATCCAGTTAAGATGTATTTAGCTGCAGGAAACAGAAAACCCCGACTCCAGTAGTCTTGAACAGTAAGCGTGTGTCTTCACATACCAAGAAGTCCAGAAGGACAGTGACTCCAGCTATGGGTTCCAGGAGCCTGGCTCTGCTTCACTGAGCTTTTCTTTGTCCCGCCCTATTCCATACAAAAGCCTCATTCTCAGGCTGTTTAGCAGGATGCTCACTTTGCTACATACACCATCTCCACTCCTTAATCCCCAGCTCTCAGCCTAACCTTCTGAGATCTGGCTCTGAGCCCTACTCTTTGGTCACGGCTCTCCAGGACCAAATTATAATGGCTTTCCTTGACTTACACATCCATAAAACCTCCTTTCTGGCTCCATCACAGCCAAGAGCAGGGTTAGGGTTAGGGTTAGAATCAGGGTTAGGGTTAGAGTCAGAGGTAAGGCTACTAAGGAACCGTGCCTCTCTTCTCCCTTCTGTTCTGCTCCCTCTCCTCTCTGCCTCTTCTTCCTCCTCTGTCTTTACATATTTTGCCTGAAGAGCTCATTCTTTCTTCCATCATCTGCTAGGATGACTGCCCCCAGAGCCGGGCCATCAGCCATCACTGTGACTCCTGGCTCCAGATCCACTTTCTCAGCTGCCTGCTGGGCATCTTCCCTGCTATATGCCCATCATCTTCATCCATTTTGCCATACAGACACTGTCTTAAAGTCCTTTTGTGAACTCTAGAGAGGATAGTATTCAAGTATTTATAGGTAATGGGAACATTGACAAGAGGGTAAAATTTCATCCACACATTGGCTCAGCAACTGCTGACCATAACGGTGCTGAGTGTCAGGTATTATTAAAATGTATCTCACTAAGTAAGATAAAGTAAATGAGCCAAAAGGATGCAAGGCTCTGTTCTCATAATGTATTGAGTAAATATGCCAATATGTCAGTATGTACAAGTCCCACCCCCTCTGTGGCAGCCAGGAAAGAGCACTCCTAGCTTCTGGCCAAAGCAACTGGACAAAGGCTTCAGGAGACAGAGCCCAGGTGTGGGGTGAGAGCACTGCCTGTCCAAAGTCGCAACACCTAGGCTTCCCTCTTTACATAGTCAAGCAGAGCTGGGACCCAGCTAACAGCCAAGCCATGGTCCACTATACAGCATTCTTCACCCTGTGGGGAACTCAGGGCCCAAGAAGACCCTGCTGAGTGCCCAGGGGCAGTGGTAAGGGCACCAAGTGACTCGTGCCTTGCCCCCTTCGGCTGCTTTGCTGGAGTCCACAGGCTGCTGCATTCTTCAGCGTCCTGTGCCAAGGGCTTCATGTGACTGAGTCGTGAGCTAAGGAGGACTGAAACAACCTGTCCTATCACCTCATCCCTTGATAGCGACAAATGACTAAGAGAGCTTTCGAGAATTCTTGGCTAAAACGGAACTCCATATCTTCCCCCTTAAACCACCTCCCTTCTCTTACCTTTCCCATTCTTCCAATGCAGCACCGCTTCTCCCCCAGGTTCAAAATCTCCCCCTCCTGCTCACAGCACAGGCTACTTTGAGGTTGCTCACCTCCACTCACTACCTCCTCTCCCATCACTTTTTGTGTGATTACGGCAAGAGCTGCCTACTTGGAACCCCAGTTCCAATCGCAACACCGCTCTTACTTCAAAGTCTTATGCTTCCCCTGACTAATGAAATCAGAGTTTCTCACGCATCAGAGAAGACGACTTTAGAACCTCATTCCCAAGAAGACACCCTGTGTTCAGGGGCTCTGTGTCCAAACTGACCAACAAGCCCAATGAGGAAGGAGGGTCTGGGCAGAGGGAGGTTGAATTTAATTATAAAGCTACAGCAAACTGGCACCAACTGCATGCCAAGCCTCCTTACACACATTTTCTTTTCTTTTCTTTCCTTTTTTTTTTAATGCAGGGTCTTGCTCGTTGCCCAGGCTGGAGTGCAGTGGCGCAATCTCAGCTCACTGCAACCTCCACCTCCCGGGTTCAAGCAATTCTCCCTGCCTCAGCCTCCTGAGTAGCTGGCATTAGAGGCACCCACTACCACGCCTGGCTGATTTTTATATTTTTTTAGTAGAGACGAGGTTTCACCATGTTGGTCAACTGTGTCTTGTGCTCCTGACCTCAGGTGATCCGCCTGCCTCGGCCTCCCAAAGTGCTGGGATTACAGGCGTGAGCCACCACGCCCGTTCTTACACATATTTTCTTATTAATTCTGGCATCAAAGCTAAAAATAGACATTCTGACTCCATTTTATAAAAGGGAAAACTGAGGCTTAGAGAAGAGAAATTATTTCTGCAGAGTCACAGAGCTGGCACGTGGCTGAGCCTCATTCTGCCCCTGCTGTCTGAGTCCACGCCGGGGCCTCGCTGCTGTACCTTGCTCCTTCTGTCCCTGAGGACAACACGCAGAGGAAGGGGTGTGGCTCTACTCACCACTGTCTGCTCTGTGCCTAGAACAGGGCCTGCCACATCGTGGGTGCCCATTAACATGGGTGGCACGAAGAAATGTTAGAAAACAAGCAACATTCCCAGGACAATGGCTGTTTGTAGCAAAGTGAACAGGAATGCAGATTGGGCCAGATTGCAAAGGGCTTTACATATCTTGGTGAAAAAATAATAAGAATAAATTGATTTCTATAGGCAAGGGAAGTCACTGCAGCTTTTAAATTGATGAACCCTCTTTTCAACAGCTGCACCCTGAATCTGCTATCAAGAATCTTACAAGAAAAACTAACATGAAAGGGAGTCCCTCCTAGCAGCTTCCTTGCTTGTTAAAATTCTCTGTGAATGATCTGTCTCAAACAAGACTTGAAATTACCGATTTTTGCTCTATCTTCTCTGATTTGCACAGAGCTGCCCTTTTGGAGATCCACAAATGTGCAATTGTCATGCTGCCATTAAGTCTTCCAAAATATTGATTTCAAATGTGAATTCCCATCCTCACCAATTATCTTCAAAAAGAGAAGTACGTCAGGGAAAAAATATCGTATTTCCCCACCCTTTGCTCTGTGTCCAAAGCATTTGTAAATGTAGTATTAAGCTTAGAAAACAGCTGGTGTTTCAACCCAAACTTTAGAGCTGGGGGAACTGAGACCTGCTATAAAGATATGGTGTCCAAGGAACAGCAATCCTCAGGGCCTACAGGGCTGGGCTCCCTTCATTCCATGGAAGGGACCCTTGCAATCATGTTCAGTAGAATCTGTTGCTGTTCTGTCTCCCCTCTTCCGGAATTGGGCCAAGTCAGTCCCAGAACTTTTGCTGAAGCTACTGGAAAAGAAGTGCCCCCTCCTCATTAACGTAATCTGGAGCTGACAGCAGCTGTGCACCACCCCAGGGGAGTCAGCCTGAGAATAAAGCCTCTCGTGGAGGAAACAGAGACCATCAATAGAAGAGACAGCTTCCGGATGACATACCCTGTGCCTGAAGCCAGATTCACTTCCTGAATTTCCCAGCATTGTAAGTCCATACTGGCCCCTCAAAGAACAACCACAACAATCACATCCACTTTCAGCTGGTTTGATCAGATTTCAGTGACTTGTAACTAAAGAGTCCTCTTTACAGACATAAAGAAATATTCCGAATGGTGCCTGCTAAGTGCAGAAAAGGGGGTATGTGTGAGAAATGAATTCAGCACAGAGAAAACAGTAAATAACATATGGGATGAGAAGTGTGGACAATGGAAAGAAGCAGAGCTCTGCAAAATCATGACTCGAGAGGTTAAAGGCAGGGAGGCAAACCAGGCAGGGGGCCTGCCAACATGAGGAATGTGAAGCTCACGCTTCCAGGGGCCCACGGCAGGAGGCAGCCCAACCACCACCATCTGGGACCAGGGCTGTGGGACCAGAGTGTGGCTTCCTCAAGGGACCAAGTGAGCACTGAAGGGTTTGATCCCAGGGAGTCGCAATCCACCTGGAGTTTCTAGATATCATTACATTGTCAATGGATGGGGGCAGCAGGACCAAAGCCAGGGTGCGGCTTCTTCAAGAAGCAAAGGGAATCTGTTTGCTGTTTCCAGATACCGCTCGGCTATCACCGCCTGTGGACACTGCTGGGGGAAACGTCACGCACAGGCTCTTGCCTTGTACGCGTAGCTCCAGCTCACCATTAGGTCAGGGGCCTTGTGAATCAGGGCTAGGTCTTGTACACCATTGAATCTCCCCCAGCGCCTGGCATGGAGCTGGTGCAACAATGACATTTCTGTATGTGATAACATCATGTATTTACGTGGTGTCACATGGTTCCCAGAACACATTCACCAGTGAGACCTTGTCTGAGCTCCAGAAGGCAATTCCAGCAGGGATTTTTCTCACTGCTTGAAAACGAAAGGCTGGGGACATCAAGTGCCCCCCTCAAGGGCTTAACTAAGTCTTTTGAGTCCCAGAGCAGTGGCCCCTGTCCACCATGCCAGTTGGTCCTTTCCTGCCTGGCCCATCTACAACCAGTCACCCAAAGAGGCAGGGCCAGGCAAGGTCTCTTTAGCCAAGAAGTAGTAAGCGGCCTTAGGCAGCCTAAATGTCACTTTCTCCAAATGCCAGAGACACCCTACAGTCCTCTCCAATAGAACCTGGTGCTTTCCTTTTGTGGCACTTGCAGTTTCAAATAATTTACTTACTGGTATGTTTAATATTTGTCTTCTCCCTTGGACTGTATGCTTTGTGAGATCAGGGGCTGTGTCCTTTTTTTTAACCACTGATAAGTCATGTCTGGCATAGAATAAGCCCTCAATATGTTGATAACTTGAGTGAATAAAAGAATAAAGGCATGGAGATGGAGCCGGGACCTCGGCCTCAACATCTCAGGTTTCCTCTGAGCAGCCTGCAGCCTGTGGGTATGGGGGCAGCCGTGAGATTCAGACCTATGCAGAGAAGATCAGGTCTAAAGACTGCATCATGCTCTCCTTTACCCTGGCACCTCCCAGCACTGTCTCCCAGGCCCCAAACCACCTGAGTGTCCAGATCTCATCTGGGCAATGGTGCCCATGGTATGTCATTAGAAAAACATGCATGAGTGGAGCTTAAAGTTACTGAGCTCACACCTGCTGTGTTCTGTTCACACCCTTCTCTGACTGTCGGTGGGATCTGTAATGCATGTGTTTGGCATAGTAAAGTGTTAATTAATAATCTGCGGACAAAGAAGACTATATAGGAATCTTGAGCCATCAAGCAGGGTACAGCTTTTGATCTGTGTATCATGGAAGGTGAAACTAAAAGATGAAAGGGTGCAGAGGGACTGAGGGGCTGGAGGAGTGGTCCAGGACAGGAGTCCACAACCAGCAGGCAGAGACACCCTCCACACTGCTGGGGCTGCCTCTCAAAAGTGCAGCAGGATGCTGCCTCTTTCCTCCTGGAAGCCTTCTAGGCTGCCCCACCAGGCCCACAGCAGAAGTTCTCAGCTGCTGCCTTGGGACACACCAAGGCATAAGTTGCAATCACCTGTGAGGTGTACTGCCAGTAATTCATTATTAATAGAAATTAAAATTTAGAAATGAGATTTTTGTTTGCAATATGGAACAACTCTCCCTAAAAGATCCTGATTCTCACTCTTTGTTCTTGAGTAGGAGAGAAAGCAGGCACTAGCCCTGGTGAACAGGACTGTATCTGACCCCAGCGTGAGTAGGGAAGCATGGTGCATGGGAACGCAAGTCTAATGCCATGGCTGCAAATGTGGCTGAGACCACTGACCCACAGAATAAAACCCCAAGTCCTGAGCATGGGCATGAGACTCTCTGAGCTCCAGTGGCCCCACCTGGACCATCCCCCCTGCACCCCTCAGCTACTGCATTCAATCCACACTCTCTGGACCCCTCCACACACCCTTGCTCTCTTTCCTTTGCTGCTTCTGTCCCTAACAGAATACCCTTTTCCCTTTGTTTGCCAGCTCGTATTTCAAGACTTAGCCATGGGGCCTTCCAGAGTCCTGAAATCACTTTGTGTCTTAGCTGCTTTGATTTCTCACACCCCACATTCTCTAATGTGTCTGCTCACTCTTTCCCAGTCTCTCGCTGGCTTTTCCTCCTCCATTCAACCTGTGACTTTTGGAGTGCCCTGGGCTCGCTTTTGAGCCTTTTCTCTATCTGCACTCTCTAGGTGTTGGTGTTCCTAGGTAATCTAACACTTTGGCTGCCTTCTATGTGATGGTAATTCCCAAATGCAAATCTCTGAACCTCAACTTTCTCTAGAGCTCCACTATTCATCATGGTAGCCCCCAGCCACACGTGTCTACTGAGCACTTGAAATGTGGCCAGGCTAGTTTGAGATATGTTGAAAGTGGAAAATGTGCTCCAGGTTTTGAAGAATTAGTATCCAAAAGATGTAAAATATCTCACTAATCATTTTATATTGATTACATGTTGAAATTTTAATATTTGGGAAATACAGCATTAAATGAAATATATATCAAAATGACTTTTACATTTTCATTTTTACCTTTTTAACGTGGCTTCTAGTGAATGTAAAAAATGCATATGTGGGCTCACATTGTATTTTCATTGGACAGCACTGATCCAGGGCACCAGGCCCCTTCCTTCTCTGTCTACCCAAAAATGAAAATTTACATTTTCATTTTTACCTTTTTAATGTGGCTTCTAGTGAATGTAAAAAATGCATATGTGGGCTCACATTGTATTTTCACTGGACAGCACTGATCTAGGGCACCAGGCCCCTTCCTTCTCTGTCTACCCAGAATGTTCTCTGACATCCAAGAGAACATTCACTTTGAATAGGATCAGGTAGAACTTTTGATTTTCCATTCCATGGTACAGGGCACCACAATTTCCCTAGTTGCTGTATTAAAAGCCCATGAATTAAATCCTTGTGTCCCCCTTTTTCTTCACTCTCTACATCCAACTCTTTTGCAAGTCCTAATGGTTCTTCCAAAATACACCCTCAACCTGAGCACGTCTCCAATCCCAGCACCACCAACTCCAGCCCCTGCAGTGCCTCCCCTCTCCACACTGCCTCCCACTCCTCCCTTGCTCCCCACTACTCATCCTCCACAAGCCGGCAGAATGGTCTTTTCCCAACACTAACAAGGCCAACCTTGACAAAAATCTTCGAAATCTTCCAATTGTACTTAAAAAGTCCTGATCACAGCCTACAAGGTCCTACAAGACCCATGGTGACCTTGCCTCTATTCTCCTTTTTGACCTTCATGCCCTCTCCTCCCTGCCCCAGCCCCTTGGTATTTCCCACACATGTCAAGCTCATTTTCCTTCATGCCCTGTGCACCTGCTGTTCTCTCTGCCTCTAGTGCTTTTCCCCGCTCTTCAGCATGGCATGATGCCTCATCATGGAGGTGCTCTTGGGCTGCTGAGGGCTCTATCCCAGCACCCCATTTTCACCTTCCCAGTCCTATTATTCTCTAAAGTTATCTTATTTATGTTTTTGCTCACTTGCCAGTTGTTCACCTCCTCCTTCAGAAAGAAAACTCCCCAAGGGCAGAGGCCCTGTCTGCCAGCTCCACTGCTGCACTGCCAGGCCCTGGAGCAGTTCCTGGCCACAGAAACCCTCAAGAACAAATGAAGGAAGGTTTATTGAATGAATAAATGCACACAGAAATGCCACACACCCCTCCTTTGAACCCCTCCAAAATATTTGTGATTGTCTCCAGCCTGGTCATTTCCATTACATATCTCTCTACATGTCCACTTCCCCAGTTGTATTAGTCTGTTCTTATGCTGCTAATCAAGAACTGCCCAAGACTGGGTAATTTATGAAGGAAAGAGGTTTAATTGACACAGTTCTGCAGAGCTTGGGAGGCTTCAGGAAACTTACAATTATGGTGGAAGGAGAAGCAAACACATCTTTCTTCACATGGCAGCAGCAAGGAGAAGTGCCAAGCAAAAGCGGGGAAGGTCCTTATAAAACCATCAGGTCTCATGAGAACTCACTCACTTCCATGAGAACCACATGAGGGTAACCACCCCATGATTCAATTACCTCCCACCAGGTCCCTCCCACTGCACATTGGGATTATGGGAACTATAACTCAAGATGAGATTTCGATGGGGACACAGTGAAGCCATATCACCAGCCAAACAACAAGCTGACAGGGTGAGGCTGCTTCAGACTTACTTTGTCTCCCAGCACCTATCTCAGGGAAAGGCGTGCAAGGGGTACTTGGTGAGCTCATGTTGAATCCAAATTATCTGCTGGTAGCTCTCGACTCCACTACATTTCTCAGAGCTACTTCGTTGCCACAGGCACACCATCACAGGCTTGCCATGAAGGCTGGAGTTGACCCTGTCTGCGGTGTCTACATGGTGTCAGTGGCCTCCTTCTCCGGGGTGTGCTCCCATGTGCATGCAGAGACAGGTAAACCCAGAACTGGATGAAAAAAATAAAAGGACAGAACACATGTGCAGACAGGAGCTGCCTGTGTTTCTGACAACTTTTCACCTCCTGGGTCAACCCTGTCTGAGACGCCACTTCCATTTCTGCCCTTAGAGTCCAGGACATTAACTCTGCTTCCTTATGATAAACCCCCCCTTTCTTGTTGAAACCAGCTCCAGTGGATATCTACTCTTCGCAACCAGGAATCCTTACAAACACAGGCACCCAGCAGGAAAGAGAGTCCGCATAGCCTCTGCCTCTATGCTGTTCAAGGTCTGGGGATTGCAAAATGCAACCCCTCCCCATAGTGATCTCAGCCTGAGGAAATAAAGAGTAGCTCCTCTTTGTAAAAATGCTGGGTCCCAGCATAGCAGCAGAATGCATGCCCACTTCCTTCTTTGACTGCTCAATGCTGTGACCCAGGGCAAGGCTCTCTTAGGTCTTTGAGGACATTGAAGTGAAAAATTCATGTGTATCTTGGATTATGCAGCAAGTAGCTTCCTAAAAACTGTATGTGAATCATATTTTTTAAAATAGAGTCCCATTTCCCCACGGACGTGGCTATTTGCTCAGAGATGCTTTCTCTTCCTTTCTGATTTATCTCCAACTGGCAGCAGCAAACTATGACCCTAGCTTCACATTTCTCTCCTTCCCAAGTGGCTCATCAATCAATCAACAAAATTTTCATTCAGAGCCTATTATGTGTAAGACATTGTTCATGATCTGTAAAGAGAAGAGGGAATGCACCGAATGCACTAGGGGAACCCGCTCTCTGTGAATCCTCTATAAAACCATGTGAATAGTCAACCTCTTATTTATCTCTTCCGTAAATTCAGATTTTCTTCTATCATGTTTTCCCAAAGAGGTGCCCATGTGTACTGAAGAGCCTGTCTAGGTTACCATAGAAATAGAGAGTCATAAAAGGATATTTAGAAATCTAAGCACTTCTATAAATCGCAATAATAGCAATCACAATTGTTTGGAGCCATAATTGAGACTATTCGTGGTGTGTTCCGAGGAAAAGCACAAATAACTCACCAATCTGCAATTCCTGGCAAAGAGAGCGCAAACTAGGAAAAAGTTAATAATGCTTTAAAAATAAGTTGTGTCAGGCCAACATAATTTTCCTTTGTGACAGAAGACAGACTTCTACAACTGCGGGAACCACAGGTCAGCCACCACCATCTCTAGAGCATGGACTTTTCCTATTGTCTGTGGCACCCAAGACACTTCAAGGCCTACCTCAGCAGCTTCTACTCAGCTTCAGAAGAAAATACCCAAATTTGTTTCATATATTTATAATTCACCTGGTCCACAATGGATTCTGAGGCACTTTATAAAAGATTGTGCAGCACCAAAAGGTAAATACAATCATCCCTCCATATCCACAGGTTGTGCATCCCCAGGTTCAACCAACTGCAGATTGAAAATAATCAGGAAAAAAAAAAAACAGTGAAAAATAACAATACAATAAAAACCACAAATAAAAACAATGCAGTATAACAGCTATTCAGTATTTACATGGTATTAGGTATCATAAGTAATCTAGAGATAATTTAAAGCATATAGGAGGATGTGTGTAGGTTATAAGCAAATGCCTATACCATTTTACACACGGGACTCAAGCACCCACAGATTTCTGGTATCTTTAGGGGGTCCTGGAACCAACCCCCTCCCCATGGATATCAAGGGAGGACTACAGTAAAAAGGGGAAACATCACAGCAAAGGGCTTACTGGAGAATTTTTTATTGTTTGCAAATTATAGACATGAACTCAAGCTAGCTTTATAAGGAAAAATAAGACATAGAATTTTGCAATAACAAATAGTTAAGATTTAATCTGTGGAAATCAAAAGCAAGGAACTAACTGGTCCCAGGAAGAACAATCACCAGCCACAAGTCTTTTTATCTGGATCCCAGGGAGTATCAGCTGCCTGTCCCCCAGCTCTTTCTCTCAGGGCATCGACCTCTCTCTTCTTTGTCAGAAAACTGGCTTTCTTGCTGCCCATCAAATGGTTACCTGCAGCCTCAAAGTCTACTTCTCAGGGCTCAAGCCACCTGGAGAGATGCCCTCTTGGTCCACCCCAAACTCCCAGAAAGATCTGAGCTTTGACCCAGCTCATCACAGATGACCGCCACTTATTCAGAGATTGGTTGAAGCAGAGGGTAGAGCTGTCTTAGTCAGCTCAGACTACCATAACAAAATACCATAGACTTAAACAGCAGGAATTTATTTCTCACAATTCTGGATACTAGAAATCCATGATCAAGGCGCCAGCAGGGTCAGTGTCTGGTGAGGGCTCTCTTGAGTTGCAGATGGCCACCTTCATGTTGTACCCTCACATGGCCTTTCCTGGGTGCATACAGGTGGAGATAGAGAGAGGAAACAAGCTTTCTGGGGTCTCTTCTTATAATTCCATCATGAGGCCCCATCCTCATGATCTCATCTAAACCTAAATACCTCCCAAAGGCCCCATCTCCAAATACCATCACATTGGACGTTAGGGCTTCAATATGAGAAATTTTTTTGGAGGGGTGGAAAAAATCCTGTGCATAGAAGTACATGACATTTTTCAAAATGACAGCTTGGGGTCCACCACCAGGTGTGAGGAGGCACCACCAATGTGAACTCAGCTGCAATTCCAAATGTGTCCTTTACAAAAATTAAAGTATGTGAATAAATGCTTTAAGAATAGCTCTAACGATTTACTAACACCTTCTGAAGGGAAGTTGACAGTTATTTGTTACTTTTTCTTGGTTGAATACACAGCACGCATCCTCCTTCCGCTTGCAGTTGCTCTAATCTACCAATCTCCCAGCCCCTCCCTTTCACTCATTGAAGGTTTGCATTTATGTGCTTTTTCTTCCTCAGGCTTTGCCATCATCCTGGGTGATGTCAGCCAAATGGATGACCCCACAGATGGCCTCTTAATTCTGTTTCTTGACCTACTTATTTCCAATGGTCCTCTCTTCCCCTCCCCCTCATGCTTCAGTAAATGTTATACTTCTAGAATCACTAATGCAAACACTGTCAGCCACAATCTCTTACCCTCCACCTTGCTCACCCAACTCCTCTCACTCTGACAGTTCTTGAACTATAGTTTCTCTCTAGTCATCAGCCTTCTTCTTTCTTCATTTACTAACTCAACTTGGACTCCATGGTCCATGATTTTAACAATATTTTTGCCCATACCTTAGGCTCCCTGAACCATCTGCTGCTTTTTATTCGTACTATCCAGATAAAACCCAAGCCCAGGAAAATCCAACTGAGTGCCACCTCCTAGCCTCTGTCTAAGCAGGAAAAGCCAACCATGGCAGCTTAAGACCACTGCACATTATTGATCCTTAACCTCAAGTGAGCCTGCACTCTGCCAAGCAAACCTACTACATCATCTCTTGCCTTACTTCATAGTAATTTTTTCAAACTTTATTCTTCTCAAACTTCCACCCCTGCTACCCACCCACACTCTTCTGTCTCATCAGGGGATCTTGCCTCCTGCTTTACAGAGAAAACAGATGCTATTAGACAGGAAAATCCCACAATCAAACACACAGATGTGAAGGAAACCCCCCTTTCTCTCTCTCTCTCCTACGGCAGAAGAGCTGACACAACTATCCATCCAAATGATCTTTGGATCCCACTGCCGCCTACCACCTATGGAATCTCTTATTATCATTTTCCCTTTTCCTTACAATACTCACAACCTCTCTCTGATTGATCTTTCTCTGCTTTTAAGCATCTGAGTCGCCAGAGTCCAGTTTCAGCTACTCCCCCGTCTCCCTCGTCCCCTTTACAGTCAACCCTTAAGGAAGAGTTGTCTTCACTCGTGCCTTCATACCCCATGCACTCCACGGTCCACTCTGATCTGTATCTGATGCCCATTATTCTACCTAAATAACCCTTGCTAATATTTCCAATGATGTCCATGCAGCCACGGTGGACATTTTCCAGGCCTCATCTTAGTGGGCCTTTCAATCGCATTTGACACTGTTGTCTTTTCCTCTCTTCTGAAAGACTTTTCCTTAAACTTTCATAACCTAACACCCTTCTTGTTCTATTTTTTCTTCTCTGGCCATACTTCCACTTCCTTTGCAAGTTTATCTTTCTTCTCAGCCCAAACATAGTGGAAGCCCTCAAAACCTCATCCCAGGCATTTCTTCTTGTCTCAGTCAACACTGTCTTCCATCCCACGGTTGCAGTTACCACCAAAACAAAAAAAGACTCACACATTTATAAAACCAGCCCAGACCTCTTTTCTCTGTTCTAGGTCTTCAAGTAAAACTGCTTAATTAGCGTCTCCCCTTGGTTGTTGCTAAAACATCTCACACACAAAAGCTCTACAACTAAACTTTTGTTCTTCTCCACCAGCTTCTCATTCTGCTCTCTTCCAGGAATTATATCTCATTCAATAGCACTACTGACAAACCTATTGTTTAAGCCAGAAGTGTTAGTGTCATCCGGACACCACCTTTTCCTCACTTGCCATATCAAATGAATCACTAAACCTACTGGTTTTACTCTCCTAGTATCTCTTGAACCATCTACTTTTCTCTATCTCTACCAACATCCTAAACCATCTCATACCTGGACTATTTCAGAAACCTTCTACTCTGGGGCTGCTCTAGTTAGCCCTCCACACTGCAGCCAGAGTGATTATTTTTCCTAAATGCATATCTGATCACATGTCTCACCCACCCCTCTTTACTCTTTGACCCCAAACTTATATGAGGACATTTATGTCCCTCCTTGAGGACACTACAGCATCTAAACTTCTTCCCCTCATAGGACACATCCTATCTCACTTGTAATTGTTGATTACATCATACATGCACACACTTGCAAGCATATGCAACACAACCACTGTGAGCTCCTTAAGACAGGAGCCTCATCTTATTCATCTCTGTAGCCCTTGATGATGTCCAGGAAAGATCTGTAGGAATGAATTAACTCAACTGAATTATACTGAAGCCATTCATTTTTAACAGCAGAAAATTCAGAGGATGTGATGTCTCCTTAAACATCAAATTGCCTCCACTAGTCAATACACGAGATAAAAGTTAACATATTGTCAAACTGCTTCATAGTTTCTAAATAGTCCCTGTACCTGCTCTGCAATGACTTTGAGTGATGAAATGAAACAGAGTCCATGCCAAGTATGGGGTGGCATGAAGAAGGGTATGGAGAATATGTGTCAATGGCGGTGGCCAGCTGGGGCCAGGGAGTGGTGACCCTGCTGGGTATCAGGGAAGGAGGCAGGAGAGCAAGGACTGTTATTGTGCTGATAGTAAATGTTTCCACTTGGATCCTCAGCTCCGCCTCCATTCCTCTAATGACTTTTATGAGTACCTACCCAGATCATGCATATCTCTCCTTGGCAGCAGATGGCAGCGGTAATAAGCCACAGTGGCAAGCTAAACACTGACAGGTGGCAGGGAAATGGGCTCTTCTCACCTTTAAAAAGAAAGCTTGTCTGGGAGATGAAGCAAATGAATGAAAACCATGCAGAGATGTGTCTTTTTCAATGAGGCACAAGTCTTTCAAAGTGACTTCCAGTGGCTTTACCTACAGACCAAGAGTACACAGAGAGGGAGTCTTTGTAAATGTGGCCAGTAAATCATTTCTATGGAGCTAGCCCTGATGTCCTGCCTGATGATTAGAATCTAACTCCAGACCACAGACAATGGACTCCAAGGAAACCAAAGGCCCACAGATGGTCCACCCACCCTTCAATAGCACCTCTTTACTTGTCTCCCATGGCATACTGGGCACACCTGTCTCTGAACTTCCACATGGTTTTCTAAAAGCCCTGTAAATATCTGTCCTCTTCCTCCCATTAATCCATAAGCTTTATGGGGAAAGGTACCATGCTATTTTCAACTCTACTATTCCCTAGTGCCCATCAAAATGCTTGATATTTAGTAGGAAATTTGGCAAAATGCAAAGAACAAGCTCAACAAGATCCTGGATTTGAATCTTTCCATCCACATGATATGAAGCAAGACATTCAACCTCCCCGGATTTGTTTTCTTCATTTGTAAAAGTGCGCAACTGCCCTGAAGAGTAAATACAAGAATTAAACTTGGTCCAGAATTTTAATTCTTGAACAGAGCTCCTAGCAAAATGCCTAACACACAGTAGAAACTAGTATTAATTGAACTACTCAAGGAACTAACTCCCTGCCCCACCCCATTTGAAATATTGGAAGGAAGTGAGACTGCTTTAGTTCAGAGATCAGTGAGGTATTTTATATTTACAGAAAGAAAGAATTAACTCATCGAGCACCCGCCATGAGCCCGGCACTCTGCCAGGAACATTCCTCACCACAGCCCTGTGGGTTGGCCATTACTATCCCATATTACAGATAAATATATATAATATATAAACTATAAAATTATACAATATATAAAATATATATTAAATATAATATATAAAATAATATATATTAAATATAAAATAATATATATAATATAATACATAATAATATATAGTATATATAATAAATTATTATTATATTTAATAATATATATTATTTATATACTATATATTATTTATATATACTATATATATTTATATATACTATATATTTATATATACTATATATATACTATATATTTATATATACTATATTTATATATACTATATATTTATATATACTATATGTACTATATATATTTATATGTACTATATATACTATATATATTTATGTTATGTATATTATGTTAGATATATTTATATTATATTTATATTTAAATTATATAATTTAGATATATTAAATTATATATAATTTACATATTATATATTATATATTATAAAATTAAATTATATATTATATATTATAAAATTAAATTATATATTATATATTATATATTATAAATTAAATTATATAAATATATTTATATTTATAACATATTATATTATATTATATATCTATATTATATATTATTTATACTACATATATTTATATATAGTATATATAATATTATATATACTATATATAGTATTTATATATACTATAAATAAATAAATATATATATATAATATATGTCATTGTACGTTTATCTGAGCCCACAGAATATACAACACCAAGTGTGAACCCTCATGTAATCTATGGACTTTGGGTGACTATGATGTGTCACTGCAGATCCATCAATTAATAAATGTATCACTTTTGGTGAGGGATGTGGATAATTACAGTAGCTATGCATATGCAGGGGCAGAGAGTATATGGAAAATCTCTGTATTCTCCTTTCACTTTTGCTGTGAACCAAAAAAAAAAAAAAAAAATGAAACACCATCACCATTGTATTCGCAAAAGATAGAGAAGCAACTCAGAAAACATACAAGAAGTAAAAGAATAGCGTTGCCCCAAAACAAAGAGTAATTCCATGGGAATTGAATGGATAACACAAACATAATGCAGAGATGCCAAGTGAATTCAAAGTGCTTGATGAGTGGATTACATCAGGGAAGGCTGTAAGGAGGCTCTGAGCACTTTTCTGCAAAGGCGTGTTTATGTCTTTCTAGAAGGTTAACCTGAACAACCTTTGTGAACTAGGTCCCACTCCTGCCCAGTAGTCTGGACTGTCTGATATGAGCTACCTTCCAGGGACTTACAGAGAAGAGGGAAATCCTAGGCTGGGGAAAAGAAGTTGGTCAGTTGTCATGGAGACACCACTAACAGAAGGTGATGGTCACTGGAGCAAGAGGGGTGACGCCAACCATCATGTGGAAAAAAGAAAACCCATCATTGACAGTGGTATTTCTTAGCTAAGCCTTTTTAAGAAGAGGTGAGCTTACCAACCAAAAAAAGTCCACGACCAGACAGATTCTGAGCCAAATTCTACCAGAGGTACAAGGAGGAGCTGGTACCATTCCTTTTGAAACTATTCCAATCAATAGAAAAAGAGGGAATCCTCCCTAACTCATTTTATGAGTCCAGGATCATCCTGATACCAAAGCCCAGCAGAGACACAACAACAAAAAAGAGAATTTTAGACCAATATCCCTGATGAACATCGATGCAAAAATCCTCAACAAAATACTGGCAAACTGAATCCAGCAGCACATCAAAAAGCTTATCCACCATGATCAAGTTGGCTTCATCCCTGCGATGCAAGGCTGGTTCAACACACACAAATCAATAAATGTAATCCATCATATAAACAGAACCAAAGACAAAAACCACATGATTATCTCAATAGATGCAGAAACGGCCTTCGACAAAATTCAACAGCCCTTCATGCTAAAAACTCTCAATAAATTAGGTATGATGGGACGTATCTCAAAATAATAAGAGCTACTTATGAAAAACCCACAGCCAATATCATACTGAATGGGAAAAAACTGGAAGCATTACATTTGAAAACCGGCACAAGACAGGGATGCTCTCTCTCACCACTCCTATTCAACATAGTGTTAGAAGTTCTGGCCAGGGCAATCAGGCAGGAGAAGGAAATACAGGGTACTCAATTAGGAAAAAAGGAAGTCAAATTGTCCCTGTTTGCAGATGACATGATTGTATGTTTAGAAAACCCCATCATCTCAGCCCAAAATCTCCTTAAGCTGATAAGCAACTTCGGCAAAGTCTCAGGATACAAAATCAATGTGCAAAAATCACAAGCATTCCTATACACCAATAACAGACAAACAGAGAGCCAAATCGTGAGTGAACTCCCATTCACAATTGCTTCAAAGAGAATAAAATACCTAGGAATCCAACTTACAAGGGATGCAAAGGACCTCTTCAAAGAGAACTAAAACCACTGCTCAACAAAATAAAAGAGGACACAAACAAATGAAGAACATTGCATGCTCATGGATAGGAAGAATCAATATCGTGAAAATGGCCATACTGCCCAAGGTAATTTATAGATTCAATGCCATCCCCATCAAGCTACCAATGACTTTCTTCACAGAATTGGAAAAAACTACTTTAAAGTTCATATAGAACCAAAAAAGAGCCCGCATTGCCAAGACAATCCAAAGCCAAAAGAACAAAGCTGGAGGTATCACACTACCTGACTTCAAACTATACTACAAGAGTACAGTAACCAAAACAGCATGGTACTGGTACCAAAACAGAGATATAGACCAGAGCAGATATAGATATAGAACAGAACAGAACAGATATAGATATAGAACAGAACAGAGCCCTCAGAAATACTACCACACATCTACATCAAACTGATCTTTGACAAACCTGAAAAAAACAAGAAATGGGGAAAAGATTCCCTATTTAATAAATGGTGCTAGGAAAACTGGCTAGCCATATGTAGAAAGCTGAAACTGGATCCCTTCCTTACACCTTATACAAAAATTAATTCAAGATGTATTGAAGACTTAAATGTTAGACCTAAAACCATGAAAACCTTAGAAGAAAACCTAGGCAATATCATTCAGGACGTGGGCATTGGCAAGGACTTCATAACCAAAACACCAAAAGCAATGGCAACAAAAGCCAAAATTGACAAATGGGATCTAATTAAACTAAAGAGCTTCTGCACAGCAAAAGAAACTACCACCAGAGTGAACAGGCAACCTACAGGATGGGAGAAAATTTTTACAATCTACCCATCTGACAGAGGGCTAATATCCAGAATCTACAAATAACTTGAACAAATTTACAAGAGAAAAACAAACAACCCCATCAAAAAGTAGGCAAAGGATATGAACAGACACTTCTCAAAAGAAGACATTTATGCAGCCAACAGACACATGAAAAAATGCTCATCATCGCTGGCCATCAGAGAAATGCAAATCAAAACCACAATGAAATACCATCTCACACCAGTTAGAATGGTGATCATTAAAAAGTCAGGAAACAACAGGTGCTGGAGAGGATGTGGAGAAATAGGAACACTTTTACACTGTTGGTGGGACTGTAAACTAGTTCAACCACTGTGGAAGTCAGTGTGGCGATTCCTCAAGGATCGAGAACTAGAAATACCATTTGACCCAGCAATCCCATTACTGGGTATATACCCAAAGGATTATAAATCATGCTGCTATAAAGACACATGCACACGTGTGTTTATTGCAGCACTATTCACAATAGCAAAGACTTGGAACCAACCCAAATGTCCATCAATGATAGACTGGATACAGAAAATGTGGCACATATACACCATGGAATACTATGCAGCCATAAAAAATGATGAGTTCATGTCCTTTGTAGGGACATGGATAAAGCTGGAAACCAGCATTCTGAGCAAACTATCGCAAGGACAGAAAACCAAACGCCACATGTTCTCACTCATAGGTGGGAACTGAACAATGAGAACACTTGGACAGAGGATGGGGAACATCACACACCAGGGGCCTATCGTGGGGTGGGGCGGGGGGATAGCATTAGGAGATATGCCTAATGTAAATGATAAGTTAGTGGGTGCAGCACACCAACATGGCACATGTATACATATGTAACAAACCTGCATGTTGTGCACACATACCCTAGAACTTAAAGGATAATTAAAAAAAAAAAAAGAAGAAGAAGAGGTGAGCTCAGAAAGCTCAGGAACCAAACTCTCTATGTGTACAGCGGGGTAGTGATAGGCAGCTAGCAGTGCTGCTATGAGTGTTCAACGTGATCCTGAATATAACAGGTCTAATGCAGTGTCAGGCACATTTAATATACAGTAGCAACTATTAACTGGTCAGTTAATTTCCCAACACTTTTATCCCCAGAAGCTGAAATTCCCTAGAAAATGCCTTTTGAATTTGGATGTGAGGAGACAAGTAAAAATTGTTTCTCCACTGGAGTCTCCACTGGCAGATTTGTTTTCCCTAAAGTGCCTCTTTTATTTAATCCATGATATTATTCCAGTATATCCATTATAGCAAATACTCTTAAGAAGCAAGGCTTGAATTCAGAAATAAATTGCACTCACAGATCATATCTGCGAATGTGCATCATTAGTGTTTAACTGGCAAAACTAGATACAAGGAAGATAGATGATCCCATTGGAAAAAGCCAAATCGGATTTTGAAGAGACTTTGACTTGCCCCCTTTCACTTTTTCTTCCTGGCAAAGGAAAAGCAAAAACTAAATGGCTTCGCATATGGTTTTTGTGCATTTGCAACAAGTCAGGAGAGGCACATTGGTCTTCGGCTGGTCAGCTCTGTGGGCCGTTTATCTGTTATTGACATCACAGAGAAAGCCTGGGATGGAAACAACTCCTCATGTTTGCGTCAAGTACTGTTAATATTTGTTTGCAGCCCTCCTTTTCTTCTTAGAACTGAAAACCAGCCATCTATTTCCCTCAGACTAGAATCTATTATTTATGAATTATTTCTCTATTCATCGCTTTGCTCTGAAACGCGGTACTGCCAAACCCTTCCAGCTGATCAAGGGTTTCAGACAAAAGGAATGCAAAGACAGAACAGCATCCAAAAATAGAAATTAAATCCATTTATCCTTATTCCACCTGACAAAGGAATTATGCTGACTGGCATGATTTTTACCTACACACAGGAAAAAAATGGTGAAGAAAAGAAAACCTATGTTTGAATGTTCCCAGCCTCCCTTTTTATTGGCCCTACAGTGCCCTTCTTCCCTCTTCTCTGGCCCCCGGGTCCCTGGCCTGGCCAGCTCCCACCCGCTTTCCAGGCAGGCTTTGCCACGGAACACCAGAGCTCAGTGAGGCTCCTGAGTACCACCGTCCAGACCCTGGGCAAGACCCAGGAAGAAGCCACAAGGAAAGGCCAGCAGCAGAGGCAGCCCAGCCCAAAACAGGAAGTGCAGGAAAAGACCTGGGCAAAGTGAAGCAGGGATCCTGGGAAGCTTTCCCAAAGAAAGACGCAGGGTTCCGTGACTCCTCTAATTGATCCCACAGCCACATCAACCTGGGCTGAGGACGCAGGCCCAGTCATAGGGCTTAAGTTTACTTTAAAGATAACGAACTCCATCCCGGTGCCCCTCCACCGTGGTGGGCCTGGGGTCCATTTCCATTCTTCCCAGTGAAACTTCTATTTCAATGGTTTAACTAGACACATTAGTCCAGTGGTTTGAGCACAAGAATACAACATCAAAAATTATATATATATATGTATATATATATACACATACATACATACATATATATATATACACACACACACACACACACACACACACACACACCTAAACCCACAGGCACACATACCTTTAAAATTTCAAGTATACTTATATTGTCCAAGCAAATATGTATATATTTATTAATACATTCTGAAAACTAGCCACAGTTACACGCAATAATGTTTCAAACTTCAGACAACTTTAAGTCTCCAGAATCCAGCTACAGTTAAGAAGGCAAAGAACTTGGCCCCTGAGTGGCCAAGCCACTAAATACAGTTCCTGATTGTCCCACATGTCCCTGGAGTCTAATCTAGTCCATGAAGTAGAATTGTGGGCCTGGGGCTGACAGCAAAACTCTCACTTCTTCAGAGCTGCAAATGCAAAAAAAATTAGGAAATGGGCACATTGAGAGGAAGAGAGTAAGCCAGAAAAGAGAATGCACACAGCATCAAATCAAAAAATCAGCCTACACTAGTTGCTGGGAGCCAGAGGATTCAAACACCAGGCAGACAAGAACAACAACCTCCGACTGGTGCTGGCAGGTGGGAGGGGTCCTGGGTGAATACCGAAACCTGGAGGAGTAGCCGCAGCGGATAAAGCGTATGTGCTGCCTGGTGCCTGAGAGTCAACAGCCTGGGTTTCTTTAAAGGCCTAGAGATGCAGAGCAAGACACACAGCAATTGCCCCAGGCCTCCCTGTTGAACAGCAATTGAACACGCTGGAGTTTCTCATCTTCCGCTTAGAGCAAATCAAAAGCAGCAAATTACAAGTGACAAGCAAGAAACTGACACTTGTTACTCATGACACAGCAGCAGGGAGTAACAGCGGGAATGTGACAAAAGGAAAAGAAACTCCCTAAATTAAGAAAGGACATAGACAAGAACTCTAAGCACAGCTCCGCCACTTCCTAAGGCCCTTGATGATGTCACTTAGCCTCACAACGATGTGCCTTCCTTGTCTGTTAGATATCAATGATGACACCTGTTCGCGGGGCTGTCATGAGGATTTAATGAAACATGGATCTGAAGAGTCAGTCGGTCCCTGGTACATAGAAGAAGCCCAAAAACATTGCTTCCTTCCTCCGTTCCTACATGGATTAGCTTCAGTCCACTCGCCTAACAAAGCACTTGACCCTTAGCTGCTCTCCCAGAGAACCAGGGAGGAATGTTGCTATTATCTCATATTGAGGAGAGAATGAAGACTCAAGGGTTAGACCACATGGACAACTTTAAAAAACCAGAGAAGGCTGATATGGTTAGGCTTTGTGTCCCCACTCAGATTTCATCTTGAATTGTAATCCTCATAATCCCCACGTGTCAAGGGAGAGATCAGGTGGAGGCAATTGAATCATGGAGGGGGTTTCCCCTATGCCGTTCTCGTGAGAGTGAGTTCTCATGAGATCTGATGGTTTTATAAGGAGCTCTTTCCCCTTCGCTTGGCATTTCTTCTCCTGCCACCGTGTAAAGAAGGTGCCTTGCTTCCCCTTCACCTTCTGCCATGATTGTAAGATTCCTGAGGCCTCCCCAGTGATGCTGATCTGGGAGTCAATTAAACCTCTTTCCTTTATAAATTACCCAGTCTCAGGCAGTACTTTATAGAAGTATGAAAAGGAACTAATACAATGGCCTTTTAAGAGGAGAGTCAAGTGTGAAATTTCTTGGCATGACACCTTGGATACCAACCAACAGGTGCTGCCATTGTCACCGTCGTTGTTGTTTTGACAATCTGCAAGAGAAGAAAATGCTTCACCCCTGTCTTAGTCTCCTTAGGCTGCTATAAGAAAATACCTCAGAGTGGGTGGCTTATAAGCAACAGAAATTTATTCCTAACAGTTCTGGGAGGTCCAAGATCAAGGTGCTGGCAGAGTTAACGTCTGGTGAGGGCTGGCTTCCTGGTTCTTAGACAGCATCTTTCTCACATGGTGGAAAGGGCAAGGGGTTTCTCTGAGGCATCTTTTAGAAAAGCTCCAACCTCATTCACAAGAGCTCCACCCTCATGACCTAATCACTTCTCAGAGGCCCTGCCTCCCATCACTGTCACCTTGGGAATTAGGATCTCAGCATATGAATTTAGACAGGGACACAAACATTCAGACCACAGCACCCTTTTATGAAACATCCTGCTATGGTTTGAATGTTTCCCCCAGATTCATGTGGTGGAAAAGTAATCCTCAATGCAACTGTGTTGGGAGGTGGAGCCTAATAGAAGGTAATTGAGTCACAGAGCCTCATAGTGGGCCTTGCAAGTCGTGCTACTGGGACTGGGCTTTACTGCAGGGCCTCTGGAGTGTTTCACACTGTGGAGTGGCAGGCCACATTTGCACTCTGGAAACACCATTCCTTATGGCAAGTCTCCTGTGGCTCCAAGGGGACTTCCTCTATTGCTCCTTAGCACCGCAATGTCTAGGGAGAAATAGCATACAAGCTATACTTGATGTAATTTTAAATTTTCTTGCATAAAAATAAAAAGAAACAGATAAAATTAACTTTAACAATATTTTTAACCTAACATCTCCCAGATATTATCAATTTAGCATGTTATCAATATACAAAAATACTAATAAAGTATATTACTTTTGTATCCATACTTAGCCTTTGAAATCTGGTGTGTATTTTGAACTTACAAAACATCTCAATTCTGACTAGCCACATTTCACATGGTAGTTAATGGCTACCACAGCTGACAGTGCAGATCAGACGCACCCTCTGGTGACCTGGGTTTAAACAAGCATTTTGGAGAGAGTCTCCACTGGATGTAAAAAGCATTGAAAAGTCATTATGAGGAAGCTGGGAGAGAGACGTGCAGATTGACCGTCCCACTTCACCAATAAACCCCAGCATGCCCTCCTGGAATTTTCTTTAAGATAAGAATCTTTATCTTATTTGCCATAAATCTTACCTTCAGTCAAAACAAAATGCCATTCCTTGGTGCCTTGGAGAATACCAGAGTCTGGAAAATGAAACTTGGAGGAAATACTAAAGGGTCTTCAGGAGAACTCATGTGGTCTCCTCGTGCCACCTTGGGACCTCCACCAGGAGCACATTGAAGCACTGGCTACTTAGGACCCCTAGAGGGCGTGGGGATTCTGCATGGTCCTGGGGTTCCCAGGGTAGAAGTGTTCTTCCTGCCAGAGAAGCACCCAGAGTGTCCCTGGCACCATTTCTTCAAGGGGACAAGAATCTGTTGGTGACCAGCACCAGAGTGGAGGCAAGAAACCAGTAATACCTGGTTTCCACACCAAACTTTTTGAATATTCTCCAACAGCAGATTTCCCTTACAAATCTGCTGTTGGAGAAACAGGCAAACCACAAACACTCTTTCAAGCACAGAACTCTCCGAGAAGTTGATGGGCTGCCTCTCACTCTTCCAGTGTAGCTGGAAGAATGCGCAACGTGGTTTTTGGTACAAGCCAGGAGCAAACTGGTATTTTCTTCTTTATCTTCCTCTAAAAGCAGATCTGTGGGGCAAACATTCTTGCGGGGAGAATAAAAATATTGTGTGCTTTGATTTTGGCCTCACTGCATATTTTGTCAACACAGGTTAACAAGGCAAAAGGGGAAGAGAAAGGACAAAAAGACAAGTGTGAGGGGCTTTATGTAAGAAAAGCTGCTGATAAGCACATGAGCCACACACAGCCCTTTCAGTGCCTGCATCTGGTGTGTGGAGATAACAAAGGCACCTTACCCTTTTTGATGGGGGAAAGAGGTTTTGCCATGTGACAAGTTAGCTCCACTAGAGAAGGAATTTTATATCAGTTATTTCCCTCATGTTAAAACAAAAAAACGGAGAGAAGCAGAGCGTCACGCCCAGCACATGCGGCAACCTTATCTTCTCCATAGCTAACTCTTTTCCTCCATGAGCTCGTCCAGTCCCGTGGCTTTAAATTCCATCTAAATGTGTGGTTCCCAAGGGTTTACCTTGAGCCCCCTGCCCAGCTCCACCACGCCCCATCTGTTCCTGGCCCTATTTCCCTCTCATCGCAGTTGACTGATTACTCAGTCCAGAACTCTTACAGGTACCCTTGACTATCTCTCTCTCATCCCACAGTCAAACCATCAGTAAATCTTGTGGCTCAGAATGCACCCAGGATCTGACCACTCCCATCCTCTGCCACCATCCTAAGCCAGCCCCACCTCTCCCCTGCTACACAGGCTTTCTCAGCAGTCTCCTCACTTCCACTCTACCAACCCCTACAATCCACTATCCACACAGCAGTGAGATTGCTCCTTTGAGAACCTAAGTCAGATCATGTCATTCCTCCACTCAAAGTCGTCAGCTCCCCAGCTTCCACTGAATGAAAGCTCAACTCCTTGCCAAGGCCTGCAGGCCCTCCAGCAGCTCCCACTCAGCTCCAGCCACTATGACCTCCTTGCTGGCTCCCTAGGGATGCCATTTCACTCCTGCCTCAGGGCCTTTGCACTGCAGTCCCTTTCGACTAGTCCTACCACAGACCTTCACACAACTCTCTTCTTCAATTCATTCAGTTATACGACCAAAGCCACCCCTTCAGAAGGCCTTCCTAGACCACCCCACCCAAAACTGCATCGCCACTGTACTGTATTTCCTTATTCTACTTTATTTTTATTCATAGCACTTACAACTACCTGACTTTATATTATATTTTATTTGCTTACTTACCTGTCATCTGTCTACCCCCACCAAAATGTAAACTCTAGGAAGGCAAAGACTTATCTTATCCATTGCTACATCTACATGCCTAGAAGAAGAATGCTTAGTACCTAGACAATCAATAAATATTAGTCACACACAAAAGATGTATTGTTCGGGATGTGGAAAAAGGGAACCCTTGTACCCTGTTGTTGGGAAAGTAAATTAGTATGGCCATTACGGAAAATAGTACGGATGTTCCTCAAAAAAATTAAAAACAAAACTATGATATGATCCAGCGATTCTACCTCTGGGTGTATGCCCAAAGGAAATAAAACCGGTATGTCGAAGAGATATACTGTCCAACATGTTCATATACTCACATGCTCATTTTAGCACTATTCACAATAACCAAGACATGGAACCAACCTAAGTGTCCATCAGTGGATGAATGATAATGAAATCATGGGGCCAGTCGCAGTGGCTCACGCCTGTAATCCCAGCACTTTGGGAGGCTGAGGTGGGAGGATCATGAGGTCAGGAGTTCAAGACCAGCCTGGCCAACATGGTGAAACCCCATCTGTACTACAGATACAAAAAATTAGCCAGGCGTGGTGGAGCATGCCTGTAATCCAAGCTACTCAGAAGGCTGAGACAAGAGAATTGCTTGAACCTGGGGGGCAGAGGTTGCAGTGAGCCAAGATCGCACCATTGTACTCCAGCCTGGCAACAGGGCAAGACTTTGTCTCAAAAAAAAAGAAAAAAAAGAAATCATGGTATGTATACACAATGGAATACTAATCAATATTTTGAAAAAAGGAAATCCTGTCATTTTCAACAATATGAATGAACCTGGAGGATACTATGCTAAGTGAAATAAACCAGGCAGGCTTTCTCCTATGACCGGCGAGGCCACGGGACCTGGCCCCAACAGGGCTCTCTGGGCTCATCACTCACTAATCTCTTCCCTTCTTACTGTTTCTGGAACATAATAAGCTTATTTGCCCCTCAAGGCCTTTGTCCTTGTTATTCCCCTGCCTAGAAAGACTCTCCCTTCACTCAGATGCTGCTTCACTCAGCCATCCTATCTAAGATAGCCACCACGGCCACCTCAGCCCCGACTTGGACACTCTGGGCCTTCAATCTTCTTCATTTTTCCCCAGAACTTTATACAATCACTTCCTGGACTTATTCGTTTGTCTTCCTGGTGGTATGAGACCTCCCTGAGGACAGATTGTTTTCCTGTCTTCCGTATCCAGGACATTGCCTGATGCACAGTAGGTACCCAACAAATATTAGTAGAATAAATGAATGAGGCAAGTAGCCAGAAGGAGACTGTGTAACCCACATGCAAATAAAAGTGGAAAATGTGTTCCTGCTGTCAGCAACCTTATCCCCCAAACCTATGGTCTCCTATGGAATGGTTAAAAACTCTGATTCAACCCATTGGAAGCTTAGGCCACTGTCATGGGGTGAAGATCTTAGCTATGACACCCCAGAAATAAAGCCAGGGGAACAATCTGCAAGTAAGAGACTTCAGCATTGGGAATCAGGAATATGACACATCACTACTTTGGTTATAGATTAAGCTTGCTTTGATCCCAGACCTCTCCACCTTTGCTCACTTTTTTTGCTGTCAGCCACCCCAAAGTCTTAAAAAGATAAGGCAGAATGGCAGTGTGTTTTCTTTCAAGAGTTTTAAATAGGAAAAGTTCCCAGTACTACCTAGTCTGAGCTGAAAAGTTTCCACTCCTGAACCTTGGTATCTAATAAGATTTTTCTTCCTACCCAGCAAAATTATAAGTTCAAAAAAACTTAGTCATGGAATCAATGAGCTAGAAGGTTTATCCATGTACATTAAGTCCAGCTTCTCCCATTGCACAGATGAGGAACCTGAGGCACAAACACACAATCGGCTCAACGTTTCATGGTGAATTTGGGCAGAGTGGAGGCAAGAACCTTGGCTTGTGCCTTCCACTTAAAGCACACTCAACTACCAGCTGCTTAACCTGCCCTTGAGTTTGTCCTGGGAAAGCTTCCCTACTCTAAATTTGAGACCCAAATAAATTATTTTCATAAAACCTAGAACTGAAGGTCATTTGGCCAAAATGTGACTGCATCTGGTTGACTCCTTCACAAGGCAGGCAATTGCTTGAACAGGCTGAACTGTTGGAGTTGTTGCTTACGTTGATTCTGGCTCTGCTTCCCTGGTGCCTCTATTGGTCCCAAGTGTGCCCTCCGGGAGGCAGATATGACAGTGATTAAAAATATGTGCTTTCATAACAGATGAATCTGTTTCAAATTCTGGCTCCTCCCATTACTAGAGGTGTGGCCTGGTAATATTTATTTAGCCTCTCTGCAAGATGGGAAACAGTGTGAATAATATGACCCTTTTATGTAGATAAAAATAGATGGGCATAGATACACCCTGTTTCACTGACTCTAAGATGCACATGTAACCATTCTACCAAAAATTTAAAGGACCCAGTTCAAAATGGCTGACTAAATGTAGCCATGTGTACCTCCTCCACAAGAGAAACAAAACCAGCAGGTAGATATTCCCACTTTAGATCAATAGATCACCTAAGAGAGACACTGGGACTCAACACACAAGAGTCAGGAAGCTATTGAAGAAGAGAAGGACAGGCAAGCCAGGCAGCCTGCTCAACCAGGATCAGCTGGGAACCAAAATGTGAGGAAAGGGAAAGTGAGAGTCCCCCAGGCCTCCTCCGTCCTGCCACAGACTTTTACAATTCTAGATGTGGGAGAGCCCCTTGACCCATGCAGGCCTTGAGACTAACACAGAGAGGTGCCTAGAGATTGCACAGAGGCACTGCTCCAGAGAGGAAGCTCACACTGAATCCCACAGGCTTCCAAGCCCTGAGAAGCTGCAGCTTGGTGCCAATCTGAGAGCTAAGCCCCCAAAGAAACATGTCCTGCCCTGCGTCCAACTGGACTGCTGCCACCCCAGGCCAAGGAGGGAGAGGGGAGAGTAGGCACTTTCACATGCCATGAAGACAAACCCCACTGCCACTGCTGTGGGCTGCTTTAGGACCAAAGGGCAAGAAACCACACTCCGCACTGCAACCCACATATGTCACTCCAGCAGAGGGGCCCTGCCTTCCCAGATCACAGGCCTGCAGCCAGCACCATTCTGACGGCCCAAACTCCTAATGGCTGCATCTTACCTTGGGGCCAGGGCTGATGCTTCTATTGTCACTGCCTAGCCAAGGAGGGAGAAGACAGGCTGGGATTTCACACACCACAAAGATGAATACCACCACCGCCACTGCAGGCTGCTGTAGAACCAAGGTACAAGGAAACCATGCATCCCAAAGCTACCTGTCTACACTGCTCCCACTGAGAATAGCCTCACCCTCCCCAGTGGAAGGCCTGCAGCACAGCCATCACCACTCACACATGACCATTCTGCCCATGGACTGGAGATCACTCCATCCCTGCTTATCTCAGCCAGTGACTGAATGTACTACCAGGGGGCCTGAGGACAAGTCTGTCAGCCTCGTCCTCTCTCCCTAGTACTTGAGCATGCCATCCAGGAACCTGGAAACCACCCAGCACAGTCCATCACCATTTGCACCTGAACACTTCTCCCAGGGTCTGAGGTCAGGCCATCACAACCTGCCAATGACCACCACAGCTGGCACCCACCCTCATGCACCACCAGCAGGCCAAGTGACTGAAACACCCAACCTGTCATGGTCACCACCAGCATCAACATGGTCCATTTGGATTCCAGTGGATTGGTCCACCACCACTACTGCCCTTGTTGCACATCACATCTGCTACCCACGGACCCAAGAGCCCACCAACACACCCAGCCCACCACTGCCATTACTGGCCTCTGAGCAAGCCACCTGGAGACCCAAGCATCAATCTTCCTGGACCAACTAACACTGGTACCAGTGTATGCCACCCTGAGTCCCAAAGACAGGTGTGCTCAGCACACCACTGCCATCCCTGGAACCTGAAGACTGACCCACCCTGGCATCCCAGTCCCTGGCAAAACTTTATCACGGACTCCAGTAATAACCACTCTAAAGCCAACAAGGAAATCACAGGTGCCAGTGGCACTGTTTGCAGTCAAAGAAATCATACAGAGATTACATCCATACATGCACCCCAAATCAAAGCCAAAGCACCCAATGTGACCAACAATGTAGATACATCTATAGGGAAAAAAAATCTCCCCTATAAAAGCAGATTCAAAAAATTGGAAGAAGTGGCTGTTACACCAGATGCACAGATATCGATGTAAGGACACAGACACAGAAACATAAAAAAGCAAGGAAATATAGTACCTTCAAAAGAATACAATAATTCTTAAACAACAGACACCAATCAAGAACAACTTTATAAAGTCCCAGGTAAATAATTTAATTACTGATTTTTAAACTTAGCAAGACACAAGAGAATCCTGAAATATAATACAGAGGAGTCAGAAAAACAATTCAGGATAAGAATGAGAAATTTAATAAAGAAACATTCTAATGGACATTCTATTAAAGAGGCATTAATAGACATTCTATTAAAGAACTAAGGAGGACTTCTGAAACTGAAGACATCATTGAATGAAACACAAAATACATTCAACAGCTTCAACAATAGATAGTTGAATAGATTCTTTCTTCAAGTAGAAGAATTTCAGAACTTAAGTCTTTTGAATAATCCAGTCAGACAAAAATAAAGAAAACAATAAAAAAGAATAAGCAAAGCTTTTGTAACATTTGGGAAAACATAAAGCAACCAAAAAGAATTGTCAGTAACCCTAAGGGCAAATAGAGAATAAAAGGATTGGAAAACTTCTTTAATGAAATAATAGATGAAAACTTCTCAAGTCTGGCAAGAAATATAAACATCCAGATACAGGAGGCTTAGCAATCCCCAGGAAGATACAAATGCAAAAAGATCTTCTCCACAGCCCGTTATAGTCAAACTGCCTAAAGTCCAAGATAAAGAGTAAATCCTAAGAACAGCAAGAAAAAAGCATCTAGTCACCTCTAAAGGAAACTCCATTAAACTAACAGTGGATTTCTCAGCAGAAATCTTACAAGCCAGAAGAGAACTGAATGACATATTCACAGTGCTAAAAGAAAATAACTGTCAGCCAAGAATGCTATACTCAGCAAAATAATCCTTTGTAAATGAAGGAGAGATAAAGCCTTTCCCAGACAATCAAATCCTGAGGGAATTCATTACCACTAGACCAACCCTACAAGAAATGCTCAAGAAAGTCCTAAACCTGAAACCAAAGGGATATTTACAATAATGAAAACACATAAAAGTATAAAACTCACTGGTAAAGCAGTCACACAAATGAGGAAAAGAAAGGACTCAAATGATACTACTATAGAAATCCACCAAACCACACTGAGAAACAATATGAGAAAAATGAAGAAAGTATGTATATATAAAACAACCAGAAAACAATTATAAATAGACAGGAACAAAACCTCACATATCAATAATAACCTCGAACATGAATTAAATGCTTCACTTAAAAGATATCGAATGGCTAGAGATTGTGCCACTGCACTCCAGCCTGGGGGACAGAGTGAGACTCTGTCTCAAAAAGAAAAAAAGATATATCATGGCTAAATGGACTTTTAAAAACATGACCCAACTACAATACGTTAACTATAACTTATTATAACTATAACTGGTAAGGTGAGTTTCTTATAAGCAACTGTAATAAGTTTCTTACAAGAAACTCACCTTACCAGTAGAGACACATATAGATTGAAAGTAAAGGGATGGAAAAAGATATTCCATGCAAACAGAAACAGGAAGTAAGCATTAATAGCTATATGTATATCACATGAAACAGACGTTAAGTCAAAAACAGTAAAAAAAAAAAAAAGACAAAGAAGAAAATTATATAAAGGGATTGATCCAACTAGAGGATATATAAATCTTAAATATATATGGGCCCAACACTGGAGCACAAAGATTCATAAAGCAAATATTCTAGACCTAAAGAGAAGGATACACTGAACACAATAATACTGAGGGACTTAAACACCCTACTGTCAGCATTAGACATATCATCAAGACAGAAATTTCAACAAAGAAACATTATATTTAAACTGGACTTTAGACCAAATGGACCTAACAGACATTTACAGAATATTCCATCCAACAACTGCACAATGTACACTTTTTTTCATTAGCACTTAGAACATTCTCCAGGATAGATCACATGCTAGGCCAAAAACAAGTCTCAACAAATTTTTAAACATCAAAATTATATCAAGTATCTTCTCAGACCACAGTGGAATAAAGCTACAAAGGAATTCCAAGATAAACTTTGGAAACTATAAAAATAGATTACCATAACCCTAATTAACAACATGCTCCTCTATGACCATTAGGTCAATGAAGAAATTAAGATAGAGATAAAAAAAATTTTTGAAACAAATGCAAGTCAACACACCAAAACCTGCAGGACACAGCAGAAACAGTGCTAAGAGGGAAGTTTATAGCAATAAATGCCTACATCAAAAAAGTAGCAAGATTACAGATTAATATTCTAACAATGCACCTATTGGATGTCTTCTACAATTACCAAAAATGTTTAATTAAAAATAACAATGCACCTTAAGGAACTAGAAAAACAAGAATAAGCAAAACCTAAAATTAGCAGAAGAAAAAAAAATAACAGAGATTAGAGCAGAAGTAAATGAAACAGAGACTAGAAAAACACAAAAAATTAGTGAAACAAAAAGTTCATTCTTCAGAAAGATAAAATTGATAAGCCACTTAGCTAGACTAACCAAAAAAAGAGGAGAGAAAACTCAGAAACGAAGAAGAAGAGATTACAACTGATACCACATGTATTAGTTTGTTCTCACATTGCTATATAAATAAAAAAAAAACCTACATGAGATTGGGTAATTTCTAAATAAAAGAGATTTAACTGACTCATAGTACCACAGGCCATACCAGAAGCATGTGTGGGGATGCCTCAGGAAACTTACAATCATGGCAAAGGGCCCCTCCCCCAACATTGAGGATTACAATTCAACATGAGATTTGGGCAGGGACATAAATATAAACCACATCATTCTGCCCCTGGCCCCTCCCAAATATCATGTCCTTTTCACATTGCAAAATACAGTCATCTCTTCTTCACAGTCCCCCAAGTCTTAACTCATTCCAGCATTAACTCAAAAGCCCCTGCAGTAGACTTCTTCGTGGACATCTAGGCATTTCCATACATCCTCTGAAATCTAGGTGGAGGCTCCCAAGCCTCAACTCTTGCCCTCTGCATACCCACAGCTTAAAACCACATGAAAGCCACCAACAATTATGACTTGCACTTTCTGGAAGAGCAGCCTGAGATGTATGTGGGGCCCTTTTAGCCACAGCTGAAACTGGGGTAGCTGAGATGCAGTGAGCAGTGTCCAGAGGCTGTGCAGGCTGCAGGGTCCTAGGCCTGGCCCATGAAACTATTCTTTCCTCCTAAGCCTCCAGGCCTGTGATAGGAGGGGCTTCCACAAAGGTCTCTGAAATTCCTTTGAGGTATTTTCCCCATTGTCTTGACTGTTAACAGTCACCTCCTTGTTACTTAACACAAATTTCTGTGGCTGGCTTGAATTCCTCCCCAGAAAATAAGTTTTTCTTTTCTACCACATGGTCAGGCTGCAAATTTTCTAAACTTTTATGCTCTCCTTAAATATAAGTTCGAATTTCAGATCACCTCTTTGCTCACATATATGACCATACACTGTTAGAAGCAGCCAGGCCACATGTTGAATGCTTTGCTGCTTAGAAATTTCTTCTGCCAGATACCCTAAATCACCAGTATCAAGTTCAACGTCCCATAGATCCCTAGAGCAGGGACACAATGTCACCAGTCTCTGTGCTAAAGCATAGCAAGAGTGACCTTTACTCCAGTTCCCAGTAAGTTCCTCTTCTGCATCTGAGACCACCTCAGCCTGGACTTCATTGTCCATATCACTATCAGCATTTTGGTCACAACATTCAACTAGTCTCTGGGAAGTTCAAAACTTTCCCTCATGTTTCTGTCTTCTTCTGAGCTCTCCAAACTGTTCCAAATTCTACCCATTACTCAGCTCCAAAGTTCCTTCCACATTTTCAGGTATTTTTATAGCAAGGCATCACTTCCTGATACCAAATTTCTGTATTGGTACCATTCTTGCATTGCTATGAAGAACTACCTGAGACTGGGTAATTCATAAACAAAAGAGGTTTAATTGGCTCACAGTCCCACAGTCTGTACAGGAAGTATGGCTGGGGAGGTCTCAGGAAACTTACAATTATGGCAGAAGGTGAAAAGGAAGGAGGCATATCTTACATGTCCAGAGCAGGAGGAAGGGGGGAGAGGTGCCACACACTTTTAAACAACCATATCTCATGAAAACTCACTATCACAAGAACAGCAAGGGGGAAATCTGCCCCCCATGATCCAATTACCTCCCATATAAGCCCCTCCTCCAACATTGGTGATTACAATTTGACAATGAGATTTGGGTGAGGACACAAATCCAAACCATATCACCACAGAAATACAAAAGATCGTCAGTGACTATTATAAACAAGTATACACTAACAAATTGGGAAACCTAGAGGAATGGATAAATTCCTGGAAACATACAACCTCCCAAGATTGAATCAGGAATAAACAGAAAACCTGATCAGACCAGTAATGAATATCAGGATGAAATGAGTAATAAAAAGACTCCCAACAAGGAAAAGCCCAGGACTAGATGGATTCACAGCCAAATTCTACTAAATGTACAAAGAAAAACTAATACCAATCTTCCTGAAACCATTACAAAAAATGGAAGAGGATAGAATTCTCTCTACCTCCTTCTTTGGGCCAGCATTATTGTAATTAAAAAAACAGACAAGGGCACCACAAAATATCCCTGATGAACATGGACACAAAAATTCTCAACAAAATACTAGCAAACCAAATCCAACAGCATATCAAGGAGATAATGCACCATGATCAAGTGGGATTTATTCTCCCACTTGATCATGAATGAAAGGATGGCTCAATATATGCAAATCAGTAAATGGGTTGCATCACATCAACAAAATGAAGCACAAAACTATATGATCATCTGGGATTGCTGGCAAGATGGCTGAATAGGAACAGCTCCAGCCTGCAGCTCCCAACAAGACCAACACAGAAGGCAGGTGATTTCTGCATTTCCAACCAAGATACCTGGTTCATCTCACTGGGACTGGTTGGACAGTGGATTCAGCCCATGGAGGATGAGCTGAAGCAGGGTGGGGTGTCGCCTCACCTGGGAAGCACAAGGGGTCAGGGAATTCTCTCCCCTACCCAAAGAAAGTCGTGAGGGACTGCGCATGAAGAATGGTACACTCTGGCCCAGATACTGTGCTTTTCCCACGGTCTCTGCAACCTGCAGACCGGGAGATTCCCTCCCATGCCTATGCCACAAGGGCCCTGGGTTTCAAGCACAAAATTGGGTGGCCATTCAGGCAGACACTGAACTAGCTGCAGGAGTGTTTGTTTGTTTGTTTGTTTTTTCCATACCTTAGTGGTGCCTGGAACACTAGTGAGACAGAACTGTTCACTCCCCTGGAAGGGGGACTGAAGCCAGGGAGCCAAGTGGTCTGGCTCGGTGGGTCCCACCCCCATGGAGCCCAGCAAACTAAGATCCACTAGCTTGAAATTCTCACTGCCAGCACAACAGTCTGAGGTCAGCCTGAGACACTTGAGCTTGGTGTGGGGAGGGGCATCCACCATTGCTGAGGCTTCAGTAGGTGGTTTTACCCTCACAGTATAAACAAAGGAAGTTCAAACTGGGCAGAGCCCACCGCAGCTCAGCAAGGCCACTGTGGCCAGACTACCTGTCTAAATTCCTCCTCTCTGGGCAGGGCATCTCTAAAAAAAAGAGGCAGCAGTCTCAGTCAGGGACTTATAGATAAAATCCCCATCTCCCTGGGATAGAGCACCTGGGGAAAGGGGTAGCTGTGGGCACAGCTTCAGGAGACTTAAACATCCCTGCCTGACGGCTCTGAAGAGAGCAGCGGTCCTCCCAGCACAGCATTCAAGCTCTGCTAAGGGTCAGATTGCCTCCTCAAGTGGGTCTCTGACGCCCGTGTATCCTGACTGGGAGACACCTCCTAGTAGGGGCCGACAGACACCTCATACAGGAGAGCTGCAGCTGGCATCTGGCGGGTGCCCCTCTGGGATGAAGCTTCCAGAGGAAAGAACAGGCAGCAATATTAGCTGTTCTGCAGCCTCTGCTGGTGATACCCAGGCAAACAGAGTAAAGAGTGGACCTCCAGCAAACTCCAGCAGAACTGCAGCAGAGAGGCCTGACTGTTAGAAGGGAAACGAAAAACAGAAAGGAATAGCACGTCCACTCAGGGACCCTATCCTGAGATCACCAACATCAAAGACTAAAGTTAAATAAATCCATGAAGATGGGGAGAAACCAGTGCAAAAAGGCTGAAAATTCCAAAAACCAAAACACCTCTTCTCCTCCAAAAGATAACAACTTCTTGCCAGCAAGGGAACAAAACTGGATGGAAAATGAGTTTGATGAATTGACAGAAGTAAGATTCAGAAGGTGGGTAATAACAAACTCCTCTGAGCAAAAGGAGCATGATCTAACCCAATGCAATGAAGCTAAGAACCTTGAAAAAAGGTTAGACAAATTGCTAACTAAAATAACCAGTTTAGAGAAGAAATAAACGACCTGAGGGAGCTGAAAAACACAGCATGACAACTTCCTGAAGCATACCCAAGTATCAATAGCCAAATCAATCAAGCAGAAAAAAAGGATATCAGAGATTGAAGAGCACCTTAACGAAATAAAGTGAGAAGACAAGATTAGAGAAAAGAATGAAGATAAATGAACAAAGGCTGCAAGAAATATGGAGCTATGTGAAAAAACCAAATCTATGTTCGATTGGTGTACCTGAAAGTGATGGGGAGAATGGAACCAAGTTGGAAAACACTCTGCAGGATATTATCCAGGAGAACTTCCCCAACCTAGCAAGACAGGCCAACATTCAAATTCAAGAAATAAAGAGAACACCACAAAGATAATCCTCGAGAAGAGCAACCCCAAGACACATAATCGTCAGATTCACCAAGGTTGAAATGAAGGGAAAAATGTTAAGGGGCAGCCAGAGAGAAAGGTCGGATTACCCACAAAGGGAAGCCCATCAGACTAACAGTGGATCTCTCTGCAGAAACTCTACAAAACAGAAGAGAGTGGGAGCCAATATTCAACATTCTCAAAGAAAAGAATTTTCAACCCAGAATTTCATATCCAGCCAAACTAAGCTTCATAAGCAAAAGAGAAATAAAATCCTATACAGACAAGCAAATGCTGAGAGATTTTGTCACCACCAGGCCTGCCTTACAAGAGCTCCTGAAAGAAGCACTAAACATGGAAAGGAATGACCAGTACCAGCCATGGCAAAAACATGCCAAATTGTAAAGACCATTGACACTATGAAGAAATTGCATCAACTAACAGGCAAAATAACAAGGTAGCATCAGAAAGACAGGATCAAATTCACACATAAAAATATTTACATTTAATGTAAACGGGTTAAATGCCCCAATTAAAAGACACAGACTGGCAAATTGTATAGAGTCAAGACCCATCAGTGTGCTGTATTCAGGAGACCCATCTCACGTGCAGAGACACAAATAGATTCAAAATAAAGGGATGGAGGACTATTTACCAAGCAAGTGGAAAGCAACAACAACAAAAAAAGCAGGAGTTGCAATCCTGGTCTCTGAGAAAACAGACTTTAAAACAACAAAGATCAAAAGAGACAAAGAAGGCCATTGTGTAATGGTAAAGGGGTCAATGCAACAAGAAGAGCTAAGTATCCTAAATGTATATGCACCCAATACAGAAGCACCCAGATTCATAAAGCAAGATCTTAGAGACCTACAAAGAAACGTAAGCTCCCACACAATAATAGTGGGAGACTTTAAACACCCCACTGTCAATATTACACAGGTCAACAACACAGAAAATTAACAAGAATATTCAGGATTTGAACTCAGCTCTGGACCAAGTGGACCTAATAGACATCTACAGAACTCTCCACCCCAAATCAACAGAATATACATTCTTCTCAGCACCTTATTACATTTATTCTAAAATTGACCACATAATTGGAAGTAAAACACTCCTCAGCAAATGCAAAAGAATTGAAATCATAACAAACAGTCTCTCAGACCACAGTGCAACCAAACTAGAACTCAGGATTAAGACACTCACTCAAAACCACACAACTACATGGACACTAAACAGCCTGCTCCTGAATGACTACTGGGTAAATAACGAAATTAAGGCAGAAATAAAAATGTTCTTTGAAACCAATAAGAACAAAGACACAATGTGCCAGAATCTCTGGGACACATTTAAAGCAGTGTGTGAGGGAAATTCATAGCACTAAATGGCCACAAGAGAAAGGAGGAAAGTTCTAAAATTGACGCCCTAACATCACAATTAAAAGAACTAGAGAGGTGAGAGCAAACAAATTCAAAAGCTAGCAGAAGACAAGAAACAACTAAGATCAGAGCAGAACTGAAGGAGATAGAGATACAGAAAACCCTTCAAAAAATCAATGAATCCAGGAGCTGGTTTTTAGAAAAGATCAACAAAATAGATAGACCACTAGCCAGACTCGTAAAGAAGAAAAGAGAGAAGAACCAAATCAACACAATAAAAAACGATAAAGGAGATATCATCACTGATCCCACAGAAATACAAACTACCATCAGAGAATACTATAAACACCTCTATGCAAATAAACTAGAAAATCTAGAAGAAATGGATAAATTCCTGGACACATACACCCTCCCAACTCTAAACAAGGAAGAAGTTGAATCCCTGAATAAACCAATAACAAGTTCTGAAATTGAGGCAGTAATTATTAGCCTACCAACCAAAAAAGTCCAGGACCAGAAAGATTCACAGCCAAATTCTACCAGAGGTACAAAGAGGAGCTGCTACCATTCCTTCTGAAACCATTCCAAACAATAGAAAAAGAGAGAATCCTCCATAACTCATTTTATGAGGCCAATAAAATGCTGGCAATCAGAATCCAGCAGCACATGAAAAAGCTTGTCCACCACGATCAAGCTTCACACCTGGGATGCAAGGCTGGTTCATCATATGCAAATCAATAAACATAATCCATCACATAAACAGAACCAGTGACAAAAACCACATGGTTATCTCAGTAGATGCAAAAAAGGCCTTAGACAAAATTCAACACCGCTTCATGCTAAAAACTCTCAATAAACTAGGTATTGCAGGGTGCGGTGGCTCATGCCTGCAATCCCAGCACTTTGGGAGGCCGAGATGGGCGGATCACAAGGTCAGGAGACCGAGACCATCCTGTCTAACACAGTGAAACCTCATCTCTACTAAAAATGCAAAAAAAATTAGCCGGGCATGGTGACAGTCACCTGCAGTCCCAGCTACTTGGGAGGCTGAGGCAGGAGAACGGCATGGACCCGGGAGGCGGAGGTTACACCGAGACTGCACCACTGCACTCCAGCCTGCGCAACAGAGCAAGACTCTGTCTCAAAAATAAATAAATAAATAAAAATAAAAAATAAATAAACTAGGTATTGATGGAAAGCATCTCAAAATAATAACAGCTATTTATGAAAAACCCACAGCCAATATCATACTGAATGGTCAAAAACTGGAAGCATTCCCTTTGAAAACTGGCACAAGACAAGGATGTCCTCTCTCAGCACTCCTATTCAACATAGTATTGGAAGTTCTGGCCACGGCAATCAGGCAAGAGAAAGAAATAAAGGATACTCAAACAGGAAACGAGGAAGTCAAATTGTCTCTGTTTGCAGATGACATGATTGTATATTTAGAAAACCCCATTGTCTCAGTCCAAAATCTCTTTAAGCTGATAAGCAACTTCAGCAAAGTCTCAGGATACAAAATCAATGTGCAAAAATCACAAGCACTTCTATACACCAATAACAGACAAACAGAGAGCCAAATCATGAGTAAACTCCCATTCACAATTGCTACTAAGAGAATAAAATACCTAGGAATCCAACTTACAAGGGATGTGAAGGACCTCTTCAAGGGGAACTACAAACCACTGCTCAAGGAAATAAGAGAGGACACAAATAAATGAAAAAACATTCCATGCCCATGGATAGGAAGAATCAATATCGTGAAAGTGGCCATACTGCCCAAAGTAATTTATAGATTCAGTGCAATCCCCATCAAGCTACCAATGACTTTCTTCACAGAATTGGAAAAAACTACTTTAAAGGTCATATAGAACAAAAAAAGAGCCTGCATAGCCAAGACAATCCTAAGCAAAAAGAACAAAGCTGGAGGCATCATGCTACCTGACTTCAAACTATACTACAAGGCTACAGTAACCAAAACAGCATGGTACTGGTACCAAAACAGATATATAGACCAATGGAACAGAACAGGGGCCTCAGAAATAACACCACACATCTACAACCATCTGATCTTTGACAAACCTGTCAAAAACATGCAATGGGGAAAGGATTCCCTATTTAATAGATGGTGTTGGAAAAACTGGCTAGCTATATGCAGAAACCTGAAACTAGATCCCTTCCTTACACCTTACACAAAAATCAACTCAAGATGGTTTAAAGACTTAAATGTAAGACCTAAAACCATAAAAATCCTAGAAGAAAACCTAGGCAATACCTTTCAGGACATAGGCATGGGCAAAGACTTCATGTCTAAAACACCAAAAGCAATGGCAATGAAAGCCAAAATTGACAAATGGGATCTAATTAAATTAAAGAACTCCTGCACAGCAAAAGAAACTATCATCAGAGTGAATAGGCAACCCACTGAATGGGAGAAAATCTTTGCAATCTACCCATCTGACAAAGGGCTAATATCCAGAATCTACAAAGAACTTAAACAAATTTACAAGAAAAAAACATCAAAAAGTGGGCAAAAGATATAAATAGACACTTCTCAAAAGAAGACATTTATGCAGCCAACAACCATATGAAAAACAGCTCATCATCACTGCTCATTAGAGAAATGCAAATCAAAACCACAATGAAATACCATCTCTTGCCAGTTAGAATGGTGATCATTAAAAAGTCAGGAAACAACAAATGCTGGAGAGGATGTGGAGAAATAGGAATGGTGGCAGTGTAAATTAGTTCAACCATTTTGGAAGACAGTGTGGCAATTTCTCAAAGATCTAGAACAGGAATACCACTTGATCCAGCAATCCCATTACTGGGTATATACCCAAAGGATTATAAATCATTCTACTGTAAAGACACATGCACATGTATGTTTACTGCGGCTCTGTTCACAATAGCAAAGACTTGGAACCAACCCATTATCCATCAATGATAGACTTGATAAAGAAAATGTAGCACATATACACCACGGAATACTATGCAGCCATAAAAAAGGATGAGTTCATGTCCTTTGCAGGGACATGGATGAAGCTGCAAACCATCATTCCAAGCAAAGTATCACAAGGACAGAAAACCAAACACTGTATGTTCTCACTCATAAGTGGGAGTTGAACAATGAGAACACATGGACATGGGGAGGGGAACATCACACACACCAGGGCCTGTCCAGAGGTGGGGGACTATGGGAGGGATAGCATTAGGAGAAATACATAACGTAGGTAATGGGTTGATGGATGCAGCAAACCACCATGGCACATGTATACCTATGCAACAAAACTGCACGTTCTGCACATGTACCCCAGAACTTAAGGTATAATAATAAAATAATAATAATAATAATAAAACTCTATGATCATCCCTATAGATGCAGAAAAAGCATTTGGTAAAATTTAGCATCCTTTCATGACAAAAACTTTTAGTGAATTAGGGGTAGAAGAAAAGTACCTCGACATAATAAAGACTGAATACAACAAACCCACAGTTAACATCACAATGACTGGGGAAAAGTCGAGAAAAAACAAAGATGCTCACTTTCATCACTGCTATTCAACACAGTACAGGAAGTCCGAGCCAGAGCAATCAGGCAATAGAAGAAATAAAAAGAATCCAAATTAGAAAAGAGTAAGTAAAATTATCTCTCTTTGCTGATGATGTAATCGTATCTAGAAAAACCCAGACTTTACCAAAAATTTTGTAGATCTGATAAATGAATTCAATGAAGTTGCTTAATACAAAAGCAACATACAAAAATTAGTAGTATTTCTATACACTAGTAACAATCTAGCCTAGAAAGAAATCAAGACAGCAATCCCATTTACAATAGCTACTAAAATGAAATAAAATAAAATACCTAGGGAAAAATCTAACCAGAAAGGTAAAGATATTTTCAAGGAAAACTATGAAATACTAATGAAAAAAATGAAGAGAACACAGACAATAGAAAAACATGCCATACTTATGCATCAGAAGAACTAATATTGTTAAAATGGCTATATTGCCCAAAGCAATCTACAGATTCAACGCACTCCTTATCAAAATATCAATGTCACTCTTCACAGACTTACCAAAAAATTTCTAAAATTTATACAGAACCAAAAAAAAGCCTGAATAGCCAAAGCAATCCTGAGCATTAAGAACAAAGCTGGAGGCATAACATTATCTGACTTCTAAATATATGATAATGCTATAGTAACCAAAACAGCACAGTATTGATATAAAAAAGACACACAGACCAATGGAACAGAATCCAGAATCCAGAAATAAAGCCACATATTTATAGCCATTTGATTTTCAACAAAGCCAACAAGAACTTACATTGGGGAAAGGATGCCCTCTTCAGCAAATGATGCCAGGAAAATTGGATAGCCATATGCAGAATAATGAAGCTGGATTCCTACCTTTCAGCATATACAAAAATCAATTCAAAATGGATTAAATATTTAAGCGTATGACCCAAAACTATAAAAATACCAGGAGAAAACCTAGAGAAAACTCTCCTGGACATCAGACTAGACACAAAATTTATGACTAAGACCTAAAAAGCATAGGCAACAAAAGCAAAAATAGACCAATGGGACTTAATGAAATTAAAATGCTCCTGTATACCAAAAGAAATAATCAAAAGAGCGAAGAGACAATCTGTTGAATGGGAGAAAATATTATTTAATAATATTTAATAATATTTAATATTAATATTAATAATATTTAATAATATTATTAAATAATATTTTTAAGCTATTCATCTGAAAGAGGACTAATATCCAGAATATATAAGAACTCAAACAACCAACAGGAAAAAGAAGCAAATAATCCCATTAAAAAGTGGGCAAAAGACATGAATGGACATTTCTCGAAAGAAGACCTACAAACAGCCAATAGGTGTATGAAAAAATACTCAATGTCACTAATCACTAGAGAAATGCAAACCAAAACCACAATGATATATCTTAATCCAGTCAGAATGGCTATTATTAAAAAGAAAAAATAACAGATATTGGTGAGGGTGTGGAGAAAAGAGAACTCTTATAAACTGTGGGATAAAGACTACTACAGCCACTATCAAAAACAGTATGGAGATTTCTAAAAGAACTAAAAATAGAATTACCATCCAATCCAGCAACCCCACACCGAGTATCTACCCAAAGGAATAGAAATCAATATATCTATCAAAGAGATATCCGTGCTTGCGTGTTTATTGAAGCACTATTCACAATAGCAAAGATATTGAATCAACCTAAGTGTTCATCAATGGATAAAATGGATAAAGAAAATGTGGTATATATGCACATTGGAATACTACTTAGACATATAAAAGAACGAAATCATGTCATTTTCAGCACATGGATGGTACTGAAGGTTGTTATCTTATGTAAAATAAGCCAGGCACAGAAAGACAAATATCAAATGTTCTCACTTATATGTGTAAGCTAAAAATGTTATCAGATGGAGGCAGAGAGTGGAAGATAGATAACACACTGGGAAGGGTGAGTGGAACAGGAGGGAGTATGAAGAGAAGTGGGTTAAAGGGTACAAACACACAGTTAGATAAAAGGAATAAATTCAATGTTTGGTAGCAGAGTAGGGTGATTATAATTGACAAAAATGTATTATACTTGGTGATGGGCATCCTAAATACCCTGGCTTGATCACTATGCATTATATACATGTAACAAAATGTCGCATGCATCCCATACATTTGTACTGATGAAATTGTTTAGTTTAAGAAACAATGCCTCCTACAATGTAGGATCTCCCAGAACCACTCCAGCCAGGTGACAGCTACAAAAAAGGTCAACACTAAAGCATCTTGGAATACTGAAATGTAATAAGTTTGCTAGCATGTGTATTCTGGAAAGAATCAAAGACATATTCATAAGTAATTGCCTCCAAGGAGAGGAACAGAAAATGGGAAATGAGGCTTTTGCTGTCCGTTTTCTTCCACTCCACCCTGTTTGGCTTTTCCAACTTGAGAAATAAATTCAAGAATAAACGGATCATTTGGGCCTTATTTTCTCCTTTATACTTTGTAACTTTAAAAAGGCTCAATCAATTTTAGTTTAAAAAAAATAGAAGAGTAAGTGAAGTAAATTATCTTTTTTTATTTTTTTTCCGAAATGGAGTCTCCGTCTGTCGCCCAGGCTGGAGTGCAGTGGTATAATCTCAGCTCACTGCAACCTCTGCCTCCTAGGTTCAAGCGATTCTCCTGCCCCATCCACCTGAGTATCTGGGATTACAGGCACCCATCACAGTGCCCGTCACCAAGCACGGCTAATTTTTGTACTTTTAGCAGAGACGGGGTTTTCACCATGTTGGCCAGGCTGGTCTCGAACTCCTGACCTCAGGTGATCCGCCCCCCTCAGCCTCCCAAAGTGCTGGGATTACAGACGTGAGCCACTGCACCTGGCCAAGTGTATCATCTTAATTCTTGATCTTTCTCACTCTCACCTTTGTTCCATTCAAGAAACTGGAAAAAGGTTTCCAAGATCTAAAGAGAGATGGGGTGTTACAGTGTAGTGTCAGGAGTATTGAGGCAGAGTTGGAAGGCAGGGGTAGACAGCACCCCAAATTAGCAAATCTGTGGACAGAAAATTAACATTCACACATTGCTGGTGGATGCCACATTTTGTATTACCCTTTTGAAAAACCATTTGTCAAAATCTAACAATTAAATATTCAGGTCTTTGACCCATAAATGTCACTACAGTAATTTTATCATGAAGAAAGTTTTCCATAATACTTTGTAAAATATTCATATAATTTCTTTTAATAGCAAAAATAATTGGCACTATCTCAAATTTACATCAATAGGTTAAAGTAAAATATAACACACCCAATGAATAGAAATGAATCCATAATAACATTATAAAAATTTTATTTAACAATATGATAACCAGATTAAATTTTACAAAGTGAGATATAAAATTGCATATATAGTACATTTGGGCCAAAAGGAGCAACACTTTCAAATGCAAAATGTTGAAGAAATGGCAAAATAAATTTAAATAGAAAAAATATATGGGATAGGAGGACAGACACCTTAAACCTAACATGCATTTACTCCTTCATTTATGCATTCAGCCACTATGGATCATTCCCCTTGAGCTGAGCACTGTGCCATGATCTGAAGAAAACAAGATCTTCGCCCAAAAGAAGCTAAAGAAGCTTATGACCTAGGCATACGGATAATCCATTTCCCTAAAGAGATTAACAGAACAAAGGAATAGAAGTAAATGCAAGAGATAACAGTAAAAATAAACTGTCTCACTCGAACAGCTAGAATAACAGCAAAATATAACCTAAAGAAAGAGGGAGGAATTATTAAATATAAAAACTGGAAGTAATTTATTCAAATCCTAAAAAGCAGAATGAATAAAAAGAATTTGTGAAAAGACCAACAATATAGAGGAACATCTTACAAAGCTAATTGATAGAAAGAAAGAAAGGAAAGAAAAGAAAGGGAGAAAGGGAAGAAGGGAGGGAGGGAGGGAGGGAAGGAGGGAGGGAGGCAGGAAGGAGGAAGGAAGACAAACAACAACAGAAAACATTGAGAATGGAGGTCTTCCTGTTTCCAGTCCTACATGCAAGGAGCTTGAACGTTGTCACTCCCATCCTCACAACAAAGGAAGAGTTGAAAAAACTGAAAGTCAGCAATTCTTCTCAGATCCATCAGAGAACTCAGGTGACAGGGCAAACTGCTGCCCCCAAAACTGATGAGACAGCCAGGTGGACACAAGGAATCACAGCTCACTGGAGCAGAATCCCAGGAGGAGAAAACTCCACCAGAAGCAGTGCCAAGGTAGGAAAACCTGAACTATAATTCATGAATTGCTGGAGGCCCTGTGTGGACGAAGTTTGAGAGTTTATAAACTCCAGGGGGACCTAGTCTTACAGGGATCCCCACACTTTTGTGAGCCTTACCTCCAGGAGCTCTCCCAAGTTCTCACAGTAAATACTGAAGAAAAAAATCCACTTTTGCTTACAGCAGCAGGGAGAGAAAACTAACGATTTTGAAATCTGCCCAGAGCATTCTGCTTTTCTTAATAACATATTGAGAATGAGAAGGGGCTTACAACCACAAGCATGAAATGGTTGTTTGTTCATTATAAGAGAAAACTATGTACAACTGTATGATAATAAATTTTAAAATTTCAGTGAATTGGTTGATTTTTCAAAGACACAAATTCACCAAAACTGATGAAATGAGAAGTACATTTGAATGCAGCAAGGCAGGGATGTGGAAAATGAGCTTTCTCGTATGCTTCTGTAAGAAATAACCTCACATTGCTCTTCTGGAATGCGATTTGAAGGTCCACGTCAAATATCTCTAACATGTGCAAGCACATTGACCTGTAAATTACTACTCTCATGCAAATTATTCTGACAAAATAACAAATGAGTGAAAAACTGCATTCTTCCATAGTCAAAGATATTTATCAAAGTACTATGTATAATAGTGAAAAATATAGGGAACAACTTGCATGTCTAATAATAACAATTTTGATAAATAAATTGTGGCATATGTATAGGCTGCTATCCAGTCATCAAAAATGAGGCTGTGGGTACTTTTTGGTTTAAAAGCTGTTCACACTATATTAGCAAGATGCAAAATGCAAGTCACCAAACAAGATATATAGTGTGATCCCACTTTATATTTATTTAGAGAAAGAAAACAACATTTTGCAAAACCACATATCCAATTGCTTGCAGCACTTAACTCTAGGGACTTGAGTTTGGGTAATTCATTTTCTTCTTCATACTTTACATGTTTTATGTATACGTGTTTATTAAAATAAGTGTAAAATATGTACACAAAGAACAAGTGACCAATAAAGGTACTAAAATATTATTTCTGGTGCTGAAAATTTGGGCTAATTTTTTTATTCTTATTCCTGGACTTCAGCAGTTAAGAAGAGCCTTTATTACAAGACAATGTTATTGATAATTAAAAAATAAATAAACTCTTAAATGATAAGCGTTCCTGGGTTATAAGGCCAACTCTGTCACTAACAATGTGAGGAGCAGTTACTTCATCTCTAGTCTCATTACCTCACCTCCGAAATGAAACAGCTGGAGTCCATCTTCTTGGGGGCCTGGTTCTAATGCCCACTTTGAATGCTGTTTCTTTCAAGGCACTGCCTGGCTCAGTCATTCAGGAAAAAATCTACTGCTGTTGCAAGCTTGATATACAGTCCATTTAGAAAGAGATTTTGAAGAAGAAAAGAAAAAAAAACAAGTAATGTTCATTTGTTTCATTACAACAATTTAATAGAAACAACCATCCAAAAAATAGAAAATGTCAAGTGGGCTATTAAAACCCTCCAGCAGGAACGGGTGCGTCTAGGCACAAATATTAAATGCGAACAGCCTCAAGAGAGGAATACAGAAGGGCATGCTTGCTGCACCGGCTCAAGCACCATTTTTGTCTGAAGAGAGGATCATGCAGAAGGCTGGATATCCACAGCAGCAGAGCTTGGCTTACAGAGGATCCATTGTGCAGAGGGACCTTGGCTGCTCTTCTGCCAAAAACAAATTGTATACCCTTGCTGTTTGTTTAGAGTCATTCAGTGCTGCATTATTGAGGGCCATTCTGAGCCAAGCACTGTGCTAGGGGCTGAGGATTCCAAAACGAACGAGGCATAGACCTTGTTCTCACGGATCTCACAAATCCATAAAAAGAAAGAAAAGCAAAGAGCAAATTTCAGGGCTATGGAGGAATGCATCATGGAAGCTTGGCAGGAGCCCAAAGAAGCCCCTTGCTAGTTCTGCGAACTGAGGCATGGCTTCCTGAGTCCTGACAGGTGAGTGAGTGCCAGCCAGGTGTAGTTAAGAAGGGTGCTGCAGGGAGAACGTGAACAAAGGGCCCTGAGAAACAGTGTGTTGTGCTCCAGTAGTTCACCGTGTTCCTCTCAGCAAGTGCGGCAGGAAGGAGGGAGGCAGGGCTGAGTCCTGAAAGTAGGCAGGAGCCAGGAAGAGCTGAAGCAAGGCAGTTTCATGTCAGATTTCATTCTAAACTCAGGAAACAGCCCCTCCATCCATCCACTGGAACGCTAGTGACCAAGAAAATACATCCAGAGTCCCGCCCCTGGTCCCACTCACACCAACACAACCCATCCCAGATGGCCTAGTTATGAGTACAATGGTCTTCCCACAAGCCCCGTTTGAAACCAAACATTATTGGAATAAAACCATTGGGAGGGGAGGGATGAGGATACTGCCCTGGGCTGACATCCCCTCAACTTGGCCTTGGCCTTCCTGCCGCTTCTCAACAGAAATACGAATAAAAAAACCAGAAGTTTGGTCTTCATTTTTCCGATTCTCCAAATTTGTTATAATTTGCAATTTGTTTCAAGGACTCTGTTTTCATTTCAACTAAATCCCTACCAAAAAAATAATTATCCAGTAATTTTCCAGTAGAGGAAAAAAACACACACAAAAAAAAACCATGTTCACCCGTGGTCAAGGGTGGGGCGCAGCTGACTCAGCAAGTGGTGCACTTCAGTGTGGACAGGAATCTTCCTCCTGGGCATCAGGGAGCCATGCAGGAGACTCAGGAAGAAGGAAAGAGGGGGGATGCAGCAGGTGACAGGGAGGAACAGGATTCACCAAGCAGGCTTGGGCAGGACGACTGGGGAAGAAGGTTGCCCATCTCTCAATCATAATTAAATGCTGTGCTCTTTTCCTGAATACTGTTAGTATCATTTATTCCCATCAAGAAAGGGAGGTCTGGTCCCAGCACACAAACCCAGCTTCAGGACACTTCCAGGAATAAAAAAGGACATCCCCCAGTGAGGATTCCCCTCCAGTCGCTAACCTACCTTGATATTTGTTGCGCTAGGATGCAGAGGCCTCCTGGTGCAGTAAGGCACCTGCAAACCAGTTTTGCTAACCCAGCACTGGAAAGGAAAGGGAGCTGAGACTCTGGGGCAGAGTCATGCTGACTCTTGGTGTTTAGAAGTGGCTCAACCTCTCTAGGCCTCATTCTTTTCTTCTGTCAATGAGAAAAACTAATAATGCTTTCCTTTATTGATTTAAAAAAAAAAAAAAAGGACCAATGGACAGACCTGGCAGTGTCCCTTCCCCCACACCCTTCCTTTACGAAGATGGTGGCTGGAGCTGCAGCAGCCTTTCTGTGGCCGTGAAGGAAAGGCCAAGACAAGCATACATGTGCCTGTCCTGACATATCTGAGCCATTGAATTAAGGCCAACAGGTAATTGCCTCCAGATTTCTTGTTCTATGAGAAAAATTCACTCTATTGATTTAACCACACTGAGTCAGGTTTTCTGTTAATTCTGCCAAATTCAATGCTAACTGAAGGAAGGGTGTTAGGACAATTAAATAAGATATGAACATTGCATAGCACAGTACCTACAAAATAGCAGGAGAACAATGTTAGTCCTTCCTCTTATCAGTCTCTCTTTTGAAAGCAAAATCTCTCCTGGAGATGAAGTACTATCAGAGGGGGTGAAAGTCAATGTGATATTTGCAGCATGGACTCACAAGATGTCAAACCAGGAGGTTCTACGGATCATGCATGTTACACCTTTATCTTCCAGATGAAGAGACTGATGCCCAGAGAGGAAAAGCAACCAGCACACAGTTACTCAGGGAGTCTGTGACAGAAATAACACATTGCACCCCAGGGTCCGAAGAAGCATCTGCTGACCCTGTCATGGGCTGGGGAGAGGGACACACTGCGGAGGGAGGACGTGGGCTTAGCAGTCAGACGAGCTTGGAGAGGAGCCCTCAGCCTCAGAATCCCTCTCCTGCCCAGCTCCCCTATCCTTTTCCTGTTATTTCCCAGTCCGGGCCCCCCCAGATCTTCCCTTGGATGGTCACATCACCTCCACCTGCCTTCACATCCTCCTCCTCCGACAACATGTGGACCACCTGTACACCTCCTCCACCGCTGTCTTCACTCCAGCCACTGCACACAAACCTTCAGTGACTCCAAGGGGAAGAAGCCCTCATTCCCCTGTCCATCCCTGGGACAAGACTGTAGCTGGGTCACTCCACCTTCTCCACAGGCTACTGTCACGTCAATCACATGTTCCCTCTCTGCCTCTACGCATCTGAGTGATGCTTACTCAGCCGCGGAGCTTCCCTGCAGATCCACTTTTCCCACCCTGTTGAAAAGTGACCCCTTTCCTAACAGCCCATTCTTCCTCCTCTGAACTCCAGGAGAACTTATTTCAGCATTGGCCGTATTGCCACTTGGCATTTATGGCTTCAGGTTTCTGCTGAACTCTTTGATTCCTAAACGTCTAGTCCCTTTGCACAAGCTTTTTGAGAGCAACCACTGCCCTGTCTGTGCCTAGCATGGGAGCAAGCACAGAGGAAAATCTGGGAAGCCTTGGTAGCAGCCCGCAAGGTAGCACCTAGAGCAGTGAGTGCCAGGGTCAGACTCATCGTGGCCACTAATGCCTCCTGAGAGGCTAGGATGCAGCAGAAACAAGGTGTGCTCACAGGAATCTTGCAAAGAGCTTAATAAAAGACCATTTACAGGTGTACTTAAGCAGATGTACAGAGGCAAGGGAAACAGGAAGGATAGCCCAATGCCCCAGGACAGGCAACATACCTAGGCTGAAGGGAAGGAGAGGAGGCTGTAGCCAGGGCTTCATGAGCCCCTGAGCCATGAAAAGGGTCCAGCTATAGAAACTATGGCTGCAATTGGGACTGGAAGGGACTCAGCCCGTGCAACAACTGGCACCAAAGCAGGAAGGAAGTAGGGGAACAAACACCCCCATCTCTCTCTCCTTCTACCTCTCATATCTTGCCAGTGCCTTCCATTGGTCAAACTCAACAGGAAGCCAGAAGGCAAAGAAATCTAAATGATGGAGTCCATAGGGATTAGCCCTCCCTTCACCTTCCCAGGATCCAGAGCAAGGTAAAGAAAGGAGGAGAATGTATTAGGGGAAGAAAGGAGAGGGGCAAATGGAAAATTACCAGCACAGGCAGGCACTGGCTGAGCAGCTTACCCTTCACAATAATCCCTGGAGAAAAGGATTTTGATCCTCATTCGCAATGAGGAAACCAAGGCATAAGGAGATCCATTAACTTGCCCAAAGTCACGGAGTAACAAAGTGGCTGAACCAGGATTCATATGCAGGCAGTCTGACACCAGAGTCTGTATGCTTAAAACAATACACTCAAATGCCTTGTGCAATAAGCAAAGGAATGAACAAGTATAACTAACGCAATGGCCAAGTGTCTCTTCTACATCCATTCTTGTAATGACAAAGCCTAGGAAATCTTCATAACCCCACACCTGGTGAATTTTTCTCCCAACCGCACCCCTCAGTAGAAAGCACAGCCATAATCTAGAACAGCAAGTCTCAAACATTTTGGTCTCAGGACCCCAAATTTATTGAAAACCATCAAAGAGCTTTTGTTTACGTAGCTTTTATCTGTCAATGTTTGTCAAATGAGAAATTCAAGCTGAGAAATTTTTGAAATACAAAAGTACATGCCACAGAAAAATGATGCCATCACCTATCATGGAGCTGCTGAGAAACTCCACTGCACACTTATCAGAGAATAAGAGTGAAAGGGGCAACTAACATCTTAGTGTTACTATGGAAAGAGTTCTGACCTTAGGGATCCCATTGAAAGGACTTGGGGACCTGCCACTTGTCCTCAGACCACAGTTTGAGAATTCTCAACCCAGAAGCTGCCTTTATTTTATTAAAATAATTATATAAACCATAGCCTTATATATTATTAGCCTGAACTTAGTGACCTAAGTCTCATTTCTCCTCCTTCCTCTCTCTTTAATCCCATTATTACTCAGACTCCATCTATCCAGAGTGCAGAATGCTCTTGGAAGCCACCTCCCAGGACCAGAGCCCAGAGAGGGAAAGCAGCTCCGCCAGGGCTGCCCCTGGAGTGGGCTGATAAGCCCAGCTGAAGCAGTCACCCATGGAAACACAGCCTTTCCAGGTGTCACATCAGAGAGCAGGCAACAGATTATAAAGCAGGGAGAAAGGCAGAGTTCTGTGCAAAGAAACTGATAAACTGGCAACAATCTGGGAGGCAAATGCAGCAAGTGGTCACCCCAAAGCAAGCCCAGAGCAAGAAGGAAGGTGCACGGAATGGGGCCAGCTCTGGGGAAAGCTGAGGAATGCATGCCCCAGCCATTCTATTCATTTATCTGGCTTGTGCTTCTGGATATCACAGCAAGACAAGAAGAGGGAGATAGTCCCCTTCCTCCCCAGCTTAAAGCTGGTCATCTGGTTCACAGATACTGTAGGCTCCAATAAACTCTGAAAGGCAATCGGGAAAATGGTAAATCAGATGCTGCATGGATTTACTGGATATAAAATGGTGTCCTTTTTTAAATCTGGTTTTGTACTTTATTTTTCTTTTATGCTACCTTTAAGCTATTTGATTTCATCCACCTACTTTCTATCCTTCAGCAAGTGTATTTATATTCTGTAATGAAAAGAAAGATTTTGTATCATAGTCTCTCACATAAAGCTATTCCATCGGAAATGTATGTGACCTCATCTCACTCTCCCTTCTCCCCAGAAAGAAATGAATTCCCTTCTGAAGTCATCTCTGCCAACTCACAGTGGGCACCATTCATCCCCAGCTGAGAATCAATACGCTTACAGACACAGCCTCATCATCTTCACAACCCTTTCTATTTTTTAATCATCCACGTGCTGAGCACTGAGACATGCACTATACACATGTTATTTCTAAGCTTCAAAACAACTCTACTAAGGAAGCATCATTGTCCGTATTTTGTAGATGAAGAAACCGAGGCTCAAAAAAATAATGTGCTTCATCCAGCTGGTAAGTGACTCAGCCATGATTTGAACCCAGGATGTAACAGACTCCAAAACCTTTGTTAATCCAGCTTCCATCTTGCCTTTTGACCATTTTTTTTTTCTCTAATCAGCAGCAGTCTCCTCATGCATCCCAAACTTTGTTCACTGCTGTATCAGGCACAACTCTCCTGAGAGTGGTGCATAAGCCTGGTCTGATGGTTCCTTGGTTAAGAAGCAGACTCACTAGACTTTCTGATAATCACACAGAAGTCATGCTTACTACCTCTTGGCTTATAGCTGACAATTTCCTCCGTACACTGTAACTGATACCGCTGCATTCTTTTTCTTTCTCAGACATGATTCCTTCAGTGCCTTGCTAATTGCCTCCAGCCTATCCTTGGTGCTTGCAATTCCAAACACTCCTTTAAAAACAAATTAGGTAAATCTCCCTCTTGCCCACTGTGCATTTTCTGTCATTGTCCTTGGAGTAATGAACTTTCCCTGGGCTTATGAAAAAAAAAAAGCATGGAAGTTGAAAATATCCAGTTTAATGTAGCAGGGGGATAGTTCTGATTGATCAACCAAATGCTTCTTTATCCCCCAAATTAGCATTTCAAAAATTTCTGCCACATCTCATTTTCCTGAGTCTTAACAGGCTAAAACAGCAAATGGGCAAATGTTGCAATTTTCTAACTGAGATGATCACCCTGACACAGGCTTAGGTTTGAATATGTCTGTGCACATGCGGATGTGTATGCGTTGAGATGTGTTCTGTGGATATGTGTGTGAAGGGGTGCTTCAGAACATGTGGTTACTCCATACCTACTCCCAGTAGACTTGGCCTCCTGAGGTCTCCAAAAACATGGAGAACCAAAGACCTTTAAACTACAAATTAACTGCTGACCCCAAGTCTCCTAGCTGAATGAAAAGTGGGATAGCACTGGCTCAACCCAGCTCAATGACGTGAGTTTTTACAAAATATTTGGACATTGAGCTCCTCTCCACACTACCTTATCTTCCTACACCCACCTCCACCTCTACACTCAGAGCCACCTATACTCTATAATAAACAGGACCTATTACCAGAGCTTAAAACATGAGGTGGGCTCCCAGCGGGGAGGTATCTTTTCTTGGGGACATTCACACACACTGGCAAACCAGTGCTTGGAATTAGGACCCATCCCCTCCTAGATTTTTATGACCAGAGTCAAGTTTCCTACCCCAGACAAAGAGCAAAGTTCCCGACCCTGAACAGTGCCACTCTCACCCACCATACCTTATCACAAATGAGAGGAACAGGATGCAGAGACATGGGTCTCAAAGTGGCAGCCCTGGGACACTGAGAGTGGAAGATGCCACATGAGAAAAGAAAGGAAGAAGAGGTTAGGTGGCTGATAAACCTGGAAAGGAATCCTGGAATGGGAGTCCGCTCTGGTGGTTCACAGAGTACATTAGTCCTACAAAGGCTCTGAGGAATTCTGTGATAAAGAAACCTGTTTAACTGGATTCAATCCAAATTTATTTGGCTGCACAATGGTCTTTTCTGCATAACTTCACTTAGACTCCTGCAGAACTAACGTTCCCCTGAGCAGTTTGGCGGAAATGCTATTCTAAGTTAAAAGGAAATGAAGGCTGTTTCTGTCAAGGAATTATCTCTCACAAAGGAAACATTTAAAGAAAATGAAAAGAGAGAGAGAGAGACAGAAACAGAGAGAGAATGCAGCCCAGGCAGTTTAGATCCTCACCACAGCCTGTCTAGCAAATCTCATTTCTCTATCTGGGTCTCTTTTTAAATTTCCTGCAAGATTTTGTGCTAATTTTGTGTGTGTTAACATCTGTGTAGAGGGTGCATGTGTGTACTGATGTGTGTGTGAGGGCATTCCCAGGAACAAAGGGTTCTCTTCAATGGTGGAAAACAAGATTGCATCTAAATCCCCTCACAAAGACACCACAGCTCTTCCAGCACATCACCAGGACTGAAACCATGCCAACTGAGCTTTCAACCATGCATTAAAAATTAGAATTAAAATGCAATACCTTAGGGGTATTTTCCCCTCTTATAGTGAATTAGCTTAGGAGCAAATAAAAGCCTAATTATCTAGGAAAAGGGATCACGCTTTTCACTCCACAGAGATTCCAAGGCTGGCCCTATTCTGTTTGAGAGTTCACATCACATGACAATGATGAGAGGATTTGGTGTCACCCAACTGAATAGCCCTGCCCCAGGTCACTCTTTACCTCCCTGTGTCACTCCTGAGAGAAACGCATATGCCTGACAAAGATGGCCAGGAATCCAGCATCACAAGTCTGCTTTTGGTCAACAAGGACAAGAAGGCATGATTGTGACTCTAATTCCACCCTGACCTCAGATGGGAAATGTTATGAACTGTGCAGCATTGAAAGGGTGAAAACAAGTTAACAGAAAAGGAATAACAGAAGAGGGTGGAAACAAGTGAACAGAAAAGGAAGGCAAGCTTAGAGGCTGATGTGGGTTTGGATGTGTGTCCCCTCCAAATCTCGTGTTTAAATGTAATCCCCAATGTTGGAGATGGGGCCTGGTGGGAGGTGATTAGATCGTGGTGGTGGAGGGGAGATCCCCTCATGAATGGTTTAGCACCATCTCCTTGGTGATAAGTGAGTTCTTTCTCAACTGGTTCACACAAGATCTAGTTGTTTAAAGTGTGTGGAACCTCCTCCCCTGTCTCTTGCTCCTTTTCTCACTTTGTGATATGCCAGCTCCCTTTTGCCTTCCACCATGATTATAAGTTCCGTGAGGCCTCACCAGAAGCCAAGCAGATGCCAGCACCATGCTTCTTGTATAGCCTGCAAAACTGTGAGTCAAAATAAACCTTTTTGCTATATAAATGACCCAGTCTCAGGTATTTCTTTATAGCAATGCAAGACTGGATTACTACAAAAAATTGGTACTGAAGAGTAGGGTGTTGCTATAAAGACACCTGGAAATGTGAAGGTGGCTTTAGGACTAGGTGATGGGCAGAGGTTGAAAGAGTTTGGAGGACTCAGAAGAAGACAGGAAGATGAAGTAAAGTTTGGAACTTCCTACAGACTGGTCAAATGATTGTGCTGATAGAGATATGGACAGTGAAGTCCAGGTTGCTGAGGTCACAGATGAAAATAAGGAAGTTATTGGGAACTGAAGTAAAGGTCACCTGTGTTCCACCCCAGCAAAGAACTTGGCTGCATTGTGTCCACATCTTAGGGATCTGTGGAAGTTTGAACTTAAGAGTGATGACTTATGGTATCTAGTGGAAGAAATTTCTAAGCAGCAAAATGTTCAAAATGTGGCCTGGCTACTTTTAACAACCTATGACCAGATATGGGAGCAAAGGAAATTATATTTAAAAGGGAAGCAGAGCTTAAAAGTTTGGAAAATTTGCATCCTGGCCATGTGGTAGGGAAAGAAAGAGCATTTTCAGAAGAGGAATAAAAGCAGGCTGCTGAACAACAACTTGCTAGAGAGATTAGCATGACTAAAAAGGAACCAAGGGCCAATAGCCAAAACAATGGGAAAAAGGTCTTGAAGGTATTTCAAAGGTCTTCAAGGCAGCTCTGCCCATCACAGGCCCAAAGGCCTAGGAGGAAAGAATAAAGTCAGGGGTCGTTGCCCTGCTCAGCCTTGGGACATTGCTCCCAGAATCCTCATAGCTCTGGCTCTAGCCTCAGCTCAAAAGGCCACAGATACAGCTTGAGCCACCACTCCAGAGAGCACAAGCCATAGGCCTTGGCAGCTTCCACATGGTGTTAAGTATGCAGGCACATGGAATTCAAGAGTGAAGGAGGCTTGGCAGCTTCCACCTAGAGTTCAGAGGATGTAGGGAAAGCCTGGGTGCCCAGGCAGAACTCTGTCACAGGAGAAGAGCCCCTGAAGATAGCCTCTGCTAGGCCAGAGTTGGAGGCCCCACACAGAGTTCCCCACAAGGGCACTGCCTAGTGGAGGTATGGGAATGGGGCCACCAGCCTCCAGACCTGAGAATAGTAGAGCCATGGGCAGCTTACACCCTCAACCTGGAAAAACTGCAATCACTCAACTCAACCCACGACAGCAGCCTTGAGGGCTGCATCCTACAAAGCCACATGGGCAGAGCTGCCCAAGGCCTTGGGAGCCCACTCCTCACAGCAGTGTGTCCTGGATGTGGGACATGGAGTCAAGAGTTATTTTCAAACTTTAAGACTTAACGTCTGCCCTCCTGGGTTTCAGACTTGAGTGAGGCCTGTTGCCTCTTTCTTTTGGCCAATTCCTCTCTTTGGGGATAGGAATATATACTCGATGCCTTTGCCACCATTGTATCTAGAAAATAAATAACTTTTTTTTAATCTCACAGGCTTATAGGTGGAAGGAACTCATCTCCAGACAAGACTTGGGATTTGGGACTTGGGATTTCTGAGTCAGTGCTTGAATGAGTTAAGACTTTGGGGGACTATTATGAAGGCATGATTGTATTTTGAAAGGTGAGAAAAACATGAGATTTAGGGGGCCAGAGGTGGAATGATACGGCTTGGATATTTGTCCCCTCCAAATCTCATATTGAAATGTGATTCCCAAATACTGAACATGGGGACTGGTGGGAAGCGTTTGGGTCATGGGGGCAGATCCCTCATGAATGGTTTAGCACCGTCCCCGTGGTGGTAAGTGAGTTCTTGCTCAATTCGTCATCGTGAAATTTGGTTGTTTAAAAGAATCTGGGACCTCCCTCTTTTTTCTCTCTTGCTCTCACTCTCGCCATGTGACATGCTAGCTCCCCTGTCACCTTCCACCATAACCGGAAGCTTCCTAAGGCCTTCACCAGAAGCCATGCAGATGATGATGCCATGATTTTACAGCTTGCAGAACCTTTAATAAGAGCCAATTAAACCTCTTTTCTTTATAAATTACCCAGCCTCAAATATTTCTTTCTTTTTTTTTTTTTTTCTGAGATTAAGTCTCACCTTGTCACCCAGGCTGGAGTACGATGGCGCAATCTCAGCTCACTGCAACGTCCACCTCCCGGATTCAAAGGATTCTCCTGCCTCAGCCTTCTGAGTAGCTGGGCTTACAATCGCCTGCCACCATGACCAGCTGATTTTTCTATTTTTAGTAGAGGTGGGGTTTCGCCATGTTGGCCAGGCTGGTCTCAAACTCCTGACCTTGAGATCTGCCCACGTCGGCCTCCTAAAGTGCTGGGATTATAGGCATGAGCCACTGTGCCCAGCCCAGATATTTCTTTATAGTGACACGAGAATGGACTAACACAGAGGCACTGAATGTCATGCACAGCCTCACACTGGGTGAGCGGTGGGTAGGATGTGAATCCACATCAGTGTGGTTCCTAAGTCCTTATTCCTCACACTGCACCAGAGGAGAACTTCATAAGCTAACCTTCAAGTCAAGATTCTGATCTCCATGTTCTTTGACCACTAGCGACAGAGACTCTACCCTTCCTAGGAATAACTCAAGGTGCTCAGCTCAGATCTGAACTGGTCCAACCTGTGCCAGCTACTAAGGTATGATTTCTAGCATGATCTGAATGTTTGTGTCCCCCCCAAATTCTTATGTTGAAACTTAATCACAAAGACAATGGCATTAGGAGATGAGATCTTTGGAAGTTAATTAGGTCATAAGAGTGTATCCCTTATGAACAGGACTACTGCCCTTATACAAAAGAGCCCAGAGAGCTGTTTTACCCCCTCTACCATGTGAAGATGCAGCAAGAAGGCACCATCTATGAACCAGGAAGTGGGCCTTCACCAGGTGCCAAATCAGCCATTGTACCTTGACCTTGGACATCCCAGCCTCCAGAACTGTGAGAAATACATTTCTGTTGTTTATAAGCGACCCAGATTTTTGATATCTCATTATAGCAGCCCAAAATGACTAAGATCATCTCTTGCTTCCAAATAGCCTCTGCTTTGTGGCCCTAGAACTCTGACTCAGCTGACCTCATTTCTCCTTTGTCAGGTGAACTCTCTCCGGAGCGGCCACTAGCGGGAGACTGGCAGACAGGAGCTGGGGAAGCAGAGAAGTGCTCTATCCCCTTTCCTTGCCCCCAGGAACGGCCCCATATTGTCCCCAGGAATGGCCTTATTTCAAGCAACAATAGTTGATTTCAGTCTTCAGTGCATTTTAGCACTTACAGACCAACTTTATTTTGACCCCTTCAAGGTACCAGTAGCAGTCAGGCAGTGCTGTCTCCTCAGAGGTCTGAGCTTCCCTGACACTCTCCTCTGAGCTAAGGTGCTAAGGCTTCAGCCCCAGCTCTGCAGGGCCTTCCATCTCCTGGTTAGCAGCTCCAGCTGGGGAGCACCAGGCTCTGCAGGGACCCTTCTCTGGGCTACTAGCTTGTGTTAATCCTAACCTCTCCCTTTGTTCCCACAGCCTTAGGGGTGGACAGTGTTTTCTTCATACACATCTTTGTTCTTACCTAGTGTTTCCTTTTTGCTCTTATTCAGCCTCCTAAGACCTGTGTGTCCAACTTCCCATATTAAATTCCCTTTATGAAATACATAGTATTGTTTCCATGTTCCTGACCAGATCCTGACTCATAAAGGACTCAACTCCTGCAATCATCTAAACAAAGCTGACCCCAAAAGTGAATTCAAAGCTGCAGACTCCTGGGAGGAAATTCTGCTGTTTGCTTATGCCCAAGGTGCCATTTCAGAGCAAAAGTGTAGCTTTCTTTCCATCCATCAGTGAACTTTTCACAGGCCCTGGAAGCTAAGGCTGGCCAGCCCTGCTGCCCAATCCTTATTTCAGCCCCATTAAGCTGCCAGCCTCAGGCCTTGCCTAGAGCTCCCTGGGAGCAGTTTCCCAACTTTAACTTCTTCTCTTGTCAGCTCAGGATCCTCAGTTCTGCTGACCTCAGCTCACTGGTGGAGAGGGGCTGAGACATCCTGTTTGGCAGGCAGGGATATGAGCAGTTTAGCACCCAGAAACACCGAGAGGAATGCTGTGAATAGGACATCAGACAGACCTGGTGGAGAGAGGGGAAAAGGAATGCCTTTGTCTTTGCTCGAGCTCTAGCATACCATACCTCTTAGCACAGGACACACAGACTCACCCTCTCCCACTACATCTTGACCCTTATTCAAGCATGTTTCATCTTCCATTCATAGGGCCTAACCCATAGGAGGTGCATAATCAACACTATTACACATGAAAAAAAATTAAAGAGTTCCTGAAGATATGCTGCCAAAGAACTTCCAACCCAATAATGCTGGTAGAAAAGGTGAGGTCAGACTTCTTTTGGAATGAAATTCCCAGAACCCTGATTTATAAAGACTGTTATGAGCTGAAATGTATCCCTTTATAATTCCTTTTTTGAAATATTAGCCTGTAGAACCTCAGAATGTGACTGTATTTGGAGCTAGGGCCTTTATAGAGATTATCCAAATAAAATGAGTGGGCCTTAATCCACTATAACTGGTTTCTTTATAAGAAGAAGAGATTAAGACACAGACAAGCACAGAAGACCATGTGAAGACCCAAGGAGAAGACCGCCATCTGCAAGCCAAGGAAAGAGGCCTCAGAAGAAACCAACCCTGCCAACACCTTGATCTTAAACTTCTAGCCTCCAGAATTGTGAGAAAATAAATTTCTGCTGTTTAAACCACCCACTCAATGGGCCTGGGTTAAGGCAGCCCTAACAAACTAGTATGGAAACCATATATTCCAAATTAAAATCCAGGACCCAAGTGTATGAAGATCTGTGTAAAATTAAGGATAAAAATACTGGTTAGGCTCGAAGTGAGGTTATCTGTGGGAAGGACCTTCAGAACCTCATGAATTGAGTTGCACAGAATGGGACACAAAGTGTACCTATTTTATGCCAAACCAAGTCTCACAAAAACATAGCCCCTGCTGCTGAATGGAGATGATCAGCTGAATTCTCTGGAGTGGGAAGGCACAGGCAGAGGCACGACCCGCAAGACAGCCTCCAAAGGATTCCCCTTTTGTTTCCCATTCCTCATGATCTCCATTTCGCCCAGAACCAGAACTCCACAGGCTGCAAACTCTCTCTTTTAGCAAAGTCACGAAACTTCTTTGAAATTCCAATAGTTCTTCTGTAAAACTGAGATAAAATCTGCCTCACAAGGTGGTCATTTTGATTCCATTTTACAAATTATGGAGCACAATGCCAATAGGAGCCAATATGTACATGATCATCACTCTTTTTCAATGCAAGAATGCAAAATCACTTTTCTTGGTTTCCTTTTACATCAGCTGATGTGGACAGTCATTCTCAAAAAAAAAAAAAATTGTCATAGTTTGGCTTTCCTGAGAAGCAAAGCCTGAGATAAGCATTTGAGCATGCAGAGTTTTTTGGAAAGTGACCCCAAGATACCTCAGCAGGGGAGTGGAGAAGAAGAAAAGTCAGAAAAGAAGCCCAACAAAGGGTGTATTATCAAACAGGGTGCCAGTGTGGGTGACTGGAGCTTAGCCCTGCGCAGGAGCTCTGGGACACAGTAAGCCCACAGCACACAGCACAGGAAGCCAAGCCTATCCATGCACTCGCTCCCTTCGCTCACTGGCTGAGAGACACCAACACCTGAGAAGGGTGTGTTAGTTCTGACATTTCCAGTGGGCAGAGCTGGCTCTGGTCACCCAAGATAACCCTCAGGCAATAGCCCTGGCATTTTAAAATCATGCACTAAAATAATAAGGCCCAAGGGGGTGTGAGCATCTACCCTTAGAAACATCCTTGCCAAGTGGTTGCTTAAATTGGGTTTGATGTGCTTTTGAAACATGATGAATTGTTCCATTTCTTACAAACCAAATATCATAGACCAATCTGTAAATCCATATACATTATACATTTTTCTGCTTTGAATGTTCCTCTATAGCCCTCCTACTACTTTGGATTTCTGTCCTATGGCATCCACTTCTCAGTGATGGGTTTCCTTGAGTCCTGCTGGAAAACCAAGCCCTTCCTTTTATAGGTCACCATCTTCATCTAACCGTGGAATGTTCTTTGAGGACTCACTCTTGCATGTCCCTTTGAAGACTCACTCACAGCTATGTGCACACACCCACACACACATACCACATCATACCAATGTGCTTTTTATCACAGTTATCAGGATAGGACAAGCATACACTATAGTAACAACCCCAAAATATCAATAGTTTAACATAACAGAAGTCTATTTCTTGCTCACTCCTGTGTGGAGCTGGGTGGCTCCCTGGGACTTTGGTGATCCAGGGTGCTTTGGTCTTATGGATCTGCACATCTGCAGGAGTTTTCCAAGCTCACTGCAGCAGAGAAGAGAGAAACTAAGAGAATCACATGTAGGCTTGTCACTGCCTCAGCCCAGATCAGCACACATCATGTCTACCCTCATTTCACAGGCACAATCTAACTGCAGAGGGTGGGCAGTGTGATGTCCATGTGTCCACAAGGGAAGGAAGAGCAGACATTGATGCCCAGCAGTGATGTGTGCCAGTTACTCCCAGGGAGGTGGTCTTGTGAGAACCCACCAACAACAGAACCACATTATGACAATAATGCTGAGCGGGGTTCCATCAGACCTGGGAGACCTACATCAGAGCCAAGAATGTGGAGTCAGGTTTGCTCCAGGACTAAGCAAGTTTACTCACATTTGCTCTACAAACTCTTAGCATTCAGTGAAGCCACAGATGATGCCAAATCCCTTTGCCTTAAAATATTTGGATTTTCACTTAACTGATGTGTCATCTATATCATGCAGTTTACTTGTCTGATATAGCATGGGTATACTCAAATGCAAGACATCAGGGTGAATGTGCCAAGATGCCATGAGCTCACTAGGAGATAATGGGAAATGGGAACATATGTGACCAAGTGACAGTCACAGACAGGCTGACTCCAGTTTGCAGACGCCCTATTTGTGATGATGACAGAAAGAGCCTGAAATTGAGAGAAGACTGTGCTCAGGAGATATCCCAGATTCCACCTGGGATCTATGCAAGGATCAATGACATCCCTGAAGACCTGTGAGCCAAGTGTGACTTGGTCTTTTTTTAAGTTATCATAAGATTCCAAAGGGAGACTGACAATGAGGCCTTGGCCTTAGGAAAAAGTAGGATGACTACAAATTAAGAACCAACACTGATTGATTGTTGAGGTGATCAGTCTCACAGGCTTTATAACAAATACTGAGAAACTGAATGGAGGGGGCTGAACTACAGGTTTGGTTCTTATGATGTAGTTGCAATTCTTTCCCTGCCTCAGAAGCATTTACTTTTATAAATATAGAGGTTTGAGGTGTCTATTTTTCAATTCTAAACATTAAAGTATACTCCTCGCCAACATAAGCATAGCCTTTACTTCTGAGCTGCCTCGAGTGAAGCTGAATATGGAAACTTCAACCAAGCAAACCCTGCAGGCTATTCCCAGCTCAGAGAACCACATGCATCAAATGTAGGAATTGGTCCAGGAATCACCGAGGAAGGACACAGCAGTCTTGCCCCAGAAGGGAGAGCAGAGACAGCAGCACAGCCCATGAGAGGTACACCACCAGACTGGAGCTGGCCAGGCCACTGCACCATTTCTAATCACTAATTCCCTTGGAAATATGTATCTATTTCAGTTATGAAAAGGCGAACTCACAAACTCAGCCCAACTAATCCATCCTTGTTCTCACAGCTGCAGCTTTTCCTCAGGAGAAAACCTGTCAGTCAAATATCAGGATGTGACTCATCCAATTCCCTCAAAAGGCAATTTCAACCTATTGGTGGTCAAAATGCCTCTGAAAGCCAGGTTATGGCAGCTTCTAGGCTGGTATGGAGACTTTTTTTAAAGATTGCCTTACATTTATAGAAGGCACTTTGAAACATTGATTTATATCAAGTAATAAAATTTTAATTAACGCTCTAACTTATAAACCCTGCATGTTGTGTGAGTTAGAACATAAACCCAAAGCGATCGTTCTTTCAGGATGAGAGAATTATCCACTTGGCTAAAACAATGAACTGACCCATCTAATGGCTTTATTCAGCCAGAGTGGATGCTGGCTGGGTTTTGGAAGTAATAGGTTTTCTCAGTGTGTAATTCAATGATTCATTCTCTTCTGGTGTCCCAAGTGACTACATTGAGTCTTACCAAGCCCACAAGAAGAACCCCGTTTCCTGTCATTCCTGGTGTATCAGAAAGACCACTCTGTCAGGCTGGGATCCAGGGAGGCCAAGTCTGGACGGAGGTGTTCTGCTCCCTTCGCTTTGCTAAGGAAGCACAGGAGTGATGATGGGCAGCTACACAGGTGAGCTGGGGCACAGCAAGATTTGAACCACAGCCTGCCTATTGCCCAAGTCTGTGCTTCCTCCACCACACTGTGCTGATCTCTGTATCTTAAATGTGGTGGGCATTTCCTACTGCCATTTCCCTTTTTCTATCTTTCTCTTGTCTCATTTTCTTTGGGCACTCACATAATTGAGAGCACCATCTAAAGTGGGAGGCAAAAAGAAAAACAATCACAGCATCAATAACCCTGTTAGGAGCTGGCTTATTTCAAATTTACAGCAGATGCCTGAAAGAAAACTAATCAATATGTGCTCCCTTCCTCCTGGAGGTAAGGCAGCAATCCCATGCTGTTTATGAGTTTTATGAAACTCCAGTCATTTTCTAGCAGTTCAGGGAGCTCTAAATTTTGCTTTTACCAATATACACTTCAACCCCGAAATGGAAAATCATTTTGTAAAATAGAAGAGCAGTCCATTCTTTAAATATGAGATTGATATATGATTCCTGCTTCAGATATGGTCATGAAAATTCTTCAATTAATCCATTGGTGTCACTTCAGCAACTTCACCGTGATTTGAAGTCTGTCTATGCACTTCATAGAACATCCCCCCAATCCTCCAATTTACTAAGGCTTTGCTCCTAAAAGCACTACCATTGTCAAATTTCCTAAATATTTAAGTCTATTTCCAATGACATGTGAAAGGATTAGCAAACAAAGTTCTCATTAGTCAATTTCACATTCAAAACTATAGTTTGCTTATCAATCCTATTAGGATATATACAAGCTTGAATATATTTTTCCTGGAAAAAAATATGATTGAGTATCCTTCCAATGTTCACATCTCAAACAGCTCTTTATGACCTTCTTATGTTATATAATTAGAAAAGCACCAGGAATCCCCCCACACCTCTCAAATATACAAGCACACCTCACTTTATTGCACTTTGCTTTATCGTGCTTCACAGATATGGCATTTTTTTAAGCAATTGAAAATTTGTGGAAACCCTGCCTCAGGCAAGTCTGTCAGTGCCATTTTCCAACAGAATGTGCTCACTTTGTGTCTCTGTGTCACCTTTGGGTGATTTCCACAATATTTCTAACTTTTTCATTACTATTACATCACTATAGTAATCTGTGATTAGTGGCCATTGATGTTACTGTTGTAATTGTTTTGGGGCACCACCAATCACACCCTTATAAGATGGTGAACTTCACTGATCAACGTTGTATATGTATTCTGACTGCACGAACCAGCCATTCCCCCATCTTTCTCCCTTTCCTCAGGCCTCCCCTTTTTGTGAGACACAACAATATTCAAATTAGGCCAATTAATAACCCTACAATGGCATTTAGTGTTCAAGTGAAAGGAAGAATCACAGGTCTCTCACTTAAAATCTAGAAATGATTAAGCTTAGTGAGGAAGGCATTTTGAAAGCCAAGGTTGGCCAAAATCTAGGCCTCTTGCACCAAACAGCTATCAAGGTTGTAAAAGCCTCTTGAAGGGAATTAAAAGTGATACTCCAGTAAACATACAAATAATAAGAAAGTGAAACACCCTTCTTGATGATATAGAGAAAGTTTTAATGGTCTGTGGCTTGTTTAATAGAAGATCAAACAAGCCACAACTTTTTTTCTTTTTTTTTTTTGAGATGGAGTCTTGCTCTGTTGCCCAGCAAGTTCCGCCTCCCAGGTTCACACCATTCTCCTGCCTCAGCCTCCTCAGTAGCTGGGACTACAGGTGCCACCACCACACCCAGCTTATTTTTTGTATTTTTAGTAGAGATGGGGTTTTAACGTGTTAGCCAGGATGGTCTCAATCTCCTGACCTCGTGATCCGCCCACCTCGGCCTCCCAAAGTGCTGGGATTACAACTATGAGCCACCGCGCCTGGCCCAGCCACAACATTCTTTTAAGCCAAAGCCTAATCCACACCAAGGCCCCAACTCTCTTCAATTTATTGAAGGCTGAGAGAGATGAGGAAGCTGCAGAAGAAAGGTTAGAAGCTAACAGAGATTGAGTCATGAGGTTTAAGGAAAGAAGCCACCTCCATAACATAAAAGTGCAAGGTGAAGCAGCAAGTGCTGATATAGAAGCTGCAGCAAGTTATCCAGAGGATGTAGCTAAGATCATTGATGAAGATGTCTAAACTAACAACAGATTTTCATTACAGCCCAAGCAGCCTTACATTGAAAGAAGATACCAACTAAGATTTTCATAGCTAAAGAAAAGTCAAAGTTTGGCTCCAAAGCTTCAAAAAACAGGCTGACTCTCTTGTTAGGAGCTAATGCAGCTGGTGACTTCAAGTTGAAGCCAGTGCTCATTGGCCATTTTGAAAATCCTAGGTCCCTTCAAAATTATGCTAAACCTACTCTGTCTGCGCTCTATAAATGGAACAACAAAGCCTGGATGACAGTGCATCTGTTTACAGCATGGTATACTGAATATTGTAAGCCCAGTATTGGAGGAAACCTACTTCTCAGAAAAAAATATTTGTTAAAATATTACTGCTAATTAACAAGGCACCTGTTCACCCAAGAGCTCTGATGAAGATGTACAAGAAAATTAATATTGTTTTCATGCTTGCTAACACAACATCCATGTATCAAGGAGTAATTTCAACTTTCAAGTCTTGCTATTTAAGAAATACATTTAGTTAGGCTATAGCTGCCATAGATAGTGATTCCTCTGATGGATATGGGCAAAGTAAATTTAAAACCTCTGGAAAGAATTTGCCATGCTAGATACCATTAAGAATATTTATGATTTATGACAGGAGGGAAAAATATTAGCATTAACAGGAGTTTGACTATAAAAACCCTAGAAGAAAACCTAGGAAATACCATTCAGGACATAGGCACGGGCAAAGATTTCATAATGAAGACGCCAAAAGCAATCGCAATCAAAGCAAAAATTAACGAATGGGACCTAATTAAAGAGCTTCTGCACAGCAAAAGAAACTATTATCAGAGTAAAGAGACAACCTACAGAATGGGAGAAAGTTTTTGCAAACTATGTATCCAACAAAGGTCTAATATCCAGCATTTATAAAGAACTTAAACAAATTTACAAGAAAAAAACAACCCCATTAAAAAGTGAATAGAGGATGTGAACAGACACTTCTCAAAAGAAGACATACATATGGCCAACAATCATATGAAAAAAAGCTCAATATCACTGACCATTAGAGAAATGCAAATCAAAACCACAATGAGATACCATCTCACGTCAGTCAGAATAGTTATTATTAAAATGACAAGAAATAACAGATGCTAGTGAGGTTGGGGAGAAAAAGGAACACTCTTACACTGCTGGTCGGAGTGTAAATAAGTTCAACCATTGTGGAAGACAGTATGACAAATCCACCTCAAAGACCTAAAGACAGAATTACCATTCAACCCAGCAATCCCATTACTGGGTATATACCCAAAGAAATATAAATCATTCTGCTATAAAGACACATGCATGCATATGTTCATTGCAGCACTATTCAGAATAGCAAAGACATGGAATCAATCTAAATGCCCATCAGTGATAGACTGGATAAAGAAAATGTGGTACATATACACTGCCAAATACTATGCAGCCATAAAAAAGAATGAGATCATGTTTTTCACAGGGACATAGATGGAGCTGGAGGCCATCATCCTTAACAAACTAATACAGGAACGGAAAACCAGATGGCGCATGTTCTCACTTATAAGTGGGAGCTGAATGACGAGAACACATGAACACATAGAGGGGAAGAATGCACACTAGGTACTACTGGAGGGTGTAGGGTAGGAGAAGGGAGAGGATCAGGAAAAATAACTAATTGATTTTAGGCTTAATACCTGGGTGATGAAATAACCTGTAGAACAAACACCAATGACACACTTTTACCTATGTAGCAAAAATGCAAATCATGCACGTGTACCCTTGAACTTAAAAGTTAAAAAAAAAAAACAAAAACAGGAGTTTGAAAGAAGTTGATTCAAATTCTCATTGGTGATTTTGAGGGGTTCAAGACTTCAGTGGAGAAAGTAACTGCAGATGTGGTGGAAGTAGTAGAGAACTAGAATTATAAATGGAACCTGAAAATGTGACTGAATTGCTGCAATCTCGTGACAAAATTGAATGAATGAGGAGCTGCTTCTTATGGATGAGCAAAGAAAGTTGTTTCAAATTAGTCTGCAAGTCACAATTCCTCCCTACTTGGGACATCAACATTCCTACAGATGAAAAGAGGTGCCTGTCTGATCTGAATAGCCAGAACACTGGGACAGGTGAAGGCTGTGAGTTGGTTAGCTTTCCTGCTGGCCTAGCAGGGGAGCTGGGGTAGTTCCCATTCTTCACCCTGATAAAACCTTAGCACATCTAATTGAGAGATCCCCCAACCACCTTCATCAAGGCTTGGACTTCTGACCATCATTGGGTATTACATTTACCCACCTGTCTTAGCTACAACTGGTCCCTACCCAAGGATATTTCCCCTATCGGCATGAAGCATGAATTATCAACTCAGTAAATCAAATACTCTGTAAAAATTAAATAAATAAGTAAAGCACATACCACAAGATAACAAGCTTTAAGAGATCCCTACCATTCCAACTCCATCGAAGACGGTAAACTTGCCCACACACCAAGTACATAAATACTGCAACCAGCATCTGGGAAAGCCAGCACACAAAGACTCTCTGTAACTAAGGAACTTATTCAGAGTCTTCACCCCTACAAACAGCAAGAATCAAATGAGGCTAAAATAAATTATAAACATTAAAGTCTGATTCTTAAGAGGAAAAAAAAGAAATTTTAAAAAACGGTCCAATCAAAAATAAATTCAAGAACAATTTTAAGAAATAGTCTACTCAAATAAGAAAGAACAGAAAAGCAATTCTGGTAATATGACAAAACAAAGTTCTGTAACACTCCCAAAAGACTACTAGCTCCCCAGCAATGGATCCAAACCAAGAAGAAATCTCTGAAATGCTAGAAAAAGAATTCAGAAGATTGATTATTAAGCTACTCAAGGAGATACCAGAGAAAGGTAAAAAACAACTCAAAGTAATTTTAAAAAACAATTCATGATATGAACAAATAATTTTCCAGAGAAATAGAAATCATAAAGAGAAAAACAAATTCTGGAAATGAAAGACACACTTAGGAAAACACAAAACACATGGAAAGTTTCAACAATGACTAGAACAAGTAGAAGAAAGAATTTCAGAGCTCATACACAAGGCTTTTTAATTAACCCAATCAGACAAAGACAAAGAAAGAAGAATTTTAAAAGAATGAACAAAGTTTCTAAGAAATATGGGATTATGTAAAATGGCCAAACCTATGAATAATTGGTGTTCTTGAAGGAAAAGAGAAGTCTAAAAGTTTGGAGAACTTATTTGAGGGAATAATCAAGGAAAACTTCCCTGCCCTTGCTGGAGTTATAGACATCCAAATACAAGAAGCTCAAATAACTCCTGGGAAATTTATCACAAAAAGATTATCACCAAGGCACGTAGTCATCAGGTTATCTAAAGTAAAGATGATGGAAAGAATCTTAAGAGCTGTGAGGTCAGGCGCGGTGGCTCATGCCTGTAATCCCAGCACTTTGGGAGGCTGAGGCAGGCAGATCAGGAGGTCAGGAGTTCGAGACCAGCCTGGCCAATATGGTGAAACTCCCCCTCTACTAAAAATACAAAAATTAGCCAAGTGTGGTGGTGCGCACCTGTACTCCCACTTACTCAGGAGGCTAAGGCAGAAGAATTGCCTGAACCCAGAAGGCAGAGGCTGCAGTGAGCTGAGATGGTGCCACTGCACTCCAGCCTGGGTAACAGAGCAAGACTCTGTGAAAAAAAAAAACAAAAAACAAACTTTGAGACAAAAGAACAAAAGCATCAGGTAACCTGTAATGGAAAATCTATCAGATTAACCGCAGATTTCTCAGCAGAAACCTTACAAGCCAGAAGAGATTGGGATCCTATCTTTAGCCTCCTTAAACAAAGTAATTGTCAGCCAATAATTTTGCATCTAGCAAAACTAAGCTTCATAAATGAAGGAACAATAAAGTCTTTTTCAGACAAACAAATGCTGAGAGAATTTGCCACTACCAAATTGACACTACAAGAAATGCTAAAAGGAGTTCTAACTCTTGAAACAAAAACTTGATATACACCAAAATAGAACCTCCTTAAAGCATCAATTTCACAGGGCCTATAAAACAATAACACAGTGAAAAAAAAAGTATCTAGACAACAACTAACCTGATGAATAGAGCACTATCTTACACCTCTATACTAACATTAAATGTAAATGGCCTAACTGTTCCACTTAAAAGATACAGAATGGCAGAATAGATTAAAAGTAAAAATCTACTATCTTTATGAGACTCGCCTAACACCTACGGACTCACATAAACTTTAGGTAAAGGGGTGGAAAAAGATATTCCACACAAATGGAAACCAAAAGCGAGCAGGAGTAGCTATTCTTATACCAGACAAAGCAGACATTAAAGCAACAGCAGTTAAAAAAAAAAAAAAAAAAAAGGCAAAGACAAAGAAGAACTTTATGTAATGATAAAAGGATTAGTCCAATAGGAAGGTATTACAATCTTAAATGTATATGCATCTAGCACTGGAGCTGCCAAACATAAAACAATTACTACTAGACCTAAGAAATGAGATGGGCAGCAACACAGTAATAGTGGGGGATTTCAGTACTCCACTGACAGCACCAGAGAGATCATCAAGATAGAAAATCAACAAAAAAAGGACTTAGACTATACTCTAGAATAAATGGATTTAACAGATATTTACAGAACATTCTTCCCAAAAAAAATGCAGAATACCCATTCTTCTCATCAGCACATAGAACATTCTCCAAGACAGACCATATGATAGGCCACAAAACAAGTCTCAATAAATTTTAAAAAATCAAAATCATATCAAGTATCTTCTTAGACCACGGTGGAATAAAACTGAAAATCAATTCCAAAAGGAACCCTCAAAACTACACAAATACATAGAAATTAAATAATCTGCTCTTGAATGATTTTTGGGTTAACAATGAAATCAAGATGGAAGTTGTAAAATTCTTCAAAATGAATAATAATAGTGACACAACTTATCAAAACCTGTGGGATACAGCAAACGCAGTGCTAAGAGGAAAATTCATAGCATTAAATGCCTACTTCAAAAAATCTGAAAGAGCACAAGTAGACAACCTAATGTAATGCCTCAGGGAACTAGAGGAGCAAGAAGAAACCAAACCCAAACCCAGAAGAAAAAAAAGAAATCACAAAGATCGGAGCAGAACTAAATAAAATTGAAACAAACAAAAAAGCAATACAAAAGATAAATGAAACAAAAGACTGATTATTTGAAAAGATAAGCAAATTGATAGATCATGAGCAAAATTGACCAAGGAAAGAAGAGAGAAGATCCAAATAAGCTCAATTACAAATGAAACTGGAGACGTTAAAACCAATGCCACAGAAATACAAAAGATCATTCACGGCTACTATAAACAGCTTTACATGCATAAACTATAAAATCCAGAGGAGATGGATACATTCCTGGAAATATACAGCCCTCCTAGATTAAATCAAGAAGAAATAAAAACCCAGGGCAGACCAATAACAAGCAGCAAAAGTTAATCAGTAATAATAATTTTTTAAAAAGTCAACGAGAAAAGTGGCCAGGACCAGATGGATTTACAGCTGAATTCTATCAGACATTCAAGGAAGAATTGATACCAATCCTACTGAAACTATTCCAAGATAAAGAAAGATAGAGAAAAGGATAGAGAAAGATAAAGACAAAATCCTCCCTAAATCATTCTATGAAGCCATTATCACCTAATACCAAAACCAGGAAAGAACTTCACAAAAAGGAACACTACAGACCAATATCCCTAATGAACAGATATGCAAAAATCCTCAACAAAATACTAGCTAACCAAATCCAACCAGTATGTCAAAAAGATAATACATTATGATTAATCATGATCAAGTGGGTTTCATACCAGGGATGTGAAGATGGTTTAACATACACAAGTCAACAAATATGATACATCACAAAAACAGAATTAAAAACAGAAATCAATAAACTTAATAAATGCAGAAGAGCATCTGACAACATTAAGCATCTCTTTATGATAAAGACCCTCAACAAAATTGGTATAGAAGGAACATACCTCAAAGTAATAAAAGCCATATATCAATAAAAGCCAAAGTAACAAAATCCACAGCCAACATCATACTGAATGGGAAAAAGTTGAAAGCATTCTCCCTGAGAACTGGAACAAGACAAGAGTGCCCATTCTCACCACCTCTATTTAACGTAGTACTGGAAGTCCTGGCCAGAGCAGTCAAACAGGAGAAAGAAATAAAGGACATACAAATTGGAAAAGAGGAAGTCAAACTGCTGCTCTTCACCTATGATATGATCATAAACCTAGAAAACCCTAAAGATTCACCCAAAAAGATCCTAGATCGGACAAATTCAGTAAAGTCTCAGGATACAAAAATCAATGTACACAAATCAGCAGCACTGCTATATACTAACAATGACCAAGCAGAGAATCAAATCAAGAACTCAATCCCCTTTACAACAGCTGCAAAAAATAAAATACTTAGGAATATATTCAACCAAAGAGGTGAAAAATCTCTACAGAAAAAGACTACAAAACACTGCTGAAATAAATCACAGATGACACAAACAAATGGAAACACATCCCATGCTCATGGATGGGTAGCATCAGTATTACAAAAATGGCCATACTTCCCAAAGCAATCTAAAGAGTCAGTGCAATTCCCATCAAAATACCATTATTATTCTTCACAGAACTAGAAAAACCAATCCTAAAATTCATATGGAACCAAAAAAGAGCCTGCCTAGCTAAAGCAAGACTAAGCAAAAAGAACAAATCTGGAGGCATCATGTTACCCAACTTCTAATTATACTACAAGGCTATAGTTACCAAAACAGCATGATACTCGTATAAAAATGGGCATGTAGACCAATGGAACAGAATAGAGAACCCAGAAATAAAGCCAAATACTTGTAGCCAACTGATCTTTGACAAAGCAAACAAAAACATAAAGTGGGGAAAGGACACCCTATTCAATAAATGGTGCTGGGAAAACTGGCAAGCCACATGTAGAAGAATGAAACTGGATCCTCATCTCTTACCTTATAGAAAAATCAACTCAAGATGGATCAAAGACTTAAATCTAAGACCTGAAACCCTAAAAATTCTAGAAGATAACATCGGAAAAACTCTTTTGGACATTGGCTTAGGCAAAGAATTCATGACTAACACCCCAAAAGGAAATGTAACAAGAACAAAAATAAATAAATGGGACCTAATTAAACTAAAAATCTCTGCATGGCAAAAGAAATAATCAGCAGAGTAAACAGACAACCCATAGAGTGGAAGGAAATAATTGTAAGTTATGCATCCAACAAAGAACTAATATCCAAAATCTACGAGGAACTCAAACAAAGCAAGAAAAAAAAAACAAATAATCCCATCAAAAAGTAGGCAAAGGACATGAATAGACAATTCTCAAAAGAATATATACAAACAGCCACAAACATATGAAAAAATGTTCAGTGTCACTTACTATCAGGGAAATGAAAATTAAAACCACAATGAGATACCACCTTATTCTTGCAAGAATTACTATAATTAAAAAGTCAAAAAATAATAGTTGTTGGCATGGGTGTGGCAAAAAGGGAACACTTTTATACTGCTGGTGGGAATGTAAACTAGTACAATCACTGTGGATAACAGTATGGAGATTACTCAAGGAACTAAAAGTAGAAATACCATTGGCCAGCAATCCCACCACTGGGTATCTACCCAAATGAAAAGAAGTCAGTATATTAAAAACACACATGCACATGCATGTTTATAGCAGCACAATTTGCAATTGCAAATATATGGAATCAATCTAAGTGCCCATCAACCAAGGAGTGAATAGAGAAAATGTGGTAGGCTGAACATGGTGGCTCACACCTGTAATCCCAGAACTTTGGAGTGTCAAGGCGGGTGGATTACCTGAGGTCAGGAGTTCAAGACCAACCTGGCCAATATGGTGAAACCCAATCTCTACAAAAATACAAAAATTAGCCAAGCATGGTGGCGCACTCCTGTAGTCCCAGCTACTCAGGGGGCTGAGGCAGGAGAATCGCTGAAACCCAGGAGGCAGAGGTTGAAGTGAGCTGAGATCACACCACTGCACTCTAGCTTGGGCAATAGAGTGAGAAAAGAAAGAAAGGAAGAAAGAAAGAAAGGAAGAAAGAAAGAAAGAAAGGAAGGAAGGAAGGAAGGAAGGAAGAGAGAGAGAGAGAGAAAGAGAGAGAGAGAGAAAGAAAGAAAAAGAAAGAAAAGGAAGGAAGGAAGGAAGGAGGAAGGAAGGAAGGAAAAGGGAAGGAAGGAAGGAAAAGGGAAGGAAGGAAAGAAAGGAAAGAAAGAAAGAGAAAGGAAGGAAGGAAGGAGAAAAGAAAAGAAAGAAAGAAAATGTGGTATATAGAGAGACTGGAACACTATTCAGCCATAAAACAGAATAAAATGATGTCTTTTGCAGCAACTTGGATGGAACTGGAGGCCATTATTCTAAATGAATTCTAACTCAGGAGTGGAAAATCAAATATTGTATGTCCTCACTTATAAGGGGGAGCTAAGCTATGAGGATGCAAAGGCATAAGAATGATATAATGGACTTTGGGGGCATGGCAGGGGGAAGGGTGGGAGTTATAAAAGATTACATATTGGATACAGCATACACTGCTCAGATGATGGGTGCAACAAAATCTCAGAAATCATCACTAAAGAACTTGTCCATGTAACCAAAAACCACCTGTACTTCCAAAACTATTAAAATAAAAATAATTTATAAAATAAAATAAGATTTAAAAATTAGTCTTCAACTACCTTCTTGATTTTCCTGGCAGTCAAAACAAGAAGGAATAGCATATAAATCATGTGATTTACATTATCTATGAGAGAAAATCTTAGCAATTGAGGATAAAACAAAGGAAGTTTTTGGTGTTTTGTTTAAGATTTCTGGATCAAAAAGGATCCCTCTTCCAGATCTTGTATGACATCAAGTAATGAAAAACTCTATGACAACATCTCTACCATTAACAGAAAATTTATCTCAGTGAGAGTAATACTTGGGAGGGAACATTAATGGGGTCTGATGCTGACAAAGTACTGAGGACATTATATTAATGATTGCAGACATGCATGCATGTTTTGTCCACTTGGGCTCCTATAATACACTACTGTAAATGAGATGGCTTATAGCAACAGAAATTTATTTCTCACAGTTCTGGAGGGTGAGATGTTCAAGATCAAAGCACAGGCAGATTTGGTATCTGTTGAGGACCTGTTTCCTGACTCACAGATGGCCATTTTCTCTCCGTTTCCTCAAATGGCACGCAGCTCTCTGGTGCCTCTTTTATAAGGTAGTTGCTATGGTCTGAATGTGTCCTCCAAAGTTAATGTGTTGAAAACTTAATCTCCAATGCAACAATGTTGAGAAGCGGGACCTTTACAAGATGATTAGGTCATGAGGGTTCTGCCCTTACCAATGGATTAATATCATCATTACAGAAGTGGTTTATCCCTGGAGTGGATTAGTTATATCACAGGAGTAGGTTATGATAAAAGAATGATTTTAGGCCAGGCGCAGTGGCTCACGCCTGTAATCCCAGAATTTTGGGAGGCCAAGGCGGGCGGATCACCTGAGGTTGGGAGCTCACGACCAGCCTGACCAACATGGAGAAACCCCATCTCTACTAAAAATACAAAATTAGCTGGGCATGGTGACACATGCTGTAATCCCAGCTACTTGGGAGGCTGAGGCAGGAGAATCACTTGAATCTGGGAGGCGGAGGTTGTGGTGAGCCAAGATCGCACCATTGCACTCCAGCCTGGGGCCTGGGCAACAAGAGAGAAACTCCATCAAAAAAAAAAAAAAAAAAAAGAATGATTTTGGCTCCTTCCCTCTCTTGCTCTCATGGTCTTTGCCCTTCTGCCTTTCATCATGGATGATACAGCATGAAGGCACTTGCCAGATGCTAGTGCCACACTCTTGGACCTCCCAGCCTTTAGAGCCATGAGCCACATAAATGTATTTTCTTTACAAATTAACAAGTCTCTAATATTCTATTATAGCAGCATAAAATAAACTAAGACAGTCACTAATTGCATTCACAATGGCTCCACCCTCATGACCTAATCATCTCCCAAGGCCCCCCCCTCCTTCTAACACCATCACCTTGGGGATTAGGTTTCATTATATGAATTGGGGAGGATGGGGTGCACAAACATTCAGTGCTTTGCACATGTCTAAGAAACAGAGGTCCTGCTGTTGAGGAAAATACCTATATTGGCCCAAGCGGAGCTCGTCTCATTCATTAATCATGATATAACTCATTTCAGAATGTGTGTCTGAGAACCAGCCTGACAAAAGTTAGGGGAAGGCAAGACTTCTTACTGGTGAGTAGATGAAAATGGACGGCTCGATAATGCAAAAACAGACCCAGATTCTTCAGCCATAAAGGGTACAGCAAATGACTTGCTAGTGTTTGGCTCTGACAGCCTCCACTCCAAGAGGAGGGGTTCATGTCTAACCTTTTTTCAATAAGCAAAAAATCTAGAGACAAATCCAACCAAAAATTGTCACCAGCAGCCAGAAGCAGCAGCTGCCTGAGAGCATGTGATGGGAAATGGTAATGCCTCATGGCCAACAGACTTCCCTGCCATCACATAGGAGGGGCTCAGCCCTAGGGACTGTGCTGATGCTTGGTGACAGGTGTCTGGACCTAATCCTCAGACCTCTGCTTACCTGGCACATGCCCCAATGGGGTCCACCTGCAGGGGTGGCACATTGCCTGGTGTGATGGGCAGAGGAGTTCCATCCATTTGGTCCTGCCAGTTAAATCTTGACTTAATAGAAAGAGGCAGAAAGTACAGCCCCTGCCATGAAAACTGACTGCTCCAGTGGCCAGAACCCAGCTGAGCCTTGTGGCAAAGAAGCTGGCCATCCTGAGAAACTCAGCCATCCTCCCTTTACTTTACCAAAGAAGCCGCAAAAGAAGCCAGTGGCAGAGGTGAGATAGGAGGATGTTTTGGATAGGCTTCACTCATTCTCCATCTTCCCCTTTTGTGACTCCATATGCCTTGCTAATTAAGTTTCTGACTACTCCAGTGTTGGAGCTCAAGGAAGGAAGAAAACATGAAGAGCAGAAAAGTTCACATTTGATGCATCGTCTCTGGATGGCTTAGCATCAGAGTTCTCTGGGTTTAGCAGAGATTTAAAGTCAACTCTTTCATTGGAATCATGCATAAATTTTTCAAAGATGCCTGTCCCTAGGAGGAATCTTGTACCTGACATTCTCTTGATTGGGAAAAAAAAAAAAGCCCTTCCTTGGCTCTTAAACACCCAAAGTCACCTCCAGCTTCTTTCTGCAGAAGGGCCTTCTCCATTGGGGTCCTCTTGGACAACTTCTAAGACAACCTGTCCCAGCTTGCTCAGGGATATGGCCAACACTTTAGGCCACTGGAAACACCATGTATTCCCAATTGTCCCAACACACTCCAAGTACAGGATGCCCCCCGTGCAGCAACGCCACTTTGCTTCACTTTCCGAATGTTTTTTATTTTTTCTCTTTCTGATTATGTAAGCATCTTTCTATAACATTAAGAGTTTGCAAATGCACTCCATAATCTGCAGTATATTAAATTCTTTCATATACTATCAACTCAATGTTTGTTTCATGTAAATTCTACTGGAGCACTGCACTCATTTTTCAACACAACAAATGGGAATGGGAGAAACCCAGTCAAGCCCCTTGGACAACCGCTATAACAGGAAAAGAAAACAGCTTTGTTTTACAGACTGAAATTAATACCCATTCTATGGCTGTTTGATTATTTATATTGGTGATTTCATCTATATGAGTTTGCATGTCAACATGACTATTTCAAAGAATAGCCAGCAAAGGAGGTCAGCCAGGCGCCCCCAAAGAAGGAAAGAATTCTTAGTGGACCGATTGATGGTAAGGACAGAATAGCCTCTGGCAGAATTGTCAGGAGGGAGAAGGATGTCTGCAGCAGAATTCACTACATCATCTGCAGGGATTAGTGCAAAATGAAAATGCAGAGACCCTCGTTCAAGTCATCAAACACAACGGCAGAGCATCACACCAGTGCAGGGCTCTGAGCCACTGCACAGATTGCAGGCAAAGATGCTGGCCTGTCTGCAGGAGAGGGAAGGAAACTAGCAGTTGATGAGCAATGGGATTTGAAGTGCTCTTCAGGTGCTATTCAAATGTTGCTCCATATGAGAGTAGGGAGGGAGGAATGCCTATGCGGATTTTTCAAAGAGGAAATTGAAGCTGTGCAGGGCTTGTCCAGAGCACCCAGCTGTGGAGTGGCAGATGAAGTATTCAAATTCTGTCCTGCCTGAACCCACTGTCCCCCTGGGAAAAAAAAAAAAAAAACAGATCTGGCTGCAGGAAATGGCCTGCTAGATGTCATTGATACAGTCACTTATACTCCCTGAAAATTTTGCCTTTTAAGCTGAATCTCATAGTGGAATAAAATGTTTTGTTTCAAAGTGAAAGAACTGTCCCTCGTGGGTGAAGATATAGGAGTGAGATTTGAGAGGCTGGCCCACCACCTGAAGGCTCACGGGCCATAATGACAAGTACTCAGGCTGTGAAGCTTTGATCCTATTGCCTCCTGACCCCCAGGCAGTTCCAAAACAAAATAGCCATGTTTTTCTGCTCATACTGGAAGCTCCCAGAACTCATGGATATGCAAAAAAGAAAGAAAGAAAGAAAAAGTCCCAAACTGTTTAAAAAAAAAATCCAGCTTTAAGTTGAGTAGAAACACGAACTTACCTTTTTATAATTCTTCCTCAAATATAAACCTTCTAATTGGAAAACAATATATGACTCAATATTGGATTGAGTGCTTTCCTTTAGTATCTTCCTAGCCTAATCTCAGATTATGTTAATCGCTAATTAATACCTTTTGCTTTTTATTCATGCAGAAAGAATCGATATTTTAATTACAAACTGCTTAATAATTTTCCTTTATCTATCCTTTAATGGCATTGCCAGTTTATTTAGATGCAAACATCTAAGGATTTTTATATCCCCTGGAGCAATTTCTCTTTTAAATACTTTCAGTGATACAGTTGCTATAAAGCAGTAAGTGAGCCAAGGAGACGTAGCATGAAATTACATTCCATCTCTGGAGTTTGAGTAATTAAATAAAAATGTGTCACTTACAAGGTTACAATTTTCCATCAGTGGATTTTCTGGAGGAGATTGGTGACTTATTAATTAATGCTATTGATATCATGTTCTTAGAAATCACCAGGTTGGAGAGAAACTGAGAATTCTTTGCTAAAAGCATTGTTCATTCCTCTTGAAGATGAGAGGCAACATCATAACAAAAACTCAGGGCCTTTGGAGCCAAGAGAACCTAGGTTTAAATGTCAGCTGATATTCCCCACCTGGCTGACCTTGGGTACTTTACCCAATCTCTTTTGTAAAATGGGGTTAATAACAACTCATACATTTTTGCAGGGATTAGACAGGTTTTCACAATGCCTAGCATGTTAGTATTTTTATATTTCATTATCAGTGACACCAGAGAAAGACACAACGCTTAAATGTCTCTTAAATACGGTTCCTAGCATGTTTCTTCTGAGGGAAATTATAGAGACGACTATGGCCCAGGACCACAGGCGTTCCAGTGAATAGCTAAACACAGGTTTTTGCAACAGCAATTTTCAGCATATGGTGTATGAATATATTTTTTTCTTCTTTTCAGCATAAGCCATTTTTAGTGATAGAGAGAAAAGCATCCAAGAGCAAAACCATTTAAAAACATGTCCTTATTGCTGAAAGGAGAGGAAGGATGAGATGAAGGCAATGGAGCCCATCCCTAACATTCTCTGCTTTCAAATTCCATGACCTGCCAGGCTCATGGCCCTTTACTGACAGTGAAAGAGGGCATGCCTCCTATTTTTACTTCTTTCTTTTGCTGACTTTTATGGGAAGTTCTCTAACCCATTGGTACAAAGCTGGGTTTTTTGTTTGAATCTTAAACAACTGAATGTGATCCCCTATACAACTGCCTCTTGGCAGCAATGGCAAGTTCAGCTGGAGAGGGCTGGAGAAAGCCTCATCACAATCAGACGGCATTGTTCCCTGGCTGCATCAGGTTTTGTCCCGGGATGGTTACCACATTGCAAAGGTGAGAGCTTCTCCCTGTCAAAGAAATAGGATCCAGACAGGAGCAGATAAATGCTCAATAAACTCAAGCAGATAAAAACTCAAGCCTCACTCCTTGGTCTATGCCGGGGACTCTCCAGCTGCAGACATGGCTCCTATAATTAGGTGTGTGGTTCTCACCCCAGACCCCACTGACCAGGCAGTTTGAGGCTGGATGTCCTGGGATGCCAAGAAGAGCACAGGGGCCAGGTGGAGGTGAGGGACCGAGTCACCTAGGAAGCTGAATCAGGGCTGAATCAGGAAGCTGAATGTCTAAGAAGCTCCCAAGTATTCTTTCCACATATCAGATGGCCGATGATGTAAGAGGAGTTCTCCCAGAAAGGTGGTCTCCCCATAATGCTGCAGCTCCAGTCCCAAATGTGAATTTACAGTTCTTCTCTGTCATACTTTTGCCCATCTACTAGCACGTATGGTGGTTACGCTAAACTCCCCCTGGCTCTACCATGGCCAACTAGTTACCTTAGGTTACCAACTTTCAGTTTCCCAAACTGCCACCCATCCTTTGAAATCCATTAAGTCTGCCTCCTCCAGGAAGTCTAATATCACCACTGCAACTTACAGAGCTCCCGACCTCTGCTGACATCTAGAGCTTCTGCTTTAGGTGCCAGGTTCTGTTCAGCAGGTTCCTGTCTTTTTGTGGCTGCCCTGCCTCCAAGGATCAAGTGGGATCAGGAACCACATTCTGAGATTTTCTGGGATCTGCTAGATTTCATATAGGTTTTGTTTGTTTGTTCAGTTCGTTGGTTGTTTTGGGTTTTTTGTTGTTGTTGTTGTTGTTTTGTTTTGTTTTTTTTTTGAGACAGAGCCTCGCTCTGCTGCCCAGGCTGGAGTGCAGTGGCACGATCTAGGCTCACCACAACCTCTGACTCCCAGGTTCAAGCAATTCTTCTGCCTCAGCCTCCTGAGTAGCTGCGACTACAGGCACCCGCCACCACATCCAGCTAATTTTTGTATTTTTAGTAGAGACCGGGTTTCACCATGTTGGCCCTGCTGATCTCTAATTCCTGACCTCACGTGATCGGCCCGCCTCAGCCTCCCAAAGTGCTGGGATTACAGGCGTGGGCCACTGCACCTGGCCAGATTTCATATAGTTTCTATTAAAGGCAATGTGCAAATAAATGATAGCTGCTATAGAAGAGACCCACCAGGCTAACAGGGTCTGGCCCATGGACAAGAAAGGGCTCTCGCCTCTGGCTGCTTTCTTCCTTCTGAGAGGCAGGACTACATAATATACTGGTTACCTGCTAAGATCCAGAGTCCAGAAGGCAGCAAACTCCAGCCCCACCACAAACAGGCCCTGTGAGTTTAGGCAAGTTTCAATGGAATTTCAGGCCTGTGAGCTGACATAATTGAGCAGCAGATGGTGGAAGTCCTGCACGCCCTAAGAGGGGGATTCCTCAGAGCCAGACTCACTGACTCTAGGATATTCCACTCTTGGCAGAGGGAGCAGAAATAGCACAGGGAGAATTAGATGCCGGTCATGTTGATCCCTAACAACTTGCAGCAATATCCTGTTCTTGTCATATAGATCAGGACAAAGGTGATTCCCACACAATGGGTTTCTCCTTGAAAGGAAATTGATGGCCTAACCTAGAATTCTACTGAGGAAGCAAGACATATCCCATTTGAAAATTGAAGAGGGATAAAACCTGTCAATTCTCCCTTTAGAATTCACCTCCTAAATCTAAAAAAAAAAAAAATTAAAAATAAAAAGTAATTGTAGGCCTCAAAGCATCCCCTCAACTTTATCTTTGCCTTCCATTTCACAAACCTGGCATTTCCATTAAAATTCCCTTTCATAAAAATCGGTTTTCAGACACTAGTGATAGATGGTGCTACCCTTTACAGCTGAAACCATTTGTGTTGATATCACTTCTATCAGCAACCACAAGTGAGCCCATAAAGTCAGCCATGTCCCCCGTGTCCCATTCTTGCCAGACCCCTGGGGACCTTCATAATCTCATCCGTGACCATCTGTTGACAGGGGTGGCCCTGTATGTAATTCAATAAGCCAGCTAACAGCCCAGAAAGTATGTGCTGAGCCCATAATCCACTCAGATCTGCACTGGGAGTGGGGAGATGCTGAACCTCAGCCTCCCAAAGTGCTGGGATTGCAAGCGTGAGCCACCTCACCTGCCGGGGCTGAGTCTTATTCCTTCTATAGTAAGGCTTAAGGGAGGTGTTCATTCATTCCCAAACACTTATGTAGGGCCTATGAGGTCTCTGCCACCAACCACCCTAGATTCCAGGGGTAAGATAATAAATGGATTATAACCAAAAGGTTACAATCTAGTTGGAGAGACAGGTGATAAGTTAGAAAACAATACATAATAAGATCATTCTAAATGGTGGTTTAGTGCTATGGAAAAAATATAGCCAGGCAATTATATGAGGACTATGGGAAGTGTGACGGAGAAGGTAGAATAAAAGTCCGTCACTGCCCACAAGGAGTTTATACTCCAGTTGACAAAAGCACTTGACCCAACCACAGTGACAGACCAAAGCAACATTATCACATAGTGTGATTGAGACCATCAGGGCTGCAAGTCTTCAGGGGACAGGAGGCAGAGAAGGTGGCATCACTGAAGACACATCTCAGAGGAGAGCACCTGGAATGAGGTGAGAAATATGAGCATCTTGGAGAGTCATCAACCCCAAGCACCTTCTGTGAGCCAGGCCTCATTGTACCCATTTTGCAGAGAAGAAAACTGAGACACAGATGCCCGCAATTTTGCTGCTGGTAAACAGCGGTGCCAGGGGCATTTGCTCATGCTTGGCCACATGAAAATCTGGTGTTACTGGGCCTCAGATAAGCACTGAATGTCTAAGTGTTTGAGGAGAAGGTCCCAAGTGTTACCTTTCCACGTATCAGATGGCCGGTGATGTAAGAGGAGTTCTCCCAGAAAAGTGGTCTCCCCATAAAGCTGCAGCTCCAGTCCCAAAATCCCCACTGTCTTAGGTCTGCTTAGCTGGCTGCCTCCCTCCCGCAGCTCCAGCGATAGCTCTGTGGCAGCAGCAAGAGGCAGTTTTAGGGAATAAAATAGATCGGAGTAGAGCTGGTCGAGGACTCCCGGCTCCATGGCCATCACTAAACACCTACATAAGCCTCCTTCAGCTGTCACACACCAACTGTGAATTATCAGGGGAAGTCATGGCCAGAGAGAGCTTTGCCTAATGGGGCACAGAGGGCACCTGAGCAATGTGGGGTGTGGGACTCCAGATGTTTAACGTTTGGGGCATGTTTTTTCCTCTTTTAAAATCAACTTCATTGAGTTATAATTTACATATTATAAGATGCACCTGTTTAAAGCATATAGTTCAATGAGTTGTTTTTTGTTGTTGTTGTTTTGAGACAGAGTATCGCTTTGTCACCCAGGCTGAGGTGCAGTGGTGTGATCTTGGCTCACTGCAACCTCCACCTCCCAGGTTCAAGTGATTCTCCTGCCTCAGCCTCCTGAGTAGCTGGGATTACAGGTGTGTGCCACCACGCCCAGCTAATTTTTGTTTTTTTAGTAGAGACAGAGTTTCATTATGTTGGTCAGGCTGGTCTCAAACTCCTGACCTCAAGTGATCTGCTCACCTCAGCCTCCCAAAGTGCTGGGATTACAAATGTGAGCCACTGCACCTCGCCAGATCAATGAGTTTTCACAAATATACATACCTGTGTCCTTAGGGGTGCGAGTGCTTCTGTCAGACCCTCCTGCAAAATCCCCAACCCAACCAACAGGAATTTCACCACTTGCATATTGGCCCCAGGGACACCTTAGATGGTCTTGGTGAACAGGCCATTTCAACACTACCACACCTGACGGACACTGTCAGTACTGGGCCATGTAAGGTCCCCCCAGAACCATGCATCCAGAGGTCTTCTACCAGCTGACAGCTGGGGCCCTCCCAATCCCTGGCTGTTTGAGAGCCAGCGCCATGTCGCGGTCGTGGTAAAGAGTCCTGACTCTGGAGCCAGACTACAAATCCCAGCTTACCCCCACCTGTGCCTCAGTTTTTCCTCTGTAATGGAGATAATAATAATGCCTATCTCACAGACCCCCTACCTGTGCCTCAGTTTTTCCTCTGTAATGGAGATAATAATAATACCTATCTCACAGGAACATCATGAGATCTCACGAAGTATGTAGGGTGCTTGTAAATGTGGCATACCCAGAGTAAGTAGTGAATGTTATGTAGGTGCTGCCATCATCATGGTTCCAGGGATGGACTGAGGGGGACTCAGTTGTCACTCAGGCCTAAGGACAGCAAAAGATATATATATATATTTGAGCAGGAGAGGATGATTGTCTTTGTATGTTGGGTCCTTATCTTTCAATTCATGTTTTTTGGAAAAGGAAACTTGGGCTCTTATTTGGCTGTCGGTGTCCAAGGCTTGCAAAATGTGTGGGTGGGTGCAGTGGGAGGCGAAGTGACAACAGAGGGACGACCTCACTCCTCATGACCACATCTGACCTGGCCCTCTGTGAATGCATTTTAGAGAGTTAGTGTCCATTGGTAATATCTTTGTCTCGGAAGCCAGACACCAGGGCTGGGTGTTTGTTTGTTTGTCTGTTTGTTTGTTTTGTTTTGAGACAGGGTCTCACTTTATTGTCCAGGCTGGAGTGCAGTGGCGTGATCTTGGCTCACTGCAGCCTCAATCTCCCAGGCTCAAGCAATCCTCCCACCTCAGCCTCCCAAGTAGCTGGGACCACAGGCGCATGCCACCACGACTGGCTAATTTTGTTTACTTTTTATAGACACGAGGTCTCGCTATGTTGCCAAGGTTGGTCTGGAACTCCCGAGCTCAAGCGTTCTTTTTACCTCAGTCTCCCAAAGTCCTGGGACCACAAGCATAAGCCACCGCCCTTGCCTAGGGCTGAGTCTTATTCCTTCTATAATCACACCAAGTGGGAGTCTCTGAGCCCATATCTGATAAGCAAGTTTGAGTGAAAAAGCCCAGAATCATCTGGACAGCATAGACATCCCTCCAGCATGGCTTAAAGTGTACACATGACACAGGGTCAGGGTCTACCCCTCACAGCTGCACCTGTGTAGGGTAAATGCACCTGATAGCCATAACTTAAGCATATGCTTAGAATAACCCTGTGTGGCAGATGCAATTGAATGTGTGTTCCGAGCTAGGAAATCCAGGAGTGGCCAACCTGCAGATTCATTCTTTATCTATGATAAACATCTGAGTGCCCAGCCTGTTCCATGGAACATGGGCTATACACGGGATCGAGGCCCTGAGTTTTGGGTTAAAGGAAGGTTACCAGGTGGAGGTTTTTAGGGGGAGGGTGTGAAGTGAAAATGCAATATAAAGTGCATGCCGTTTGCAGGAGGTTGCAGTTTTCCTGCTTAGCCTGCTGCTGCTAGGCCGTAAGGCTGCCTTGTCCAGGCTGCCACCCCTGGACTGTAGGTAAGATGGTTCTCTGCCCAGCTGGGCTCTCTCCTCTGTATATAAGCCCCCTGTAAAACCTTGTGTCTCGTGTGCTGACTCTAAATCTCTTCTTTGGCCTCTTGAACCTGGTGCCTTCCCTATGTGGGTTAATAGGGGCTTGGCACAACAACCTGGAAGGACCAAAGAGCAAGCTCTGAGAGGAGTAAATCAATATCTTCCCAACAGGGAGCCCTCCCCGTGGCCAACAGCCACCCAAACGGATGGGGCATGCTCACAGCTCCCAGACACTCTAGCCCCCCACGGGCCATTCCTCACTGTTGCCATCTCAGTGCACTAACTTGCCCCCTACTCTGAGCTCAGGAAGGTAGCACACTTATCCTCTGTGCCTCCAGCAACCAGAGCAATGCCCAGCACATAGCAGACACAGCAGAAGTTTATGGAATAAATAAACAGGGTGAAAATAAACTAAGACATGTCTAGTCCACCATTAACAGCCTGTATTTATGTCAGGAAAGACAGTGACACAGCCTATGCTTTCACAGGCACAAGGCCTGGTACCCAGCAGGTGTAGATAAACACTTAGTGAATTAATCCAAGAGGGAAGCCTCCTCTCTGAGATGTTCATTTCTTAAGTTTCTTCTAGAGCTAAAGACTACATCTGGGAATTGTATTTAAATTTTAGAAGTGTTGTTAAAAGTTTAACATACATATTTCAGTTTTAAATAGTCGCCTTTGCTACCAAAATTGACTAACCTCATTAAATACTTTGGGGAAACAGAAAAGAATTGAGGTCACTGGTCCTTTAGGTATTATGTGTATCTTAGAGACATCATAAAATGGTTTTAGCTGCTTATTGCCTGCTCCCTGCCTTGGCTACAGGAAGCTTTACACCAATATGCAGTCTACACAATCTGAAATTATCTATGTTCCTTTCCATTTCTGTACACTAACCTTATGAAAGTTTACTTCCTTCCTTAGTTTTTCTCTCTTCCCTGATTTCTTCATCTAATAATTTTCATATTTTTCTATAAGCCTCCTCAAGATATCTACAAGTAGAAATAAATAGTAAATATACCCAATACATGTACATATATATTTTTATAATGTCAATATAGATATTACAGTCCTCTGAAAAATAACTAAACTTGGCCTGAGTCTCTGATTCTGTGGCTTATAGAACAAAGCCCTTCCTACAATTGCCACAAATTCTTGAGAAAACCTCCTTGAAGCCCCTTCACTGATTTCTGCAGGAAATGTAACCCACCCCAGCTTCGGTGAGTTTAGCCAACTTGATCTGGGACTCTGGGTGACATCTCTGATGGAGCTGGTGATGGCCCAATTCTCCCAGGCTTCATCGTTTCTTCCATCTCGTTCCTCCCCTAGGATCTCCTGCCAGCTTTTCTTCTTCATTTTTGCTTGCTGGTTCCACCACTATGTTTTGGAAGTTGAGCATAAGTTCTCTTTGTCTATTCTAAGAGACTTTTCAGAGTAATTCTTCCAAAGGAATCCAGTGTTCTCCCTAAAGGGAGTTCGTGAGTACACTTGTCTATGCCTCCTGACATCTCGTCAGATAAATCCTGTTACTTTGTTGGACAAGAGTCTCAACAGGGAAGGCCCTGAGGGCTCCCTGTGGAGTTCTCACCTGGGCTACAGAATCTGAGTAAATCCACAGCAGTGGACGTGGTGAGGGGCCAGACATACATGGCTCTCTCCCAGAATCAAGTGATGTCACTGAGTGAGAGCAGGCTCAGGAATGTGCAAAGATCACTTAGAAATCTGCTGTCTTGACCTCAGCAACAGATCTACGTGTTGGTCTAAGAGCAGTGTGAACACATTCCTTCCTAGTTTGCAAAGTGATAGAAATAGGTGGAAAATGTGGATTCGCCAAACAATAGACTGGACTGGACAGCAGGACACAATTGGAATTGTGTGCAGGGAATTGCCCTTATTTTCTGACAGATTAGTGAAGAAATGAATATAATCAGTCTTTTATCCAACCCATAGCAAGTAATACCGGTGGAAATAATCAACACAAAATGAAACCAGCAATGGCTACCATCACAGGCAGTAAAATTTATACATGCAAAATTTGACCCAGAAAATAGGATTTTGTGGAATTAATGACCACAAAAGAAAACTCACAATGATGGAGACCATAATCAGTAAAATTTCATATTCATAATAAAACTGGCCAAAAAATTAAACCTCCAGAGCAAAACTTACATGAAAAGAATTGATTTAGATAAAAAATAACTTCAGGGAAATAAAAGTGGAAACAATTGGAGACAGTTTAACTCCACTTCATAGAAAATGGACCAAGAAATTAAATTGGACATCAGAGTTTATTCTGAAAAGTGCATTTTCAATGAACATTCCTTAGTGTGGGTATAATTCTTATTCAAATATTTGCATTCAAAACACTGAGTGAAGGGAAAGAAGATTCTGGAATGGAGTTCTTGGGGCCAGGTGCAAACAAAGTAGATATTTTTACATCCGTGACCAAGCCTGGTACAATGTTCTCAGTTAATAGTTGTAGAATGATTTATTTACTTATCTAAAAATCAAGCATCTCTGCCTCTCTGGCTTGCCTAGCCAAAAGACTTCCCTTCAGAATACCCTTCCAGACACACAGTTATCTCTTAATCCCATTTTCTTCTTCTCAATACACAAAGAACACAGCAGAGACCCCTACCACCACCACCAAGACCCCACCCACAAAACTGCATGTCTTCCCCCCACACCAGAATGCCCCATTCAGAAAAGAAAGCAGTTTATATCTGTCAATTAAGACTTCTGTTGAACATAAATAAAAATGTCTTGATTTTAGAACTCTGGGGGAGGAGATAGCAACCAATGTTGAGGCATTCAAGAGTCACTTTATTTGTTGTTTCAAAATGCATTGCAATCTTGCTGTTGTAAAAATTTGTTAAAAAAAAAAAAAAAAAGGCTGGGTGCGGTGGCTCATGCCTGTAATCCTAGCACTTCGGGAGGCCAGGGTGGGTGGACTGCCTGAGCTCAGGAGTTCGAGACCAGCCTGGGCAACATGGTGAAACCCCGTCTCTACAAAAATACAACAAATTAGCCAGGCGTGGAGGCATGTGCCTGTAGTCCCAGCTACTTGGGAGGCTGAGGCAGGAGAATTGCTTGAACCCAGGAGGTGGAGGCTGCAGTGAGCCAAGATCAGGCCACTGCACTCCAGCCTGGATGACAGAGACTCCGTCTCAAAAAAAAAAAAAAAAAAAAAAAAAAGTGGAGAGGATGAGTGCTTCTTCATCTAGGCATCTTAGAAATCTCACAAAATAGTTAGCATCATTATTTGCTGATACACCTGTCTCCTCTCTGAAAGACTGTGGGTCCCTTGAAGCATTCGATGGGTCTCCAGCCTGGAGCCATGCCTAACACGTAATAAACATCATTCTCTCCTGGGTTTCTTGAGTGAATAGATGAGATCAGAACCCCAGACAAATTGATAGGAAAATGAATTCCATTTACACAATTTATTTTCATCCAAAATAGAAAATCTACAGTTCTGGATGGCTGCATGAGCAGCAGGACAAGAGTCACAGGCCATTTAGATTCCACATATAGAACAAGAAAATGTTCAGGTGAATCACATCCATTGTGTAAACCAAGCTAGAATCCACTGGCCACTCAAAGGCTAAAAATACCAGTGAGGACGACAGTTTGTTGAACGCCCAGGTTCATGAACATGTGCTAAGTATAGGTGGTAACTGATCTGGCAGAATTGCTGCAGCCCGCTCCAGATCAGCCCATTTCACAGAAGATGGCTGACCCTCAAAAAGGCAACTTGCCCAACTAAGGTGCAAAAATAAATCTATTTCATAATTGCCCATTGTAGCTGTATGAAAGAACAATAGTGGAGTTTTTTAAATAACCACAGGCACTCAAGCCCCATCCCACTGAAGGCTGTGACTCACAGATCTAGAGTGAGCCCAGGATATCTCTGATGTTTAACAATTTCCCCCACATGATTCCAATCATAACATGCTCACAAAGGTGGGCATGTTAGCACCCGGGGAGCTTCAAAAATGCCAATGCCTGGGCCCTGCCGAGCCCAATCCAATCAGCGCCTCCAGGGAGGAGCATGAGCTCGACATCTTCACAGCCAGGATTGAGACTCCCTGGAAACTGCAGCCTGCACTCTTCCCTCTGCGTCTTCCCATCTCAGATAAAGGAGCAGTGTCGTTTGCTCACCAGGAAGAGTAGTTCACGGTGGCTGAACCACAGCTATTTAGTAAATCTGGTGCTTAGCAGCAGATGCTGCTGTCTATGTCTCTGAAAAGAAATCTGGCAACTCCAACCTGTGAGGCCTGGAGGGCAGGAACCACATCTTCTGTCTCTGTGCCCCCAGTACCTCGCCCAGAGCTGACAGTTAATTATTCTTAAACACCGCTATCTGCAGCTAACATTCCATCATCAGCCTAATAGGAAGGGTGCCATAAGCCACATTAGCTCCCAGGAGGGCTGGAGAAACACCAAGCCCTGTGGCTTCTCTAGACATCCCACCACCAGACAGCCTCCTCAGGCTCCTGGAGGTCCTGGGCCAGCTCTGCTTCTGGAAACACCAAGATATCGTGGGACCAAACGTGGAGCCATGACTACCTGAAAGTCAAGCTGACCTATCTCATGGCCTGCATCTGCCCAGCGCGCTGCACAGGGACAGCTCGGTGCCAAATGCCCAGTCCACCACCTGCCAGGAGGTAACAAGAAAGTCCTGGATCCACCCACCTTTGCAGAGGAGGCTGAACATGGTGCAGATGGCGAATGGCCTGGCTGGGCTGGGAGCCTTGTGTTAAGCGTCATGCTCAGCTTTCCCAAACCCTTTGCAAAGTCGAGTTCTCTGTCTTCCAGGCCTCTTTTGGAGAAGCATGGAAAGTTTATGAATGAAGAAAGATGGAGCTGGGATGAGCTGGATGTGCTTTCCTGGGACCATCTCCATCGCCTTGAATGATGAAAAGCCACTGCATTCACAATGTCAGGAGCACTTGGAGCCTGACAGGGGTGGTCAGGAGGAACAGACCCCAGGACATGACTCTGTCTGGCACAGTGCAAGACGCAATGTGCACCGCTGTCTACTAGTCATGACCCTGGGCAAATCACCTGCTCTGCGTCTCTGTTTTTTTCCTTCATGCAAGGGGCATTAGAACAACTACCTCTCAGCAGTACTGTAATAATTGAGGGAGGGTGGCAAAGGTGTTTAGCAGATGCTTGATAAACAATAGCCATTATCCTCACCCTGAGATGCTCTGTGCCTAGTGTCTTCTCATTAAATGCTTGTGAAATAATTAAATGGATATATGGGTGAATTCATTAAAAACAAAATTCATACGGAGGCAACTCTTTTAGGGAGAAGTGAGTATCTTAACCCAGTTTGTAAACAGAGGTCAAAATCCAGAATTTCAAAATAGCTATAGCTTAGCAATGACTGTCTGTAAGGCATGGAGCTCTATAGCATTCAGTGGTCCACATGGTAAATATTATTTATTGATTCACTGGATAAAGAAACCAAGGCTAAGGGTTGCTCTTAGCATCTCCCATCTCCTGCCCTGGTCTTATGTGCCCCATCAAGCATGGAGCTTGGCAGGATGACAGTGCTCCCAGCACCCCCAGCACCCACTGTATAAGTATGCATTCTTCAGCACAAGCCTGGTTGCTGAGTGAGGGCCTGCTACATGCCTCGCTCATGGTCAACACTCAGACACCAGCAGACCACCAATCAGTAGGGTTTCAGATAATTTGTTCATTTACTTATAATCACAAATACTTTTTGGATTTACACCATATGCCAGGCACTATTCTCTATGACGAAGATATAGCAGTTACAAAGCAGATCAATGCCTGCCTTCATATGGTTTACATTGTAATAGGAGGAGACAGGTCATAAGCAGATAACACGAAAGTCTAAAATGTGCTGGGCACTGGTAAGCACTGTTTTCAAAGAACTCAGGTTAGAGAGTTGGAAGATGGCAAAGTGGCAGAGCTGATTTCCACACCGTGACTAAGAAGGGCCTCTCTGATAAAGCAGTTGGAGCAGATTTCAACATGGTAGGGGAGCCAGGTGGACATATCTGGGGGGAAATCTCTCCAGAGAGGATGGAAAATGGGGTGCTCGGATTGTCCTGCGGAGAGCAAGGGCCAGTGAGACTGGGAGGGAGGGAGCGTGGGGCTGGGCTAGACTGAACTCACTGGGAGTTTTGGACGGACCCCTGTCTGCTAGTTCATTCTTTCTTTTAGACAGGGTCTTGCTTTGTTGCACGGGCTGGAATGCAGCGATGCAATCACAACTCACTGCAGCCTCAAAGTCCTGAGGTCAAGAGATCCTCTCTCCTTTGCCTCCTGAATGGCTGGGACTACAGGCACACACCACTATGCCTGGCTAATTTTTTTTTTTTCTGTAGAGACAGGGTCTCACTATTTTGCCTAAGCTGGTCTTGAACTCCTGGCTTCAAGTGGTCCTTCCACCACAGCCTCTCAAAGTGCCAGGATTACAGGCATATGTCACCCCACCCTGCTGTCTGCTATTTCGAGGAGAGACTGTAGGGGTGAAAGAGGAAAGCCAGTTAACAAACTATTGCCAAAAACGGTTACCAGAATTTGAATGTATTAATATATTTAATCCTTGCAACAACAACACTAAGTGGCTACTATTGCTACCCTTATTATAAAAGTGAGGAAACTTAGCCACAGAGAGGTTAAGCAACTTGCTCAGAATTCCACAATCAGCAAGCTGTGGAGGCAGGATTTAAAGAGGGCAGCCTGGCTCTAGGGTCCATGTGGCTGAACATTATATGGTATAGACCCACCCAGTATAACACACTGGGAGCACGAGGCAGGGAGCTGTCTTCCCGACATGGGGAAATGGTAACCTACTCTTTTAGAAGTCTTCGAGAAAGTATATAAGCCAAAAGAAGTCTTTTCTATATTTATTTATTTAGCAATTTCAAATGCTTTGCAGGCCAGGAGCCGCGGCTCGAATCTGTAATCCCAGCACTTTGAGAAGCTAAGGAAGAAGGATGACTTGATCCCAGGAGTTTGAGACCAGCCTGGACAACATAGTTGAGACCATGTCTCTACAAATAATTGTTTAAAAAAAAAAGCCAGGTGTGCTGGCATATGCCTGAATTCCCAGCTACTCAGGAGGCTAAGATGGGAGGATTGCTTGAGGCCAGGAGTTTAAGGCTGCAATGAGCTATGATCGCACCACTGCACTCCAATGTGGGTGACAGAGCAAGACCCTATCTCTAAAAAAAAGGCTTGGCTAACCCTTCAACTAAAAAATAAGTGCATTAGCATTAATTAAGCTTAGGATATCTCATTTATTCATCTAACATCCCTATGATGCAGATATTATTAGCCCATTTTACAGATAAAGAAGCTGAGGCTTAGCAAGGCCAAGTAACATGCTCAGAGTCCCACAGTGGGGATTCAGATCCCATTTCTACTCTAAAGACCATGGTCTTTCTGCCCTGCACCATCCATCTTCCCAATAGTACTTAAAAGAAAATACACGCTAGGATTGGGGAAAATTCTCTTTCCATGCCAAACATCCAGATTGGAGACTTGAGCTGCAGTAATAAAGGAGAATTTTTTTTTTTTTTGGAATTCATTCTGGGAGCAAGAGTATTTACCACTGCCAAAAACCTCTAGAACTGGGAAAGCACAAAGAAACCAGGTCAACAGCTGCCACCAAGCACTTCCAGGTAGTGAAATCCAATGGGGTCCAATGGCAGACACCCTCAGTGCTGAGTGAGAAAGTGAAAGGGCCCCAGGAGAGCTTCAATAGGTGAGGGATGCTGCACTTGGGAAGCAGGTGGTTCAAACAGTACTTCTGAAGCAATGAGCTCTGTGCTGTCAATTTCTACTCAGATTGAGAATGGGCATGTCTTTATAGACTGTGCCCAGAAAATGTTAGACCAATGCGCTGCAGCTGCCAAACACACCAACAAACTGCTGGCCATGTCAGGAAGGGCAGCCTGGAAAGCAGAGAGGAGTCATTATCCCTCCCTCCCATAAAACCGTAGTTCACTTGCACCTGGAGTAGCATATGTGGTCCTGGTCTCTGGCCCACACTGGAATAGAGCAAAGCTACAGAAGAGAACCGCCCCAAGCAGGGAAATCCAAATCTGGATCTATTATAGTTAGCATCTATGGAGCCTCTAAAATGGGCCAGGAACAATCTAAGAGCTCTTTCTATCATTCAGTCTCACAACAACCATATTAAGGATGTTTTAGCTCCATCTGAGAAATGCTAACCCTGAGACTGACAGAAACGAATAATGCCCACAGAGCCCCATCATTTGTGAGTGGTCTATACAGGATCTGAAGTCCAGCTTCCTGGATTCCAAAGCCATTCAGTTTACCAGAGCCCAGGCCAGCTCCTAGATCAGCCCTTCCCCAAGCTTCCTGCTGCCCCATAGGCACTAAGGTACTTCTCACCACTTCGCATCACAGACCCTATAGTCCAGCCACGGGGTGGAGAGGCTGCCTCCTTCCCAAACCAAGTGTTGGGGTTTACAATCAAGGGTCAGACAGGATAAAGAGAACCTATAAAGCATTGAGGAAGGGAGCTGGGGGGGCATTACAGTCCCTGTGCCCTCGGAAAGGTGGGATGGTCTATGCGTACACACCACAGCCTCAGGAACCCAGACTCATCCACCCTGCTGAGCCAAGCTATACATAAAGCTGAACAGACATGGCTCTAGATATTTCATATTTATGATACTCCACTCACCCCACGGAAGGCAGAAAATCGTGGAGAGTTAGTCCTGGGCTTACAGAATTACAGTGCAGGTCAGAAAGAAATTAACACTATGAGAGACTGAACAAGGGCCCAGTTTGCCCACCTTTGGCTCCTGACTCAGATATGCACTAACCGTACAAACGCAGGCAACCTCCCTGTGCCTCACTTTCCTCATCTGAAAGGTGGGCTTAATAAGGCGTCATGTGAGTTGACACTTCTGAAGCCTTTCAAAAAGTTTCTCTCACTTAGTCAGTGCTCAACAAATACTATATATTGCCATATCTTGTTCTAGTTTTCCATACCTGGAAAGTAAAAAGACAGTTGTGATTTTTTTTTAAATCATCAAGTTTGAAGAAAATTATTTACAAGCTTGACCTGCCTTATCACATCAAAATGTGTATCATATTTAACCTTTCAACTTGTGCAAATGGGATCATGCTTTAATCCCAACATGCATTATATTATACAAGTAGATACCTACTCGTATTGTTGCTTCCATCTCATCTGTGGAGCAGCCAAATGTAATTTACTAACAATTCCCACCTCAATGGCTGAGCAAGGGTGTCATCTCCCACTCACATGCATTGCACAAAATGCCATGTTCAAGTCTTTGGAAGCATAATGGAGAAGAAAAAAAAAAATAAAAGCGTGTTCATCCGCATTATGGATTCCACAAAAACACAAGAATAAAACAAACACATAAATAAAACAAGAATAAAAACACAAGAATAAAATGCTCAGTGGAGTATCTCACTAGTCTTGGCCCCATGACTTGTTGCTAATGCCAAAGTTGCCATTCAAGAAGAAAATGTTAATTTCTTTCTGGGAACGTGTTATAATAGAGATCTAAGAACAGATGCTAAAGAGCTGTATCAGTGAGAACTGTCACCCAAAACAATAGTTTTAAAAAGTAATAATGCTATTAGAAAACTAAGGCTCAGAAAGATTAAGTAATTTGCTTGAAGACACACAGTAAGTTTCTATTTCCAGCAAGGGTGAACCAGGCAAGACTAATCTTCCCATTAAAGACCATTTAAAAAGCTAGTCAAAAGACAAAGAAAAAAATTTTCTTGAAAGCATCAATCCACTAACAAGATAGTGAGGATTATTTGGTTGAGATCCAGTAAAGGGCTGGAACCCTGAGAGCTGAGACCAGCACTCAAGGTTGCTTTTGCTATGAAGTATTTTCTGGTCAAGATGAGGTAGCTAAAAGACTGAGCTGTACTTTTCAAAGTGTTGTGGAACTAGGGGAACAAAATTATAACCTGGTGTCTTTCAAGGGAGAAAATACAAGTAAACACTTTTCAGTTTGGGATAGGAGGTACGACAAAGGGCTGCACCTTAGAATTGAGAGTGTTTTAGACATGAATCAGCCTTTTCATGGATAGCAGTCTGTCTACACATCACTGATAACCCAGACAACTTCAACTTAAATTAAAATGCATTTACGGCAGGGCTCGGTGGCTCACGCCTGTAATCCCAGCACTTTGGGAGGCCAAGGTGGGCAGATTACGAGGTCAGCAGTTCAAGACCAGCCTGACCAACATGGTGAAACCATTTCTCCACTAAAAATACAAAAATTAGCCAGGAGTGGTGTCATGGTACAGCTCTGGAGGTCAACGTGGCCCTGCCTTCCTCCAACAGAAGCTGTGATCAACATGGCACTGTAGTGAGCACCTGTTAAGGGCAAAGCTTGTTCTATAAATGGACATTGTGATCATTATTCATTTCATTGCTCTCGATTTCACAGAATCAAATAACTTAGCATGTAAGGGAATTGAAATTGAGGGGGCCAATTCCCTCAGTTTGCAAGTGAAAATATTAAGGTTTGGGGAGGTTGACTTTCTAATGACAGAGTCAGAAATTGGACTAGAGCCAGCTCTCTGAACCTGAGCCCTTTAGCTGTTTACTAGCATTCCAGTAGAATGACTTGTGAGTCAACCCAAAATCCTGATCCACCCTGCCATCCCACACACAGCACCCTAAAGGGTGGTATTTACAGAATTTACATTACTTTGTGCCAAGCGAAAATATTACCAGATTATAGATGCAGTATAATCTCCACTGTTCTCTCTCTCTCTTTCTCTCTCTCTCTCCCCGTGTGTATGTGTGTGTGTGTGTGTGTGCGTGTGTGTGTTTGTTTGTAACCAACATCTGACTTTGAAGGAAGGCAAGCAATTGGATAAACAGAAAGGAGACATTGGGGGCTGATAGAGACATGTGAACCAATGTAGTGTACCAATGCAGAAAGGTTCTTGGCTCACAAGGGCAGTGGTGAGAATGACTGGACAGTGTAGACACTCTGTGAAGCAAAACAGGTGCCCTCATGGGAAGACAGGGTTAGCACACAGCCAGACATGGGTTTAAATCTCAGCCAGCTAGGCCACCTAGCAAAATCTTCTAAGCCTCATTCATTCATTTCTTCAGTAAATATTTATTAAGCAACACCTGAGTACAAGTAAGCACTAGAGTACTAGAGTCGATGAAATGTGCTTCAGTTTCCCTGCTAGTCAAAATGAGGACAACATACGCTTCTTGCAGGGTTACTGTGAGGATTTAGGTAAAATGCCTAGTCTATGGTCTAGCACATGTACTTGATAAACGGCACCATTTCCTGCAAGCTGGACACATCATTTGGGGCCCAATACAATAATTTGTAGCATCAGGAATTAGGGTGGATTCCTATGATTCAGAAAATGTTCAGTAAAAGATGAAAATGAAGTGAGTCTCTCCCTACCACCACTCCTTCTCAACATCATCATTTACACAGGTCACAAAGCTACAGCAAAGGATCTTCAAATGATTGTGTGATCTTCTCTACGTGATGGGAGCTGGGGGAACGGAGGCAGAAATGCAAAGCTGACCATGGGCAGCCTTTCATTAATCAAAACCAAATGGAAAAGAGGTAGGATTTTTTTAGAAAAAAAGAAGAGAGAAAAATTGTCAGTATGAAATATTTGGTTATGAGCCCCACAGCGGGCATCAGTGTCTTGGCACTAAAGTCAGATTAAAAAGGATGCCTGCCTTTTGTTTCAAAAATGCAATGCAATGAGTGTCCTACACAGAAAAGAAAAGGTCACCAAGGGAGGGATAATGCTTCTCAACATTCTCCAGCACCTAGGCGTTAAAGTGACTCATCCGAAATTTAAAAACCAGCCAACTGGAATGTCAAAGGGTTGGCTTATGAATGAATAAAGGAAAGAAGGATATCCCCAGGAAAGATGAAACAGTCAAATAGAGCCATAGAGTTCCAGAACTGGAAGGGACTTCAGCAATCAATAGCCCTCGGATAGGTGAGACAACTGAGCAAGACCAGAGAAGTGAAGAAACTTGCCCAAAGAAACCAAGCCAGAGAGGACAGTGTCTTAGCCTGTTCTCCCTAGAGAATGGAGCTTGAGACAAAGGCCTGGGTGCAGGTGGTGATGCATGCGGTGATCCCAGGAAGCAGCAGCTAGGGAGAGTGAGGCAGGAATGAAAAGCCAGCAGTAGGGGCCATCACCAAGGTCACTGCTATGGGCAACCAAAGCTCATATTCCAAAAGGCCCCCTCAGCAGTGCACAGAATGACCCCCAGGGTTATCTGCCAAAGGAGGAGAAACAGGAGCATTTGTCCATGAGGTGCTGTCCCGCAGGATTGTCCTGGGAGGTTTTAACTGCCTGTACTTCTGCACACATTGGCTGTGCATGCTTCTACTACTCCACTATTGAAAGAGCCCTAAAGCAGAAAGCCAAATCAAGGGAAGCATGCTTGAGGCCAGACACCATCAGCACAAAAAGAACCAAAGCCAGCATTGCACTATCCATCTGGCAATGGCTGAACTCAAAAGGGAGATAAAAGGATGCAATTTGGGCACCAGATGAGTCTACTATAAACCACAGATTTGGAGCTGAATCCCCTAATGCTAATACTTATTCCATGGTCTCAGGATATAACAAGAACCCCATTTCTGAAAGACTTAAGGAGTCCATGTTTCTCTCATCACCATCTAATCAGAGGCTCGAGATTCTAATCAGAGACTCATTTACCTATTGCCTCGAAGCCCAAAAATATAAAATTTTTCCACCTCAAATTCCAGCTCTACCTTGGGGTCACAAGGTAATCTCGAATATTAATGTTAACAGGAAACTGAGCTCCCTGATGGCACAGACAATATCGTATCCTAACGGTATGTTGAGATAGAAATCTTTCACATCTAAAGCACTCATAAGCCAGCTTTGATGTCAGTAAGTAATAAAAGTCTGAAAGAAAATGGGTCAATTTTAAAGGAATATTTAAGCAGCAGATCTCAAAAGCCCAGAATCAATGCTGTCCTCTCCTTGCTAGGCTGTTCCCAAAGTCCTTAAAGGAAACCCAGTGGACAAATTAACTGTAGAACCAGTGAAGTATCTGGGAATGTCAAAAATGTGACAGGTGGTGCCAAAAATCTGTCACATCCATTTGCAATGGGGCATATTAACAACCAGGCAAACCCTGCCGTTCAATTTCATTTCATTGTTCCAGACAGGATGCTTGGTGCCATGTCATGCTTCCCAGACTGAGCTGGGCAAGTTTCTGAGGGATGCAGCTGTGTGCCAGAGGTACCGAGAAATGCCCCATACACATGCATGTACTCCAGGAGCATATATCATGCTTAAAAATACCAGGGATTTTTCTATTTGAAATCTATCTTATAGAGTCAAATGCCAAATTTATATTCATTTTTAAGATAAAATTTACAACTATGAAGAATTTTCATATTGTGATGGGCAATTTGGGCAGTAGCCCTCAGGCACCCTAGGGATATGAATTCACTTTCCTCTGCCTGTAGAGTAATTTTGATGGAAAGGTTTAGAAAGCTCTGATGAGGGAAAAAGCTCTTTGCAGTCACACAGATCTAGGTTTTAGAAATTCGTCTGAGCAGAGTGTGATGGTTAATACTGAGTGTCAACTTGATTGGACTGAAGGACACAAAGTATTGATCTTGGGTGTGTCTGTGAGAGTGTTGCCAAAATAGATTAACATTTGAGTAAGGGGGTGGGGGAAGGTAGACCCATCCTTAATCTGATGGGCACGATCTAATCAGCTGCCAGCGAATATAAAGCAGGCAGAAAAACGTGAAAAGGACAAGATGGGCCGAGCTTCCCAGCCTACATCTTACTCCCGTGCTAGATGCTTCCTGCCCTCGAACATCAAACTCCAAGTTCTGCAGTTTTGGGACTCGGACTGGCTCTCCTTGCTCCTCAGCTTGCAGACAGCCTATTGTGGGACCTTGTGATCGTGTAAGTTAATACTTAATAAACTCATATATATATATATATATATATATATATATATATATACACACACACACACACACACACACACACACCCATATATATATATCCATATATATCTCCATATATATCTCCATATATATATATATCCATATATATCTCCATATATACATATATATGTTAGGATATGATAGATCATATATATCATATCCTAACAGTATGTTGAGATAGAAATCTTTCATATCTAAAGCACTCATAAGCCAGCTTTGATGTCAATAATAAAAGTCTGAAAGAAAATGGGTCAATTTTAAAGGAATATATATATACAGATATATATATATGGAGATATATATATACACACACAGAATAGGATATATATATCCTATTTATATATATATATACACACACATATATATGTGTGTGTATATATATGTGTGTGTGTATGTGTGTGTATATATATATCCTATCACAGAACTAATAGGATATACATATATATATCCTATATATCTGTACATATACATATATATATCCTATATATCTGTACATATACATATATATATCCTATATATCTGTACATATACATATATATATCCTATATATCTGTACATATACATATATATATCCTATATATCTGTACATATACATATATATATCCTATATATCTGTACATATACATATATATATCCTATATATCTGTACATATACATATATATATCCTATATATCTGTACATATACATATATATATCCTATATATCTGTACATATACATATATATATCCTATATATCTGTACATATACATATATATATCCTATATATCTGTACATATACATATATATATCCTATATATCTGTACATATACATATATATATCCTATATATCTGTACATATACATATATATATCCTATATATCTGTACATATACATATATATATCCTATATATCTGTACATATACATATATATATCCTATATATCTGTACATATACATATATATATCCTATATATCTGTACATATACATATATATATCCTATATATCTGTACATATACATATATATATCCTATATATCTGTACATATACATATATATATCCTATATATCTGTACATATACATATATATATCCTATATATCTGTACATATACATATATATATCCTATATATCTGTACATATACATATATATATCCTATATATCTGTACATATACATATATATATCCTATATATCTGTATATATACATATATATCCTATATATCTGTATATATACATATATATCCTATTAGTTCTGTGTATATATATATGTGTGTGTGTGTGTGTATATATATATATATATATATATCCTATTAGTTCTGTCCCTCTAAAAGAACCCTGATTAATACACAGAGTCACTTGGAATGAGTTATTTAACTTGTCTGAGCCTCAGTTTCTCATCTGTTAAAGGTGGATAATAATGCCTACTTCCTGGGGCTGAGGGGAGAATTAAATCAATGGTGTCCAATCTTTTGGCTTCCCTGGGCCACACTGGAAAAAGAATTGTCTTGGGCCACACATAAAATACACTAACACTAACAATAGCTGATGAGCTAAAAAAAAAAATTGCAAAAAAATCTCATAATGTTTTAAGAAAGTTTACGAATGTGTGTTGGGCCACATTCAAAGCCATCCTAGGCCGAATGCATCCCATGGGCCACAGGTTGGACCACTCTGAATTAAGTGGTATAGTATAACAAAATGTGTAGTGTAGAGTTGAAACTTGATAAGCACTTATTTCCTTCACCATTTTTATAAGACAGAAGCAAATAGAATTCAGATAGATTTAAGAAGGGTTTAGGAGAGCTGTGAGCTATGGGCCTGTGGTAGCTGATGGCATTAATGGATGCTTTTCTCCCCCCACCTGCCACACACAGCCCCATCCTCTGCTGGATGCCTTTGCAGGGCCCTCCTTCTCTGACTCGGGACTTGGCTGTATGACTGGCTTGAGCCAATGTGAGGTAGAGGGGCATGGCGCAAGCAGAGGCTTTAAATCTCTGTGCACCCTGAACTTGGTCTGGTGTGCCCTGTGCCATCACCTTGTGTCTGTGAGGGTGCTTAAAGGAACATTTAAGCAGCAGATCTCAAAAGCCCAGAATGAATGCTGTCCTCTCCTTGCTAGGCTGTTCCCGAAGTCCTTAAAGGAAATCCAGTGGACAAATTAACTGTAGGACCAGTGAAGGACGTGGCCCAACCAGCTTGCTGGAAGATAAGACACAGGGGAGGAGAGCCCAGTCATTTCAGTCATCCCAGCATAGATGAGATAACAACCAGCCAACCCGAAGAAATATGGGAAACCCAAGTTGGGATCGCCTCTCCAGCCTACAGCTGAGCCCCAACACAAGAGCACGCCCAACCCGTGAGTGAAATGCTGTTTAGAGTCAAACACTGGTGAGGTGCTCAGGTTGGTTGCTACATGCTTGTATTGTAATAGTTAAGTTACCTGGTGTCATGGGCTGAATCACATCCCTCCAAAATTCATATGTCAAAGCCCTAACCACCAGTACCTCACAATGCAACTGCCCTTGGAGATAGGAACTTTAGAGAGGTAACTAGATAAAATGAGGCTGTTAGGATGGACCCTGATCCAATCTGACCGGCATCCTTATAAGAAAAGGACATTTGGACACCTGTAGAGACACCAGGGGCACGTGTGCACAGAGAAAAGGCCATGCAGGCACAGCAACAGGGTGGCATCTGCAAGCCAAGGAGAGAGGCCTGAAATGGGTCTTTCCATGATGGCCCTAAGAGAAAACCAACACTGCTGACCCCCTGATTGTGGGCCTCCAGCTTCCTGAACAGTGAGGAAATACATTTTTTTGTTTAAGCCACCCAGTCTGTGGTACTTTGTTATGGCAGCTGCAGCAAACTAATACCCGCTGGGTTTCTGTGGCTTTGACAAGATGGGGTATTCTGCTGGGTGCTTTACATATGTGCTTCACTGAGTCCTCATCACAACTCTAGGCAATTGGCCCTGTAATCCCCAGAGCATGGGGAGACAGCTGAATCTCAGAGATCAGACAACAGCAGAGGGCCACACGGCCAGAAGTGGCCAGACCTGGGCTCTCACGGTGTCTCCAAGGCTGATGTTCTTTCCAATGTGCATACTGAGAAACTGAGGCAGGAGAGGAAGTTCCACCAGCATTTCCACCCTTGTCCCTTGTCCAAATGAAACTCTCATAATGTATTTAACAAACACAATTTTCACACCAATAGTAAGCACACGTCAAAGTTCTATTTAACCGATTAATGAAGGATCCAGCAGAAAGGCACGTCTGGTTCCAAACAGAATATGTAAAAGTGATCTTTCACGCTCAATGGAAAAGAAAGAAATGTTGAGACAAGATTGCTAAGTTAGACAAAAAAAAAATAAAACTGATTAATTCCTTATAGGATAATAAAACCATAACTTTCAGGGTTATCTTTTCAAACTGACAGCTAAATTGTCACATCTTACCAGTTTTACAGAACTGAGTAATGTTTGAGTCCTAATCATTGTGCAAACAAAGTTTCATCACTAGAGAAGATAATCCTTAAGCTGACTTGTTAAAAAATGTTCCAGCACAGTGGTTCTCATGCTTTTTTGGTCTCAGTATCTCTTTACCCTTTTAAATAACTTTTTAAATGAATTAAAGCCCCAAAGAGCTTTGCTGATGTGAGTCACATCTATCGATATTTGCTATAGTAAAAATTAAAACTTAGAAACATTTTAAAATGTTTTTATTCATTTTTAAATAGCAATAATAAACCTACTATAATTTGCCATAAACAAAATGCTTTTATGAAAGCTAACTACATTTTCAAAAAAAAAAAAAAGTTTAGTGAGAAGAGTAGGAATGTTCTACATCTTTGTAAATCTCTTTAATGTCTAGTTTAATAGGAGACAGCTGGATTCTCGTAGCTGCTCCTGCGTTCAACCTGTTACAATATGTTGTTTTGGTTGAAGCCTGTGAAGGAAATCCAGCCTCTCAAAGACATGTTATTGAAACAGGGAGGAGGGATATTTTAATAGCATTTTTGGATAACTGTGGATTGTTTTATTTGATACTTCTCTAAAGTACCACCGGACAAGTGGTAGTTTCTACAGGTGACTTGCAACATGCAACTTAAAGCCATATCAGTGGACTTTTGTACTCTGTTAGAATAAAATCCGCGGGTCTATCTTACACTTTAAATGGATCTCTTACCCATGTGTGATTGTCTCACAATGAGTACTTAGAAAATATCAGTCCATTGAATTGTGAAGATCTTCCACATGTTGACATACTTCATTATACTATTTCCAAAAATTCATTAATATCACCACTGGTTTTGTCAGTGAAACTGGGTTTTGTTGTTGTTTTGTTTTTTTTTGTTTTTTTTTTGCTGAGAGGTGGTGGTAGGGGAAGTATACAACGACTAATAGCAAAGTTTCCTGCCCTACCCTGATTTGTACCAAGGCACAAGCAGTTTTACCCACTGTTGGTTTTGTATCAGTGTGCAAATGTCAACATAGTGAAAAAGGCAAGTAACATCTTCCTGTTATTAAGAACTAGTTTTGACCTTACCGAGCTCCTGAAAGGGTTTTGGGATTCCCTAGTGTTTCAGCCCATACTTGGAGAAGCACTGCATTAGCATGACACTGAAAATATATTCAGTCATCTTTTCCCCTTATTTGCAAGTGTTAGATAATTTTCCTTAACACCTCTGACTTTCACACAAGTAAACAGAGATCATTCACCCAAGTTAGGAGCAGGAAAGCTAGTGGAGGAAACCCAGTGGGGCTGGTGGGGGAAAGGAGGGGGCAGGGGGCGGGTTTCATGCCTGTCACTTCCTGATGTATGAAATGTGTGAGCAAGACCACCCTGAAGAAGAAACGTCTTCTCCAAATTTGGCTCTGCAGGAGACAGTGTATGATCAAAGCAGGAAATAAGTCAGGGAAATCTTCCCAAAAGCAGATATGACGACACAAAGGCAAGTGGGTGGGCTTAGGAGTTTCACAACGAAGTCAAATGCCAGTTAACCATTAATCAGCAAAGTTAATTAGCAGATAATCACCATCCCTTAGGGTTTATAGGATGCTGCAACTCTCACAGATAAATTAATTTCCAAAGAAAACAAACAACCCAACTCTTTAGAAACCATTGTGAATATAGGCTTTTATCTGAAGCCTGCAAACAGTACACTGATGACTTCTCCTTCAGGCAGTCTCACCCCCTCAGCCCTGTGTACCCCATTTCCTAGCTGGAGCACATAGAATAGGGTAGGATGAGATGAAGCTGGTGGCGTGGACCAGACACCCATCCATTTGGCCAGCATCTCCTGTACCCTACAGCCCTGTGCTAAGAGATAGGGCCAGCACATTGGGCAGCAACTAGATGGAATCTGCTCACCGTCCAGGAGGAGGGAGGCTTTAAAGTAGAGGCCACAAGATTGAATGTATAATTACAAGTCGATTGAGTGCCCTAGGAGGAAGGGATATGGCACCATGAGAATATATTTTTAAAATGAAACTATCCTGGGCTGGGGTCTGAAATGCTTCTGAGAAGCAATGTCTTCTGCTCTGTGAGCTGGAGACTGGGTAGGAGCTGATGGTCACAGGCAGGTGGTCAACCAAGGGACACCCAGGAAGAGGCCCTGTGTCAAGGCAGAGCATGGCGGTACAGTGACTGCTAACAAGCATGGAGAATGAGAAGCACAAGGTCTGAGGGCAGGTAGGGACCAGACCAGGCCTTGCAGATCAGGCAAAGGCTGTGGGTCATTACGCTGAGAGTGAGGGGTCGCCAAGGGGGATGGTAAGCAAGGTCTGTGCCATGACACGATTTGCATTAAAAATAGTATTGAAGGCCCAGAGTGGAGGACAGTGGGAGAGGTGCCAGAGTGAGGGTAGTGACTAAGTAGGAGGCCTTACAGATGTCAGGGAGAAACGTTGGCAGCTTGGACTAGGGTAGTGATGGTGGGGTGGGAGAGAATGATGTATTCCAGAAATATCGACCAGACATGGAGATGGAAAGGATTTAAAGGTGGAAGGAAAGGGAGGTAGAACGGATAGCATCTAGATTGTTGATGTGCATAATTAGATGGATATTACTGAACGCTGGAAGAGGCCAGGTTGTGAAGGAAGCTCTGAAGTTCAGCCTTGGCTGTGTTGAGTTTGAGGTATGACAGACAGTCAGAGTAAGCAGTCTGACGTGCGAGCTTGGAGCTCAGGGGCAAGGTATGGACTGGATATACACTTGGTAATTTAAGCCATAGATGTGGAAGACATTTGCCAGGAAAGAGAGAAAAAGAAGAGAAGAGGAAGGAGAAGTAAGAGAAGAAAACAAGACAGAAAGGAAACTAGAGGAGGCGAAAGGAGAAGGAAGAAAAGAGAGGACGGAGGGGACAGGAGGGCGGAAGAGGGAAAAGGATGAGAAGGGGAGCTCCTGCACTTGCTGACCTCATATAGAAGGATGATTCTGCAAAGAGACAAAGAGTCTCCTGCATGGAGACTAAGAAAGGGGACCTGAAGAGTGTGACATCTCAGGAGGCAAGGGAAGGGAGGACGTCAAGACAGGAGAGTGGTAAGATGTGCCAAATACTGCAATAAAACACCAGTTGACTGCTGAAGTCATGTGGGATGCCTTCCTTCACCACCCCAGAGCCCCCTCAACCCTCTGCCCTTGCCTTGCTCCCTGCCCCAGGTGTCTGTCTCCACTAAACCACAATCCTCAGGAGGCAAAGAGCATGTCCCTTAAAGACAAGGGAGCCCCCAGCACACAACACGATGCTATCAACAAGTAGGCTGTGAGCTGAAGTCTGATCAATGAATGCATGGAATAGAAATGTTCTAGCAGCAGAAAAGACAGGGAGTGAACAAGTGCCTCAAGAAAGAATAGCTTCGGAGCAAATCATTAGCTGAACCTCAGAGGATCTTGAAAGGCTCTTCAGTCCCAAGGCTGTCCTATGCCATGTGGTTGAGGAGGAATGAGGAAAACCCCTCGTGAAAAACATGAGATGTTTCTCGGTAGCTCATGAGATCTCATGCTTCAAAGGCAAAACCTCAGCTACTCTGAATGGCACATTCCTGCGATGATGATGTTGAATCACGCAGTTTAACTACTGAACACATGATCCTGCCTTCAAGGAGCTTTCGATCAAGTTGAGAAAGAAAGGCTATAAGGTATCAAACAGGAAGATCCTAAAAGTAAAATAAGTATAAGGTTGCCTATGGCTGGGTATTTAGCAATGTCATGGAGGTGGGGACATAAAAAAAAGATTGTGACTCACCTCCCTCAGTGTAAAAAAGACAAAACCTCCAATAGAAAAGGAATAGAAATGAACAATAAATTTCCAAAAGAAGAAACACAAATCCATAAGGACATATGAAAAATAATCAACTAGTAGTTACCAAAGAAAGGCAAATTGAAGAAATGACAGCATGTTTCAAATTAAAAGTAAAAAGGCATTTAATTGAAAGCAAAGACTTGGAACCAACCCAAATGCTCATCAATGATAGACTGAACAAAGAAAATGTGACACATATATACCATGGAATACCATGCAGCCATAAAAAGAATGAGTTCATGTCCTTTGCAGGGACGTGGATGAAGCTGGAAACCATCATTCTCAGCAAACTAACACAGGAACAGAAAACCAAACACCACATGTTTTCACTCGTAAGTGGGAGTTGAACAATAAGAACACATGGACACAAGGAGGGAAACATCACACACTGGGGCCTGTCAGGTGGTGGGGGAAAGGGAAGGGAGGGCATTAGGACAAATACCTGATGCATGTGGGGCTTAAAACCTAGATGACGGGTTGATAGGTGCAGCAAACCACCATGGCACATGTATACCTATGTAACAAGCCTGCACGTTCTGCACATGTATCCCAGAACTTAAATTTTTAAAAAAATTAAAAAATAGAAAAAAATTTTAAAAAGGTATTTAATTTAAAATAGCAATATCTGGTGTTGCCAAGGGTGCAAGGAAATGGGCACTGGTGTACACTGATGAGCATGCACACATCTGCAGAACCTCTCTGCAGGGCAGCTTGACACTAAGCATTGAAAGAGTTAGATGTGAAGTGCAATTCGCCCTCTGGAAATTCATCCTAAAAAGATAATTAAGGATGGGTACAGAAATTTAATCATAAGGAAGATCACTGCAGTGCAGTTTTTTATTACAAATAAAAGTTGGAAATAATCCACATTGCCAAACAGAGGAGGGTTAGTTAAATAAACTATGTGCACAACAGATGTAAGCAAACACTAAAAACACCTTATAGAAATATTTATCAATATGAGAAGATGGTATTATCCTACCATCTTAAGTACCAAAAAACAGATTATGGGGAAAAATGGCAAGATGGCCAAATAGGAACAGCTCCGGTCTACAGCTCCCAGCGTGAGCGACGCAGAAGACGGGTAATTTCTCCATTTCCATGTGAGGTACCGGGTTCATCTCACTAGGGAGTGCCAGACAGTGGGCGCAGGTCAGTGGGTGCAGCGCACCGTGCAAAAGCCGAAGCAGGGCGAGGCATTGCCTCACTTCGGAAGCGCAAGGGGTCAGGGAGTTCCCTTTCTGAGTCAAAGAAAGGGGTGATGGACGGCACCTGGAAAATCGGGTCACTCCCACCCGAATACTGCGCTTTTCCGACGGGCTTAAAAAACGGCGCACCACGAGATTATATCCCGCACCTGGCTCCAAGGGTCCTACGCCCACGGAGTCTCGCTGATTGCTAGCACAGCAGTCTGAGATCAAACTGCAAGGCGGCAGCGAGGCTGGGGGAGGGGCGCCCGCCATTGCCCAGGCTTGCTTAGGTAAACAAAGCAGCCCGGAAGCTCAAACTGGGTGGAGCCCACCACAGCTCAAGGAGGCCTGCCTGCCTCTGTAGGCTCCACCTCTGGGGGCAGGGCACAGACAAACAAAAAGACAGCAGTAACCTCTGCAGACTTAAATGTCCCTGTCTGACAGCTTTGAAGAGAGCAGTGGTTCTCCCAGCACGCAGCTGGAGATCTGAGAACGGGCAGACTGCCTCCTCAAGTGGGTCCCTCACCCCTGACCCCCGAGCAGCCTAACTGGGAGGCACCCCCCAGCAGGGGCACACTGACACCTCACACGGCAGGGTATTCCAACAGACCTGCAGCTGAGGGTCCTGTCTGTTAGAAGGAAAACTAACAAACAGAAAGGACATCCACACCAAAAACCCATCTGTACATCACCATCATCAAAGACCAAAAGTAGATAAAACCACAAAGATGGGGAAAAAACAGAACAGAAAAACTGGAAACTCTAAAACGCAGAGCGCCTCTCTTCCTCCAAAGGAACGCAGTTCCTCACCAGCAACGGAACAAAGCTGGATGGAGAATGACTTTGACGAGCTGAGAGAAGAAGGCTTCAGACGAACAAATTACTCTGAGCTACGGGAGGACATTCAAACCAAAGGCAAAGAAGTTGAAAACTTTGAAAAAAATTTAGAAGAATGTATAACTAGAATAACCAACACAGAGAAGTGCTTAAAGGAGCTGATGGAGCTGAAAACCAAGGCTCGAGAACTACGTGAAGAATGCAGAAGCCTCAGGAGCCGATGCGATCAACTGGAAGAAAGGGTATCAGCGATGGAAGATGAAATGAATGAAATGAAGCGAGAAGGGAAGTTTAGAGAAAAAAGAATAAAAAGAAATGAGCAAAGCCTCCAAGAAATATGGGACTATGTGAAAAGACCAAATCTACGTCTGATTGGTGTACCTGAAAGTGATGGGGAGAATGGAACCAAGTTGGAAAACACTCTGCAGGATATTATCCAGGAGAACTTCCCCAATCTAGCAAGGCAGGCCAACGTTCAGATTCAGGAAATACAGAGAACGCCACAAAGATACTCCTTGAGAAGAGAAACTCCAAGACACATAATTGTCAGATTCACCAAAGTTGAAATGAAGGAAAAAATGTTAAGGGCAGCCAGAGAGAAAGGTCGGGTTACCCTCAAAGGGAAGCCCATCAGACTAAGAGCAGATCTCTCGGCAGAAACCCTACAAGCCAGAAGAGAGTGGGGGCCAATATTCAACATTCTTAAAGAAAAGAATTTTCAACCCAGAATTTCATATCCAGCCAAACTAAGCTTCATAAGTGAAGGAGAAATAAAATACTTTACAGACAAGCAAATGCTGAGAGATTTTGTCACCACCAGGCCTGCCCTAAAAGAGCTCCTGAAGGAAGCACTAAACATGGAAAGGAACAACCGGTACCAGCCGCTGCAAAATCATGCCAAAATGTAAAGACCATCGAGACTAGGAAGAAACTGCATCAACTAACAAGCAAAATAACCAGCTAACATCATAATGACAGGATCAAATTCAAACATAACAATATTAACTTTAAATGTAAATGGACTAAATGCTCCAATTAAAAGACACAGACCGGCAAATTGGATAAAGAGTCAAGACCCATCAGTGTGCTGTATTCAGGAAACCCATCTCACGTGCAGAGACACACATAGGCTCAAAATAAAAGGATGGAGGAAGATCTACCAAGCCAATGGAAAACAAAAAAAGGCAGGGGTTGCAATCCTAGTCTCTGATAAAACAGACTTTAAACCAACAAAGATCAAAAGAGACAAAGAAGGCCATTACATAATGGTAAAGGGATCAATTCAACAAGAACAGCTAACTATCCTAAATATATATGCACCCAATACAGGAGCACCAAGATTCATAAAGCAAGTCCTGAGTGACCTACAAAGAGACTTAGACTCCCACACATTAATAATGGGAGATTTTAACAACCCACTATCAACATTAGACAGATCAATGAGACAGAAAGTCAACAAGGATACCCAGGAATTGAACTCAGCTCTGCACCAAGTGTACCTAATAGACATCTACAGAACTCTCCACCCCAAATCAACAGAATATACATTTTTTTCAGCACCACACCACACCTATTCCAAAATTGACCACATACTTGGAAGTAAAGCTCTCCTCAGCAAATGTAAAAGAACAGAAATTATAACCAACTATCTCTCAGACCACAGTGCAATCAAACTAGAATTCAGGATTAAGAATCTCACTCAAAACCGCTCAACTACATGGAAACTGAACAACCTGTTCCTGAATGACTACTGGGTTCCTGAATGACTACTGGGTTCATAACGAAATGAAGGCAGAAATAAAGATGTTCTTTGAAACCAACGAGAACAAAGACACAACATACCAGAATCTCTGGGACACATTCAAAGCAGTGTGTAGAGGGAAATTTATAGCACTAAATGCCCACAAGAGAAAGCAGGAAAGATCCAAAATTGACACCCTAACATCACAATTAAAAGAACTAGAAAAGCAAGAGCAAACACATTCAAAAGCTAGCAGAAGGCAAGAAATAACTAAAATCAGAGCAGAACTGAAGGAAATAGAGACACAAAAAACCCTTCAAAAAATTAATGAATCCAGGAGCTGGTTTTTTGAAAGGATCAACAAAATTGATAGACTGCTAGCAAGACTAATAAAGAAGAAAAGAGAAGAATCAAATAGACGCAATAAAAAATGATAAAGGGGATATCACCACCGATCCCACAGAAATACAAACTACCATCAGAGAATACTACAAACACCTCTACGCAAATAAACTAGAAAATCTAGAAGAAATGGATACATTCCTCGACACATACACTCTCCCAAGACTAAACCAGGAAGAAGTTGAATCTCTGAATAGACCAATAACAGGAGCTGAAATTGTGGCAATAATCAATAGCTTACCAACCAAAAAGAGTCCAGGACCAGATGGATTCACAGCCGAATTCTACCACAGGTACAAGGAGGAACTGGTACCATTCCTTCTGAGACTATTCCAATCAATAGAAAAAGAGGGAATCCTCCCTAACTCATTTTATGAGGCCAGCATCATTCTGATACCAAAGCCGGGCAGAGATACAACCAAAAAAGAGAATTTTAGACCAATATCCTTGATGAACATTGATGCAAAAATCCTCAATAAAATACTGGCAAAACGAATCCAGCAGCACATCAAAAAGCTTATCCACCATGATCAAGTTGGCTTCATCCCTGGGATGCAAGGCTGGCTCAATATACGCAAATCAATAAATGTAATCCAGCATATAAACAGAGCCAAAGACAAAAACCACATGATTATCTCAATAGATGCAGAAAAAGCCTTTGACAAAATTCAACAACCCTTCATGCTAAAAACTCTCAATAAATTAGGTATTGATGGGACGTATTTCAAAATAATAAGAACTATCTATGACAAACCCACAGCCAATATCATACTGAATGGGAAAAAACTGGAAGCATTCCCTTTGAAAACTGGCACAAGACAGGGATGCCCTCTCTCACCACTCCTATTCAACATAGTGTTGGAAGTTCTGGCCAGGGCAATTAGGCAGGAGAAGGAAACAAAGGGTATTCAATTAGGAAAAGAGGAAGTCAAATTGTCCCTGTTTGCAGACGACATGATTGTATATCTAGAAAACCCCATTGTCTCAGCCCAAAATCTCCTTAAGCTGATAAGCAACTTCAGCAAAGTCTCAGGATACAAAATCAATGTACAAAAATCACAAGCATTCTTATACACCAACAACAGATAAACAGAGAGCCAAATCATGAGTGAACTCCCATTCACAATTGCTTCAAAGAGAATAAAATACCTAGGAATCCAACTTACAAGGGATGTGAAGGACCTCTTCAAGGAGAACTACAAACCACTGCTCAAGGAAATAAACGAGGATACAAACAAATGGAAGAACATTCCATGCTCATGGATAGGAAGAATCAATATCGTGAAAATGGCCATACTGCCCAAGGTAATTTACAGATTCAATGCCATCCCCATCAAGCTACCAATGACTTTCTTCACAGAATTGGAAAAAACTACTTTAAAGTTCATATGGAACCAAAAAAGAGCCCGCATTGCCAAGTCAATCCTAAGCCAAAAGAACAAAGCTGGAGGAATCACACTACCTGACTTCAGACTATACTACAAGGCTATAGTAACCAAAACAGCATGGTACTGGTACCAAAACAGAGATATAGATCAATGGAACAGAACAGAGCCCTCTGAAATAACGCCGCATATCTACAACTATCTGATCTTTGACAAACCTGAGAAAAACAAGCAATGGGGAAAGGATTCCCTATTTAATAAATGGTGCTGGGAAAACTGGCTAGCCATATGTAGAAAGCTGAAACTGGATCCCTTCCTTACACCTTATACAAAAATCAATTCAAGATGGATTAAAGACTTAAACGTTAGACCTAAAACCATAAAAACCCTAGAAGAAAACCTAGGTATTACCATTCAGGACATAGGCAGGGGCAAGGACTTCATGTCTAAAACACCAAAAGCAATGGCAACAAAAGACAAAATTGACAAATGGGATCTAATTAAACTAAGGAGCTTCTGCACAGCAAAAGAAACTACCATCAGAGTGAACAGGCAACCTACAGAATGGGAGAAAATTTTCGCAACCTACTCATCTGACAAAGGGCTAATATCCAGAATCTACAATGAACTCAAACAAATTTACAAGAAAAAAACAAACAACCCCATCAAAAAGTGGGTGAAGGACATGAACAGACACTTCTCAAAAGAAGACATTTATGCAGCCAACAGACACATGAAAAAATGCTCATCATCACTGGCCATCAGAGAAATGCAAATCAAAACCACAATGAGATACCATCTCACACCAGTTAGAATGGCAATCATTAAAAAGTCAGGAAACAACAGGTGCTGGAGAGGATGTGGAGAAACAGGAACACTTTTACACTGTTGGTGGGACTGTAAACTAGTTCAACCACTGTGGAAGTCAGTGTGGCGATTCCTCAGGGATCTAGAACTGGAAATACCATTTGACCCAGCCATCCCATTACTGGGTATATACCCAAAGGACTATAAATCATGCTGCTATAAAGACACATGAACACGTATGTTTATTGCGGCACTATTCACAATAGCAAAGACTTGGAACCAACCCAAATGTCCAACAATGATAGACTGGATTAAGAAAATGTGGCACATATACACCATGGAATACTATGCAGTCATAAAAAATGATGAGTTCATGTCCTTTGTAGGGACATGGATGAAATTGGAAATCATCATTCTCAGTAAACTATCGCAAGAACTAAAAACCAAATACCGCATATTCTCACTCATAGGTGGGAACTGAACAATGAGAACACATGGACGCAGGAAGGGGAACATCACAATCTGGGGACTATTGTGGGGTAGCGGGGGGAGGGATAGCATTGGGAGATATACCTAATGCTAGATGACGAGTTAGTGGGTGCAGCGCACCAGCATGGCACATGTATACATATGTAACTAACCTGCACAATGTGCACATGTACCCTAAAACTTAAAGTATAATAAAAAAAAAACAGATTATGAAACAATATGTATATTATGGTGTGATGTTATTAGTGTGTGTGTCTGTGTGTGCATGCACACATGTGCACAGGAGATCTGGAAGGCTATGCATCAGTATGTTAACAGAAATTAGGTGGATATGGTTATGAATATTTTAAAATCCTTTGCACATGTCTGTATTTTCTGACTTTTGTTAACAAGCTTTTGAAATGAGATTTTTTTAAAAAAAATGTTTCTAAAGAACTGCGTAGGGCATTCTGGGTGGAAAACGGATGAACAAAGTCATAGAAGGTGACTCAGAAGCTGAGAAGGTTTTACAGTGAAGACAAAGTGGAGACCAGTCAGATGGGAGAACTGGGGTCCCCCTACATTGGTCCTGTTTAGAACAGGCATAAAAGGCCAACTAAATTAAAAAAAGGGTGAAGGTTTCAGCCTTTGCATAGGGCTGTTTGTTCAAACTTCTTTAAAACTTTTTTTTTTTTTTTTTTTGAGACAGAGTTTTGCTCTTGTTGCCCAGGCTGGAGTGCAATGGCGCGATCTCAGCTCACTGCAACCTGCGTCTCCCAGGTTCAAGTGATTCTCCTGCCTCAGCCTCCCAAGTAGCTGGGATTACAGGCATAAACCACCATGCCCAGCTATTTTTGTATTTTTAGTACAGACGAGGTTTCTCCATGTTGGTCAGCCTGGTCTCGAACTCCTAACCTCAGGTGATCATCCCACCTCGGCCTCCCAAAGTGCTGGGATTACAGGCATGAGACACCATGCCTGGCCCTTCTTTAAAACTTTTAATCCCGGCGGGGCGCGGTGGCTTACGCCTGTAATCCCAGCACTTTGGGAGGCCAAGGCGGGTGGATCACGAGGTCAGGAGATCGAGACCATCCTGGCTAACAGGGTGAAACACCGTCTCTACTAAAAATACAAAAAATTAGCCAGGTGTACAGGCAGGCGCCTGTAGTCCCAGCTACTCGGGAGGCTGAGAGGCTGAGGCAGGAGAATGCCATGAACCCGGGAGGCAGAGCTTGCAGTGAGCCAAGATCACGCCACTGCACTCCAGCCTGGGCGACACAGTGAGACTCCGTCACAAAAAAAGAGAAAAAAAAAAAACTTTTAATCCCTCTTGTTCCAGGATAGATTTAAGGTCCCTTACAAATATACATGCAATGTCAACAATCACTTATGCAACACCTGTACATCCCAGGCACTGTGCTTGGCTCTGGGGATGCAAAGCTGAACTGTAAGATCAAGCCACTCAGTGCCAAGTGGACTAGATGGCTCTCCAGCAGGTAGGTAACAGTAGAGCAGGAATCACAAAACGCTTGTCTCATGGCTCAGCCTGGACAGGAGTTGTATTGTTTGGCCAGTTCAGTGTTTTTTGTTTGTTTTTTAACTTGGATGACTTTAGGCAGGACTTGCACTCTCCAACTGGAGACCACAGTTTCTACTTTCTCTCTTTTCACCATGGAGGCTTTGCACCATCTTCCTGGCCCATGAGGGCATTGGGGTTTGCCAGCTCCAACCACCACCACATTGTAGGGAAAAGAACATGGAATTTGCAGCCACACAGACAAGAGTTCCAGTCATGATCTATGCAACCTAGAACCAGTTCCTTAGCTTCTTTAGTTCCCTTCTCCTTAAAGGGAGTCCCAACTTTGGATACTGTGAGTCTTGCTCCCTGGCCCCCTAGTCTATCAGGACAGGCCAGGGAAGGGTTTTCCTGGCCAGGGCACATTGTTAAGGTCTGAAATCAGGCTAAGCATGGAGAGAAAGCCCTTCACGCTAGATTCAGTGAAGTGGACCAGAAATCCTAGGGATTGAAAGGAATAGAAGATCGGTGAAGTGTAAGCAAATCCAAACTGCGTGCCCAGCCCCATGAGAATCAGGCGCCCAAACACAGTGGAGCAGAGAAACCTGGAGCAGATATGCCCAGGCAGTGCTGCAAGAGGATGGCAAGCCCAGACAGATCCCCAAATCGAGGGAACTGCATGTCTGAATAGGGTCTGGATTTTCTGGGGTGCACCCAGTACATTGTCAGAGGCCAAAATTGGTGCGCCAAGTTTCGTCCTTCTCATGCCTGCTGGCATGTGGACTGGAAGAGTACTCATGGTCTTGTACTTGGAGTGGGCATCTTTTTCTCCCCAGCTTCCCTGTTATTTCTAGGTTTCTTCCACAGCAGAAAGCAGTCATTTCCAGCCCCCAGTGCAGGCCCTCCTTGCCCAGTTAATGCATGGGCTGATTTCTCTACAGAAATATCATAAGACCGTCACATGGACTCCCTTCTTAATGCCTCAAATTCTCCCTGTAGCTCCTAATTCCCCAGTATGGACACCAACTTATTCCTGAGGACTGGTGTTGTCTCACCAGCTGTGTTGTGAGGCCCATAAGAGAAGAAAAGTGTGGCTGGGTGCGATGGCTCATGCCTGTAATCCCAGCACTTAGGAGGCTGAGGTGGGCAGATCACCTGAGGTTGGGAGTTCGAGACCAGCCTGACCAACATGCTAAAACCCTGTCTCTACTAAAAATGCAAAATTAGCCAAGTGTGGTGGCACATTCCTGTAATCCCAGCTACTCGGGAGGCTGAGGCAGGAGAATCACTTGAACCCGGAGGTGGAGGTTGTGGTGAGCCAAAATCACGCCACTGCACTCCAGCCTGGACGACAAGAAGAAGAAGGAGAAGGAGAAGAAGAAGAAGAGGAGGAGGAAGAATTTAAAAAGGAAGAAAATATAAACTAAATAATTCAATGGTGCTCTGAGGATAAAGCAAGTTCTAATTTGTGGGAAAAGGATTAAATATTTGTTTTCTGAAAAGAGTTATTTTGCATTTTGTTTTCTATTAAAATGTATTTAGTTTAAAAAAAAACACAGCATTCAGTACAGTGTTGGACATAGAATTATGCTTTTTTTTTCCAGTAAGAAGAAAGTCTTTTAAAATAAAGAATGAAAATTATGGGGAAAAAACAAAAATGTGGAAAGGATAAATCTTTACATTATAAGCTAGAAAACTATACAATATGAGCCAAACGAGAAAACAAAACAAAACAAAAGGTGACCATCATTATTTTTTGTACCTCAGCTTATCTTGCTCTTGAACTCTTATTGATTGCAAGATACCTGTAAATGCTCAATCTTGTCAGTCGGAGGCAGTTGGGTAATTAGTCTTCCTGAATGTCTCCTCTCCTCAAGAACATCCTGCTTCTTCCTACTCCCCAGCAGCAGGTGGACACTGGGAAAGGTTAGGGTCCTGGTGCTCTGAGAGAGTGGCTGGCTCCCTGCTGGACCCACTGTGAAGGTAGGTGTCTGTGGCTAGGGGGACTCATGGCCTGCAAGGCTGTGTTTCTTCCCCACCAATTCCACTGTCCTGCTGGGGCTGCCTTTCTTTGGAGAGCCCAAGGCTGCCATCACACCCATCGCATGCCCAGCTCCAAGGAATAGCTTGCCCAAGACCCTGGGAACCTGAGAATCACATCTCACACCCACCGCCAAGAATCTTCTCTTTGCTTTTGCGTGTCATACTGATGCAAGGCAGGTGAACCCAAAATCGAGGCTTCACCTGGGAGGGTTGTTGCCTTTGCCCAGGAAAGAATTTAAGGGTGAGCCAGTGGTGCTAGACAGCAACTTCTATTGAAGCAGCAGCAGAGGTGTTGTGCCTTGTGGAGCAGGGCTACCCCAGAGGCAGTGTGCCCAGAGCAGCAGCTCAGAAGCAGTTTTGTACTCACACTTATATTTACTTTGAAAATTAAGGGACAGATTATGCAAAAATTTCTTGAAAAAGAGTGGTAATTTCTAGGTGGTTGAGTCATTGCCATGGACAAAGGTGGTACCGCTCGAGTGTTGCCCTGGCAATGGTAAACCGACATGGCACTCTGTTGGGCATATCTTATAGAAAGTTGTTTTTGCCCCATCCGCATTTTAGCTAGTCCTCAATTTGGTCCAGTGTCCAAGCTCTGCCTTCTAACTCAATATGAGAAGCAGCAGCCCCCCAGATTTTTCTGAGAGGTGAGTAATCTTTCCAGGCCATGTCTGAAGATGCATGGACAAACCTTCTGCTCCAGGACTCACATGAACCCTTCTGGAAGCCTCTGTTTATCTGCCTCCTGCCCAGCAATGAATTGGGGAGGTCAAGGATGCTTACATCTATATTCTTGCCTCCACTCTCTTCCTCCACCTGGGTCACTCAAATAGAAATATTCTTCACTGCATCTCCTGTCTCCACAGTCAACAGTTCAGCCTTGGATTATTTGTTTGTGCATTAGTTGTGATCAGGTTGGGCTGCAATTGAGAAGAAAACAAACGATGTTTTTCACTTACATACAGGCTAGCCTGTCCATTGTCTATTGCTGCATAGCAAATCACCACACATGCAGCAGCTTTAAAAGACACAAAGTTATTAGCTCACAGCATCCATGGACCAGAAGTCCTGGTACAGTGTGGCGCAGTTGCGTTCTGTGCTCAGGGACTCTCAAAGCTAAAATCCACTTTGGCTTTCAAAGTGTTGGCTGGGCTGGGCTGTCTGCAGACTCTGGGGAAGAATCCACTTACAAGTGCATCTAGGTTGTTAGCAGAATTCAGTTCATTGCAGTTGTGAAACTGAGATCCCTATCTCCTTGACATGCAGATGCCCTCATCTTCAAGCCAATAATTGCATGGCGAATCCTTCTCATGCTTCAAATCTCTGCCTTCCCCTTCTGCGACGGGCTGGAAAAAGATCTTCCCTTTCAAGGGCTCATACAATTTAAACTAGGTCCACCTGGTGAATCCAGGACAATCTTCCGATTTTAAGGTCAACTAATTGGTACCTTAATTACATTTTGCCATGTAATGTAACATATCCATGAATAATGCCAAGGGCAAAAGTCATGAGGCCCAAGCTCTGCCTTCCACAGCTGGTAAGGCAACTCTGCCTTAAGTCCTCAGGACCCAGGCTCCCTTCTACTCACCACTCCATCACCCCTGGAAGGGACCTCTGTCCTCGCAGCCCAGGATTCAACAACTGTATGCCAAGGCAGATGGGTATAGGGTTGTATAGGGTTCATTCTGACTAGGTTTTAAGGAAGGTTCTCAGCAGCTGCCGCACAACGTTTCTGCCTTCATCCCATTGGTTCTACATTGTGACATCCTTGCCTGGTTGTAAGGGAAGCTGGGCAAGGTAGCTCCATTCTGGGTGTCAATGTGGCTGGGTACAAATTCTATCAATAAGAAAAAGACGGAGAATGGGTAGTTGGGGACAATATGTAAAAAGAAAATCTGGGGAAAGCCCATAAAACCCCTTTTTCTCTCTTGTTAGCTTGGTCTTCAAGTCTTTAAAACCTTTAGTTTGAAACTCAAGCTAAAACTGGCACTTTTGTTGCAGGCAATGGTCCTTTCCCCCTTCCCCAGGCAATCAGTCTCAGCCTCCAGGCCTGAATTTACTGGCAGAAAAGCTGAGGGAGAGGATGTGAATTTAGGGAGAAGATCATTATGGTACTACATTTGAATGCAGAGATACGGGAGCGGCTGTTGTCTCCTAATGTGCACCTCCCACTGTTGTCTAGAAGTGTTTGACTCTAAGCTTTCTTTATGCTCCTACAAGGGAGAAAGAAGGAATGTTGCAAGGCTATCTTCACGCCAGTATTTGGTCCCAAGCCCTGTAAATACAATTCCAGTTGCAAAGCCTAAAGCAAGTAGATGTTCATTTTCTTTTACAAGACAGGAGATGACATTCCGTAATGTCATGCAGTTATTACCCATCTAGCATGCAAAAAAGTCACAGAAATGGAGCCAATGATCTGTAGGAGCAATTTTCCACTTTCGGCCATGCTTAAGGAATACAGTGGATGGGCCCGTCACAAGCAGCCAGTGCCCTCAGCCACAGCTCTGCATAACCTAAAGGGTCATAGAGGTGGTTCTTTCCCAGTCACGAAGGGAGGACTTACCTGGGCAGGAGCTCTCCTGGCTAATGGCACCCTAACTGGAGGACTCCTGGGGCACGTGAAGACTTCGTAAAGAAGACTGGTACTTCAAGCAGTTTATATTTTCCTGATTCCTGCTTCTTAGAAAAAGTAATAAATTAGTAATTTCTGAACCTAGAGTGACCTAGAAGGAAAAAAACAGAAACGTTTGATTCTGATCAATCTGAATGTGCAAAGTGACTCAGCCACTTCCCAACTATGAGAGGTTCTTAGCAAAACTACTTAAACTAGGAGTCTTCATTCCGGGATTAGGACATCAACATATATTTTCCATTCTCAGGGTCCTATTTCAAGGCTCTGAGTTCATATACGTGAATTCCAGGAACATTAGCAGAGGCTCAGTGCAATCGGTAGTTATTGGTGTTGTCATTGTACCATATGGGATCAGGATTGCATCATTAAAAATCAGTGTTGTCCTGAATGGTATTGCCTAGGTTTCCTTCTAGGGTTTTTATGGTTTTAGGTCTAATCTTTAAGTCTTTAATCCATCTTGAATTAATTTTTGTATAAGGTGTAAGGAAGGGATCCAGTTTCTACATATGGCTAGCCAGTTTTCCCAACACCATTCATTAAATAGGGAATCCTTTCCCCATTTCTTGTTTTTGTCAGGTTTGTCAAAGATCAGATGGTTGTAGATGTGTGGTATTATTTCTGAGGGCTCTGTTCTGTTCCATTGGTCTATATCTCTGTTTTGTTACCAGTACCATGCTGTTTTGGTTACTATAGCCTTGTAGTATAGTTTGAAGTCAGGTAGTGTGATGCTTCCAGCTTTGTTCTTTTGGCTTAGGATTGTCTTGGCAATGCAGGCCCTTTTTTGATTCCATATGACCTTTAAAGTAGTTTTTTCCAATTCTGTGAAGAAAGTCATTGGTAGCTTGATGGGGATGGCATTGAATCTATAAATTACCTTGGGCAGTATGGCCATTTTCACGATATTGATTCTTCCTATCCATGAGCATGGAATGTTCTTCCATTTGTTTGTATCCTCTTTTATTTTGTTGAGCAGTGGTTTATAGTTCTCCATGAAGAGGTCCTTCACATCCCTTGTAAGTTGGATTCCTAGGTATTTTATTCTCTTTGAAGCAATTGTGAATGGGAGTTCACTCGTGGTTTTGCTCTGTTTGTCTGTTATCGGTGTATAAGAATGCTTGTGATTTTTGCATATTGATTTTGTATCCTGAGACTTTGCTGAAGTTGCTTATCAGCTTAAGGAGATTTTGGGCTGAGACAATGGGGTTTTCTAAATATACAATGATGTCATCCGCAAACAGGGACAATTTGACTTCCTCTTTTCCTAATTGAATACTCTTTATTTCTTTCTCCTGCCTGACAGCCCTGGCCAGAACTTCCAACGCTATGTTGAACAGGAGTGGTGAGAGAGGGCATCCCTGTCTTGTGCCAGTTTTCAAAGGGAATGCTTCCAGTTTTTTCCCATTTAGTATGATATTGGCTGTGGGTTTGTCATAAATAGCTCCTATTATTTTGAGATACGTCCCATCGATACCTAATTTAGTGACAGTTTTTAGCACGAAGGGCTGTTGAATTTTGTCGAAGGCCTTTTCTGCATCTATTGAGATAATCATGTGGTTTTTTGTCTTTGGTTCTGTTTATATGTTGGATTACATTTATTGATTTGCATATGTTGAACAAAACACCAAAAGCAAAGGCAACAAAAGCCAACACTGACAAATGGGATCTAATTAAACTAAAGAGCTTCTGCACAGCAAAAGAAACTACCATCAGAGTGAACAGGCAACCTACAGAATGGGAGAAAATTTTTGCAATCTACTCATCGGACAAAGGGCTAATATCCAGAATCTACAAAGAATTCAAACAAATTTACAAGAAAAGAACAATCAACCCCATCAACAAGTGGGCAAAGGATATGAACAGACACTTCTCAAAAGAAGACATTTATGCAGCCAACAGACACATGAAAAAATGCTCATCATCTCTGGCCATCAGAGAAATGCAAATCAAGACCACAATGAGATACCATCTCACACCAGTTAGAAGGGCAATCATTGAAAAATCAGGACACAACAGGTGCTGGAGAGGATGTGGAGAAATAGGAACACTTTTACACTGTTGGTGGGACTGTAAACTAGTTCAACCATTGTGGAAGACAGTGTGGCGATTCCTCAAGGATCTAGAACTAGATATACCATTTGACCCAGCCATCCCATTACTGGGTATATACTCAAAGGATTATAAATCATGCTGCTATAAAGACACATGCCCACGTATGTTTATTGCGGCACTATTCACAATAGCAAAGACTTGGAACCAACCCAAATGTCCATCAATGAGAGACTGGATTAAGAATATGTGGCACATATACACCATGGAATACTATGCAGCCATAAAAAAAAGATGAGTTCATGTCCTTTGTAGGGACATGGATGAAGTTGGAAACCATCATTCTCAGCAAACTATCTCAAGGACAAAAAACCAAACACTGCATGTTCTCACTCATAGTTGGGAATTGAACAATGAGAACACTTGGACACAGGGTGGGGAACATCACACACCGGGGCCTGTCATGGGGTGGGGGGAGCGGGGAGGGAAAGCATTAGGAGATCTACCTAATGTAAATGACGAGTTAATGGGTAGAGCACACCAACATGGCACATGTATACATATGTAACAAACCTGCATGTTGTGCACATGTACCCTAGAACTTAAAGTATAATAATAAAAAAAAAAGACTTTACAAATTAAAAAAAAATATCAGTGTTGTCGAGCTCAGCTGCAAAGAAGTTTGATTAGACAATCCAAGCTACTCTTCCTAACCAAGATTCACTGGGTATTGAGAGAGGGCTGAAATGACACTGTTGAATTGCAGGACAGCATGGCTCTCAAGTGACATTCTGTCCAGAGTGCAAGGAGCACCCACAGGTGCTTTGCAGTAAAGGCACTTCAATCTCATTTCTAACACTCAGGAAATGCTGAAATGTAAGGACTTTACCCGCTCTGCCTCTGATGAAAATCGGCCAATAACAAACACATAAGTGCCATTGTTTACCACAGCAACGCCCTTGGCAAGAGATCCCCACATTCCCACCCACAACCCCTCATGGCGTGGCCAGGATGACCCAGGGCAGACAACAAGACCTTCTTGTAAGTATCAGAGGAATGAAAGCAGGTGTCTGAAGAAATTCTTAGTCCATGCCGGGCACAGTGGCTCATGCCTGTAATCTCAGCACTTTGGGAGCCCAAGGTGGGCGGATCATGAGGCCAGGAGTTCAAAACCAGCCTGGCCAGCATGATGATACCCCGTCTCTACTAAAGATACAAAAATTAGCTGGGCATGGTGGTGCGTGCCTGTAATCCCAGCTACTCAGGAGGCTGGGGCAGGAGAATAGCTGGAACCTGGGAGGCAGAGGTTGCAGTGAGCAAAGATCATGCCGTTGCACTCCAGCCTGGGTGACAGGGTGAGACTCCATCTCAAAAAAAAAAGAAAAAAAAGAAAAGAAAGAAAGGAATTCTTAGTCCAACTACAGACTGTGGTGTTTGGGACACTCCCACATTCTCAAATCAAGACTAACCTTCAACAGGTCTCACAAGCTCCCTGTCATGCTGATGCACCAATCCAGGGGCCACAGCTGGGAACCAGTGCTCCAGGGCAGCGGTCAGCAAACTAGAACCCTCCAGTGGGCCAAATCCCACCTGCCTCCTATGTTTAGACAGCCCTCAAACTACAAATGGTTTTTACACATTCGAATGGTTAGAAAGAAAGGGTAAGGAGCAGGGAAAGCATTTCATGATGCTTGAAAATTACAGAAAATTCACACTTCAGTATCCATAGATAAAAGCACATTGAAATGTAGCCATGCTCACTCATGGAAGTGTTGTCTGTGGCAGCGGTCCCCAGTCTTTTTGGCACCAGGGGTCAGTTCCATGGAAGACAATTTCTCCATGGACGGGTGTTGGGAGTAAGGATGGTTTGGGGATGAAACTGTTCAACCTCAGATCATCAGGCATTAGTCAGATTCTCATAAGGAGTGCACAACCACCTAGATCCCTCGCATGCACAGTTCACAACAGGGTTCGCGCTCCCAAGAGAATCTAATGCCGCAGCTGATCTGACAGGAGGAGGAGCTCAGGTGGTAACGCTCACTCACCCACTGCTTACCTCTTGCTGTGCAGCCCTGTTCCTAACAGGACACAGATTGGTACTGGTCCACAGCCCAGGGGCTGAAGACCCCAGGTCTATGGCTATTTTTTTTTTTTTTTTTGAGATGGAGTCGCACTCTGTCACCCAGGCTGGAGTGCAGTGTCGCGATCTCGGCTCACTGCAACCTCCACCTCCCAGGTTCAAGTGATTCTCCTGCCTCAGCCTCCTGAGTAGCTGGGATTACAGGCACGCACCACCATGCCCAGCTAATTTTTGTATTTTTAGTAGAGACGGGGTTTCGCCATCTTGGCCAAGATGGTCTCGATCTACTGACCTCGTGATCTGCCCTCCTCAGCCTCCCAAAGCGCTGGGACTACAGGCGTGAGCCACCGCACCTGGGTCTATGGCTATTTTTGTGCTACAATGGCACAGCTAAGTACTTGCAATAGAGACCATAGAGCCTGAAAATATATACTACATGGTCCTTTAGAGAAAATGCCTCCTCTAGGGAAAGCAAATGGCTCCATGGAACACCTGAAAGGGAAGGGTGACGCCCAGAGCCTGGTTTCCTGCTCTTTGTCCTGTGTTCTGGGTTCATCTTAAAATGAGTGCTTTACAGAGAATAACTTCTTTAATGCTTAGGTATTAATAAAAGGAAGATTTTTTTTAAGTTCCCTTTAATCTTTCCCTTTCTGCTTATATTCAAATAAAAGCAATTACAGCGCAGAGGCCTGCTAAGAAGTCTGATGATTTATGCAAAAGTAATGTGGCAAGAGCTTGAAGCAAATGTATTTATTAAAGTAACCCAAATAATCAGATCATAGCAAATGGAGAGAAAAAAAATCCAAACCTGTAATTCCTAGCCAGTATTTCATTTTCGTTTACATTTAAATGATACATCTTGTGGCAAATTATTTCAGACTTTTTCTACCAGGAGAAAGGGGAAGAAAAATGCACTCATTGAAGGAAAGCTCTGCAAGAGGCAAAAGTGATAAACTTCCCCAAGCCTATTTACAAATGCAGTCAATGAAACAGAATTTTAATGAATTGTGCCACATAATCCGGCAGTTAATGAGCTGCAAAAGCCTTTGTCAATTGCAGTGACTGGGAACTAACTCTTTCAGTTTCAAGATCAATAAGAGAATTCTCTGCTCTGCGTTACCCAAAAGGGAACTCTGGGGAGAAAGGAAGTTGTCAGAGGAATGTCATCTCTACAGGTCGCAGCAGCAAGGCCGCCATCTGTTTTGTGTGTCTCCTCCATCCCCCCTCCCCCCCTTTATATTTAAATCCCCACTTCAGACTGAGGAGTAAAAGACAGTTTGGAGATCAAACAGCACAAGTCCTGTGAACTGCCAACACAAAATGACAACAAAAAGGTTTGAATGACTCTAAAAATATCTCCCAATATTTTAGAAACTGTATTGAGTCCGGACGCTGTTCTGGACCTCTGGGAGGGGGTAAAACCCTTGGCATTCACTATTTTTGATAGACAAAGGCAATGAGAAGTGGGTTGTTAAGGATTAAACAGGCCTGAGGCATCCTGCTAATTTGTCCTTCCATAACACTTCTTTTATCTGCTGTTTTCATTGCTCTGCCGCCAAATAATCACATTCTTTTTCAGAGGTCTGGGATTTGCAATTATGGTATGATCCATCTCTATCACCCAGAGTTGTTGCTAGGGAGATGTGGTTGTCGCTATGGTCCTAATGCCACAGGACATAAGAAATCCCAGGTGGAAAAGACGCATCATTCAACAGCAGGTGGACAACATTTACTGAGCATACACCAAGTGGAAACAATGAGGAACCTTGGGAAGGCAGAGATGAATGAGACCTCAAAACCACCTTTAATTTGCTCTTCGACCACTAGAGGAGACACACAATTAGGCTTGTTGAATGAATTAATAGACAATAGAGTTATAGATTTCTTGTTTGGCAGAGGCCTTAAAAAGATTTTTTATTTCATGTTAGGGACCCAGTGAATATGTTTCAATTGAGAGGCAAGAAACGTATATATCATTTCAACACCCATGCAAACTGAGTGAAGCCATTCCTACCACATCATCCCCCAACACCCAGTCTTGGAGTTTACTTAGAGGCAATTTCCACTACACCTGTGTTTTCACCCATTAAGGCTCTGTCTCCCTTTCTGGCATCAGGTGTGAAACTATTAGCCAAAGCCACAAGAAAGCAATTTCAGGAAGGGAAAGCCTCATAAAATGTGAAAAATTAAAGCGGTCCTGAATGTTGCATTGAGGAAATTGCCACAGGCAATCCCATTCTGTCAACAGAATGTTCCACTTGGCTGCAACCAAGACACCAGTGAAATGTTTTGACACATGGCACGGTAGAGAAAAGGGAGAATGAGGCACTGAGAGAATCAGGCTGCCCCAGATCACCCAACATTCATTCTAATATTTAGTAAACTTCTGCCAGACTAGAAAGAGATAAAAAGATGTAGTCCCTGTCTTCGAGCAGTTTACAATCTAGCCAAAGAGGTAGGTTTGCATACAGATCTTCATAACAGGGGAAAATGAAGCAATTCCTCTAAGAAGTGCCACTGAATACCAGAAAAAGAGGTGAGACCTGCTTCTACTTCAAGAAGATCTGAAATGCGATAGCAGCCCTTCTGAATAAAGGAAACGAGTCATCCAAAAAGTGCCATGGGAGGAGACTCATCTCAGGGGGAGAGGCTTTGGGCCCCAGAGCCCAGATTTGCCCTTCTATGGTTAACTTCTCCTTGGACTTGGGGATGGGGGTCTGAAGGCTTTTACTAATCAGATCCAAGAGTAATATGAAATCTTTCTCTCAGGTGCCATTGCACAGCTGAGGCAAGGCTAGAATATTCAGATAAGATCACATCAAGTGTCAAAGGTTAAAAAAGAACTTTGAAAATTGATAGCCCAAATTATCAAGCAATATGACCTCATCTTTCACTTGTAGCCCTCCTTTCCCTAGAGGGGCTCCCCTTTCTTGGACCTGCCTTATATCTTTGTAGTGGGCACCATGTCAGCATCACCCAAGATGCTGTGAGCCCATGCCAGGACACTCCTGTCCTTCAAATCTGAATACAAGAGGATATGCTTTTAGAGAGGGGAGTTTCCTGCCTATAAATTTGGTTCTGATTTCTTCCCCAAGAAGCCACCTTGGAGGACCTCAAAACGAGCACCCCCTCGGAAGAATTCCTATATGCCCACAGGGTCACAGTTTGCAGCAACCTGCACACAACACAACAGCCAGCCTTGGCACATGGAGCTATAGACATGCAGAGCTGGAGGTGAGCAGGTGCAGGCAAAGATGTTCAGTTTTCTTCAGTATCTGTGCTGGAAGCAGGAGACTATCTTTCAGTGCCACTAATTCAAACTACAAAGAAGGATGTGCTGCCATTTTACCTTCTTCAAATGTGAAAAAGTAGCAAATCTTAGCTCCTCTCCTTCCAATCCAATTAAGAGTCTCCTCTCTGGCTTTCTGAACCTCCAACGGCTTCCTCTTCTGTCCACCCACCACATCTACTCAGGACCCAGCCACTCCCAAATGCCTTTTCCATCTTCAGCCAGGCTGATCTCAGAAATAATTATTCATCAGCACCTGTAAAGAGTCAGATGCAGTCCTCAACACAGAGGAAACCAAGTCCAGTGAGACTTGGCTGCTGCCTTCAGAGAGCTTACCACCAGCGAGGGAGCCAGGCGGGCGAGCCAGGGATGATCGCAAACACCAGAAGCACAAGACACACGGGCTCAGTACCCTGTGTGCAGGTGAGTAGGGATTGGATTGCCAAAAAGGAGGTGAGTGGTGTCCAAGTAAGAGGGGTGGTCTATGAAAAGTCACACCAGAACACAGCATGGCTCATTCACAAAGCCACAGACCATGCAGTGTAGCAGGAGCACGAGAGCTAGAAAAAGATGAAGTGACACTGTCAAGACAAAGCCAGCCCAGGAAGGATTTGGTGAGCCACACCGAGGAAGTTCATCTTCATTCTGAAGACAATAAAACCCGTAAGTGGTTTAAGCAAAGGGAGATTTGCATTTCCAGAGAGCACCCTGGTGGCTCTGGGGAGGCTGGCTGAGGACAGTAACACAGCTGGAGGACAGTTCCTGGACTGTCGCCAGGAAGCTGCTAAGGCCAGTAGGATGGCAGCGAGCCCAGCATCAGAAAGAGGAGGCTGTATCTGAGCAGTATCTAGGAAAGAAATGTGCAGCACTTGGCGGCTAACTGAAGCTCAGGTGTGAAGGAAGGCAAGCACACGTGGGCTCATTCCTTCCTTTGCCCCTTTGCCCAGGCAGTACTCCAGCCTGAAATGCCCCCCGCCCTTTCCTCATCCACCCTGGCCTGAAACCACTCTCACCTGCCCCCAGGAAGTCACCCCTAACAGCCTCCACCCACACTGTTCTTTCCTTTCTCCCCTACACGCTGTCAGGACTGCCCAGCTGAAAGCTGAGCAAGGCTGTGCTGCTGCTGCACTTTTCCATTGCTCCCTCTGCCTACTGGATGCAGCTCCCTGCGGGTAGACCGGGTCTCCCAGCCCATGTTGCTTCCCATGCATCTTCCACCTCTCTCAGTGTCATCTCATCCTCATTTGCATATGCAATTGCCACACAATAGTCTCAGCAGATGCAATAATAACTGGCTATCAAACCATCATCTTTTGAGAGCCAGGTATGTACCAGGCATCACTCTTTTTATCTATCTATGTATCTACCCATCTACCACTATGTCTATATTTTTTATGTTTTTTTTTTTTTTTTGAGACAGAGTCTCGCTCTGTCGCCCAGGCTGGAGTGCAGTGGTGCGATCTCAGCTCACTGCAAGCTCTGCCTCCCAGGTTCACACCATTCTCCTGCCTCAGCCTCCCGAGTAGCTGGGACTACAGGCGCCTGCCACCACGCCCAGCTAATTTTTTTGTATTTTCAGTAGAGACGGGGTTTCACCGGGTTAGCCAGGATGGTCTCGATCTCCTGACCTCATGATCCACCCGTCTCGGCCTCCCAAAAGTGCTGGGATTACAGGCGTGAGCCACTACGCCTGGCCTTTTTATGTATATTCTTATACGTAAAATAGTAGTATAAATATACTACTATATAAAAATAGTAGTATATTTTTACGTATATTCCTGTCCTTCTAGTCCTAACAACAACCCTTCAGGGTAGGGAGAATTATTTGCTTTCCAGAACCAGAACCAAGTGTTAAAGTGTTTAATCAGAAACTGAGAAGGGCCTGAGATGGTATCCTGCTTCGTAGGCTAATAAGTTAACCTGCCACCATTTTATACACATATAGTGACAGAAGACACAAGACACCTGGATCAGAGACAAAGACCATGTATTATTCACAGCAAAAGCAGCAGCTGGAGCAGTTGCTAGCATCAGTTTTTCTAAAACCCCAACCTCCACAAGGTGACATGGTGAGGTCCAATGGCGCCTGCATGTCACAGGACAGGAACCCCAAAATGGCAAAACCCTGATCTTAGATAGGGCTGCTGGTAACTTCCATTCTCCATTACAGAGAGAGATCTGTTTTTAAAATTGGAATGTAAGCAAATCCCTCCAGGGAGGGCAGTGGGAGTTACCTATCCTGGAAGGTCTCCAGAGAAGGAGCCATCGCTAAAGCTTTATTATCTCTGGTTTCTATAGCTGTGTATTATTCAAAATGCTTGAACAGACAGTCTGAGAAATGTAGGAACACAAATACTGAGCCATGATGTGCTGTTCCCCCTGCTTGTCTCCAGACAGCCCACGATGGTTCCTTGGTTTATAGCTCCTTGTTCTAGGACCCATGTCACTCTCCCCAAGGGCAGGCTCTGTGGAATCACAGCCAACTAGTAATGAATGCCACCTAACTACCACAGGCTATGAACCATGCCAGATGCTTTACAAACTATCTCTAATCACTGTAGCAACCCAGTAAGGTGGGTATTATCACTCCCACCTTAAACACGAGGAAGTTATGACTTGCAGGTGAGTGTCTTACTCATTGCTACACAGTGGAAGCAAGATTCTTTGCCAGGGCGATCTGACTACAAGCCCTGTGCTTTTCTTTACTCTTAAAGCCTTGAGAGTCTCCTTGGGTCTCTCAAGAGGTCAGGTTCCTCTTTGTCTCAGTGGAAGGAGTCGAGTAGCTGCCTTGCTTACTATTAATTTAAAAAGCCATTACTTAACCAGACCCTTCCTAGCAAGATGGCCTTTTAAGAATAGCAATTAAGAGCCTATATTTTATAAGCAGATCCAATTACCTTAGAGCAGGACAAGATAAAGGGTACAAGCTCATTAACTAAAAATGCCATGCTACCTTTGCTACAAAAAGGAGTTTTTAAAAAATCCAAGTGCCTTAAGAAAATTAAAACAACATCCAGGCAGCTTCCTACATGCATACAAAACACAACCACAACATTATGGCTGCGAACGCCAAAGCTCAGTACGATAATGTCATTGCCTTTCCAGGCCCCATGCAGATGGGGATGGGGCAAAAAACAGCAGTTGGTGGAGCAGGGGCCCCGCAGAACTGCAACCACAACCTGCTCTGTTTGCACCATGCCTGTCCCAGCCAACTCCTGTCACCAACCCACGATAACCCTGGGCCACAGTCAAACTGGCTTGCAAAGAAAAGCCTAGGAATACTTGTTCTACGATTATTGCTTTTAAATCCCTACCACTCAACTCGCATTTCTTTTTCTTGGGGTCAAAACCATTAGTGGCACCTGCTGGGCATTTCATTAAGGCTTATTTGAAGACATTAGACATCTGCCAGGTTGGAAGACAGAGCTGCCCGTGTAAAAGAGGGCAATAGCCACACACCAGCCATGGAGGTTCAGCTCAGTCCGGGGGACTGTCGTCGCGAGAGCCAACCATTTTTGGCTGCTGCTCTGGTTCCAAGTTGAACAAGGAGTATGTCGTCCGTATTGTTCCACCATGAACCCAATCTCTTTGAGGACCTATTCACAAGGAGGCTTAACTGAATGAAGATAGATGGGACACTGGATTCTGGCAATGATTTGTGATGAGGCTGCCAGTTTGCACACACCATGACTGATGAAGTGCGCAGCAACAACATGCACCTTGCAAGGCCCTGCTCTTTCCCCAAGAAGCAGCTCCTTCATCTCTCCTCCTTGCCTCACTATTAAAAATGGGGGGAAAGGTGGGAAAAGGTGGAATTATTGCAAAGTATTCTGTACAAGTGAAGCATCTATGAACTTGCTCCCATACACAGCACTGACTGTGGATCCAGGCCCATTCTAGAATGAAGTTTCAGTGACACTGAAAGAAAACATATGGTTCTCTTGTAATAACGTGGCATGGTGTAGACATAACCTAAATTTGAAAACCTCTTAAAATAGAAACCTTGATTCCATCTGTCCCTTAAAAAAGAAAAACTCATAATTGCTTATAACCATGTTCATTTACCATTTTCTCAAATGTTTAACAGCTGGTGAGGGGCAGAGGCCAGAAGAGCAGGAGGAGACGGGGTAATTAATAAAAGTCGTTATCCGCCTTGATTTCAAATGTTATCAGTGCTTAAAATGTCAAAACTATGTTCCCACATTCCTCAAATGACTCGCCCATAACGTGTCATAACTGAATCCAGCCCACGTATTCACCCCTGGAGGATTCTAAAGAATGAGCAAGCTAACCCTGACTACAGTACTTCTTTTGAAGGACTTTTGAAGGCTTTGACTCAGGGAGAACCATTTGCAGAGAGAATTCAATTGATGAGAAGAATGTATGCCAAATATTTATGTCTTAAAATTCCAATTGAACTTCTTTTCAAGACAAGGACTCAAAGCAGCAGGAAGTTGGAACCTGGTAATACATCTGTTTCTGCAGGGAAATGTCATTGGTTACACCTAAAGATGCGTGTGTCTTTATAGAGCTGGTATATCTCTTGGGAAGGATTCCAACAGACATATTCACAGGTACACTTCAGCTGTAGAATGTCTTGTAGCACACTGAGGATAATTTGCCTTTCCGAGGCAGTCTCCTGTCCAAGACAGTTTCTCAGAGCCGGGTGTGAAGACCACAAGCCCAGATTACCTGTGATGTTTGTAGGCCCTGCACACTCACTCCTGACCCTCATGCCTGCAGAATCAGAGTCCCCAGGTGGTCCCGGGCTGCATGCCAGCCACCCCTCAGCTGATTCTGATGCAGAGTCAGGTCTGGTACCAACGCAATCAGGGCCGCTGCCTCCCTGGCCACTCGCACTGGGCACCTGCAACAGTGAGGCAGGTCCCTCCTGTCCAGCTAGCTCTCTGCAACCATGCCTGGAGGTAGTATTTAGTCCACAATTTCATGAGGGCAATAAAAGGATTTGTTGAAAATGACTGAACACATACCACCTGGAAGGAGGAGAATCTTGGAGAGTTAAATTCACCATTATGATACGACACCCTAGAAATGACCATCCCCAGGGTCCCTGGGTCGCCTGCTGGTTCTTCCTCTTCAGAGAATAGTGAAGCATTCTCTGTTAAATCATGGGCTCAGTTCTCATCCAGACTGAGGCTGCTGGTAGCCCTCAGATTCTGCTGGGGTGCTTCCCACCCGACCTGTTCCCATGCCAGCCTGCACAGTTAGAACCTATATATGAAAAATCCTCAGCCTCTTCTTCTGTAATTCTCAGACTTCACTTAGGTAGATGGCATAGGAGAAATAATAACAACTGACTTTTGGGGAGAGTCAGGCCCCATGCAAGGGTTTTGCATGCACATCTTGCTTAATCTGCACACCTCCCCTATAAAGAACCAGTACAACAACTACTTTGTAATGAACAAATGGAGGCACAGAAAGGTTAAGAAACTTCCCCAAGGACACACAGCTGGCCAGTGCTAATATAACAAAGTAGTTTACTCAGCACAAGCTTCTTCAACCTGTGGCCTGCTTGCCCCATGCGGCCCAGGACAGCTTTGAAGCCGCCCAACACAAATTCATAAATTTTCATAAAACATTGCAAGATTTTTTTGTTATTTTTTTAGCTCAACAGCTATCATTAGTGCTAGTGTATTTTATGTGTGGCTCAAGACAATTGTTTTTCCAGTGTGGCCCAGGGAATCCAAAAGTTCAGAGAAAGCCCCTCACTTAGCGCATAGGTTGGTAGTCAATGTGTCTAAGATGCAAGGATGTTGCATATTTTACATAACTGCTCTACGCCTTATCTTCCTCACCTAATAAAGAGAAATGATACTAATAGAATTGTCATGGAGCTAGATGAGTGTAATGGTTAATTTTAGGTGTCAACTTGACTAGGTAAAGGGATGCCAGAATAGAATAGAGCCTCGGTGTGTCTGCAAGGCTGTTTCCAGAAGAGATGAGCATTTGCATTAGGGGACTAAGCAAAGCAGAGCCACCCTCCCCGGCATGGGCAGGCATCATCCAGTCCTTGGAGGACCCAGATAGAGCAAGAAGGTGGAGGAAGGGCAATGGTGCTCCCTCTGCTTGAACTGGGCCATCCATCTTCTCCTGCCCTTGGACATTGGAGCTCCTGGTACTCAGTCAGGCCTTTGGCCTGAGACTGAATTATACCATGATCTTTCCTGGCCCTCCAGCTTGCAGATAGCATATTGTGAAACTTCTCAGCCTTCATAATCGCATGACCCAATTCCCATAACAAATCTCCTGTTATATCTTTATCTATATTTATGCTATTGTTTCTGTTTTCTCTGGAAACCCTGACTAATACAATGAGTTAATTTGTAAAATGCTCAGAACATTACCAGTGCCTCATAAGCACTCAATAAATGCTGTCGTTCCTGATTTTGTATAGTTCCTAAGGAGGTTCCTTCCCTCTGGTGCTCTGCGTCTGTGCAAATAACCTACCCCGGCGAGAAGCATATCCCTCCCCATGTGTGCTCTGGGCCCCTGTACCGACTTCCAGCCTAAGGGCTCTGAAGCTCCCTGGTCAGTGACCATTGACAAAGAGTCTTTGCTTAACCAAACTTTAGTCAGGCTCTCAGCCTTCTCCTAGGTCCGTATGTGCACCTCCTTGTAAAAATCCAGCTTCAGCAAGAACCCTGCCAGGTCAGTTTTTTGTTTTTTGTTTTTTGTTTTTGAGACAGAGTCTCGCTCTGTCGCCCAGGCTGGAGTGTAGTGGCGTGATCTCAGCTCACTGCAAGCTCCGCCTCCCAGGTTCACGCCATTCTCCTGCCTCAGCCTCCTGAGTTCCTGGGACTACAGGCGCCCACGACCACACCCGGCTAATTTTTGTTGTATTTTTAGTAGAGACGGGGTTTCACCGTGTTAGCCAGGATGGTCTCGATCTCCTGACCTCGTGATCCGCTCGTCTCGGCCTCCCAAAGTGCTGGGATTACAGGTGTGAGCCACCGCACCTGGCCCCAAGTCAGTTTTGTAAGAATCCCCCTACCCTTGATACCTGATCACCCTCCATATCTGACCAGGCTCTTCATCCTCCACCATCCTCCAGGTGATGTCTGGTCACCCTGGCCCATCTTCAGCAAGGATCCTGTTAGGTCCGTTTAGCCAGAATCTCCCTTACCCTTGAGGTTTCCTCTTAGCAATTTTCCATCCACTTCCTCCCAACTTGCTCCTTGGCTATAAACCTCACGTGTGAGTGCTGTATTTGGAGTTGAGCCCAGTCTCTCTTCCCTGTGGCAAAATCCCATTGTGGTGGTCCCTTTTCCTATTGTGATATCTTGAATAACGTCTTCTTTACTGTGCTTTAACAAGTGTTGTCAGCCAGGCACAGTGGCTTACGCCTGTAATCCCAGTATTTTGGGAGGCTGAGGCGGGCAGATTACCTGAGGTCAGGAGTTCAAGACCAGCCTGGCCAACATGGTGAAACCCTGTCTCTACTTTAAAAAATACAAAAATTAGCCAGGCGTGGTAGTGCGGGCCTGTAATCCCAGCTACTCAGGAGGCTGAGGCAGGAGAATTGCTTGAGCCCAGGAGACGGAGGTTGAAGTGAGCCAAGACTATGCCACTGCACTCCAGCCTGGGGGACAGAGCGAGACTCTGTCTCAAAAACAAACAAACAAACAAAAAATGTTGTTGAATAATTTTTTCCTTAACACCATCTTCCACCTTCTTCTCCTTTGAGCTACATTTTTCCCACCCAAGACCAGCAAAAAGGGGACGCCCTGGCTGTGTGACGGGAAGAGCGCCTTCTTGGTGACAGCCTTAGCCAAGAACAGATTTTCCTCCATTGCACAGAAATGTGGCTGTTGTGGCACTTCCTCTCTACCACTATTAACCATCCTGCCAACCCCCCCCCACCCCCCCACAGCAGTTTAGCCTCCACATCCATCAGTGTGTCCTCAGCCCCCACCAGCCTAGTCTGCACTTGCTGAAAGAAAAACTTCAGCATCTAAACTACTTACAAAAACTGAACTTGCCTTCCCTGTGTCATGGGCATGTGGGGTGCAGCTGGGCTGCAGGGAAGACAGAAGCCAGGCCCTACTTCACTCGCATGGGATGGCCTCTCTTCTGTTAATCTTACCATTTCTTCCTGCCCAGACCAGGTTCCTTCCCCTCCATGAAGTCTTTATGTGCACTCCAGCCTACACCAACTCTCCCTTCTCTCTTTTCTCTGACATGACCCAGAAATCCCATTACTAGGCATATACCCCAAGGAATATAAATTTTTCTACCATAAAAACACATGTGCACATATGTTCATTGCAGCACTATTCACAATAACAAAGACATGGAATCAACCTAGAAGCCCATCAATAGTAGACTGGATAAAGAAAATGTGGAATATTACCCAGCCATAAAAGAGAACAAGGTCATATCCTTTGCAGCAACATGGATGGATCTAGACATCTTTGTCCTAAGTGAACTAACATAGGAACAGAAACAAAACACCACATGTTCTCACTTATAACTGAGAGCTAAACACTGAGTACAGACGGATGCAAAGAAGGGAACAATAGACACCAGGGCCTGCTTGAGGTTGGCTGGGTGAAAGGAGGATGAGTGTCGAAAAACTAACCTACCGGGCACCATGCTTATTACCTGGGCGACTAAATAATCTGTACATCAAACCCCTGCAACATGTAATTTACGCATGTAACAAACCTGCATATGTACCCTTGAATCTAAAACAAAAGTATATTAAAAAAAGAAAAAAAAAAAACAGGCTTTGGGCTGGAATTGGCCCACAGGTCAAGTTTCTCAACACCTGAGTTTTAAAAACAAAAAAGAAGCAAATTTTAGATCAGTATGTACAAGTTGAAGAGCAAAGTTCCCCTATCTATATTTAAAAAAAAACATAAATCTGTATATGTTCATTATTATGTATATACGTGCTTTTTAAAGTTTGGAAGGATTACAAAAAAGATAAAATGATCAGGCCACCTTTAAATAGCATGAGGAATTTTGACAACTGTCTTTTTTTACGCGTGACCTCTATTCCCCTTCAACCATCATTTAGATAGCAACTCTAATACATAATTTTTCTAAGTAAGTGTGTTCAGCCCCCTCCCTAAGGAACAATTGGCAGGCAACCAAATCCCAATCCTCGCTCCTAGCATCAGAACGCCCAAGCCAGCCAAGACAGGGGCCAAAGGCAACCACAGCCTGCTGGAGCAGGGACTTTGATACCTGGTCTTTGCTCTTCAAGATCCAAAAGCCAGAAACAGGAATTTTTTCAAAACAGCAATTCATTTGAAGTATTAATTAAAATGCAAATTACTCCAAGATGGCTTGGCTTTCAAATGTTTGCTCTGTAGTTTTCATGAATATAAAGCACATGACAGGCTTCTGTTTCGAACCATCTGCATACTTGCTCACAGTTGAAAAAGTGCTTGACTTGAACATAACTGAGGGGGGCGATGAGTGCCAAGCAAAGCAGTAACACCTTTAGCAAGAGCTGTTCCCCTTCTGGAGGACAAAGGAGAAAAGGGTTGGGGAACAGCCCCCTCTGCCAAGACTCAGCCTCCAACAGGGTCCTTTGAGTGGGGTGGAGCCTGCTACCCTCCAGGAAGGGGAGCCAGTTACCACGGCACACCACACAACCCTCTACAATGCATCAGCTGGCTCATGGGCCTTTCCTTCCTGAATCAGGGAAGGGAGAGAAGCAGTGAACAGACATGAAGCTCATAAGGGATGTTTCTGGCTCTGTGTGTGTGTGCTTTTGTTTGTTTGGGGTCTTTTATTTTTGTACAGACAGTCTCGCTATGTTGCCCAGGCTGGTCACAAACTCCTGGCCTCACATGATTCTCCTGCCTTGGCCTCCCAAAGTGCTGGAGTTACAGGCATGAGCCACCACTCCTGGCCATCTGAGTGTTTTTGAACCAATCACTTTGCCCCCAGTTTGACAATGGATGTTTTCTGTTCTCAAAGTCCATCTTGGGCCACCCCTCCCTGCAGAGAGCTGCGTGTCTGCTCCCGTGTGAACCCCAGGTTTCCTGTCTCCTCCCTCTCTGATGTCTCCACCCCTGATTTCAAACTCCTCTTCCCTGCATTGTTCAAAGAACTCCTACCCTCCCCAGCTACCTCCTACTTCTGCACTTGCCTAAACAAGACCCACCCAATGGAAGACAGTTTACCAACCCTCCTCTATCACTAACCACGCCTCACCCCCAGTTCCCACCTCAAACAGCTATCAAGGCATCTCTTGCAAACACAAATTCAGGGGAAAGGAGTCATGCCCACCTTACTCCATCTTCCCTTCAGAAAGTCCAAGGAGATGGGAGAGGAGGCATGAGAATGACACAGCCCTCTCTTCTTTAGACCTTGCTTCCTGCAGACATTTCTGCTTTGGCAAATAATCAAAGGCTCAGATGGCCCCTAAAAGCTGCCTGCAGATATTTGAGGGGCTGTCTTGTGCCAGAGAAGACAGAGGACAGACCAGGCATCCACAGGAGGGCTGCGCCCCACACTATTGCAAGGTATTGGAAGGGGATCCCCATGACCGCACATCATGGCCCTATCTCAGGCAAAAGTTGAATTGGATGAACCTCCAGCTTCTCCCACAAAAGGCCTATGGACTCTACATTCTCACAGCTCAGTCTTCAGAGGGGAGAGAACATCTGAATGCTGGCCACGTGAAAGTGTACCTAATTGCTCCCACAAGCTCAGGTTACCTCCTGCCCTGGATGCTCATTCTGTCTTACTAAGCAGGCACTCGCTGGTCCAGGTTTAATGAGTAAAACATTTCACATTAGCAGCATTCGTTTGTTTGAAAGCAAAAGCAATTTGTTCTTTTAAATAGGTTAAGCCCACCTTGACAGTGTTGTGTATATTCTTACTTTGTATGGTCAATGTTTTGTTCAAAGGAATGCAAAGGGGAACTCTGGTCCTGCCTTTTTGGGGGATCATGATCAGTTCTGAATTAGAAAAATGTTAAATAAATAGAATTTCCTGAACTCTGAAAAATGTCATAGTGTGGTTGTGTTTGTTTATTACATAAATAAACTTAGTTGATTTCACCCATTTGACCCAATGCTAGGCTTGTGTTTATTTCACCCATTTGACACAATGCTAGACTTAGCTAAACCCAAGCTCTCTGGGCCACGCTGCCCTCAGCACATGCCAAGTGCATGCCAAGACCCACTAGAATATTCTTTCCACTAAGGCTATCTACCTGTAGCTGTTTAGTTTAATTTGGTTTGGTTTAGTTCCATTCAGATCAGTTTAATTTAGTTTTGCTTAGTTTTTCATTGCTTTATTTTGTTTTGGGGATGTGGGCAAAGCGAATAGTCCAAAAACACTCAGAAAGGGCAACGTGTTAAGATGTATGTTGGAGGTGTGTTTCAGAAAAGACAAGTAAACAGCCGTCTTCTAAGCTCTGCTCTGTGCCCAGCCCAAACCTCAATAGTGCTGGGATATGGAAGTACTCTCAAAAAGCCACCAGTCTAGCACAGGCAATGAAGCCATTGAAAGTAGTGGCAAAAACCACAATTACTTTTGCACCAACCTAATTATATGTGTGTGTGTATATACATATGTAACTGGCTTACTACTTAAACATATTTTTGACCATGTGCTATGTAGAAGGCATGCCATGGGGTCCCGTGGAGAGCCAGGGCCCTGGTTTCTGGGTGCCGATAGCCCAGCAAGGGAGAGAGGACAGACACGATAACCCAAAGTAAAACTGAATGAGTCAGACAATTAAATGCTATAAGAGTTAAAGGAAAAAGAGCCCACAGTGGGGTTACTGGATTTAGCAAATAAAAAGACAGGACATTCAGTTAAATTTGAACTTCAGACGAACAAAGAATAATTTTTATTATAAGTGTGTCCAAAATATTGCATGGGCCATATTATGTTATTTGGGATGTACTTACAAGAAATTTTTTTAAATTTACTGTTAATCTAAAATTGAAATATACCTAGGCATCCTGTATTTTATCTGGCAACCTCAGCATAGTGGGCTGAGAAGAGGAAGCCAGACTTCTAAGAGGAGGTGGGATGTCAAGCACGCAGAATGTTAGAGGGAAAGGATATTGCTGATATTTGTGGGGAAGGTCAATGTGAGAGAAGTTTAGGGTGGGCTGGGGGTGGGCTCAGCTAGACCACTTCAAAGCTGAGAAGGCGGGAGTGAGCAGATGACAATGTGGAATGCTGGCTAAATTGTCTGAGTCTACCTCAGACAAGGAACCTTATTCATCAAATCCATGTCTTCCTGTATGATAGGAGCATGCTATTAAAAGGGAAAGACTATGGAAGCTTTCGCAAGGCAGGCTGTCCATCTCCCAGCTTATGAATGTCAGTCACACTTTATACATCAGTGTCATTTCTTAAAGAACGACTCATTTGCTGCAGTTAGGACCAGCTCAATTCATGCTCCGAAATTTCTTTAAAGGGACCTTTCAGTCCCATTTGAATCTAGTTCGATCAAAATTAGATGTGTGCTGAGGCAGTTTTGGTAACTGTTAGGGTCTTTGCAAATGAGTTCTGATGGTGACTTTCCATCTCAATAGCTCACCACTGCAGGGTCTTGGCAGAGTCCCGTCACCCCTCTGAGCCTCAGTGCTCTCATATATGCAGTCTACCTTACCCACTAGGGACCAGAGGCAGTGCCTAAAAAGCATCTAGCAAAACACAGGATGCAGTGGACACTCCCGTTGGCAGGAACCTGGTTTTCAGCACCATTCTGACAGATACATGCAGATTTCTGCTCTACAAAACAGTCATCTGAGCAGTCTTCAATCTCCCTTAAATAAAAGTTTATGAGCTCAGTCCTCCTCTTTCTCACCAGTTACTCTTTAACTAAAGCCTCACGTGCTGCAGCTGCACAGCCTGGTTAGCAGTGAGAGAACCAAGCCACACCGAGCCTGTGTGTTCCTGCCAACGCTGCGAGACCTGGGAAGAAGCACATGGCATGTCCTGGCAGCCTTCTGAGCACTGCCGTTTATCCTTTGCAGGACAAACTTAGTACTTCCCCAATCCTCCGTGCTGCTGTGGTGCTTTAAATCAAAAGAACCTTTGATGGAAAAACAATGATCTCTTTTTTCTGAGCTGGCTTGAGCCCATGTTTCCCCAACCGATGTCAGGATCTGCCTTTGGCTCCAATCTCACACTGTTCCCTGCAGCCCCTTTGATTCCCTCCCTGCAGCAGCAGGTGGCCCACCTGCTCATGCCTGAAGACACAGGCAGGTCAACGATGAAGTTGGCACCTGCTCCAGTAAGAGGACCCAAAGACACTTTCTGAGCCTAATATTAAGTCTTGAAAGTGTGATCCTTAAGGATTTCAAATAACGCGAGCCAAGTTTCCTGCACACTCGTCCAGCAGCTATACTGGGTAACTGTGCCTGATCTCAAGATGTTACATATCTCAAACTCAGTTTCCTCATCTGTAAAATGGAAATAGTACCACCCTCAGGGCTACTGCAAGGCTTAAATAATTCTCTACATAGGAATATCCTAGCACTGCTCTTGGCACACAACCAACACTCAGGAGATGGTTATACATTTATTGAGTGTTTACTAGGTACCAGCGATTGTTCTAAGTGCTTTGCAAATATTAACTCATTTAATCCCTGCAACAACCCTACAAGTGAAGTGCAGTTATTACCCTCCACCCCCACTGTGTTTCCAGTGAGGAAATGGTGATGCTCCACCAGGTTCCGTGTCTTGCCCAATTCATGCAGCATTTGCGGGTCAGCTGGGCTTGGAACTCCGGACTCCAGGCTCTGACTACTACCCCATCACTGCCTCCTTACAGAAGTCGGTCATTGTACCATTGCAGGAAAGTCAAGGCTTATGCCAGTCATAGGCAAGGTCAGCCTCAGGACCTTGTGGCTGTGGAACAGAATGAAGGCTGCACCCCACACCTCACGCCACCACCTCTGGGCTCAGCACTGCCTCTCAATCACAGGGAGCATGGCGGCTGGGCCACCGTTGCTGGTCATCATCCCCTGTTTCTGAAGCTCAGTCACATCAGTGCTACCAGGAGATCCTGGTGGGGTCTCTCAGGCCTAAAAGCCCATCTCCACCCTGCAGAGCACGCCCTAAACATCCCACAGCTTGGGCAGGCCATCTTCTTCTCTCTTGAAAGACATGAGGGAGGAGCCAAGATGGCCAAACAGGAACAGCTCCGGTCTACAGCTCCCAGCATGAGCGACGCAGAAGACGGGTGATTTCTGCATTTCCATCTGAGGTACCGGGTTCATCTCACTAGGGAGTGCCAGACAGTGGGCGCAGGTCAGTGGGTGCGCGCACCCTGCGCGAGCTGAAGCAGGGCGAGGCATTGCCTCACCTGGGAAGCGCAAGGGGTCAGGGAGTTAGTTCCCTTTCCGAGTCAAAGAAAGGGGTGATGGACGCACCTGGAAAATCGGGTCACTCCCACCCAAATATTGCGCTTTTCAGACTGGCTTAAAAAACGGCGCACCACGAGACTATATCCCACACCTGGCTCGGAGGGTCCTATGCCCACGGAATCTCGCTGATTGCTAGGACAGCAGTCTGAGATCAAACTGCAAGGCGGCAGCGAGGCTGGGGGAGGGGCGCCCGCCATTGCCCAGGCTTGATTAGGTAAACAAAGCAGCCAGGAAGCTCAAACTGGGTGGAGCCCACCACAGCTCAAGGAGGCCTGCCTGCCTCTGTAGGCTCCACCTCTGGGGGCAGGGCACAGACAAACAAAAGACAGCAGTAACCTCTGCAGACTTAAATGTCCCTGTCTGACAGCTTTGAAGAGAGCAGTGGTTCTCCCAGCACGCAGATGGAGATCTGAGAACCGGCAGACTGCCTCCTCAAGTGGGTCCCTGACCCCTGACCCCCAAGCAGCCTAACTGGGAGGCACCCCCCAGCAGGGGCACACTGACACCTCACACGGCAGGGTATTCCAACAGACCTGCAGCTGAGGGTCCTGTCTGTTAGAAGGAAAACTAACAAACAGAAAGGACATCCACACCGAAAACCCATCTGTACATCACCATCATCAAAGACCAAAAGTAGATAAAACCACAAAGATGGGGAAAAAACAGAACAGAAAAACTGGAAACTCTAAAACGCAGAGCATCTCTCCTCCTCCAAAGGAACGCAGTTCCTCACCAGCAACAGAACAAAGCTGGATGGAGAATGACTTTGACGAGCTGAGAGAAGAAGGCTTCAGACGATCAAATTACTCTGAGCTACGGGAGGACATTCAAACCAAAGGCAAAGAAGTTGAAAACTTTGAAAAAAATTTAGAAGAATGTATAACTAGAATAACCAATACAGAGAAGTGCTTAAAGGAGCTGATGGAGCTGAAAACCAAGGCTCGAGAACTACGTGAAGAATGCAGAAGCCTCAGGAGCCGATACGATCAACTGGAAGAAAGGGTATCAGCGATGGAAGATGAAATGAATGAAATGAAGCGAGAAGGGAAGTTTAGAGAAAAAAGAATAAAAAGAAATGAGCAAAGCCTCCAAGAAATATGGGACTATGTGAAAAGACCAAATCTACGTCTGATTGGTGTACCTGAAAGTGATGGGGAGAATGGAACCAAGTTGGAAAACACTCTGCAGGATATTATCCAGGAGAACTTCCCCAATCTAGCAAGGCAGGCCAACGTTCAGATTCAGGAAATACAGAGAACGCCACAAAGATACTCCTCGAGAAGAGAAACTCCAAGACACATAATTGTCAGATTCACCAAAGTTGAAATGAAGGAAAAAATGTTAAGGGCAGCCAGAGAGAAAGGTCGGGTTACCCTCAAAGGGAAGCCCATCAGACTAAGAGCAGATCTCTCGGCAGAAACCCTACAAGCCAGAAGAGAGTGGGGGCCAATATTCAACATTCTTAAAGAAAAGAATTTTCAACCCAGAATTTCATATCCAGCCAAACTAAGCTTCATAAGTGAAGGAGAAATAAAATACTTTATAGACAAGCAAATGCTGAGAGATTTTGTCACCACCAGGCCTGCCCTAAAAGAGCTCCTGAAGGAAGCACTAAACATGGAAAGGAACAACCTGTACCAGCCGCTGCAAAATCATGCCAAAATGTAAAGACCATCGAGACTAGGAAGAAACTGCATCAACTAACGAGCAAAATAACCAGCTAACATCATAATGACAGGATCAAATTCACACATAACAATATTAACTTTAAATATAAATGGACTAAATTCTCCAAATAAAAGACACAGACTGGCAAATTGGATAAAGAGTCAAGATCCATCAGTGTGCTGTATTCAGGAAACCCATCTCACGTGCAGAGACACACATAGGCTCAAAATAAAAGGATGGAGGAAGATCTACCAAGCCAATGGAAAACAAAAAAAGGCAGGGGTTGCAATCCTAGTCTCTGATAAAACAGACTTTAAACCAACAAAGATCAAAAGAGACAAAGAAGGCCATTACATAATGGTAAAGGGATCAATTCAACAAGAACAGCTAACTATCCTAAATATATATGCACCCAATACAGGAGCACCCAGATTCATAAAGCAAGTCCTCAGTGACCTACAAAGAGACTTAGACTCCCACACATTAATAATGGGAGACTTTAACACCCCACTGTCAACATTAGACAGATCAACGAGACAGAAAGTCAACAAGGATACCCAGGAATTGAACTCAGCTCTGCACCAAGCAAACCTAATAGACATCTACAGAACTCTCCACCCCAAATCAACAGAATATACATTTTTTTCAGCACCACACCACACCTATTCCAAAATTGACCACATAGTTGGAAGTAAAGCTCTCCTCAACAAACGTAAAAGAACAGAAATTATAACAAACTATCTCTCAGACCACAGTGCAATCAAACTAGAACTCAGGATTAAGAATCCCACTCAAAGCCGCTCAACTACATGGAAACTGAACAACCAGCTCCTGAATGACTACTGGATACATAATGAAATGAAGGCAGAAATAAAGATGTTCTTTGAAACCAATGAGAACAAAGACACAACATACCAGAATCTCTGGGACGCATTCAAAGCAGTGTGTAGAGGGAAATTTATAGCACTAAATGCCCACAAGAGAAAGCAGGAAAGATCCAAAATTGACACCCTAACATCACAATTAAAAGAACTAGAAAAGCAAGAGCAAACACATTCAAAAGCTAGCAGAAGGCAAGAAATAACTAAAATCAGAGCAGAACTAAAGGAAATAGAGACACAAAAAACCCTTCAAAAAATCAATGAATCCAGGAGCTGGTTTTTTGAAAGGATCAACAAAATTGATAGACTGCTAGCAAGACTAATAAAGAAGAAAAGAGAAGAATCAAATAGACGCAATAAAAAATGATAAAGGGGATATCACCACCGATCCCACAGAAATACAAACTACCATCAGAGAATACTACAAACACCTCTACGCAAATAAACTAGAAAATCTAGAAGAAATGGATACATTCCTCGACACATACACTCTCCCAAGACTAAACCAGGAAGAAGTTGAATCTCTGAATAGACCAATAACAGGAGCTGAAATTGTGGCAATAATCAATAGTTTACCAACCAAAAAGAGTCCAGGACCAGAAGGATTCACAGCCGAATTCTACCAGAGGTACAAGGAGGAACTGGTACCATTCCTTCTGAAACTATTCCAATCAATAGAAAAAGAGGGAATCCTCCCTAACTCATTTTATGAGGCCAGCATCATTCTGATACCAAAGCCGGGCAGAGACACAACCAAAAAAGAGAATTTTAGACCAATATCCTTGATGAACATTGATGCAAAAATCCTCAATAAAATACTGGCAAAACGAATCCAGCAGCACATCAAAAAGCTTATCCACCATGATCAAGTGGGCTTCATCCCTGGGATGCAAGGCTGGTTCAATATACGCAAATCAATAAATGTAATCCAGCATATAAACAGAGCCAAAGACAAAAACCACATGATTATCTCAATAGATGCAGAAAAAGCCTTTGACAAAATTCAACAACCCTTCATGCTAAAAACTCTCAATAAATTAGGTATTGATGGGACGTATTTCAAAATAATAAGAGCTATCTATGACAAACCCACAGCCAATATCATACTGAATGGGCAAAAACTGGAAGCATTCCCTTTGAAAACTGGCACAAGACAGGGATGCCCTCTCTCACCACTCCTATTCAACATAGTGTTGGAAGTTCTGGCCAGGGCAATTAATTAGGCAGGAGAAGGAAACAAAGGGTATTCAATTAGGAAAAGAGGAAGTCAAATTGTCCCTGTTTGCAGACGACATGATTGTATATCTAGAAAACCCCATTGTCTCAGCCCAAAATCTCCTTAAGCTGATAAGCAACTTCAGCAAAGTCTCAGGATACAAAATCAATGTACAAAAATCACAAGCATTCTTAAACACTAACAACAGACAAACAGAGAGCCAAATCATGAGTGAACTCCCATTCACAATTGCTTCAAAGAGAATAAAATACCTAGGAATCCAACTTACAAGGGACGTGAAGGACCTCTTCAAGGAGAACTACAAACCACTGCTCAAGGAAATAAACGAGGATACAAACAAATGGAAGAACATTCCATGCTCATGGGTAGGAAGAATCAATATCGTGAAAATGGCCATACTGCCCAAGGTAATTTACAGATTCAATGCCAGCCCCATCAAGCTACCAATGACTTTCTTCACAGAATTGGAAAAAACTACTTTAAAGTTCATATGGAACCAAAAAAGAGCCTGCATTGCCAAGTCAATCCTAAGCCAAAAGAACAAAGCTGGAGGAATCACACTACCTGACTTCAAACTATACTACAAGGCTACAGTAACCAAAACAGCATGGTACTGGTACCAAAACAGAGATATAGATCAATGGAACAGAACAGAGCCCTCAGAAATAACGCCGCATACCTACAACTATCTGATCTTTGACAAACCTGAGAAAAACAAGCAATGGGGAAAGGATTCCCTATTTAATAAATGGTGCTGGGAAAACTGGCTAGCCGTATGTAGGAAGCTGAAACTGGATCCCTTCCTTACACCTTATACAAAAATCAATTCAAGATGGATTAAAGATTTAAACGTTAGACCTAAAACCATAAAAAACCCTAGAAGAAAACCTAGGCATTACCATTCAGGACACAGGCATGGGCAAGGACTTCATGTCCAAAACACCAAAAGCAATGGCAACAGAAGACAAAATTGACAAATGGGATCTAATTAAACTAAGGAGCTTCTGCACAGCAAAAGAAACTACCATCAGAGTGAACAGGCAACCTACAAAATGGGAGAAAATTTTCACAACCTACTCATCTGACAAAGGGCTAATATCCAGAATCTACAATGAACTCAAACAAATTTACAAGAAAAAAACAAACAACCCCATCAAAAAGTGGGTGAAGGACATGAACAGACACTTCTCAAAAGAAGACATTTATGCAGCCAAAAAACACATGAAAAAATGCTCACCATCACTGGCCATCAGAGAAATGCAAATCAAAACCACTATGAGATACCATCTCACACCAGTTTGAATGGCAATCATTCAAAAGTCAGGAAACAACAGGTGCTGGAGAGGATGTGGAGAAATAGGAACACTTTTACACTGTTGGTGGGACTGTAAACTAGTTCAACCATTGTGGAAGTCAGTGTGGCGATTCCTCAGGGATCTAGAACTAGAAATACCATTTGACCCAGCCATCCCATTACTGGGTATATACCCAAATGACTATAAATCATGCTGCTATAAAGACACATGCACACGTACGTTTATTGCGGCATTATTCACAACAGCAAAGACTTGGAACCAACCCAAATGTCCAACGATAGACTGGATTAAGAAAATGTGGCACATATACACCATGGAATACTATGCAGCCATAGAAAATGATGAGTTCATGTCCTTTGTAGGGACATGGATGAAATTGGAAATCATCATTCTCAGTAAACTATCGCAAGAACAAAAAACCAAACACCGCATATTCTCACTCATAAGTGGGAGTTGAACAATGAGATCACATGGACACAGGAAGGGGAATATCACACTCTGGGGACTGTGGTGGGGTGGGGGGAGAGGGGAGGGATAGCATTGGGAGATATACCTAATGCTAGATGACGAGTTAGTGGGTGCAGCACACCAGCATGGCACATGTATACATATGTAACTAACCTGCACAATGTGCACATGTACCCTAAAACTTAAAGTATAATAAAAAAAAGAAAAAAGAAAGAAAGAAAGACATACAGCCTTCCGTGTTGTTGCCCACCGTCTCCTTGAGACCCCATCCTCCCACACCCACTCCCAGAACCATGAGAAAGGCCAGCTGCCCCCAGCAGCTCACTCCGGGCTCCCCAGCCTGCCTTGGACTCCGTTCATCCTGTCCTGCACCATCCCAGCTCCTGAGCCTGTTGATGGCGCTCCCCTGTCCCCCATGCTATCACTCCTCAGATTTCATTCTCAGCATCATTGTTGTAGTTACAACCTTGGCTCCTCCATGCAATGGCTCTGGGCCCCAGTCCCAGCTGGGGAGGTTCTGGAGAACCTGTGGCCCCAAGACCTCCACATTCCATGCACCACCCATACTGGCAGGTGGCTCATTCTGCAGCTGGGGGAGCTAGGAGCAGACACATCCACTGTCCCTCAGCAATGATGTCCCCCAGCTCCACCAGTGGCCACATCTCCTGCACAGCCTCCCAGATGAGTTTCACAGCTCACACTTTTCTTGAGATCTGCCCTGAGACTGAAGAGCTTGAAAGCAGCGTCTGCCATCGCCCCAGTCACCGCAGAGGCTGTGAAATGCCAATCAAGTTGTGACTCAAATATTTGTCCTTTGTTTCTACAGCTCACTCATTAAGAAATTTCCATGAAATTGACCTTAGCTTCCTATTTCTTTTGGCACTTATCTGATTTGTTTGTATTTCCACATAGGGCAGGAGATAAAATGTAGTGAAAACACAAACTTTTCTTAGCAGCAAAGGACCAGATAACCACTATCCTCACTCAGACTCCACAAAAAATATTCTTTAAAAAATACTTGGTTGTGTGCACAAGTGTAGCTGGCTGCCACACTTTCACATTCCATCCTCTGATCTAATGTTTGCCTAAGTTTCCACCATTGCATACACATTTTCTGGATAAGTCACCTTACAGTTATTTGTAACATCAGTGCGATTTGGTTCATCTGTCCTGTAAGTAGCAAACTCTAACTGCAAGGAAATGGGACCTCCCATGGGAAATGTATGATGGAGAAAAGGAGGAAGAAACAGCTCCACGTCATTTTAGAACGCAGCACCATGGAATGCTTGGTGCCTCAAACCAAACCCCCAGGAGCTTCCTGCCCTCGTTTCCCTCAGGAGACACTTTCAGTCCATCAGCCAACCCAATCGATGTCCCCCACTATGGCCCTCTCTGTCCCCTTGCTGTCTCTCCCCTGCCCCAACCCTACCCCTCTCTTGCCTAGTATTGCTGCTGCCTCTTAACTAACTTCTTGGCTTCCAATCTCTCCCCTGCCTCCCGTATTCTAACAGTGAGAAGAAGGATCGCTTCAAAATACAGATCAGATAAGTGCTCACTCCCTGCTTTAAACACTCTAAAAACTTCCCAATGTACCTGCAATAAAATCAAAGCCTCATTTTGATTTTCAAACCAAAGACCTGGTCCCTGCCTTGCACTCTGACCTCATTCCTTCCTAAAATAGCACCCTCTCTGCTCCTGTCCCCTGACCTCCCATCTTGCTCTTCATTTTCTGCAGGGCCCTGAGGCAGGAGAACTGCATTGCTCATCTGTTGATGCAGTTATTGTCTGTCTCCTCATTAGAACATGGGCTCTGGGCAAGCAAAGACCATGTCTGTCCAGTTCCCCTCTCTGTCCCAGTGTCCAGAACAGCACCTGGTGCTCAGGTATTTGCTATATTAAAATGAATGAGCACAGAAGGTGTCTGAGGAGGACAGATGTGGCTGAGAATCCCAAAACAAGCCTGGGCTGCTGGACTCGTGCATGCATCAATTCTTCCTGATGTTCTTGGGTTCTGTGGGGATGGTGCATGCACTGCACAGATCCCACTTTAGTGGGGACTTGTAGCTCCAGATGTGAGGGCACTGTGGGCAGAGTGAAGAGCTCTCAGCCCCTCCAGGGTTTGCCTCCGCTGCTGAAAGCCCTCACCTAAGGCTACACTCTTCTCAGCATGGCCCACACCCAGTGACTGATCCAGGCAGGAGCAGAGAGGTCTGACCTCCTCTGCCCAAGAAAGGAAATCTCCAAAGGGCCAATCTAGCTCCAGCACTCCCCACAGGGCTGTGCTCACTGTGGCAGGCCTGCATCATAGCCGCTCCCTCTCCTCTGCCCTCTTCTGATGCCTTCCCCTTCCTTCCACAGATGTGGCTTCCCTGGGCTCCCCTACCAAACCCCCTGCCCGCTGAAAATCTCAGCGCCTGCTTCCTGGGAGGCCCAACCTGCAACAGGCTTCTCCCTTTTTTTTTTTTTTTTTTTTTTTGAGACGGAGTCTCACGCTCTGTCCCCCAGGCTGGAGTGCAGTGGCACGATCTCAGCTCACTGCAACCTCCACCTCCAGGGTTCACACCATTCTCCTGCCTCAGCCTGCCGAGTAGCTGGGACTACAGGCATGCGCCACCATGCCCGGCTAATTTTTTGTGTTTTTATTAGAGACGGGGTTTCACCGTGTTAGCCAGAATGGTCTCGATCTCCTGACCTCGTGATCCGCCCGCCTCGGCCTCCCAAAGTGCTGGGATTACAGGCATGAGCCACCACACCTGGCCTTTTAGCTTCTCCCATTTCTAGGCACCATGTCAGGGGCAGCAATGTAGAGACGGAAAAAACAGGCGCTCACACCTAGTAGGAGAAGCAGACAAACCAGCTGACAGCCACAGGGCCCTGTTATGATAGTGACATGATGGAGGAAGGCTTGTAGCTATCCGGGGCACAGAGAGGGTCTCCAGCCCAGCCTTGAGCTCTCCAGCCAGGCAGAAGCACCAGAGAAACTTCCTGTAAAACATGAAGCTTAAGCTCAGTTCTGAGGAGCAAACCCGTTAGCCAGGAGGATGACAGGAACAGGATGCAGCTGCAGGGAGGTGAAGTGGGAGAGCCAGCAGGGCCCAGGAGAGGAGGGGGGCCCAAGAGAGCGGTGCATCCTTGCATTCAGCAGTGCAGGCTTCATCCCCAGTCCACAGGAGCTGCTAGAGTGTCAAGCAAGGGAACAGGAAGCAGGCACCATCAGAGGGGGAGAGGCAGCTAAATGCTGAATGTTAGAAGGCATCCCAGGCCCTGCATCCATGGGAAGGTCAAAGAGAGCCCGGGCTGCACTTCCTTGTGCCTGGTCTGCCCTCTCGGGAGCCTCTGTAGTCCCCTATTGCTGGGGGTGGGGGCCTGGCCCAGCTGATCTCCACCTAATGTCTCAAAGCGTGACCACCCTCTGTGCCAGCTCTCTGGGTCCCAGGACACATCACTCGCTGCCCCCTCGCCCTCTGCTCTTTTGAAGCCCATCCATCACACACCCTCATCACTTGGTATTTATCACCTAAGGAAGGGCCACAACCTCCAAATCCAAGTGCAGCAATGTGACTAAAGCCAGCTCTCTGCATTTCCATATTTCTGTCGGAATGACATTATCTACTTTTGACCAGAATGCTTTGTGACCCTCTCTGTTAATGAAATATACCATGGTGATTACAACCTTCTTTAGGCATGGTATTTAAAAGTATCGGTGGCTTTTTAGAGAATACGCTTCACAAACTGCTTGGAAAACTCCATCACTTGAGTTTGCTTTTGACCCAAGTCTGATTTCTGATTTTTTTTTCTTTTATTTTCCCCTTTTTGTTCTCTCTTGTGCCTTTTTTTTTTTTTGAGAAGGAGAGGTGGGCAGGAAGGTAGACTTCAGGCTTTGGGATTTACTTCATTAGTTACTTCATTTCCTTACTTTTCATAAAAGCTTGCAGAGTAACTGATATTTTTATTCTGAAAGCATTTCCATCTACGCCAGACCACTGGCTCGGTTTTAGCGAATTAAACTTGTGAAACGAGGAAGTGGATAAAAGTTCATTCCAGAAATGCAGGCTGATGCGATTCTGCATGCTAATTGAGCCTATGCCCCTGCAAAAGGACACAGGGCAGGCGGGCTTTGGAGCTGTCCCAGCAATGCCCCCTTTGCACAGCCCTGCAGGATAGGGAGGGGGCTTGGGGTGTGAAATCCACGGGGTAAAAATCTGATATCTGGAACATGATAAATCACCATTTGCTTTCCTATTTCAGAATATTTCCCCCATCTTTTTATTTAATACTGCCGACAAAGGACCTGCAGTGACCAGAGGGGCTCTGACAACTCCCATCTGGGCTCTGCATTTAAATCCCCATCAGAAGTTACAGAAAGGGGCCAGCTACGGTGGCTCATGCCTATAATCCCAGTAATTTGGGAGGCTAAGGCAGGTGGATCACTTGAGGTCAGGAGTTCAAGACCGGCCTGGCCAACATAGCGAAACCCCGCCTCTACTAAAAACGCAAAAATTAGCCAGACGTGGTGGCATGCGCCTGTAGTCCCAGTTACTTGGGAGGCTGAGGCACAAGAATCACTTGAACCTGGAATCCTGGAATGTGGAGCCTGCAGTGAGCCCAGATTGCACCACTGCAGCCTGGGTGACAGAGCAAGACTCTATCTCAAAAAAAAAAAAAAAAAAAAAGAAGTTACAAAAGGGATTGGACATTATAAGAAGAGTAAATTTTTTATGAAACAAATGTGTGATGTGCTTAATAGCAATAGTTACTGTTCAGCAGCTACATTGTGCCAGGTGTTACACAGATATTATTTCTTCTTCTCAGAACAGCCCTTTGAAGCAGGCTTCTTTATCTCCATTGTCCAGAGAAGTAACTGCAGCTCTAAGAAGTTAAGAGGGACAAGGTCACAGAGCAAGTGGGTGGCAGACTTGAGCCTGGGTGTCCCTGACTCTCAAGTTCATGCTCTTTCTGTTGAGGGAGATTTGAAAACGGGGACTCTGCACCTGGTTGAGCTAAACCAGCACCGGCATAAGAGGTCAGGGAGAGGTCTGCAGTCCAGCCTGCCCAGATGACATTTTCCCCCTTTGTTCTACAGCTGAAGCCCTGTTACTGCCGACACTATTTGGTTTTCCTATCTTTAGGTAAGAGAAGCTGAGGATTGCCTGCATTCCTCACTCCCCATGGCCTAGGCAAAGTCTGAGTCACCCCAGGAACAGTGGCATGAGAGTTTCCGAAAGAACTACCCCAAACCATCCCAAGGTAGGGCTGGCTGGGATTCCAAGGAAACACTAAACGCCCAGGGGGATCCATCTAAAGCATTTATTAGGAGAATTTACATACACAGGGCTTCATCATCCTTTAAACAGTCAGCAAGATAGGAGATGTTCTACCCAGATGTGTTCCCAGCGAGTGTCATGGAGTTTATATGAAGGTTTAAGGCATTTAGCTCAGGGCTGAGGCCACTTTCTCCATGTTTAGCAACATGTGTGATATTTCAGTGTTTGAGGCAACAACCTAAACAACTTTATCAGTGCCTGCGAATGTTCAAAGCCCAGCTTGGGTGCAAGCCTGCAAGGGAAAACATGCAGCTGGCCGGGTCACAGAGTGTTCAAAGCATTGTGTGTTTCAAAGGAAGAAAGCGGAGGGAACTCCAAGATGCTTTTGAAACTGTCGATTCTACTGCTGCTAAACAACAAGGCAGAGACATGGTAACCCCAGCAGCACCTTGATGCCAAGAAGTGGAGAAACACAGGTCAAACTGCAGATAGGTCAGTGCTCCAGAGGGTGCTGAATGGACACACGGGATGGGACCCCATTGACAAGCACCTTCAAACTGGTGACAGAAGCCACGCTAGCTGCCTCATCCCCCCAGGGAGCCCTGCAAAGAAAGAAACATGCCAGCATTGCCATGGGAAAAAAGGAAAAGAAAAATGAGGATGAACCTTACCAGATATTTAAAATATATTCCAAAGCTACTGTAATTCTTTTAATTTAGTACTTGTTCAAGAATAGACAAAAATAAATACAGTAGACAGAATAAAGTAACACCTAAATGCATATTTTACAAATAAAAATTTAGTAGGCGATAAAGACAGCATTTCAAATTGGTGAGAAAAATGAATGGATTTGTAAACTGGTAATGGTACAACTAGCCAGCAATTAGCAAAAATATATAAACCTGATCTCTAACTCAATTCCTATCAAAAATAAGTTCCAGATAAATCAACTACAATATAAAAAATAAAAACAAGAGCACTGGAAAAATGAGGACAAACATTTATAATCTCAGCAGAGAGAGGGCCTTTATAAGCTTGACACAAAATTAAAAAGCCATAAAGAAAATATTGACAAATCTGACCATATCAACTTTAAAAAGTATCTAAAGATAGCCAAAAGACAAAATAGGGAAAATATTATATCTCTTGGCAGATGAAAGACTAATTTCTTTAATACACAAAGAGCTCTTATAAATCAATAAGCAGAAGATGAACCCAGTAGAAAAAAAGTGTGATGGCCATTAACAGGCAATTCAAAGAAAACGAAAGGCAATTGACCATCACATAAGAACAAATGTTCACCCTCACGCAAAATTAAATAGATGCAAATTACAGCAACATAAATTATCTTCTACTCTTGTCTCCCTCCCAAAGTAAACACAGCGATCTTTTCAAAACACAAATTTGATTATATCTCTCCACCATCTAAATCTCTTTAAAGGTTTTCCACCACTCTTGGGAAAGGTTTTAAATCCTTAATGGGTCCTGTGTGGGCCCTGAACCCATCACTCTTTCCTAACTCCTCCCATCTGGGTCTTCTCTCAGGACCTTTGCACCTGGTATACCCCCTCTCCCTGAGATGCTTTTCCCTCTCCTCTTCCTTTCCTCCCTCCCCTAATGAGCTTCTACTCATTTTTCAGATTACAGCTCAATTCTCCCTTTCTGGGGGAAACTTGTCCTGACCCCCCAGCCTATTCCCTCACTACATTAGCTCTCTCTTTTATATGTTCTCCTATCATGTATTTTTGCACTTATAAAATGTGATTATTAAACTAATATTTGTCTCCTCATCTGGACCATAAGCTCCATTGGGAAACTGATTTTATCTATGTGGTTTTTAAATTATTGTCTCCTCATCTGGACCATAAGCTCCATTGGGAAACCGATTTTTTTCCCAATAAAAAATTCACTTTTTTTGCCGGGCGTGGTGGCTCACACCCGTAATCCCAGAATTTTGGGACTCCCGGGCGGGTGGATCACCTGAGTTCAGGAGTTCGAGACCAGCCTGGCCAACATGGTGAAACCCCGTCTCTACTATAAATACAAAAAAAATTAGCAGGACATGGTGGCAGGTGCCTGTAATCCCAGCTACTTGGGAGACTGAGGCAGGAGAATCGCTTGAAGCTGGGAGGCGGAGGTTGCAGTGAGCCGAGACCACGCCACTGCACTCCAGCCTGAGCAGCAGGAACGAAACTGCATCTCAAAAAAAAAAAATTTACTTGTTTATATTCATCGTGTTCTTGGAACATAACACACAACGCTTGCCATATAGTAGGTGCTCAATTAATATCTTTGAGTGACTGAATAAACAAAAGAATTGTTTTCTCCTGTGATGTTGCAAATATTAGAAAGGTGCAGAGAGAATCAGGCATTTCTGATTAGCAAGAAAAATTGTTGGAGATCAAGCTAAATTGTGCCAAACAGGATGAATTTATCTGTTAGCTAGACTTGTAGATATACACAAAGATAGATGAAGATGTTGCTTGCGGCATTCTTCATGATAGCAAAAGCCGAGAAACAGCATGCATATTCTTTTTTTCTTTTTTTTTTTTGAGACAGAGTCTCACTCTGTCGCCCAGGCTGGAGTGCAGTGGCGCGATCTCGGATCACTGCAAGCTCCGCCTCCCGGGTTCATGCCATTCTCCTGCCTCAGCCTCCAGAGTAGCTGGGACTACAGGCACCCGCCACCACACCTGGCTAATTTTTTGTATTTTTAGTAGAGACGGGGTTTCACCGTGTTAGCCAGGATGGTCTCGATCTCCTGACCTCGTGATCCACCCGCCTCGGCCGCCCAAAGTGCTGGGATTACAGGCGTGAGCTACCGCGCCCAACCAGCATGCATATTCTTTAAGAGAGAATAAGTTAGAAAAGTTATGATACATCCATGCAATGAAATAGTGTACAGCCATTTCAGAGAATGATGCCAATCTTTACATGTGGGAAGATCTCCAAGATCACCTATGAACTGAAAAGCAAGTTGTGGAGCATTCCATGCAGCGTGATTCCATTTGTGATTTTTCAAAGGAAGCAATACATCCTTTCCCTTGCATAGGAAATTTCTGGACAGATGAGCAACAAGCAATGAATCATGGTAACTTGAGGAAGAGGGGCCAGAAGGGGAGATTTATACTCTTCACCTTATGCCCTTCTGGATAATTTGAATGTAGTCACGAATACATATTACATTTTTAATATTGCAAACTAGTTATTTTCAAAAATTAATTGTTTAATAAGGGATCCATAAGGAGTTCATTAGCACCATAGTACAGAGCCCCATTATTTCCAATTATCTTTCTTTCTTTACTCTCTTAAAGTTCAGCAGTTCTTAACCTTGGGCCCTCATCTTCTCTGCTGTCTTTGCCCATTCTCAGCATCATCGGTGACTTCACAGCACTAAGGGAACTTCATTTAAAATAATGATTCCATAAAGCAAAATTCAAGCAAGGGCTCCAGCTGTCTATGGAATCAACACTCATTTGTTGGGATTTTTGCACACCGATTCTCACCTGAGCCAAGTTAGTCCAGGGAGGTTCTCCCGTGGTTTCGCATCCTTTAAATGGCCCACGTAAGAAGAGTCCATGGAAACAGAACATATCTATTCTAGGTCTGAATGGAGTTGCTTCTTCCCACTACCTCTCTTTAATGCTTCAAATTAATTTTCAGGTGGAGCTGCCAAAAGCTAGTTACTCCAGAAATAAATATATACAGGAAGAGAAACAAATCTACCTGTAATAACCATATGGAGTACACCAACACTGCGTTCAGGAGGAGAAAAGAATTAAGTAACAGCACACTGAGGTGCAGTACAGCTTGTTTCCATGACGCTATAAATAATAAAATCACCCCAGACGCTGCCTGAAGTGAGCTATGAAGGATACTTGATTTCCTCCAGTTCTGTTGGCCGTCTACCATCTGCTGTGCAGCTAACACCACTGAAGGGAGCATTAACACGGCTAAGAGCCTCCTTCATGTTATATCTCTCCCTGTGTGCTCTTCAAATTGTGTACACTGTCGAGGTAGCGGCATGGCTATTCCTGATTAGAATAACTCTGGGAGCATTTCCGTCCATTTCTTCCCCTCTCATCTCTGCCTGGTTGCCTTTGCCTGCCCTCCACACCCTGGCAGCAGATGGTGTCCGTTTATTTCTGAGGGGTGGGCAGGGCCTGACCTGATGGCATGATGACCACACCTTGATGCAAAAGAGGAGGACCCAGAGAGTGCAGGTGGGTGGAGAGGCTCTGGACACAGGTGTTGAGGCCCCAGCAGAGGCAGGAGAGCAAAGGACAGCTCAGCCGGCGACCCCTTTCTCCAGGTTCTCATGGTTGCTTGTTGCCTCTGGCAGGTGGCAGAGGAGGGCCAGGGACTCCATGGGCTGGAGGGAGGAGACCCTTCCCACCCAGTCTCTGCAGAGTATGGCCCTGTTGCCCCCTGAACCACTGTCTTCTGTGCCCCATTCTGTCCCCACAGTCCATCTTCTCCCCCAAAGTCATGGGTGCTCCCGGGACTCCATGGGCTGGAGGGAGGAGACCCTTCCCACCCAGTCTCTGCAGAGTATGGCCCTGCTGCCCCCTGAACCACTGTCTCCTGTGCCCCATTCTGTCCCCATAGTCCGTCTTCTCCCCCAAAGTCATGGGTGCTCCCTTTGGGATGCCCTGTCCCAGAAGCTTATCTTTGCTCTCTTTGGCTCAAAGAAAAGGTGAGCTCTTTGCACCGCATGACAAAAGGATGATAGAAGCCTGATCTACAGTTCGCTATGGGCTTACTTTTACTCGTTCATTCACTGAGCAAGCCAGCTTTCATCCAAATGTATGTGTCCCTCACTCAAATAGCAGCCCATGATGACACTATCCACCCTCCCCATCAAAATTACAATGCCCTCTGGAGAAATTGGGATTATGAAAAGCAAGGGCATTCACCTTAGAAGGACCCTACGAAAATGTAGACAAGAACTGGGGAGCCCAGGAGGAGGTAAGGGGAAGAGGGTGTCTCCTAGCCTTTCTCTGGGGACACAGCATCACTGATTTATCTGTGACTGCAGGTCATTGAGAGCTGAGTCATGCCGGCCCTGTGCAGAGGCCTGGGTTGGTTCTGGAGGCACCCTCTGAAAATCCAGGCAAGAGGAGCATTCATCCATGCCAGGGCGTCAGTTTGGATTCTTTAAGAGCATAAAATAACAGTAGCGGTGCCATCTGCTTGCTCCTTCACCTCAGAAACGTGCAGCCTCCTAGTCAAGAGCATGGCCTAACCAGACAGAACTGGGTTCCAGTCTTATTCCTACTACCTAACAGCTGGGTAGCTGAGGGTCCTCTACAATCTCTGAGATTCCATTTCTTCATCTATAAACTGGATCTAAGGAAACCTCCTTCATTGGACTGTTATGAAGATGAAACAAGATATTGTGCTTAAGGAACATAACACAACACCTGCATTTCCTTCTGAAGAGAAAAGTGAAACCAATTCTTCTTCACATTGGCCACCAGGGAGCTCAGCATCAAATGTCAGGCTCAATTGAAAGCAAGAAGGCAGGACCTGTGATGGGTGCTCTTCTTGCCTTCTCTCCAGGCTCAACATATGTCACTTGTTCTTATTTTCCTTGGACCTAAATCTTTCTTCTTATATTTACATTGTTTTATGTTATGTGTTCCTGTTTTAAATCACCTCCAGGACTTTGTGAAAGGAGTAAGTATATAAGGAGCCCACCTACCTTCTGGGTTGCAGCTTACCAGTGCAGGCTCAGCTGGGACATGACCAGGGTAAACTCAAAAGATGACTAATATTCTTTCAGCTCTGAAAAAATTCTAGGTTTAAACCAACCTTTATTCTCCTAATACACAGAAGACGTCATGTGCAACATTGTTTAAAATTCTTCAAGCGTAATGGAAAAAAGTCTCCAGGGCCTTGTCAGCCCAAGACGGGGGCTGAAAAGTTACCCCAAGTGTCCTTTGCTCCCTGGGGAGCAGGCAGCCACCACACAGCCGGGATGTCATGCCTGGCTTATTCTCTCCCTGTGGCTCTCAGTGGAGCTGAGCTCAACAGAGGTCACCCAAGGTCAATGTGGCACATCAGAAAGACAGGAGCCTGGAGGCATCCCCTGCCAGCACTGCCAACGTGCCCTGAGGGGGCATCCCACCAGGCGGTTGGAAGACAGGGAGCCACGGGTCTGGGGGCTGGGAGGCTGAGAGATTTCTCACTTCACCTGAGGTGCAGGCAGGCCTAATGAGAGAGAACACCAGCCCAGGGCTTCTCCTGTGGTTTCCTGTCAAGGAAACTCAAACCAGGGAAGAACAAATGCCAGCATGGAGCCCTGAGAAGCAGTCATGCAGGGGGAGTGCCTCCGCGATGGTGCGGGGACCCAGGAGACCACGTTCTACTGCTAAAACAGGGACATGAACCACACCTGGAGCAAGCAAGAAGGCTGCAGGGGCCCTCGCAGGCCAGGGTGCAGCACTCCCTGAGGGCATCCCGTTCCTAGAACATCTACAGTGGCAGACGCCTTGAAGGGGGCGTCCACTACCCCACCCATGTCATGCCTTGGGAAACCTGCGGGGTCCGCGTGGCTGCTGCTGCAGTTCACCCTCCCCAAGCCCCACCGTCATGGTAGGCAAACAAGTCAATGTCATCAACAGTCTCTGTGCCCTGCTCTGTTCAAAGCACAGGACCCAAAACTCCACCCATGTTTCACTATTTAGCTCCAAAGACATTAACCACCACAGGTCCTAAAAATGTTGCTCAGCTGTGAGTGTCTTCTATCTCTTGTGCCTTAACTTGCAAAACAGTCCCGTCTTTCTTCACAGTGCTAGAGAGAGGGGTCTGGTGCAGGGCTGATGGGGAGGCGGTGCCATGCAGGGTCCGGCCCAGGCTCTCACCTGAGCAGGCGCAGCCGCGCTTGCCACCTCCTCCAGGGCTTTCCCAGCAACCGCCTCCCCAGCTCAGCTCACATTCTGCTCCCTTCCTTTCACCGTCACCCACCTTCTACAACAGCACGTCTCACTCTCTACTGAGCAAGCCCAGGTTCTTAGCTGCTTTAGAGATTTTCAAGATCCCTTCAGATGCACTTCCTGGGTCTCCATTTCAATCACCACTTGAGCTTCACCAGTTCCAGCAGCAATGTCCCTCCACACTTCCCTAATTACCCTCTTCCAGTCAGTCAACAAACACTGGGTAAGCACCATCTAAGGGCATTGCATTATACTGGATCTTGGAGAAACAGTAGGAAAAAATAAAATCAGTGGCCTGGGGCATCAATGAACTGACAGGGTAACTGCGGAGAAAAAAAAAATCACCCCCAGGAGCGCCATCCCCCTGTTATATGACCCTGGACGAGCCCAGGCTCTCCTCTGCTGACTGGGTATAAGCCTCTTCTTACTGTCCTATAGCCAACAGACATTTTTCGCAGGTCTGCGGACAAACTCCCCTCTTTCGTGAACAGAATCTTTTGTTTTCCTTCCCATTCTTAGCCTTGTGACTTGATAAAGTTAAACCCACCCCCAGCATAGGAGAGGGTCCCTAAGTCAGTCAGAGAGTTCCATGCTTCTGGCCCAAGGATGGACACACAAACTAATCAGAGCCAAGGATATGCAAGGAGACTTTCCGGGGCTTTGTGGGAATAGAGACTGTATCCCTGCTCTGTAAAAACTACTAGAGGAGACCCTCTCTCTTCCACTGGATGACATAATCAGAGGTTGTAAGGATTAGAACTCCAGCAACTATTTTGAAACTGCAAGCTTTCCTGGGCTGCTAGCAGCCTTTGGTATAAACCTCAGGAAAGAAGCCTAGTCCAGGAAGGCAGAGCAGGAACAAGGAAAATATTTGTCCCTTAGGGACAGGACCTTAGGGATAGTTGTTGAGCCCTAGATCAAGCTTCACCTGAATCAGGACTACCGCTGAGTATATCAGTGACATGAACCAGCCAGTAACTCCCCTTCGTAGATCAAGTCAGCTGGAGTCTTTCATGTCACTTGCAAACAAACCTGCTCTAGCTGATGTACTCCCTCACAGAGGCATGGTGGAAATTAAGTCAGGAAAAGCTCTCTGAAGTTTACATAAAGCTCTCCACACCCCAGGCGGTGTTATGCAGCAGGAAGCACTTGGCAGCTGCCCAATAAACACATTTCATATCTTAAGGCCTGATCAGTCCTGCAGAGAAATTATCTCTGAGTCTGAGTTGTCTCTTTGAAACAGAACTTCCCTAACAGCCTTGATCCATCCGGAACAGCTGCTGTCAAAAGCTACCAGGACCACAGTAATCACGAAAAGCATAGCCAACAAGGAGTTTCTGTAGCAGCGTCTGATGAAGCTACCATAGGCCACGCTCATCACAAAAGTCACAGCCACGGGCATCCCTCAGTTCATGCTGCTGCCAAGGTTCCCAAGGCCCAGCCTGAAAAAAGCTGCTTATCTGCAATGCCAGAAACTGAGCTGCAATCTCAAAACATTATTTCTGGAAACTGAAAAGAATCCCAGGTAAATGATCAGAGCAAAGGAGAAACTGTTGGTGGAGGTTGTCAATTAGGGAGAAACCAAGGCATGTTAGCCTTCGGGGGACAGATTTGATGCACATGCTCAAGAGCCAAAGATCCTTCAAGTCTCTTCACTTCACAAGAGATTGCCAAGAGGCCTGAGATCAGTCTGTGGCTGAGAAGATGAGCCCAGCCACATCATTTCATGCGCCCGGATGCATCTGAACAAATGTCATCAACAAGTTGATGATGATGCTAAGAAAACGGCTGTTCCATGCCAGCCTACACCTCCCTGGCATGTCTGGTACCTGCTTTCCTCCTTTTTGTGGAGAGTCAGACACAGGATGCCAGTGGGGGATGGGCTCTGACCTCCAACTTATGTGTTCTAGGCCTCTCAAGTACTGGGGAAACTCTGGAACTCCTTCAGGCCGTGCAGGGCAAGAGGAGACAATCAGGGGCATCTATGGAGGCCAGGAAAAGTCTCAGGTGCAGCCCAGCCATGTGCTTCCTCAGGGCCCTCTTTTTTTTTTTTTTTTTTTTTTTTGAGACGGAGTTTCGCTCTTGTTGCCCAGGCTGGAATGCAATGGTGCAATCTCAGCTCACTGCAACCTCCGCCTCCCAGGTTCAAGTGATTCTCCTGCGTCAGCCTCCCGAGTAGCTGGGATTACAGGCATGCGTCACCATGCCTGGCTAATTTTGTATTTTTAGTAGAGATGGGATTTCTCCATGTTGGTGAGGCTGGTCTCAAACTCCTGACCTCAGGTGATCCGCCCACCTTGGCCTCCCAAAGTTCTAGGATTACAGGTGTGAACCACCAAGCCCAGCCAGGGCCATGTTACGAGTGTGTCAGAGGTCCAGGCTGGCCTGCACAGGAAGGTGGTCTCCAAGTCCTCTTTCAGTCTGAGCTACACAGGACCACCACACTCAGTGTGAGTGCCCACTCCCATTCCCATGGACCTTAGCTCCTTAGAGAGCTCCCGAACCTTCCCCCACAACACACAGACACAGCAGCCACGCCCTACACACAGCCCACAGCACAAACCCACCCGCATTTCATCATAGCTCTATCCAGGACAGTGTGATATGCTGCCCTTTGTAAAAACCTGTACACCTACTAATAGAAAACTCTGAGCTTCTGCTAAGTAATCATATTTTATCCTCTAATGACATGGTGAGTTCTGTGGATAGTGTTTCTTTGCTTTGGCTGCTAAGAGGTTAAGAGCCAAATCTGTAACAATCTCTCATATCTGCCTAAGACCCTCGGACCAGCATTTGTGTACCTACCAGCCTTTCCTGCCCTGGAGATCTTATGTGTACACCTTCATTTTGCTGTGACCTCAATTTCTTCTTGTTTTTTTTAATCAAGTTGAGTATACACACATGTTGACATATATATATATATATATGAGAGAGAGAGAGGCAAACTCACAATCTTCTTAGAAGGAGGCTGGAGAGTATGCAGAGAAAGAGAGAATGGATCAAAATGAAAAAAAAACTTTTCAGCCATGTGTTCTTATGTTGCAATCTTAGGACAAAATGGGAACCATGAAGACACACCTCTAACTTTGGAATAATTTCATCAGGCTCCCTGTTCAGAAGTCCCAAGTAATAACCATGACCTGTCACATCTCAAAAATAACTATATAAGCTGAACAGCCAAAAAGTCACTTTTGGAGATTATTTATAAACATGGGTGATTCCTGATGGAAATTAATCCTTCATTTTATAGAAGTCAGAAAAAAATTGAGAGACTAATTCAGAGAGTACTTGGAAGCGAGCAAACAACCAAGAAGTGAAAACCCATGAATATGGAAAGGACATGCCTATTGAATGTGTGATAATTATCCCGCCTGCAGACCAGGGACTGCAGCATGAGCAAAATGCTGTGCAGCATAACTTACTGACACCTGAACCAAGGTCATCCTTGGGTGCACCATTCTTGGGATTTAGACCAGTTCATAAATGGTAGTTAATGGCCCATTCCAAGGAGAATCTCTGCATACTTAATGGCTGTGGGTGACACTTTAGAATATGTATCTATTCAAAGTGACACATACATAGGGAATCTGTGATCAAGCACCTGCCATACAGCCAAAAATATAGGGAACATTTCAGTCGGTGGCTGTGCCAAGCATTGGTAAGCGCCTAGTGCATACACAGCTCTGTGTCCCTATTTCCTGCTTCATCCGATGACTCGAGTAGCATCTACTGAATCTGCTTCCAGAGCTGTGTTGAGAACATCAAGAGATGTCTTAGTGTAGAAGTAGCCACATGGATGGTGACATTGTCATGTCTTTTGCAAAGACACGCATTCTGCATGTCCCAAGTCTCCTAAAGGTCTTGATTAAAGTTATTTCCAGAAGAGGCAGCAAGATGAAGTGTGCAAATGATCTAGCCCCATACCCTGGAAAAGAGTGTCCAAAGCAGAGTGCCTGGCCTTAAGGAGTTTGTATTCTACTTGGAAAGAGGATATTATAAATCTCCCATTTTGCTTTTGAGGAAACTGAGGCACAGGGTCACATGACATCCAAAGTCAAATAGCTTGTTAGTGACTGATACAGTTTGGATATTTGTCCCCTGCAAATCTCATGCTGAAATTTGATCCCCAGTGTTGAAGGTGCAGCCTAGTGGGAGGTGTTTGGGTCATGGGGTTGGATCCCTCATGAATGGCTTAGTGCCGTCCTCACAGTAATAAGTGAGTTCTTGAGCTATGAATTCCTGCAATTATTCCTGAGAGCTGATTATTTAAAAGAGCCAGGCACCTCCCACCAACTCTTGCCTCCTCTGTCTTGCCATGTGATCTACATATGCTGGCGCCCCTTTCTTTTCTGCCATGATTGGAAGCTTCCTGAGGCCTCTCCAGAAGTGGATGCTGGTGCCATGCTTCTTGTACAGCCTGCAGAACCATGAGCCAAATAAATCTCTTTTCTTTATAAATTACTCAGTCTCAGGTATTCCTTTACAGCAATGCAAACAGAATCAGTACTAGCACCCAGGACCTGTGATTATTTGGGATGTGGCAGATGCTGCCAATGCTCTACTTGCTTTGTTTAAACCCCACCACTTCAAGTGCTCCAAAAAGCTACCAAACTGCCAGCATCTGCATCTCTGTACCTGGAGGTTTTGCTGGAACCACAGAATGCTGTTCTGCTTCCCTGCATGGCAAATCAGAAGTGCCAAGGAATTAACATCCCCCACAAGCAACCCCCAACCAATGACTGACAGGAAATGGTGCACAAATACCCAGCTCCTCCACCCATTGGGAAGGATCATTCTGCAGTTTCTCTTTTGCATCATTTTCCTGCAAGTCTTCCCTGCCCTCCTGAATGAACTACTTGTACCTGAATCCTTATTTCTAAGAACATCGAACACACAGGCAACCAAAGCAAAAAGAGACCAATGGGGCTGTCAAACTTTAAAACTTTTGCACAACAAAGGCAATGATCAACAGAGTGAAAAGGCAACTTATGGAATGGGAGAACATATTGCAAACCCCGTATCTGATAAGGGGCTAATAATATCCAAAATATATGGAAAGAACTCTTACAACTCAATAGCAAACAAACAAACAAACAAAAAAGCCAGATTAAGATATGGGTAAAGGACTTGAACAGACATTACCAAAAAGACATACAAATGGCCACCAAGCAAAAAGATGCTCACCATCACTAATCATCAGGGAAATGAAAATCAAAACCATAAAATCTCACACTTATCAGGATAGCCACTATCAAAAAAATAAAATAAAAATAACAAGAGTTGGTGAGGATCGTGGAGAAACTGGAACTCTTGTGATATACAATGGAATGAATATTATTCACCCTTAAAGTAATAAGGAAATCTACTAGGTGCAGAGGTTCACATTTGTAGTCCCAGTTACTTGGGAGGCTGAGGTGAGAGGATCACTTAAGCTCAGGAGTTTGAGGACAGCCTGAGTAACACAGCAAGACCTCATCTTAAAAAAAGAAGGAAATTCTGTCATATGCTACAACTTAGATGAACCTGGAAGACATTATGCTAAGTGAAATAAACCATTCACAAAAGGACAGATACTACATGATTTCACTTATATGAGGTATCTAAAGTAGTCAAACTCTTGGAAACAGAAAGTAGAATAGTGGTTGACAGGGGCTAGGAGGAATGGGGAAAGGAGTTTTTCAATGGGTGTAGAATTTCAGTTTCGCAAGACAAAAAAGCTCTAGAGATCTGTCACACAACAATGTGCATATAGGTAACATTACTATACTGTACACTTAAAGATGGTTAAGATGGTAAATGCTGTTTTTTATTACAACAAATAATAATGAACTGAAAAGTATGTAGGTAAGAAACAACTAGAAAGTATCACTAGCAGGCAGGCAATATGATAAAGGGGAAGAAACGTGGTCTTTGCAGTCAGTAGAGCCAGATCTCAGTCCTGACCCTCCAGTGACTAGCTGCTGAGTTGGAAATTCCCATTGCTGTGTCCCACAGCACTTGGTACACTGAATGCTTTCCTGTGGGCAACTTGCTCATACAGAATATGTTGGGGAAAAAAGCACTCTGCACCTCAAGGAGGTAAATTGAATTCAGTTTTAGGTGTCTTTCTACAGTGATGGAATTACAGGAGAAAACAGCTTTACTCCTGAGACAATCACATATCTCTGCTTGGTTTCCTGTACAGGAGCCCAACCCAGTGACATCCTGGGTGGGCTTTTCCCAGCCACCTCCCTCTGAAGAGTGATTCACAGGACACCTGCTCGCCAAGCTCTGAGCTGCTGGCAAATCCCCTTTTCTTCACTGCCCCACAGGTGCACTCTCAGCAGCCATCTGTATGGTCAGTGAAGGGACCTTCACAAATGACAAGAGCTGAGGATTGGACTCAAAGAGGGGGAGCCCTGGGACCCTAAGATGGAAGGACAGTGGGAGGGGCAGTGAAAGGTGGGCAGTGGGATTCCAGAAGCCAGGTAAGGAGGAACACCCAGGCGAGAGGAGGTGGATGAACCTACCTAGCCGTACAGACATGCTGAGGAGTCCACAGTGGTCTTAGGAGTGGGCTGCTGGTAGTAGGTGTATATAATTCCCTTCCTCTCTAGGCTCTGCCTCCGAGCTCCTTGGGTGAGAAGCTGTCTTCTTCATCACTAAACTTGTCACCCTCTGTAGCAAGCACACAGCAGGTTCTTGGTCAGTGTATGCTGAACTCATTCCTTTAGACTTAGGCTCTAAGGCTCAAAGACATATTGGCACAAAGACGGCTCACTGCGTCTCCATGTGGCTGGAGTGGGACTCAGCCCCTGCCCGCTGCAACATAAATCCTTGTGTTAATGCATAGCCTTGTACAGGGCTTGGCATGTGAAGGTGGAAACATATTAATACAAGGTCTGCACTAATTGGCTCTAACAATCCCAGCCTTGGGCTCCCCGTAACTGCTACCACTCCACTGACCTAATAATTACAATTTATGTGGCAGCAAAAGTGCACAGAATCTGAAGGATTTGTTTTGCTGACTTTAAAGAAAATATTCACAGGTCATAACAATATGAAAATGTTATTTCCCCTGGTGAGCCACATCACAGAAAGCTGGAGACAAAAATCCTATTCAAAGACATGGTCCCACCAATGCTTTATGCTTTCTCAGTCATGGGCTGTGGGGAAGCAGGGGACAGACGGGCAGGACATCCATGATGGCTTCCCTGTTGGGTCTGCCTTCTGTAGCCAGGGCTATATGCAGGGGATTTCCAACGGTAGCGGGGAGATAAAAATTGTTATTTAAAACCCAAATTGACTGTGGCTGCTTTTGCAAGCAGCATGATTCTTTTATATTACAGGCTAGAAGGGCAGAAATCTTCCTGCTTCCATTTTAACTGAGCACCAAGACAACAGATACCCAATACCATAGAATCTGTAGACACATCCCCAAAGGCGGAATTTATCAAGGTCGGATGCAGAACCTTGTCCACTGCTTAAGAACTCTCTCACCCTCTCCATGAATACAAAAAGTAATTATATCTTTGGAGCACTCTGATCCAGATATGACCACAGATTATATACCACAGACTGTGCTGTGAATCCCACCCCCTGCTACAGGCTCTGTGGCCCCTACAGCTGGAGGATGGGAGGGCTGGGTCCCGACTCCCACCTGAAAAACCAAGAGGTCAAAGGTGAGCAAGAAGAGTTCTGAGCAAGAAGGGTGCTGAGCAGGGGATGTGTTTCCCAAGGATCCAGTGTGTGCCCCATGGGAGAGAAAGCCAGCTGTGGGATATCTTAGGGTCAACAGGGCCACCTAGGGGGCCAGAGAGATCTTGATCTCAGCCACAAGAAGTCAGGATAAGACTGCATTCCTCGGGCTGCCAGAGGTGTCTCTAGCTGCTACCCAGAACAGAGGAGCACAGGGCTGCTCAAAGGGATGCAGTCAAGGAACCCACCTGGGAAGCTCTGAAGAGCTTTCCAAATCCCAGCACGAGGGATGCAGTCAGCTCTCCATACCTGCCAGGCCCAGGGAACAGGAAGCCAGCTCCCTGCAAAGCCAGCAGGAGTGAGATGGACCCTCCCTCCTCCAGCACCTCCAGCATCATCCTGCCAAGGTGGAGAAACTAAGAGAAAGCCACTCATGTCCTTAAAGCTGGGCCAAGCTGGGAGAGAGGCAAATATTTGTCACCAAATTGAGGTAAGATCTGGGACTCGACATTCAAATTGCTGAACTGGGATTTAAAGTCCCTACAATGGTCTATTACCCAAGAACAGAAAGAGAGGCTGTGGGTCTGACAGTTTCACCCAGGGGCACGGCAAAGTCACCAGCACTGAGTAACCTTGAAAGGGGAATAGGGGACAAACTAAAGCTGCATTTGATCCCAGCCCACCAGTCATGCATTCCATACCCTGGTTATAATATCAGTACAGATGAAACCTCTGTTCTCCTTGCATAGACTGAGAGCAGAGAGACGTATTCCAGAATCCGTTCTCCCCTCTGCCATGGAGGCAGAACTGTAGCTGGGCACAAGCTTGCAGGCCAGGCCACTCCTCAGGCTCTGCATAGCTGGTGGAGCCAGGTAACTAGGTTCTTGTCCATGGGATATGAGTAGTGGCCACACATGCAACTTCCTGGGCTGGTCCTGTGGACACCAGTGTGGACTCTTCCACACATCCTTTCATTCTCACTGGCAGTTCTCCAGTCAGGGGTGGGGGAGCAGCAGATGGAGGGAACTTGCTTCTCTGAATGATCTCATGGAGCGGAGCTGGACTTCCCATCTATCCTCAGACCCATTACAGGAGGGGAAAATATGGTCTGTGTTTTGAGGCATTGCCTGGTCAGTTACTTTTACTTCATCTTTACCTTATCAAATACATGGGAAAGCTGCAAAACCTGGAGGAAGCATCTGTTGCACAGTGCATCCCTGGACCATTGGATTTGCAAAGGAAAGTCCAGAGTTGAGTTCCTGGCTAGGGACCACTGAATTGCTCTACATAATACAATAGGAGTTTTTTCTGGCATCATTAGAGATGGAAAATGGTGGTAGGCAAGTGGAAAACAAACACAGCAGGCACCTGGATTTTGAGTAGTTGAGAAGGCTGGGGAGGTTTTTTCTGAAGAGAAAGAATGCTAATATTCAGTATTAAATTAGCCACTATATGAAGTTTGCTGTAACTTCTCTCACTATTACCTCGGAGTTTTTAATAAAAGCCCATCTCACTGAGCTGCTTCATGTGCGTTGATTGTTTTGTTTTGTTTATGCTACATTAGGATAATAATTTCAAATTACTAATTATGGATTTTTCAAATGTATAAGAGAGAAAATAGCACAGTGAAGCCCCATGTACCCATCACCCAGCCTCAGCACTTAGCAACCCATGGTCAATCTTGCTTCATCGCTGCACCCGCCCATTTTTTTCCTCACTAGACAATTCTGAAGCAAATCCTTCTTGATGGGAGTACTCAGCACCACTTATAAAGTAGTCTTGCCAGAAAAAATCCACCAACCATTGAAAGGGTTGATTGGATTCTGGTTTGATTTCTTTTGGCAAGACTACTTCATAAGTGGTGTTGGAAACTTCCACAGGGAGACATATAACATCCAACCTTCTCATTTCATGACATTTCAGTAATCTTGGAGAGTTTTCTTTCCTAGAAGGGAATAAATTAGGCAGGTCTGTTTCTCACATTTGGGTCAATCCCAGGGCAGAATAATGAGGCAGTTTCAAAAAGCACAGCATAAAGTGATAATTTGGCAAAGACAGAACCTAGCCAGAAGTAACTAGAAATGAGTATAAACAGGAATTTACAAAAACCTTGGTGAAGGCATTTGACTTCCCACATGACATAAGACGGAAGATGAAGCCCATCTTATCTGGATAATACACGGGAAGATACCCACCTCCAACATCTGGTTCATGTAGTACAATTGTGGCAGAGGTGCTATTTTCTCCTCCAGGTTTTGTCCATCCATCCTCCTTACCAGGGCCTTTACCCTCTAGGTGTGTCCCTCTGGTGTCTTGAATTCAAGTTCCCACCACCTCAAACTCTTTGTCTAGCATCTCCTCCAGAAAGTGTCTAGTACACTCATTCTCAGTGAAACATACAGGTTAATCCTAACATTTCACATCTTGCTTAATTAGTTGGCTTCCCCTGACAACTCTACTAAATAATCAAAATAGCAATAACCCTTCCAGGAAACAAGATGTTCAAAGCAGCCTGACAAAGTGGTAAAGGTCAGAGGCATTCCTTCCAGATTCTAGTCCAGTACTGCCAATAATTAACTGTGTATCCTGGAAAAGCACTTCCCTTGTTTGGGCCTCAGTTTCTCTAGTATCTAAAGGGATTGGAGTCATGCTGTCAAAAGTCCTTTTCACTTGGAACATTTTGTCATGTAGGTGAAAAGACTTTGAAAGGTAAAAAGCATCATGTTAAGTAAATATGCTTAACTACACAACACTCATTTGAGGCATTATTTTTCTTTAAAGCGTATTATTGGAAAACTTAGAATTCTTCAGGTAACTAAAACATTAAGGATTTGAATCCACACGCTGTAGACCACCAGAAAGAAGTTTTCGCAAAGCCCATGGTCTATTAACATGCAAAAGTCTCCTGAGATACAGACTTGTTCAATGAGAACATTATAGAATAGCACAACTATGACTTGTCTTGATTACATAATTATTTGCTTCCTATCACTTGGAAAAATTCCTATCACCTGGTAAAATTTTGGTTCTTTGACTTGTGTCTTATCATCAGGGATCCAAGCAAAAAAATGATAGTATATTTTCAGAAACTGATTGATAGCAAATGACCATGCCTTACCCCCTATTCCCAGGGCTGGCCCAGAAATAGGCCACACCATAAATCATTTAATGGGTATTTATTGTGTTCCACCCAGGTTCTCAGCCCTGGATCCCCTGGAGATCAAGAAGAAATGTATCTGATATCAAAGAGTTTACAACTCAGTTGGGGGTAGAAGATAAATGAATACACAAGACATAGCAGCCAACAAAACAATAAGTATTAGACTGAAATCGTAAATTGCATGACACTGCCCTTGAAACATCCAGTCTTCAGAGAAGGAAAGGATCAGAGAGGGCCTGGGAGCCAAGGCAGGCTCCATGGAGAAGTAAATAAAAGCCAGGACCCTCTTTTATCTTTTCTCAAATAGGAAACACCAATTTTACTGTCATCATATATGATCAGGTGGAAAGGACCAATCCCAAGAAAGTGAAAGTTTCCTCAAAACCCTGCACCCAAGAGAAAACACTGTTAGTAGGTCAGGATTGGTACACACCTCCTTGGAAGACTCTGTTGGCCGCCTACCAACCTATTCACCCCTCTCTTCTAACTTTTTAAACTAACTTATTATTGGAGTAAAAAATACAAAACATAAGATCTACCCTCTTAACAAATTTTTAAGTGTTCATTACAGCATTGCTAACTATAAACACAACATTATAAAGGAGATCTCTGGAACTTATTCCTCTTGCACGACGAAATCTTTATATCCATTGAACAGCAACTCCCCTTTTCCCAGTTCCCCCAACCCCTGGCAACCACCATTCTACATTCTGCTGCGATGACTTTGACTACTCTAGATAATTCATATTAGTGGAACCATGCAGTATTTGTCCTTCTATGACTGGCTTCTTTCACTTAGCACAGTGTTGTCAAGGTCCATTCATGCAGCATATAACAAGATTTCTTTCTTTTTTGTGGCTGGATAATATTCCATTGTACACCACATTTTCTTTATCCATTTGCCCATCAATGGACATTTCAATTGTTTCTGTAACTTGGCTACTGTAAGCAAGGTTGCAACAAACATGGGAGTGCAGATACCTCTTCAAGATTCTGATTTCAATTGTTTTGGATAAATACTGAGAAATAGAATTGGTAGATCCTGTGGTAATTCTATTTTTAATTTTTGAGGAGCTTCCATACTGTTTTCCATAGTGACTGTACCATTTTACATCAATACAGGACACATGGGATCCAAATTCTTCACATCCTCACCAACACTTGTTATATTTTGTGATTTTTTTGGTAATAGCCATCCTAATGGGTCTGAGGTGGTATCTCATTGTGGCTTTTACTTGCATTTCCCTGATGATTAGTGATGTTGAGCATTTTTTCATATGCTGGTTGGTCATTTGTATGACTTCTTTGGTTAAACATCTATTTGGGCCTTCTGCCCATTATTTATTTATTTATTTATTTTTTTGCTTGGTTTGTTGGAGTTTCTTGTATATTTGGGATATTAATACCTTATCAGATATATAATTTGCAAATGTTTTCTCCCATTCCATAGGCAGACTTTTCACTCTGATTGTTCTCTTTGCTGTACAAAAGCTTTTTAGTTCGATCTAGTCTCACTTGTCTATTTTTGCTTTTGTTGATTTTGGTGTCATATCTAAGAAATTATTGCCAAGACCAATGTCAAGATTTTTCCCTATGTTTCCTTCTAGGAGTTTTACAGTTTCAGCTCTTACATCTTAAGTCTTTAATCTATATTGAGTTGACTTTTGTGTATGGTGTAAGATAAAGGTGCAATTTCATTCTCTGGCATGTGGATACCCAGTTTTCCCAACACCATTTGTTGAAGAGACTACCCTTTCCCCCATTGTGTCCTCTTGGCACCCTTGTCAAAGATCAAGTGACTGTATAGGAATAGGTTTATTTCTGGGTTCTCTATTCTGTTCTATAGGTTTACACGTCTGGCTTTATGCCAGTATCATATTGTTTTGATTACAGTAACTTTATAGTATGTTTTGAAATCAGGAGGTATGAGCCCTCTAGCTTTGTTCTTTTTTCTCAAAATTGTTTTGGCTATTCAATGTCCTTTGTTGTTTCATATAAATTTGGGGATTTTTTCTATTTTTGTAAAAAATGCCATTGGGATTTTGATAGGGGTTGCAGTGAATCTCTAGATTGTTTTGGGTTGTGTGGACATTTTAATATCCTTAAGTCTTCTAATTTATGAACACAAGCTATATTTCCATTTACTTATGTCTTTCTTAATTTCCTTCTCTTCTTTCTTGTGAGGATGAATATGATTTTGTTTGAGCATCAGGAGTCCAAAGGATTTCAGAGTTCCCTTTCCAGCCTCAGGGTATAAATGCGAGCTAGTATTATTCACCCTGGTAGTTCCATAATTAGTTCTAGAGACTGGTAAGGCTCAGGCATCAGATTCAACCCTGGTTAATTAACATAACGGAAGTCTGCTAGGGGCTTTAAGAAGAAGTTTTCCTTCTTAATAAAAGAGAAACACAAGAAGAGATGGTTCTTCCTGACTTTGGACATTGCCATGTAATGAAAGGAAGCCTGAAGGAGTTGCAGCCAACTTACACCCTTTAAAGAAAGTCCAAAGAATGTCTCAGTGGGAAACTAAGAGCCCTGACATTCTTAAGCTGGAAAACTAGCCAACCCTCGAACCAACCGTGCTCTGACTTCCTGCCATGCAACATAATAAACCTCTCTTAATGTTCAAGGCACTTTTGATTAGGTATTTTGTGACTTGCAGCAGCAAACGTAAACCAAATATCCAAGTTTTCTATATATGAATATATACAATTATACATAAACAAGAATATACCATACAAGGTGCCTTGCGACCTACCTCGTTTCATTTATCAACATGTCATGAGGGTCTCTCCATATCATAAACAAAGCTTTCTTCATCATATACATGCATACATTTAATTCATATGTATCTGAAATGGTGCAATAAGTGTGCTAAGAACCAAGGGCTCCCATTCCAGTTCAGAGTAAGGTACAGTGAACACACTATGTCAAGTCTCTTCCATTGAATGAAATTTATAAAACTTGGAAAGAATGCCTGGAGCAGTTATTTGAGAACTATAAAAAGTAAATCACAGCAGGTAAATTAAGAATACCAGAATTCAAAGTATTATACTGTCAGATTGATGGTAAGTTTCCTATTTTACCTCCAGTTTCCCCTGGCCTGTACCCAAGGAAGCCCAAAATCCAGAAGGGGGTGTCAGGACACGGACAGAAACAGCACAGGCAAAGCCCTCTAGTTCTGGTTTGACACACTGGAAAAAGGTCCCCTAATTCTCAGAGAGAGTGGGGGAAATCCCACACTTTTCTTTTCCTTTTTTTTTTCTTTTTTCATTCTCCATTCTCTTACGTCCTAGCCTCAGGGGAATCTCATGGCAGCAGAGGCTGTGAAAGATGTGGCACGAGGATTCCACAACCACCTAAACTCTCAAAGAGGGGAAAGTCTCTCTGCTCAGAGGAGCATGGACAAATCCCCCTTGTTTTTTTTTTTTTTTAATCTCAGTGTTTTTCCACTGCTTGTCCCCAGGAGCAGGGGCAACCATAGCAGAGCAGAGTAACTAAAGCTACAGCTTTCTGGCCAGAGGATGAAAAAGGAGAAGCCCCAGGAACCAGAATGCACCAGAAAGATCACAGAGAAGAAATGCTCTAGATGGCCCACACTCGAGCGGCACATGCGTGGATCTGATCTTCAACAGCAAACCAAAGACTTGAGAACTACACTAAGAGGCCGCCACCTGCATACCCAACTGGCCATTGAGGAGCACATGTGTGCAACAGATATGAATAGCATTATAAATGCTTTTAAAATGAACCCAAAATTGAAACCACATTCCTCAGAGGACTGGTCAGCACTCGCAGCCTAAACCCAACCAGGTTGTTGGCCTATTAAAACAAAATTGTCAACTTATAGGATTTAAATAAGACCCAGAGTTTTATAATATTCAAAACATTCAGGACATAATCCAAAATTGCTCAGCAGTTACAGAACCAGGAAAATCTCAATTAGTATGGAAAAAGACAAACAACAGATGCCAACACCAGATGACACAGATGTTGGAATTATCTGAAACAGACTTTAGAAAAATGTTCCAAGAAGTAATGGTTAACACTCCTGAAATGAAAAGGTATAAAGTCTCAGCAAAGAAATCCAAGATAGAAAAAACAACCAAATGGAAATTTTTATATCAGAAAAATATAATAACCAAAATAAAGAACTCACAGGATAGGCTAAAAACAAAATAGAAATGGCAGGAAAAAAAAAGTCAGTGGATTGAAGAAAGGTAAATTTTAGCAAAAGATCAAATATTAGTGTTATCAAAGTCTCAGAAGGAAAAAATATGTGGTTCTGAAAATTTTTTTGAAGAAATAATGGTTAAAAACTTTCTAAATTTGGCAAAATATGAACCTACAGATCCAAGAAGCTCAGCAAAGCCAAATAATTCATATCTAGATACATCATCACAAACTTCTAAAATCTGTTTAGATTTTAGAAGTGTGTGTTTACACAAAAAATGTGAAAGCATCTAAAGAAAAATGATACATTAGTTATAGGGAAAAAACAATTCAAATGACTGCAAGTTTCTCATCAGAACCCAAGAAAACCACAAGACTGGCAAACTGTTTTTCAACTCCTAAACCAAAAGAACTGTCAAGTCAGACTTCCTTATTCAGTTAAAAAAAAATCCTTTAAAAATGAAGGTGAAATAGGTAGATCCTCAGATACTCAGATAAAAGGTGTTATTGTTTGAATGTATATGTCTCTCCAAAACTCATATATTAGAACTTAACCCCCAAGGTGGTGATAGTATTAACAGGTGAGGCCCTTGGGAGGTGATAAGGCCATGAGGGCTCCACCCTCACAGATGGAATTAGTATCCTTATAAAAGAGGCTTCAGAGAGCTGCCTCCCAACTTCTGTCCCTTCCACCATATGAGGACACAGCATTCCTCCACTTCTGGAAAATGCAGCAAGAAAAGCACCATCTTGGAAGCAGAGAGCAGCCCTCATCAGATATCAAACCTGCCAGCACCTTGATCTTGGACTTCTCAGCCTCCAGAACTGTGAGAAATAAATTTCTGTTATTTATAAATTACCCTGTCTCAGGTATTTTGTTATAGCAGCCCGAACAAATTAAGACAAAGGGAAACTAAGATAATTAGTTGCCAACAGACCTTCACTAAAAGAATTACTGAAGGAAATTCTTCACAGAGAAGGGAGATTATATCAGAAGTAAACTTGGAGGCAGGCACAGTGGCTCACACCTGTAATTCTAGCAGTTTGGCAGACCAAGGCAGGGGGATTGCTTGAGTTCAGGAATTTGAGACCAACTGGGCAACACAGTGAGACCAGTCTCTACAAAAAATTTTTTAAAAAAATTAATTGGGCACGGTGGCTCACACCTGTAGTCCCAGTTATTTGGGAGGCTTAGGTGGGACCACAGATTGCTTGAGCCCAGGAGTTCCCGGCTGCAGTGAGCTGCAATTATACCACTCCAGCCTGACCCTGTCTCAAAAAATAAATAAATAAATAAATAAATAAATAAATAGAAAAAAAAGAAGTACACTTGGAGCACCAGGAATAAAGGAAAAATAGTAAATATCTGGGTAAATGGTAAATATATGTACTAGTCCATTTTCACACTGCTGATAAAGACATACCCAAGACTGGGCAATTTACAAAGGAAAGAGGTTTAATTGGCCTTACAGTTCCACGTGACTGGGAAAGCCTCACAATCATGGCAGAAGGCAAGGAGGAGCAAGTCACATCTTACATGGATGCCAGCAGACAAAGGGAGAGGTTTTGCAGGGAGACTCCCATTTTTCAAAACCATCAGATCTCATGAGATCTATCACAAGATCACGAGATTCACTAGCTCGAGAACAACACAGGGAAGACCTGCCCCCATGATTCAATTACCTCCCACCAGGTCCCTCGCACAACACATGGGAATTCAAGATGAGATTTGGGTGGGACACAGCCAAACCATATCAATATAGTAGGCTATTTTTCCCTCTTGAGTTTTAAAAATATGTTCGAAGGTTGAAATAAAAATTATAGTATTATCTGATGGATTTTCAATGTAAGTAGATGCAATACATAGCACTATTGTAACACAAAAGGAGTATAAACGGAGTTATATGGTGGTAAGATTGATGATTTTACTTGATTGTAAAACATAGTAAACATTAATTCTAAGTAATCAACCTAATCCGTAGTCAATATAAAGTAATCAGAATTACTTTACAGAGTAAATCTTAAATGTGAAAAGCTAAGGATATATATATATTGTAATCCCTAGAACAAGCACTAAAATAAATAAACTTATTTATTTATATTTTGGAATATTAAAAAGTATTCAATTAAGCCAAAGAAGTCAGGAAAGGGCATACAAAGGAACAGAAAATAGAGGTAACAAACAGAAAACAAATCAAATGGTAGAGCTAAATCCAAACATATCAATAATTACATTAAATGTAAATGGTCTTAGTTAGGAATTAGCAAACTGACTTCAAATATAATGAGATAGGTAAGTTAAAAGTAGAACAATAGAAAAAGACATTTCATGCAAAAACTAATAAAAAGAAAGTTGGGGCTGGGCACAGTGGCTCACACCTGTAATCCTAGCACTTTGGGAGGCCGAAGCGGGCAGAAACTTGAGGTCAGGAGTTCGAGACCAGCCTGACTAACACAGTGAAATCCCTATCTCTACTAAAAATACAAAAATCAGCCAGGCCTGGTGACCCATGCCTGTAATCCCAGCTACTCAGAGGCTGAGGTAGGAGAATTGCTTGAACCTGGGAGGCAGAGATTGCAGTGAGCCGAGATCACACCACTGGACTCCAGCCTGGGCAAAAGAGTGAGACTCTGTCAAAAAAAATAAAAAGGAAGGAAGGAAGGAAGGAAATGCCTATATCATCAAAACATACTTCAGAGCACAGAAAATTATCATAAATAAAGAGACACATTACATAATGATAAAAGGTCCAATTCATCAAGAAGACGTAACTATCCTAAGTGAATAAGCTCCTAACAACAGAGCTTCAGAATACATGAAGCAAAAACCGACAGAACTAAAAAAAGAAACAAATCCACAATTAAAGTTGAAGTCATATTGGCTTCTACTCCTGCGTAACAAATTATCACAAATTCACAGGCTGAAAACACAGCACATCAATCATTGCACAGCTTCTGTGGGTGGGGTCTGGGTACAACTTATCTGGATCTTCTGCTTAGGGTCTTATAAGGCTGCAATCAAGGTGTGGGCCAGGGCTGATTTCTCATCTGGAAATTTGACTATGAAAGCTTCTGCTATTAAGCTCCCTCAGGTTTTTGGCAGAAATCATTTCCCTATGGCTATAGGGCTGGGAGCCCCAGACTCTTGCTGCTTGTCGGGTGGATACTTCCCTCAACTCCTAGAAACTACCCTGTTTCCGGCCCCATGGGCCTCTCAACACAACTATTTACTCCTTCAAGGTCAGCAAATGAAATTCCTGGAGCACATCTTCTTGGAAGATGGACTCATATAATGTAACATAATCTCGGAAGTTACATCTGTCACCTTTGCCATATCCTAGTGGTTAGAAGTAAATCACAGGTCCCACTCATACTCAAGGGGAGAGAATTATATGAGAGGGTGAACAGTACACAGGGATCATTGGGTACCATCCTAGTGTCTGTCCTTTACAGAACCTTCAGTAGTCTTTTTTTCTCAATAATCAATACAACTAGTACATAGACAATCATCAAATATATAGGAGAACTAAACAATAGCTTTAACCAATTGGATCTAATTGCTATAAGTAGAACATTTAATCCAATAGCAACAGAATATACATTCTCCTCGAATACACTAATACATATCATATGTATTAGTCATAAAACGAATTTTAACAAATTTTAAAGAATTAAAATCATATAGGCCGAGAGTGGTGGCTCACGCCTGTAATCCCAGCACTTTGGAAGGCCGAGATGGGAGGATCACGAGGTCAAGAGATAGAGACCATTCTGGCCAACATGGTGAAACCTCAGCTCTACTAAAAACACAAAAATTAGCCAGGCATAGTGGTGTGCGCCTGCAGTCCCAGCTACTCAGGAGGCTGAGGAAGGAGAATCACTTGAACCTGGGAGGCAGAGGTCGCAGTGAGCAGAGATCACGCCACTGCAGTCCACCCTGGCGACAGAGGGAGACTCCGTCTCAAAAAATAAAATAAAATAAAATAAAATAAAATAAAATAAAATAAAATAAAATAAAATAAAATAAAATAAAATCATACATAGAATGCTGTCTGACCATAATGGAATTAAACCAGAAACAATAATAGATAACCAAAAAAATCTTCAAACATTTGGAAATTGAAAACCACACATCTGAATAGTCCATGGGTTAAAGAGGAAGTCATAAGGTGAATTAGAAAATCTTTTAAACTGAATGAAAATGCAGATCTGAATTCTCAAATTTTGTCAGATGCAGCTGAAGCAATACTTATGGGTAACTTAGAGTATGGTATGCTTACATTAAAAGGGAAGAAATGCCTCAAATTAATCATCTAAGCCTCCACTTTAAAAAACTAGAAAAAGAAGAACAAAATAGAGCCTAAGCATGTGAAGGAAAGAAATAACAAAGATAAGAGCAGAAAACAATGAAATTGAAAACAGAAAAAATGATAGAAAAAATCTATTAAAATAAGAGTTAACTTTTTTGAAAAGATCAAAAATGAGTACACCTCTAGTAAGAAAAAGAAAAAGAGAAGAAAGATACATATTACTAGTATAAGGATTGAAAAAGGGAATATCACTACAGATGCCACAGAAATTAAAAATATAATACAATGGTCAGGCACAGTGGCTCACACGTGCAATCCCAGCTCTTTGGGAGGTCGAGGTGGGCGGATCTCCTGAGGTCAGGAGTTCGAGACCAGCCTGGCCAACATGGCGAAACCTCGTCTCTACTAAAAATACAAAAATTAGCTGAGCGTGATGGCAGGCACCTGTAATCCCAGCTACTCAGGAGGCTGAGGCATGAGAATCACTTGAACCCAGAAGGCAGAGATTGCAGTGAGCTGAGATCATGCCACTGCACTCCAGCGTGGGGGACACAGCAAGATTCTGTCTCCAAAAAAAAAAAAAAATACATATCTATATATATATATATGTATGTAATAAAGCAATACCATAAACAGTTCTATGCAAGAAAATTTGACAATGGAAATGAACCAACTCTTTGAAAACCAAAATAAATCAATTCATTTAAAATAAAACAGATAACCTGTGTAGTCCTATAACTATTAAATAAATTAAATTCATACTTTAAAACCTCCTGGAAAAGAAATCTCCAGGCCAGATGGCTTCACTGAAAATTCTACCAAACATTTAAAGAAGAAATAACACCAATCTCTTCTAGCATAGAGTTTGACTCATTTTATGAGTCCAGCATTAGCTTAGCTACAAAGCCAAAAGCAGTACAAGAAAATAAAGTAACAGACCAGTAACCCTCATAAACACAGATGCAAAAATCTACAGCAAAATTTTAGCAAGTTGAATCTAACAATATACAAAAAGAATAATAATTATGGCCAAGTGGGGTTTATTCCAGGAGCACAAGTCTGATTCAACATTCAAAAATCAATCAATCAATATAATATACCACATTAACAATCTAAAAAAGAAAAACTTCATAATCATATAAATTGATACAGAAAAGGCATTTGCCAAAATTTAATATCCTTTCATTACAAAAACTCTCAACTCACTAGGAATAAAAGAGAGCTCTACCTCAACTTAATAAAAGGCATCCACAACAAACCTATAGTAAATGTCAAACATAATGGTAAAAGACAGGATGCTTTCATCCTAAAACTGGCAACAAGGTAAAAATGTCCACTCTCTTCACTCTTATTCAAAATTGTACTAGAAGTTAAAGCCAGAATATTAAGATGATTGAGGGAAAAAGTATACAGATTAAAAAAGAAGAAACAAAACTATCCATTTTCATATATAACATGAGTGTTCACACAGAAAATTCCAAGGAATCAAAAAAAAGTAGGGGTAGGGTCTAAGGGTTATAAATGAGGCTAATAGTGAGTTTAGGACTAAGGATAATAAGTGAGTTTAGCAAGGTCACAGGATAAAAGGTCAACATTTTAAAATTAATTATATGTCTGAAAACAAAAAATAAAAATAATACCATTTACAACAACTCTAAGAAAATATTTGGGAATATATCTAACAAAAATTACAGGATTTATAGACTGAAAACTATAAAATGCTGATGAAATAAGTTAAAGAGACCCTAAATAAATGGAAAGACATACAGTGTTCATGGATTGGAAGACTCAGTGTAGTAAAGATGTCAATTCTTCCCAAATTATCTATTGATTTAATGCAATTTCTGTAAAACTCCAAGCCCGATATTTTATAATACAGACAACCTGATTCTAAAATTTATATGAAAAGCCAAAGAAACTAGAATAGCCAGAATAATTTTGAAAAAAAAATAAACTTTCAAGACTCAAACTCCCCAATTTCATAACCTATTATAAAACTACAATAATCAAGACAGCATGGTATTAGTGAAGAAATAAACACATGGGTCAATGAAACAAAATGAAGAGTTCAGAAACAGACCCACACAAATATGGTAAATTGACAATGGTGCAAAGACAATTCATTGGAGGAAGAAAGGATAATTTTTTTAACAAATAATATTGGAACGAGTGGACATTCATATGCAAATGAACGTTGACTTGAACTTCACACCCTACATAAAAATTAACTAAAAATAGATTATAAATATAAACTATAAAACTTTAAATAAACACACACACAGAAGAAAATCTTCATGACCTGGTAATATGGTTTGGTTTTGTGTCCCCACCCAAATCTCATCTCGAATTGTAATCCCTACATATTGAGGAAGGGACCTGATGGGAGGTGACTGCATCATGGGGGTGGTTCTCCCATACTGTTCTCATGACAGTGAATGAGTTCTCATGAGATCTTGATGGTTCTATAAGTGCTTAGCAGTTCCTCCTTTGCGCTCGCTCTCTCTCTCTCTCCCCCTCTCTCTCTCTGTCTCTCCCTGCACCTTGTGAAGAAAATGCTGGCTTTCCTTTGTCATCTGCCATGATTGTAAGTTTCCTGAGGCCACCCCAGCCACGCAGAACTGTGGGTGAATTAAACCTTCTTTCTCTATAAATTATCTGGTCTCAGGTATGTCTTTATAGGAGTGTGAAAATGGACTAATACACCTGGGATTAGGCAAAGAATTCTGAGACATGACACCAAAAGTACTGTTCATAAAAGAAGTGTTTGATAAATTGAATTTCATCAAAACTAAGAACTTCTATTCTTTGAAAAACATTGTTAAAAGAACAAAAAAAAAAGCCAAAAACTGAGGGAAAATATTTGCAATGCATGTAGCTGATAAAGGACTTGTATCCAGAATACATAAAGAGCTCTCAAATCTGAATAAGAAAACAAACCAGCCACAAATGGGCAAAAGATTTATACAGTCACTTTAGCCAAGATGTACCAGTGGAAAATAAGCACATAAAAATATGCCCATTATCATTCATCCTTACGGAAGTATAAATTAAAATAATTAGATACCACTACACACCTGTTAGAATAGCTAATTGTTGTTGTTGCTTAACGGAAAATCCCAAGTGCTAACAAGGATGCAGAGCAAATGGAACTCCTACACACAGCTGATGCAAATGCAAAATTATATGCTTTAGAATATATGATATGGCAGTTTCTTACAATGTTAAACATATCATACCAACCAGAAATCCCACTTCTAGCTATTTACCCAAGGGAAATTAAAACCTATGTCTGTACAAGCACCTGTACATGAACATTTATGGCAACTTTTCCGTAATCACCCAAAACTGAAAGCAACCCAAAGTTTCCTCAACTGATTAATAAACAAACTATGCTACAACCATGCAATGGAACACTACACAACAATGAAAAAGGAGCAAACCACTAACACACACGACATGGGTGAATGCCAGATGCATTATGCTAAGTGAATAATGTCAGACCCAGAAGGCTACATACTGTATAATTCCATTTATATGACATTTTTGCAAGGTCAAAAATATAAGGATATCAAATATATCAGTGTTTGTTGGGAGCTGGAAGAACTTTAGGGGCTACAGAAGAATTCCTTATTCTGATTGTGGTTATACAACTATGCAGTGTTTTTGTTTGTTTGTTTTTGTTTTTTTAATTCTCAGAACTGTATACTAAAAAGGGTGGATTATACTTAAGTTTTTAAATGGAAGGGTGTGGTGTGTGGCACTGTGTATCAATCCTTTTTCTGTTCCTTTACCAGGCACGTGCTGAGCCCTTACTCTGCACCAGATGTGTGAATTCCCCAGTTGTTGGCACCCAAGATGGCACCTCCCTGTAGACCACAGACGGCTGGGCACCCAAAGCAGCATAAGTTTTGCTGCTGCCTCGTCCTCTTGGCCTGATACAACAGAGTTTCATTGCTCAGTTTCCAAGAATGTATTTACTTACAACCCACCAGGAGACCAAAATGAGAGCTCTCCAAAGCAATTTTATCCTCTGGTTTTAAGAACAATTTTGCAATGCCTTTATAGAGCCAGCATGAAACTAAGAATGCATACAATCTCAGTAACAGAAAAGCAGAGTGGGTAAGGCCACACTGCCCTGAGACTCTCCTCCAAGGATTACTTTGGGTCGGGCCCACCCTGATCCTATTGCCTCTCTTCCTGCTCTCAACAGAAACTTGATAAGCACATCAGACCCGTGCTGGAAAACAGGCCTGTATTTTCTCTAGCACGAAGTAATTTCTACCCAGGGACTTTCCTGACACAGTTTGTCAAGCAAATTAGATTGTCAAGCAAATTAAAAGTAGCTGCTAAAAATGTGACCCTGAGCTGCTATATTCTTGTTACTCTGATCAACCCCACCCCTACATCCTGAAATCTGCTTAAGGGCAGCCACCTTCTCCATGGCTCCCCAGTGCCTAGGCCAGTTCTCAGCACACATTAGGTGCTAATACATGGAATCAGTCAGTGAATGAATGAGCGAATATAAAGCCATTCAAAATTCATTTCTTAAAAAGTGTATCTATTAAAGAATTGAATCTACTTGAATGCTTCTCCTCAGTGTCATTGTGGCTGAAGAGACAATGATAGCAGTAAACTCTTCTAACTGATAGGACACTTTTGTTGGGGGCATGGGGTGGACCATCTTTCATATTTGCTCGGCTCAGGAACATTGCATGTGTACAGACACCTTGACAGATCAGGAGGGCCTCCAAAAGCCCTTCCACGTACATAGCTATCAGTGTGACTCCGATATCTACTGGAACAACCCAAACTCTCGACATCTGGGTAAAAGTGAATAAAATCCCTAATTCCAGTGTGTGGAGCCTTCACCAGGATTTTGCAGAATCCCGAGGGACTTCCAGGGGCACGGCCCAGGCAGCTTCTGGGCTGTCTTCCACTCATGCCTCCTCTATTCTGTGCCACATCAACTGGTCCAGATGTGAACTGAGGCTTTCCCCAGTTCTCTCTCTCTCTCTCTCTCACACACACACACACACACACGTACACACACAGCACATAACACAAAACTTTCATGTGAAACTTTGGCAAGTAAACTTCACTGAAGACGAGGGGAGGGGTGTCCATGGGGCCGGCTCCCACAGCATGCAGCCCAGTCAACTCCGAATCAGGTGTCAGGCATTCCTGTTCCCTCTCGCTGACCCGCGCCCAGAGGCCATTGTCCGGACAGCACCCGCACTGGCTGGAACTCCAGGTTTCCCCATCTTGCCTGCTACTCCCTCCTCTTCCTCCGGCCTCCTTCCTCACCTCTCCTCTTTCAAAGGATATAAAACAAATCGTCCTCATTGTCTCATTAAAAGCAGTTTAACATCCTTTTTGTGACCTGAGACCCCTCTAGCACCCTCTTTCTCAGTGGTGTTTCAAGACTTTTCCCAAAGACAGCTCCTCCCCAAGAGGGACCCAGAGCCTGATGTTACAACACCAATGGCCCTGCCCTAGGCCGGGGCACAGCAAGAGCCAGGGGGCTCTGGCCTGGCTCCATCACCACCCCCTCCACGTCAGCAACACCCCTGGCAGAAAAGAGCACAGGACAAGGCCACGCATTCCTTGTCCCCCCTTTCATTAAGTGTCCAAGTAGTTGGATCTAATCCATTAGAGGCCTGGTCCCTCCCTGGTGCAGGACTCATTAAGCCATCACCTCATACCTGCTATGCCTGTCAGGTTCCAGAGTCCTCCCTCTCCCCCTGGCTGTCAGGACCTCAGACTTCAAGTGCTGCCCCCCTTGAAGTATGTGGCACTCCCCTTGAAGTATGTGACACTCCCCTTGAAGTATGTGGCACCCCCCTGTGACCTTCCAGGACCTCAGTGCTCCCTCCCAGGGCTCAGATAGCAGAGTCCAAAGGGAGGCTGCTGTAAAACCGCAGGGAACGTTGCCTTGGGGCTAAGCAGAGAAGCCATCTCTTCCTGGATAACAGAGGTGTAGCTGCAGACCCTGCAGAGTGGGATAATGCACGGTGGCCTCTGAGACCGGACTGCTGGGCCACTGGGCGTGGACCCTTTCGGAGCAGAGTGCACCCTACAGGCACTTTCTGTTTGTCAGAAACATCGTCCTAATAGACTTTGTTAGATCACGACGCTTTACTGCCATCTGCTGGAAGCTTATTATAATAAATACACAAACCTACAGAGTGAATGGTGCCTGCCTTGGTGTGGACTCCAATGGGCAGTGCTTGTTCCCCACAACAGAATGACGACCTGCCCTTGGCCCGGCTCCAGTCCCTGGGCACCGAGACACCAGGAGAGGCCGGGGGTGCACAGTAATGCATCTGGGCATGGGTGAAGCAAAGTCACATGTCCCTTCACCATGCAGCCAGCCCATGCTGAGCCCAAGAATCACATGAGGGAGGAGTCTCATGATATGCTCAGCCTTTGCAGCAAAATGTCCAGAAAAAAATGAATTGCAAATAGGTTAAGGCCCAAAGTAGGCAGTAATACTATGCCCTGGAGAGAAGTCAGACCAAGGTCGGTGTACTGACCTTGTCTTTTGTTTTCTATATTCTTGATGCTTTGACATTGGGGCCCTTGCTTACCCTGGAGGGACTTCCCCTTCCAGAGTGAGGCAGTTCTAAAACTAGTGTGGCCCCTTGGCATGGGGTGCCCCCTCCTCTTGGGAACTGTGAATAACAAACAGTCTTTTCAATGGCAATTCGATCTGTTGGCCTTGCTGTACGCCGAAGTTTCTGTTAATACACTCTACTTTAACACAGTGCATAATCAACATACTAAATAATGCCTGTTTTCAGAAGGAACATATGTGGACTCCAACTGCCATGGCTCTGTCTTTGCTCCAAATCCTAGTAGGATCCTGCTACCTGCCCCACCTGTACCCACCCAACTCCTGGTTTGCCCAGAGCCACACACTCCTCCTTTTATGCATGTTACTTGCTGTGGTCTGGTCTTATTTCTTTCTGGTTTTAGCTGCACTATCTGCCTAGTTTGCATTAAACAAACATTCGAAACTGAATCTCTTATTTTAAAAAGACACCTTTTTACACTCGACCTGACGAGTCTTTCCCCTTGGGGGTGGCAAAGTGTACCTAGGACTCCCAGTTCAGGGTCTGGAATGGGACTCACCTGGCTTTTATCCCAGATCTACTATTCAGTAGCTGTGTGACATCAGAAAAGTTAGGGAGGTAATATGGAGAGTTAAGAACAAGAGCTCTGGGGCTCATTTGTCTGCATGTAGATCCTAGATCTTCTCCTTACCAGCTGGGTAACACTCAGCAAGGTTCTTAACCTCCCTGAGCCTTAGTTTCCTCACCTGTAAAATGGGGACCATAATCATAAAACCCACTTCATAAGTTTAAAGAGGTTAATATTCATACAGTGCTAAAAGCAGACCCTGGTGCAAATTTGTTTAAATTTCTTATAGATGCTTGATATTAGACCTTTGTCAGGTGCATAGTTTGCAAAAATTTTCTCCCATTCCTTAGGCTGTCTGTTTACTCTGTTGATAGTTTCTTTTGCTATGCAGAAGCTCTTTAGTTTAGTTAGCTCCCATTTGTCAATTTTTGCTTTTGTTGCAATTGCTTTTGGTGCCTTCATTATGAAATCTTTTCCTGTGCCTATGTCCTGAATTGTATTGCCTAGGTTGTCTTCCAGGGTTTTTATAGTTTTGGGTTTTACATTTAAGTCTTTAATCCTTCTTGAGTTGATTTTTGTATATGCAACACCGTATTTTCTTAGACGATGAATGTGAATGCTCTTTAGACACTTGCTACTTTGCCACAGTCCCTGCTGCTTCCCAATATCTCAAATTCATTCATGTATTTTACCTCTCTGGCCACTGCAGCCTTAGAGTTTCTGACCCCTACAAGTTGACTGGAGTCCAGGAAAACAATGACTTTCTATTCCAGCAGGCTGGCTTTTTACCATGCCTTCCTGTGCATATTTTATCATTAAAATCATCCATTTTCCCTGGAAGTGCCAGTGATGGGTTTGAGGAAGGTCACAGGAAAATCTAAGGAGCTTATCCTCTTTTTACACCCCTTTTCAGAAAGGCACAGTGGCCAGCCAGTATTCTGTCACTTTGAAGTAGCAGTATAAAGAGGAGCCTGACCACAGGGTCCTTGAAGCTCTGAGCAGTTCCTCCAGAAGCCCCAGGTGAGATGCAGCTGCTGGCTGGGAGCCACAACTTTCCCAGAGCCCAATGCCTGGAGGCCGAGAGCCGGGGGATAGGCTCAACTCCCACAGGGGATGCCACATCCAGGATCACAAAGGTATCAGCAATTCATCAAACATAATCACCACAGATTGTATTCATGGAGGCTGGATAGAATTAGGAAGCTGCAGGCTACAGTGGATGCATTTCTGATTAGAATTTCTCAGCCCTGAGCTACTGAGGATAATGAAAGTCATCACTGGGAGAGGGGCAGAAAAAGGAAAGTAGAGAGAGAAGGAAGGCAGACACCAGTTTGGCCCCCATCCTGATCTCTAAATGGAAGGAGCACAAAGATCCCTCTATAGTTCATTTTCCCTCGGGCTCCTGCAACCTCATCTCTCTTTGAGGACTGGCTGCACCACAGGGGCCCCAGGCCCTCACCTCACACCCACTCAAGGGAATGTCTGGGGTACAGCCCCATAGCTATTTCTCACATATTCCCTGGGTGAGATTTCAGAAGCCCTGCACTAGAGAAAGACAAACAGTAGTAATAAAGACTGCCTTTCACAAGTCTTTCTTTGATGTTTTTAAAATCGTTTTTAAAAATTCTTTAAAAAAAACATATTTTGATATAAAGACCACTAAGGGGCCCCCAAGATTGCAGTTACCTATCATTCATTCTGAAGCGTGGGGAAAGGCGACTGGTGGGAAGGAAAAGTGAGCTAATAGGGGATTTCGCACAAGCATAATGGAGCTACATGGCTCTTATAGGACACATGCCCTATTTTGCATCCTGCCCTATGCTCTGCACGGGACATGCAAAGATGAAAAAGGTAAGCCGCTGTGCACTTGGGACAAAAGACAAGAAACAAAGGACTCCAGCACAAACAATTTGTGCTCAAAGGAGGGATGCCACTGAAACTGGAGGCTAATCTGATTAAGTTGCCAAACTTAACCTTCCTGCCTGCTTTTTTTTTTTAATTTTATTATTATTATACTTTAAGTTTTAGGGTAATGGCTTATTTCTAGTCGATCTTAAAACTCCCACTAGCTTCCTTATAAATAACATCTCTGACTGTGCTTCACGATAGTAACAGTTGCTTCAGGTTGTTTTTTGGGAACTAGCGGTCAGCTCTTGTTTAGTTCAAGCCGGCTGGGACCACAAACTCTTCAACTGGGCCTGCATAGGTACCCAAAGAGGCTTCTATGTCAGAAGGCCAAAAGTTCCACCCTCCAATCATGCTAACACACTTATTTTCTGCACATGTGTCCTATGAAGAGCCATGTAGCACCATTATGCTTGTGCAAAAACCCTTATTACCTCACCTCTCTTTCCCACCAATCACCTTTCCCCACACTTCAGACAACCACAATTTCTCTCCTATAATTACCCCCACACCCGATTTTCAGGGAGGTGGATTTGAGATTTGTTCAACTGTCTCCTCACATGGCAGCCTTGAGAATAAAATCTTTTCTCTTTTGAAAAAAAAAAAATCATCACCACAGTGATTGGCTTGTTTCATGTAGGCAGAAATGAACCTGGTTGCTAACACAAGGGTGCTGAGGGGAGGGTGGCAAAGGCAACTAACTGGGAGAAACCAGGGAAGGCTTCATGGAGGAAGTGACATTGAGATGGGAAAGAGAGGAAGGCTTTCCATGGGGGCACCACCAAATGTCAAAGAGTCCTCTGCAATGGTGGAGGCAGATAGTTAACCACCAAATCTACCCTGGCTGTCTTCCGGTTACAGCCTTGTCAGTGGGCATAAGTCAGCACAGGTGAGCGCCACACTTCCCAGCCTCCCTCTGACAGAAGTTCAGGTCACAGGATGTAAACAGAACTGATGTGCACAATGTCCAGGTCATCTCCAATTTGAAAGGTGAGCCCTTTCAGGAAGAGTTTTAACCAAGGAAGCAGCATGATGCATTTGGTGTTTTTGGAAGTCCCCTAGGACAGCCAGGGCTGAGGGTGAGTAGCCAGGAGGGGAGAAAAGAGCCAGGGAAATTTACAAGAAAGTTCCTTCCATTGTCTAGACAAAAGCAGATGCTCGTCCTGAACTCCGCTAGTGAAGGAGGGGCAGTGAGCAGCAGGACCCCCGTGACAGAGCCTGAGTGCAAGACTGAGGAAGGGCGTGAGTCTGACTCAGTCACCCAACCTCAGTCTCAAAATACAACTTCCTTTCTCATGTTCGCTCCAGCAGTCCATCCTCAAATGCACGGGTGCAGCCCCATATGAGACCCACCCACCCACCCACCCACAGTCAGGACGGCTCTCTTGCTGATGCCACACACCCCAAGACCCATGTGCCACCATCCTGAACATCCCCCAGGAAAGGACTCCATGGATGTGGGCAGCTGAGAAACTGTCCTAAATTCCCTGGGGGAACCTCACCAGGCACATCCAACCCTTCCGAGTCACAGGCAAACCTAAAAAGGCAACCCTCCGGGTGCCTCAGGGCTGTAGGGAAAGGACAGAATATCTCCAAGCCATTGAAAACAACTGAAGACAAGAGAATTATAAAAGAAAATGCTAGATGTGTCCCCAAAATGGTGAGTTAGAGAAGGCACATTTGGCCAGCAAGGATAGGAAAGGGTTGGAAAAGGAGTCCCGCACACATTCGCCTGTTAATAATCTTCATCTATCTCCTGACGCCTCCACAGGGAGGATTTCTCTCAACTGGAAATAAATAACTCAGGGATCAAGGATATAATTGGAGCTCTTGATCCAGAGTGTGACCTTCCACTTTTCTCTATTTATTTTTTAGATTAATCAGAGTCTTTACTGGGCTCATGTCAATAAACAACAGGCTTTTTCAATATATACCACCTGCACATCCAATATATCCAAGAAAATAAAAACATATCCACAGGGATTAGTAGCCATGAATCACCAGGAGCCAAAGAAAAGTGCTGTAGATTTTAATAGCCCCAACTATCTGTCTCTTCTAAATGGAAAAGAGGTCAGCCCAGCCAGCCCATGCTCAGGAAAAGGAAATGTGATATACCTAGCCATATTTTTGATAAAACATTTGCTTGAAGAATAGCTGTGTTCTGATGGCTGCGTCATGCACAAAAACAGGACTTGAAGCTGAAACATAAGCCTATCTGCGATAAAAAAGAAATACAAGGGAAAAAGGGAGCAGGAAGAAAGACAAGAGACAGCAGGAAGGAAGGGAGGAAAGAAGAGAAAGATGAGAAGAAAATCCCAGCAGAGAGCACTTCCTCTTCCCTGTGGTGTGGTTTGGAAAGGCTGCCACAGCTGCAGGGCATTGAGCAACCTGCTCACCTCTTCCAGGACTCAGTTTCTTCAGCTGTAACCCGGTGGAGGAGGCAGGCAAGCGTGTGCGTAGACTTAACAAATGACAGAGGCATCTTTGCAAACCACTAAGGAAAAGACAGATTGTTCAATAAATGGTGCTAGGACATTTGATAACTTAAATGGAAGAGAATAAAATCAGATTCTCATCTCTAACAGCCCACAAAAATAACCCCAGAAGAATTAAAGACTGTTAACAAAATACCATGAGATCTGCAGAGGGAAAAGAGAGCTTTCCTTCCTGAAAGCAATCTGCAGATTAGGGAGGCTCAGACTTCAGTACGAGTGAAAGTGTGCTCGCTGAAGAGCAAAGGGAGTGAATGTTCTTGCCCAGGTTCTCAATCAGGTCCATTTGTTCTAAAAAGGATTCAAACTTGTTCAGTTCAGATGGAACCAAATATTCGAGCTCTGATTGAGTAGTTTCCAACCCTAAAACCAGAAGTTTCTTTCAAACAACTGGATTGGAGTGGGGAAGAGAATGTTCTGGAAGCAGTTTATTTTGGCTCTGGTTATAGGAACTGTTCTGGCTCGGGGATATAAAGCAAAATGTTTGTCAGGAGCTGGTTTTTCTGAGAACCAAGGACATGTGACCATTCTTCATCAGCCCGCATCGCTGCCTGGTTCTGCTTTTAAACTGGAAGCGTCTCTATTATTCACAGGGAGCCTGTCTCTATTAATCACAGAGAGCTTGGAGTCTTATTTTAGTTTTATTTCACAAGGCCTAAATGGAGAAAGGCAAATTTTAAACTTTTATGAGAAAAATAGGCTATCTTTTTAACTCCTACGTAGAGAAGCCTTTGTAAAGAAATCACAAAAAGCATAACCCACATAGGAGAATTTTGGTAAACATAACACATTAAACTTTTTAAACTTTCTTGTAACAAAAAACATCATAAACAGCATCAAAAAACAAAGGCAATAACTGAAGGAAAAAACATTTTTTAGGAAAAAAACACAATTAAAATAAAAACTAGGCAAAAACGAGAAATACAGATAAGTCCCAGAAGAGGAAAACAAATGGCCAGAAACAGGGAAAGATATCAGCCTCACAAGGAATTGGGAAAACTTAAATTCAAACAATAAGACACCATTTTACAGCAAAGAGAGTGGGAAAATCCCTGATAATTCTGAGTGTTGGTGAGAATGTGGAGAAGCAAAAACTCACCTAAAAAGTAGCTGTTGTACCCTGAGAAGCTGATAACCAGAAAGCAATTCCCTTTCTAGGAATATTCAGTAGAGAAGCTCTCACTAACACACACAACAAGATGTCTGGACAATAATATTCCCAGAAGCTTGGCTTACAATATCAAAGATGGTACAAACATCCTAAAGGTCCATCACCAGGAGAATGGCTAAATGGCTTGAGGTATACCTCATCTTTATTTCATTCATACATGGAAAGCTATTCATATATGGAAATCCCAACAACAGGGCTGAAGGGACAAAACGAGGTTCAGGAGGATATGGCTAGTGTGATATGTGATACCATTCGTTTGCAGCAACATTGTAAGCTGCAAAGCAATAGTATGTGTTGTCTGTTATACACAGATACTAGTGCACATGGAAGACACACATGGCTGGTAAGCACCAAGCTCAGGATGCAGCTTACCTCTAAGGTGAGATAGAAAGTGATGAGACTATGCCAGGTTCCATGAAGGAGCATTAGCTGCGTCTGTCATGCTACTTTTTTTTTTTTTTTGAGAGGGAGTCTCACTCTGTTGCCCAGGCTGGAGTGCAGTGGCATAATTTTTTTTTTTTTTTGTATTTTTAGTAGAGACAGGGTTTCACCGTGTTGGCCAGGGTGGTCTCGATCTTCTGACCTCGTGATCCACCCACCTCAGCCTCCCAAAGTACTGGGATTACAGGCGTGATGGCCCATATTTCTCTAAAAAGCTGAATCAGGCTGGCTGTGGTGGCTCACGCCTGTAATCCCAGCACTTTGGGAGGCCGAGGCAGGTGGATCACCTGAAGTCGGGAGTTCCAGACCAGCCTGGCCAACATGGTGAAACCCCATCTACTAAAAATACAATAATCAGCTAAGCATGGTGGCAGGGGCCTGTAATCCCAGCTACTCGGGAAGCTGAGGCAGGAGAATCACTTGAACCTGGGAGGCAGAGCTTGCAGTGAGCCAAGATCGCATCATTGCTCTCCAGCCTGGGCGACAGAGCGAGACTCCGTCTCACAAAAAGAAAAAAAAAAAAAAAAACAAGAAAGAAAGAAAGAAAAGAAAAGAAAGGAAAATAGTATATATTCAAGGTGTTCTGCATGATTTTATATACGTATACACTGTGTCCTGATTACCAAATTAATTAACACATCCTCACCACAAGCAGTTACCATTCGTGTGTGTGTAGGGAGCGGGAGGGAAGTAAGGACACTAAGATCTGCTCCCTTAGATAATTTCAAGTAAATAATGCAGCATGATTAACCACTGTGAGGGATTTAGTCTTACAATCAACTTTCCCTAAAGTACTTCCAGTAAAAAATTATTATTATGAGTATTCCCCCAAAAGGATTCCATTATCCAATGCTTTTAGGAAATAGATATGGTTTGGGTCTGTGTCCTCACCCAAAACTCATGTCAAATTATAATCTCCAGTGTTGGAGGTGGGACCTGGTGGGAGGTGATTGGATCATGGAGGCGGTTTCTCATGAATCATTTAGCACCATGCTCTTGATGCTGTTCTTGCAATAGAGTTATGGTGAGATCTGGTTGCTTAAAAGTACATAGCACCTCCCCCCTCTCTCTCTTGCTCCTGCTCCAGCCATGTAAGATGTGCCTGCTCCCTCTTTGCCTTCCATCATAATTGATAGTTTCCTGACGTCTCCCCAGAAGCTGAGCAGATGCCAGCACCATGCTTCCTGTACAGCCTGCAGAACCACGAGCCAATTAAAACTCTTCTTTATAAATTACTTAGTCTCACGTATTCCTTTATAGCAATGCAAGAACAAACTAATACAGAAATGGTACTTTCTAAATCTCCCTTCTCTGGGATTCACACACACATGAACATATTAAAGGCTCTGAGAAGTCCTGCAAAAAAGAAACTTTATTAACTTGGGTATCAGTATTTCCGAAACTTAGCTAAGCATAGAATTCCTTTCAGCCCCTCACCTCACAGGCCCAGGGATCCTCAGAAACACTTTGGGAGATGCTGGGCTATGAGAGCTCTGACACTAGATGTTTCTATGAGATGTGCTGGGGAACTCAACAAGTAGCTATTGCACCCAAGAGTCTGATGTATGCAAGCCAGGCAGGTGGGGAAGAAGTCTGGGTGAAGCCCAGGACCAATCCCCATGAGCGAAACCTCATTGTCACCACGTTTTGAGAGACAGGGAGAGGAACTCAGCAAAAGTCATGCTCATGACAATCTCAACATTAGATATTTTTCCCTGCAAGTCTCCATCATCCCCATTCACCCACCCCCAACACCACTTCTCCTTCTAGATGCCCCATTTCACTTGGGTTGGACTTCCAACCTCCAAGTCAACCACCCTGTGTGATCCGCTCATCTGAAAGTCCCTGCGCTGGCCATCTCTGTGCTTACATGTGTCTTTAACCTCCGTATTCCCCAGCCTGCCAGGACGCAGTCTCTCCCTCTGCATCAGGATGAGAGCCCCAGGCTCCTCATGGTCCTCCCGCCCACTATGTCTTTTCCTCGAACACATCCTGTACATCCTCCACTCCGCAGGTCACTTTTTCTAGAACACTAAAATGGCCACAGTACCTCTCCACATCCCTATCACCCTGAAAACTGAATCCCTTTCCACATTTGAGCCCTGCTTTCACTCCCATCTTCATCTCCCTTATCCCCAACTTAATCCCCTCTACTGCTGTCCCCAGGATGTGCGGCGGGGCTTCACACCTCCATACTTACCTCAAGCCTCCCCTCACCACGGAACTCTGTCTCACCTCTCTGGGCCTGGCCAGCCGCCTGATCAGACACCCAACCAGCCAGTCAACCTTTCTACTGTGCTCTCTGAGCTCCTTGGAGGCAATTTTCTTACACTGCCACACCTTGCAAGGAACTGAACAGGAAAACATTAACAGCTATTTCTCAAGCAGGGCATGTGACTGACGAGAGAGAATGAGAGGAGGTGAAGGAGGTGCTTTGCCCACGGCACCATTGGGATCTCGATGGATTTAAGTGTTCTAAACATTTTTGACACATAAAACAAGACATGTCCAGATTTCAAAATGGGATATTAGATTTTCTTTTGGCCTCACAAGAACAATAAAGCACTGTAAAAATTTTAGGTTCATTAAATGTAAGGCTTTTCTGTTGTTTTTCCCCAAAATGCTGTCTTCCCTTCTCTCAACACAACTAACCCATCACATAAAATGAATATAAGCCTCAGCCTCCAAGCTGAGAGTCCCCAGAGATCAGGGTGGGCTAATGAGAATTAAAGAGTGGCCTTAATCACATGATCATAGAAATCGATTGTATTCTATTTGAATTTTATGCTTTTGCAAAGCATTTCCCCATTCCATCATTTGTTTGCCATTCACATTAATTATAAGATAGATACAGCAGATATTACTCCCACCTTGCAGAGAACTGTGAGACCAGAGAGTCTAAATGTTTGTTTAAAAATTTGTTGATCAAATTTGAAACCCAGAAGTGTTTTTTTTTTTTTAAATTAACTTTTATGTTAGGCTCAGGGGTACGTGTGAAGGTTTGTTACATAGGTAAACTCATGTCATGGGGATTCTTTCCACATATTATTTCATCACCCAGGTATTAAGCCCAGTACCCAATAGTTATCTTTTCTGCCCCTCTGCCTCCCCCCACCCTCCCCCTTAAGTAGATCCTAGCTTCTCTTGTTCCCTTCTTTGTGTTCATGAGTTCTCATCATTTAGCTCCCATTTATAAGTGAGAACATGCAGTATTTGGTTATCTGTTTCTGCATTAGTTTGCTAAGGATAATAGCCTCCAGCTCCATCCATGTTCCCATAAAACACATGATCTTGTTCTTTTATCGCTGCATAGTATTCCATGATGTATATGTACATTTTTTTATCCAATCTGTCACTGATGGGCATTTAGGTAGATTCCATGTCTTTGCTATTGTGAACCGTGCTGTAATAAACATTCAAATGCATGTGTCTTTATGGTAAGATGATTTATATCCCTCTGAGTATATACCCAGTAATGGGATTGCTGGGTCAAATGGTACGGTAGTTCTGCTTTTAGCTCTTTTTTTTTTTTTTTTTTTTTTTTTTTTTTTGAGACAGAGTCTCGCTCTGTCGCCCAGGCTGGAGGGTACTGGCGAGATCTCGGCTCACTGCAAGCTCCGCCTCCCAGGTTCATGCCATTCTCCTGCCTCAGCCTCCCGAGTAGCTGGGACTACAGGTGCCCACCACCACGCCCAGCCAATTTTTTGTATTTTTAGTAGAGACGGGGTTTCACTGTGTTAGCCAGGATGGTCTCGATCTCCTGACCTCGTGATCTGCCCACCTTGGCCTCCCAAAGTGCTGGGATTACAGGCGTGAGCCACCGCACCTGGCCTGCTTTTAGCTCTTTGAGGAATTACCATACTGCTTTCCCCAATGGTTGAACTTATTTACACTCCCACCAACAGTGTATAAGTGTTCCTTTTTCTCTCCAACCTCACCAGCATCTGTTATTTTTTTACTTTTTAATAATAGACATTCTGACGGGTGTGAGATGATATCTCATTGTGAAAACCCAGAAGTTATTAGTTCTGACAGTTAACATGTATTATTTACTATGTGACAATCATGTTCTAAGACTGTCTTATTTGATCTGATTTAATCTTCCCAACCACGCTATGAAGTGGCTGCTATTATCATTCCCACTTTACAATGAGAAAATTGAGTTTCTTTCCACTCAACCACAACCCCCAGATGAGGAAGGAGACTCTATCGCCCATGGTTCTTGGTTATAAGTGACAGAAACTGAACCTCGCTGCTTTAAGCAAAGAGAATATTTATTAGAAAATATATTGGGTTTGGATGCAAATGGCTTCCAGCTGTCAGAAAAAAAAAGCCTATTGGTTTCATAGCTCATCTTTATTATATTTTTATATTCACTATTGTTTTATCTGAATGTTCTCTTCTTTCTTTAATAAGTAAGTTCAAAGTTGATGAAAGATGATGCACTGCATATATGTCCCAGTTAGGAGTTTGCGATTTCTCACTTGATTTAAATGTGCTAAAGCAACTTCCAAACTGCCACACTTTTTTCAGCTTTTAGAATGAATTTTGCGTCTGATTTAAAGAAAAATAAGTATATAGGCTGATTGACAGGAAGAGATGGAAAACCACTCAAGAGGGGATAGAGAAGCACTCTGAGGCTTTGCAACCAGAAGCAAAGCCCAAGTTCATCCCGCAGACCCAGGCTGGGGCCTCCCCCCAGCCACTGACCCAGGGCATTGCCCTGGCCCAGCACACACCGCCTACAGCCCCACTGTCTTCACCACCGCAGATGCAGTCCCTGACTACCATTCAAACCCTGGGTAACCTCAGGACTGGCCAAGCCTAAGTTCCATGCCTTACGCTGGTACTGAGGGAGGTGGGAAGAAGAGAAGCAGCATGTCCAGCTTCAATTATGGGAAGTGGGCCTGGATCCACAAGGTGGGGAATTCCCCACACATAGCAGGGGCAAGTCAGATGCTGGACAGCTCAGAACAGCAGGGTCCACATATAGACAGGTGAAAGCCACTCAGGAACGGAACTGAGCCTCCCCTGCCTGTCCTTTGTGCCACCTTTCCACGAAGGCCATGTGGGTTTGCTGGAGGGTTGTGGGGGCAGGGAGATATCTGCCTTTTCCAGACAGTTCCGCACACAGTTTCAGAACATCGTCTAAGGTTTCTAACAATAGCCTCGGAGTATTTCCGAGATTGCACTGCGCTCCTCCTGATGCTGAAGACCTGCCAGCCCACTGCTCTCCCGGAAGATGTCAGGGAGGGGTATGGAGACCCTTGGGCCACCCTTGTGTCATTCCTGAGTCAACATCTGCAAGCTCAGTGCTGTGGAGGAAAGAGAGTGGGAGGAAGAAAAAGAAGGATGAAAATGGAGATGGGAAAATGTAGCCCCTCCGGTGCCATCCCAAAGGGTGGAGCCCAGGGTTCCTGAGCCACTGGCTCACCCTGAAGGCTTGTCCAGGACGGTTCCCGAGCCCCTCTTCTGCTTCAGCCAGGTGGCACCAGGAGGGGCCCTGGCTGCCACAAGAAGATGGCCTTTCCTCAGTCACACCTCCCAGTCTTCTTGGCACCCAGGATGGCAAGTAAAAACAGATATTGGAGTGGAGGGTGTTTATTTTACCATGACCCAGCTGCCTTCCTCCTTCTTCCTGGATGAAGCCTTCTCTGATCCCTGACCCCTGACCCTCTGACTTCCTGACCTCTAGACCCAATAGTCTGGTGCTATTCCCACCCCTCCTCTGTGCCTCCCTGGTACATACTTACTGCATCACACCCCATTTTATGTATTTTTCACATGCATGACTTGATTTCCATGAAGGCAGGGATTCTATTTTATTTCAAGGTATAACTCCAGAGCATAACAGTATGCCAGAGCATATGCAGTCCCAATATGCAAAATTCATTTTAAGGATTTATTAATTACAAGGCTGCTTGTGCTAACCAATTTCTCAGTACTTATCAAACAGCAAGAACTTGAACTCTTTCTGCCCAATATTTACCAATAGCTCAGCTATAGAAAACAATATTTATGAAAACTTGTCAGCCTATTTATTTTTGTAGATCAGAACTCATGAACTGGCAGCCCAAGGCTGAACTTGGTCCTCGGAGTATTTAGTTGGGTCTTTGTGGTCTTTGTAAGTGGGAGTGGAATGCCCTTACCAGAGCTGGTACTCACCAGCTCCCCACCGGCCTGCCTTCCTGCTATCACACACAGCAACTGCCTGCCACACCCTGGAGGCATTCGGGTTTATCCCTCCTGCTTCAGATGTGCTAAGATGTTACTTTCGGAGGAAGTCTAAGACCAGACTGCTGCATGCCTGGGCCTCATTGCTGGGTACAATGTTAACTCCCTTTACTGAGTTGAGCTTAGATGATGTGCCCACAGCCAGTGCCAAGGATGCAAGACAGAATAGTCCTGTGCAAGACACTCCTCCTCGTGTTCTTGTAAGAATGGTTTGATGATGTGGCCCTGGAAGTGAGGAGCCTTTAGAAGTACCCACTGGAGTCACTGGAGCCAGGGGTCTTTACGCCTCTCCTGAATCACTGATTGATGAGGAATCTCTTGAAATTCCATAAATCCTGTAACTATACAGTGCTAGTGATTGTGTCTTCCTCTTGAGTGAGTGCTTAGAAAAACATAGAGCTATAGTTTAGTCCACCTCTAGAAAATCATCTGAACCTCCTGGATGTATTTTCAGTGAGAACTATTCCTCTGGTTCCATTCCTTTCCACTGTTTTCCTTCCATTTTTTTTAACCATGTTTCAATTGCAATGTATCTTCCTGACTAATCTTTTTAAAGGAATGTAAAATAAAAACAATGATATAAAAAGACTGGTTGACCAACTGATGACCTGAAAACTATGAAAAGGACACAGTAGATGAGGAGGTGGGAAAAGAGCAAAATCTAATCAACATCTCGTGGAGAACCCAAGTCTTCCACAGAACCTAGCACCACTGTAGTGCTTGCTGTATGGCTATTGAAATTGCTTTAGTATTTATTAAAGGAATAAAAGAACCTCAGAACTAGACATGGCAAGAAATGTCCCTGTGTGGTCAGGTTGATCTGGCACATGATAGGAAATCAGTAAATGTTTGTTGAATAAATAAATAAATGAGTAAAAAAATTGAACAAATGAACAAGCAGCGTGGCGAAGGTCTAAAGATGCCGAACCAGAAAGCTTACAGAACAGGAAGTAGTGTCATCGTCACTGTGATTAAGGTAAGCCCCTAGGATAAATGGTCGGTAGACAGGAGAAAGCTGCCTGCACCTTCAGTTACGGCCAGCCCAGAAAAGGTGGTAATACTCAACACAACATCCCTCCAGACACAGTCAGGATGGTGGCAGCACCAAAACAGCAAAAGCCTTCCTGGGGCCTCCACCACCCAAGTCCAATTTCAACACTTTATTGTTCCCCCACTCCTTGCCCAGTTCAGTTTTCACTCTGTGTAATTGCTTTCTCTGGATTTGGCCAACTTTCTCTGGAATCTTCTAGAAAAGCAATATGAAAGCTGTTGCAGCCACACCATCAGTCCAGAGTTTCCCAAAGTCTTCCAATTCCAACTGATACTGGATGTTCACGAGGGTCTCCTGAAACGTTTGATAGTTGCCAAACCTCTGAACACCCACAGCACACAATGTCCCCATTAAATGCACGCAGCATATTTGAGATACTTAAATAGCTTCTTAAACCCTTAGTGAAGATTATCACATACTCAAAACTGAGCAAAAACCACCAAGACCTAAGAGAGCAGTGGCTGTTCCGGATGTGGCTAGGTTCACTCACCAGCTCCTCTGTGCCGGCCTCACGAGAATCAATATTCAAATTTTTGTCTCTAAAAATGACCATTCATCGTGTGTTAAGGGCTTTCAGGGTGCTTTGCAAATAAATAGTTGAAACCACAAATATATCAAATCCTCTAATGCTTAGGGTCTAAAGTCACTCTTACTCCAAAATTAATTTGCACTCTCTCTCTTTCTCTCTCCAGCCTCAGAAGAAAAACTATTAAAGTGCAGACATCAAAATCCTGAACAACAGCTTTAATAATGCTAGAGAGGCAAACCTCAGAAAAATACTAAAACAGCATCAAAAAGGAATCAAAATACCAGCCACAATTCTATTTCACCCCCCCAACAATTATCAAAATAACTCAACTCTCACTCAATATCATGTGTGTTTTCTTCATTAAATTTACAGTGTACCTCATCTCATCACCCTCCCTCCCCTCAAATGCGTCGGTATTACTTTGCCAGTGAAGTCTGGTCTGAAGGGAAAATTCAGACTTCAAATATTAAATCTGAGCTTCACAGAGTAGTAATGAAGAAATCAGACAGAAAACCTTTGTAATAACAGACTCAGACAAAAATAAAGCCCTGGAATCAGCTGGAATAGCCACGTCTAGTTTATGGAATCAGTTATGCTCTTAGACCTTCTGGGCCCGGCGACTTTTGCTTTGGGCTCCTCTGTATGTACGGGCATGGATCACCCAGTTTTTTTAAAGCTGCTGTCAAAAACTGTCTCTAGGACCACAACTAGACTCATTATCAATTTATCTCCTTCCCCTGTCTACCTCCCAGGCATCACCAGTCTCACCACCTCCTAATTTGTTCTGCATCTGGTGCCATAGTACACTCACCCGCTCTGAAACATGCATGTAAAACAGGGTGGGCCTCCCAATTCCAATGCCTTAAAGGCTAGGGAGATCAGCTGAGAGTAGAAAAATAAATATATTTTTGGCTGAGTGTAGTAGTTCGCACCTGTAATCCCAGCACTTTGTGAGGTCAGGGCAGGAGAATAGGTTGAGCTCAGGAGTTCAAGACCAGCCTGGGCAACACAGTGAGACCTCATTTCTACAAAAAAAAAAATTTTTTTTAATTAGCTGGGCACGGTTGCATATACCAGTAGTCCCAGCTGCTCAGGAGGCTGAAGCAGGAGGATCAATTGAGCCCAGAAGATCAGGCTGTACTTAGCTATGATTGCACCACTGCACTGTAGCCTGGAGAACAAAGCAAGAGCCGATAAAAAAAAAAAGAAAAAGAAAAAGAAAGAAAGAAGAAAGAAAGAAAGAGGGAGAAAGGAAGAGAGAGAAAGAAGAAAGAAAGAGTTTTTAGAATGTATTTGATTACTATCTTGTTCTGCGTACAGTAACCCTGACAAAGTTTATTCAATTATTTGAAACTCTAGCATAAAGCAGCACCATCCAACCATCCAACAGAAGTAGAATGCAAGACACATACTTCATTTTAAATATTCTAGTAGCCACATTTTAAAAACTGAAAAGAAACAGGTGAAATAAATCTTTTAAATATTTTTTATTTAACCCAATATAGCCAACATATTCTCCCTTCAATATATAATTAACATGGCGTTGGTGGTAGAGTGGTGAGCATAGCTGCCTTCCAATATATAATCAACGTGTCTTCCAAATCTGCACTTACAGTGCATCGGGATGCAAACACTAAATTTGCATCAGACATACTTAGAGTTCATCAAATTTATAGCTGAAAGAGTAGATTCACATGCCCAAGTTGTTCAGACATAAAAGTTCTCCAACAATTAAAGGAGTATTTGTTTTTAATTTAAAATTTTGATTAATTAAAATTCCAAAAAAGTAAAAATTCAGTTTGGTCACCCTGGCCACATTTCAAGTGCCCAATGGTCACTTGGAGCTACAGGTTACAGCCTTAGGCAGAGCAGGTTAGGACAAGGGCCACCTTTATGGTATACTCTAAGAGTTGGGCTCTCACGTCAGTCCAACCTACGTCGAAATTCTGGCTGGCACATTTACTAATTGTGTGACTTTGGGCTAGTCACTTAACCTCTGTGTTTCCTGTTTCTCTTCTGGAAAATGGGGCTAACAATACCTACCTCTTAAAGCTGTTAAATGAAATCCCAGCTGTAAGAGGGCCCTGCTGTAGGTACCTAATAAACATTACCTCCTACTCACCCATTGAAACCTCCTCACCACCTTTTTCCAAAAACTGATTTTGTGAGTAGATAAGGCAATTTGCATATAACTTGAATTTAAGCTAAAGCACCCTTCCACCAAAGACTTTGAAGATTCTGCTCAGTCTTGTGAGTACCACTAGCAGTAGGCACATAGTAGGCCCTCTGGGCCCCTCCATTCTAGCCAGTGCCACTGGCATTTTAATTATCTGCTGACAACAGCAACTCTCCCACTGGACTGAGAATAATTTTTATGGGTTTTAGCTCTGCAGAACCAACACATACACAGGGCCTGGCACATCCCAGGAGCTATTAAAATATGGTTTTTGAACAAAGGAATGAATCACTCTATAATGCTATGTGTGAAAAAGAGGGGGAGGAGGAAAAACTTGTAAAATATGTAAGCCTTATCCTAGCATTATCTAGGGCAGAAATGATGCCTTCTAAATTAGCAGAGACAGCATTATCCAGGAAGTCTTCCCTGAACATACTGGCCCACAGGGTTCTCAAACTGTGCTGAAGATGGGTGAATTTTGGAGAACTCCCCAGCAACTGTGCATAGAATGCTACAAAATTGTTCTCCAGCCCTTCCATCAAACAGTGTGGCCTCTCCATCTCTTTCACAGGCTGGTTCCTGTGACTTTCCTACCTCCTCTCCTAGCAGGTAAACACCTATTCATCCCTTAATACTCACCTTATTCATTTCATCCTCTGAGAGGCCTCCCCTGGCTCTCTGCCCTTCTGTGCCCCTGCTCCCATTGTGCCGCTTTGGGACCTACTACACAGTTCTCTGTTGTACCCAAGGGTTCTACATTTCAAACTATTTGCTTCATAGCTGTCTTTCCCCCAGAGCTGAGTGTGAACACCTTGAGACAGGAGTTCTGTGTCCTCAGGCCAGCTCATTGCCTACTGCAGGGGCTGTGGCGCCAGTGTCTGCAGAACAGAACTGAATTGAATCAAATTAAAATCTTTCATCCCTTGCGTGTGACACTTTTAATGACTAAAGTTCAGAGAACCGAGTTTTCTAGTTTTCTGTAGGATTTTCTAGAATTTAATTTTTGTAGCACTTTATCTTTCCAGGAACCAAGACCCCAGCACGTGTCTCTAAAGCCCAAGAGTGGGGCAGAGATCAGGCATGAAGGTGGCTGGGGGAAAATGGGGGAACTTCCACTTCCTGAATACCACCTCTGAGCCCAGTGCCCAGGTGCCACTTACATCCTTGTGCCACCAAATCCTCGCCATGTTTCTGCCATGGGTGCTGTTATTCTCATTATATAGACAGGGAACCTGAGGTTCAAAGAGGTTAAATAACTCCAGAGAGCTTTCGGTGGAGCCAGGGTTCCAAGCCAGCTCTGTTGAAATCCAAATTGAGTGTTCTTTCCACTACATTGTGTTGCTTCTAGGTCCGGAATGGTAGCTTGCAAAATAGGAAAGACACAAAGAAAGGGAGGGCAGATTTTCAAATTTTGCCAACAGCCAACCTTGTCTCCCAAAGTTCAACAGGCCATAGAGGAGCCATAGAGAAGAGGAAGAGAAGCAGCTGCGTATATCTTCATTCATTCCACAGGTATGTATTTAATACTCAGTATGGTGCAGACATCACGTATGTAAGAGGCTCTTGGAAAGATGAAAAGTCCATGAGTTTAAATTCCAACTGTGTCCCATACAGCTGTCTAACTTTGGACAATGTACTTAACCTCTTGGAGCCTCCATTTCCCTGTCTGTCAAAGAGCGATAATCTACCATGCAGATTAGAGCTAATATATGTAAAGAATTCAACATAGAACATGGCCAATAGCAGGCAATCAACCAATGAAAACTATTATTATTGCAAAGTCAAGACAAGAGCTTTGCCCTCTGTGAATTTAGTCTATCAGGGGAGAGAAACAAGTAAACAAATAATCTAATGATTACATATTATGCGGCAACTTACCAGGAAATCAGGGAGTGCTCCCACCCCCAAGTGGGCTGCCCCCCACTCACGGGAGGTGTTCTTGAGCCCCCCAACCTGTTTGAGCATTCTCCCTCTCTTTCTCACTCTCCACCTAGAGATGTCCTAGAAGTGATGCGGAGGTCCTGTCTACATCACCGTCGGAGACTGGACACCGCTGCCCTCAAAGCTGACAGGAGGACAGCTCAGCTGGGCAGGCAAGAAAGCCCCAGCCCCTGCGCACAAAGGAAATGCACGAGCCCTCAGCTTGACACAGGCCATCCCCTGATGCTGGGGTGTGCAGGGCATGTGGCTGACTCCATAGCATGCAGGGCAAACGATAATTAAATCAACCTGCATGGTTCAGGCATTCAGGCGTTTGAAATGGGCACTTGTGTGGAATGGATTCTAAAATGATAACACACGGCTTATTCTTTCTTTCCTTTTTACTCTGACAACATTGTGACTAATGGCTTTACTTTTAGGGTTTCTGGATCATTGAGTAAATTTTAGGGTCATTAGTGAGGGCAAAAGCGGCTTTCTCATTCTTGATCTGTTTGCCCTCAAAATATTTTCCTCTCTACTCCTTTCCATGGCTGTCATGATCAGCATGAGTGCCCTTGATGTGGGGTTTAATGCCATGTGGTCCACACAGTCTCCACAGACCAAACAAATCAACAGTGACAACAGCAAGGCAGCAGATCATTAAGCGTAAAGGAACTGTAATGGACGCATCAGTCAATTTGAACTGCCCGGGCAGCCCCTATCTCCTGGCCGCCTCCCTCCCCACGGGGCTTTTCTCCAGGAATCTGTTCCCATAGCACCTGCTGAGCTGGCAGCTGGCCAAAGGATTCTGCTCCCAACCAGAGCTGGTTAAACCTGGAGTTGGTACCTGACACAGCTCCAGCCATCCAGCTGGCTGGCCAGCAACCAAATACTGTCTCTCCCTGGAATCTGAATTAAGGGACACAGCTATGCTAATCCGTAATGGGTGATGGAATTGTCATAACATGCCAATTTGGGGCTGGGCTGGTGGCCCCTTGGACTATGTGCATGGCAGAATGCAAAGAGGAGAATAAGAATCAGGGAGACACTGACAGAAACAGAGATGGGGGTGCTCAACCCCTGGGGAAGAGGTCTGTACAGGAGCCCACAAAGTACTTTCTACTGCCTGTACCTGGGGTCATCAGGTCTCCTGGATGAAGCAGGAACATTTCACCTGGAAGGCCCTGGAAACCTTCCTAATATAGCCACCTCTCTTACACATGGGCAGACTGAGACCAAAGAGGAAAATGCTTGACCAGGGCTACCAGAAGTATCAAGGATGGACTTTACACTGGACTGTCAACTTGGCTAGGCTATGGTGCCCTGTTGTTTGCTCAAGCATAGCCTGAATGTTGCTGTGGAGGTATTGTGTGATATAATTAACATTTAAATCAGAAGACTAAGTAAAGCAAATGACCCTCCTTCATGTGGGTGAGCCTCATCCAATCAGCTGAAGGCCTGAAGAGCAAAAACTGAAGTTTCCCAAAGGAGGAATTTAACCTCACAACCGCAGTGTATAATAAGCAACCTCAGCAGTCTCATGACACAAAATCAATGTGCAAAAATCGCTAGCATTCCTATATACCAACAACAGTCAAGCTGAGAGCCAAATCACAAATGAACTCCCATTCACAACTGACACACACACACACAAAAAAAAAAATACCTAGGAATACAGCTAACAAGGGAGGTGAAAGATCTCTGCAAGGAGAACTATAAACCACTGCTCAAAGAAATCAGAGATGACACAAACAAATGGAAAAATATTCCATGTTCATGGATAGGAAGAATCAATATCATGAAAATGGCCATGCTGCCCAAAGCAATTTATAGATTCAATGCTATTCCCATTAAACTACCATTGACATTCTTCACAGAAGAGAAAACTACCTTAAAATTCATATGGATAACTAAAAAAGAGACCAAATAGCCAAGGCAATCCTCAGCAAAAAGTACAAAGCTGGAGCCATCATGCTACCCAACTTTGAACTATACTACTGGGCTACAGTAACCAAAACAGCATGGTACTGGCACAGAAAGAGACAAAATAGACTAATGCAACAGAACAGAGAACACAACAGTAAGGCCACACACCTACACTATCTGACCTTCCACAAAGCTGACAAAAACAAGCAATGGGAAAATGATTCCCTATTCAATAAATGTTACTGGGATAATTAACTAGCCATATGCAGAAGATTGAAACGAGACCTCTTCCTTACACGACATACAAAAATTAACTCAAGATAGATTAAAGACTTAAATGTAAAACCCAAAACTATAAAAAACCTGGAAGACAACCTAGGCAATACCATTCAAGACGTAGGCACGGGCAAAGATTTCATAATGAAGACACATAATGAAGCAAAAGCAATTGCAACAAAAGCAAAAATTGAGAAATGGGATCTAATTAAACTAAAGAACTTCTACACAGCAAAAGAAACTATCAACAGAGTAAACAGACAACCTACAGAACAGAAGAAAATTTTTGCAAACTAGGCACCTGACAACGGTCTAATATCCAGCATCTATAAAGAATTTAAACAAGATTGCAAGAAGAAAACAACCCCATTAAAAGGTGGGCAAAGGACATGAACAGACACAGACACTTCTCAAAAGAAAACATACATGCAACCAACAAGCATATGAAGAAAGCTCAATATCACTTATCACTAGAGAAATACAAATCAAAACCATAAGGAGATATCATCTCACACCAGTCAGAATGGCTATTAAAAAGTCAAAAAATAACAGATGCTGATGAGGTTGCAGAGAAAAGGGAACACTTATACACTAAATTAGTTCAACCATTGTGGAAGATAATGTGGTGATTCCTCAAAGACCTAGAGATCCAGCAATCCTATTACTGGGTATATACCAAAAGGAATATAAATTATTCTGTTATAAAGACACATGCACATGTATGTTCATTGCAACACTATTCACAATAGCAAAGACATGGTATCAACCTAAATGCCCATCAGTGATACACTGGATAAAGAAAAAGTGGTACATATACAGCATGGAATACTATGCAGCCATTAAAAAAGCATGACATCATGTCCTTCACAGGGACATGGATGGAACTGGAACCATTATCCTTAGCAAACTAACACAGGAATAGTAAACTGAATAAAGCATGTTCTCACTTATAAGCACATAAAAACAGTCTTTCTGTAGCATGTACTGAGCACTGAATGGGTCAAGATGCTTTCCCAAGAGGCTGAACTAGTCAAAGAGGGAGTCTGTTGCCTGGCGTAACCTGGAAATGCAAAGATGCTTCCTGTTGCAGCAGAGCTGCATCCTGGGCCTAAGGATGCCTCCAGGCTCCTTGTCTATGGATGGATTGATATGCATCCAACTCTCCTCCTCTTCCTCCTGCATGTTGGCTTTGTTCTCAAGCAAGCTCTGCCTGTGTGGGTCCGAGGTGGCCACCAGCAACTCCAGGCCCCATCCCCTCTGTTCCAGTCTTTCCAGCGAAAGTCTCAGAATTGAGTTGCACTCAGCCTGGATAGGGTCACATGTCCAGCCCTAAACCAGGTTCTGTGACTCTGGCTGGCCTGGCCAGGGTCGTGTGTCCCCTACAGGAGCAGGTGGAAGACGAATGAGCATTCCAAAAGGACATGAGGGTGGTGTATGAGAAGGAAAAAGGATGCTGGCAGGCAGGTGCGACAGATGGCCGTGACAGGCCCTGTCCACGCACTCAGCTTTCCAGGCCCACATCAGCCAGTCTTCAGAGCAGCCCAGTATGTGTTCATGGCCATTTTACAGATAAGAAACTAAAGCTTAGGGCTACATTCCCACAGCAAGCACAGGGTGAGCGGGATTCAAATCCAAGTCTTAGTTCCCGAAATGGATCAAAGTTCCTCAAGGGTGTTGGTGCCTCTGAGATTCTCCATCAGCTTTGGCACAGTCTGGCTCTCCCAGCACATCTTCTCCAAGAGACTGAGCAGGATTCTTTAATCTGGCATGTTGCTGCCCAGCCACGGGCTCCAGCCTTCTCTGGAATTCTCCTGTCCAAATTCCCCGGTCACCTTCTGCTCCTGCTCCTGTGTGTGGTGATGCTTCACAGCTGGTTCATCACGTGCTTGCAGTACCCACCACTGTCTCATTCATGCTTTGCGTGTCAAGCAGCCACACTGCTGCCATGTGACCACTACCTGCACGGTGTGAGGTGGGGCAACACCAGTCTGCCTCCTCCTAGACTTCCAAGCACCCTTCCGAAGAGTGGCCAAAAACAGGCCAGCATTTTTAATACTTTGGGAATGGGTTGGCCAACATTTGAAAAAGCTGCAGCTTAGCAGATATGCTCACAAGCTACATCTTCTAAAGCCTGACATTGGTTAGGAATTAAGGTCGGGTCCAGGTCTCAGTATTAATAATTCTTTCTCTTTATCACCTGAATTTTGCTGTAAAGCAGTGCTGACCAATAGAAACATAATATGAATTATATATGTGATTTTCAACTTCCTAGGCACCACTTTTAAAAAGTAAAAAGAAACTGGGAGAAATAATTTTATTTAACTCAATGTGATCATTTCAAATATGATCTCAGATATGATCATTTCAACATGCAGTCAATGTTCTAAATTATTTACGAGATACTTTACCTTCTTTTTTTCAAAATCTTTAAAATCCAGCATATAGTTTACACTTACAGCATATCCCAGCTGAGACCATCCACATCTCAGGGGCTCAGGAAATACACAAGGTAAGCTGAACAGCTCGCGTCTCAAGGATTAGGTACAGAGGTTGGGGCTAGCAAGTGGCGGCTATTTATGACCCCAAAGTCACAAATTCCTATTCTGTGACTACATAGAAATCAAGAAATCACTAAGGCGCTGTCTCTCTCCTTCGCTTCACAACCATGGGGCCAGGTGATGATCTCTGACTCCCTTCCTCATCTACACTGCAGCCCACTTCAGCTTAGGGCAGATCCCTGGCGCCGTAAAGCGAGGCAGAGAACAAAGCCAGAAAGTATGAGTACACGCATATGCGCCCAGTGTGCACATGCCACCTCAAGCCCATTCCAGGCTCTGTTTCCAGCCAGGTCATCTGTAGTGGGCAACATTATAGGTTGCCACATAGGACCACATCACCTGTTCAGCAAAAGCTTCTTCAATAACTAAGAGAGAGAAAAACAACTTTTTAAAGCAGTTATCACATATCTGAAATTATCTTGCCATTCCGTACTTTCTCATTGTCTTAAATCCTCCTGACACCCCAAAGAGGTGCATCTCATGGCCCCTTTCAGTCAGTGGAAACAGACACTCAAAAGAATGTCAGTAGGCTGCCAAGGGCCACATAGGTTGGTAATCACAAAGCTAGATTCAGACCCAAAACTACCCGCCTCTCAAAGTACATGTTCGCTTCCCCACACTCCCCACAAATCAAACCTTAACAACTGTCTTTGTCAGCTCAGGCTGCCATAACAAAATACCATAGTCTGGGTGGCTTAAACAGCAGGAATTTATTTCCTCACAGTTCTGGAGGCTGGAGCCTGAGATCAGTGTTCCAGCGTGGTCAAGTTCTACAGGGCCCTCTTCCATGCTGCAGACAGCCACCTCGTCACCGTGCCCTCACACGGCGAGGAGAGCAAGGAAGTTCTCTCTCTCTGCCTCTTCTCTTAAGAACACCAATCCTGACCAGGCAGTGGCTCATGCCTGTAATCCCAGCACTTTGGGAGGCCGAGGTGGGCGGATCACGAGGTCAGGAGATCAAGACCACGGTGAAACCCCGTCTCTACTAAAAATACAAAAAGTTAGCTGGGCATAGTGGCGGGCGCCTGTAGTCCCAGCTACTTGGGAAGCTGAGGCAGGAGAATGGCGTGAACCCAGGAGGCGGAGCTTGCAGTGAGCCGAGATTGCACCACTGCACTCTAGCCTGGGCGACAGAGCGAGATTCCGTCTCAAAAAAAAAAAAAAAAAAAAAAAAAGAACACCAATCCTGATGGGTCAGAACCCCACTCTCGTGACTCACTTAACGTTAATAGAGTCACATTTGGGGTTAGGGCTTCAAGATATAAATTGGGGGTGACACAAACATTCAGTTCCTAACAACACCTAGTACCACTACTTCTGCCAAAATGTCAAACTCTGCCCTTACCCCAGATCCCACACCTCTCAACCCAGTACCCCCACCCACCTTCCTGCCCTATCTGCCACATGCTACCATCGGCAGCTCCCACAGCAGGAGGTGCGCAGGGGCCACCCAACTGAGGAAGGGGCTGATGAGCTGTTGATGTCCAGTTACACTCCTGACCTGTGACCACTGGCTCCCCTTGCCTCTAGGTCTTGAGGGCTCCCTGACTCCCGGCTGCCCCCTGACTTCTGGCCACTGGCTGCAGTCTGACTGTTGGCCTTTGTGTCCCACTCCCACGCCTGGCTCTGATCCTTTCTTCCCCGTTGGGCCTCAGCTCCCCAGTCCTGCTGCCCATGCCATCTGCCCAGCCACCCAGTTACCTGTGGTCTCCCTGAGGTGACTGTCTGGTGGCCCTTCCCACTGTGTCTCCCACATAGCAGCCACTCCCTCACCCTGCCATACATGGGCTACAGGTATCCCTGTGAAGTGGCAGCTACACAGCCTCTCCGATAGGCTGGAGGCCAGGCTGGTTCCCAGGATGGAGGTGGGTGGGTGAGCTCTGCACCAAATGTATAAATAGAGCATCCCAGGCGTTAATTATCTCCCTCCAGCACATCATCAGAGGCCATTTATGGAAAACCCACACTGAGCCGAGTGCAATGACTGGAGGTTCCCAGCTCTCGCCTCAGGATTACTGCACAGCTGTCACCCACAAGAAAGGAAACAGGTGTGCCAAGGAGCCTGCATTAAAGAACTGCTTCTCAGACCTTGCCTGAAATAAGCCACGCATATACAGGGCACCAGCATCCCCAGGTCACAAGCTAGAAAAGAACCAGAAAGAAAAAGTGAAGTGAAAGCGGTGAAGAGAAGAGAATTAGAAGAAGGAAGAATCAAGAGTGAAAAAATAAATACTTACCAAGGGTCGGGCTCGGTGACTCACGTCTGTAATCCCAGCACTGGGAGGCCCAGGCGGGCGGATCACCTGAGGTCAGGAGTTCCAGACCAGCCTGGCCAACATGGTGAAACCCCGTCTCTACTAAAAATATAAAAGTTAGCTGGGCATGCTGGCCCCTGCCTGTAATCCCAGCTACTCAGGAGGCTGAGGCAGGAGAATTGCTTGAACCCAGGAGGCTGAGGTTGCAGTGAGCCAAGATCGCGCCACTGCACTCCAGCCTGGATGACAGATTGAGGCTCCATCTCAAAAAACATAAAAAAAAAAAAAAACAGTAACAACAAAAAACTTCAGCAAGGGGTGGTGAGCCCAGTACCAGCTCACTGTATGAGAACCTCTGATCTCCACAGAGAAGAGAATCAACTTCTGCATGTCAAGGCCTTTACTTAGGAATCAAGCCACTCCCTATACAAAGCATCAGATCTAGGCATCAGTCTATGGTTGGTCAACCAGGCAGATGCCAGGGCTCAAGAGACTTCGGTAGCAGTCGACATTTGCTTACCTATATGTACGCAGTCACTGTGCATTGTGTGCATTGTGGGCACTATTTCGTTTGATCCTCACAAAAACCTAGGATACAGGAATTATGCTTATCTTACATATGAGAAAATACCTTTTCACCTATTCTTTGCCATGAGGAAATGTCTTGCCATGATCACCCAGCTATTAAGTGACAGTCAGAACAAAACCTCCATTCTGCCAGATTGCAAAGGCCAGCTGTTGACCACCATGTTTATTTTTAAGCTAGGATTCAGGGAGTGTTATTCCACAGGAAATGCTTAAGAGTGGGGAGAGAGGATTTAAATGTGTAAAAGAAAGTGGCTGTGAGCGAACACTGAGAGACACAGGTGGATTTGGCATGTTGCTGGTTGAAATTCTGAACCCTTCTCCCAAGCAGTCAAGTCCAAAATCCAAATTGCTGGCACCTTCTTTGACTGAAAACGTTCACTCTCTCTAGAAGCAGAAGGAATTCATCGTGGAATGTCACTTCAAAAGCATTGTTTCCTTCCACTCAAGAAAGTGTTAAGAACACTCACTAGGGAAAGTATCTCTCTGAGATAACCCAGCTGACTGTGAAAATTAAGGTATCTTCAAACTTTTACCATTCCATAGTCATCATTGAGAAGTAGAGAAATGTTTGTTGGCAAAAATCTGTGGGCCAAGGATTTCTTGATACACTTTTACTGCCTCCTTGGCTGGGGCTGGAGCACTGCACACCAAGTGTGTCACCTTGTAGGATCTGTAAATCCTCTGAGAAATAAATTCAGGGTGGCCACACACATCTTGTGAACTTGACTTCATGCCAGCAGAAAAAGAGAACTAATCAACCATGCAGCTAGGTGTGGAGCCAGAGAGAACTAGTGACGGAATCCTGGTCCCCAGAGGGTCATAAACCCCCAAGGCCGCTCAGACACAGATGTCCAAATGCACATCTAGACGTGCACTGTCTGACATGATCGCTGCTCGCCACATGTGTCCCTTGAGTGCTCACAGGTAGCTGGTTGGCATCGAGATGTACTCTAAGTGTAAAATACACCCCAGATTTCTAACGTGAAGTATGAAAAATGAAATACCTCATTAATAATTTTCTAGTCATTACTTGATGGGTTAAATAAAATATATTATTAGAATTAACTTTACCTGTTTCTTTTTATTTTCTTAATGTAGCTACTAAAGAAAAAAAAATTGAAACAGATTGTCACCCAGGCTGGAGTGCAGTGATGCAATCTCAGCTCACTGCAAACTCCACCTCCCAGGCTCAAGGGATCCTCTCACCTCAGCCTCCTGAGTACCTGTTACTATAGGCGTGTGCCACCATGCCCAGCTGATTTTTGTATTTTTTATAGAGACGGGGTCTCACCATCTTGCCCAGGCTGGTCACAATCTCCTGGGCTCAAGCAATCAGCCTACGTTGGCCTGCCAAAGTGCTAGGACTACAGGCAAGGCCACCGCACCTGGCCAGAAAATTTAAAATTATATATGCAGTTCACATTCTATCTCTACTGGACAGTCCTGCTGTAAACAGTCAGGCCACTGAAGGAATCTCAGCAAATCCGTTTGTGCTTCCCATCTCTTTTCCAAATACCTCTGACTGGTAGAGCAGGCAAAGCCCTCAGTCCTGCCCCATCCCCCTTTCTAACCCTCGTCTTTCCTAACACAGAGGATGCAGAGGTTGGGAACTTCCCTGGCATGCACTTTAACCAGGCTGACAACCTACCAAAGGTTTGGCAACACATTTTGAGGCAGAAACTCAGGAGTCAGACTCCTGTTTGAACCCTGGATTTCTAACTAGTAACACGTGTGATTTGGAAGTTATATCTGTGTTTCCAAAATTCTTCTATGGTGGAGAAGTGCAAATCAAAGCCATAATGAGATATCACCTCACCCCTGTTAGAAGAGAAAAGGGAATTCTTACACATTGTTGATGGGAATGTAAATTAGTACAGCCATTATGGAGAACACTATGGAGGTGCCTCAAATATTAAAAATAGGGCTAGGCGCGGTGGCTCACACCTGTAATCCCAGCACTTTGGAAGGCCGAGGTGGGCAGATCACCTGAGGTCAGGAGTTCGAGACCAGCCTGGCAAACATGGTGAAATGCCATCTCTACTAAAAATGCAAAAATTAGAAGGGTGTGGTGGCAGGTGCCAGCTACTCAGGAGGCTGAGGCACAAGAATTGCTCGAACCTGGGAGGCGGAGGCTGCAGTGAGCCAGCCTAGGTCACACCATTGCACTCCAGCCTGGGCGATAACAGCGAGACTTCATCTCAAAAAAAAAAAAAAAAAAAAAAAATTGGAACTAGAACTACCATATGATAGAGATATCAGCACTCCCATGTTTATTGTAGCACTGTTCACAGTAGACAAGATTTAGAAGCAACCTAAGTGCCCATCTACAGAAGAATGTGGTACATATATACAATGGAATATTATCCATCCATAAAAAAGAATGAAATCTTGTCATTTGAGACAATATGGATCGAATCTAGAGGACATGATGTTAAACAAGCCAGGCACAGAAGGACAATTACGCCATGATCTCACTCATATGTGGAATCTGTAAAAGTGGATCTCATAGAAACAGAAAGTAGAAGAGTGGTTGCGAGAGGCTGGGGAAGGGAAGATGGAGTGAAGGGAGAAGTTGCCCAACCAGTACAAAGTTAAATAGGAGAAAAGAGCTCTGGTGTTCTACCACAGTAAGGTGACTGTAGTTAACAATAATATATCGCGCATATCAAAATAGCTAGAAGAGAACATTTTTAATGTTCTCACCACAAAGAAATGACAAGTCTTTTGAGGTGATGGATACACTAGATACCCTGATTTGATCCTTGTACAACATAGACATGCATCAAAACATTACACTGTATCCTATAAATATGTACAAATTATTATGTGTCAATTTAAAACAAAGTAAAAAAGCTTGGCTTCTAGCAAGGCTGCCCTTAACAGGTTCATTTGCAGGGCTCAAGGCAAAAGTACAGCTGGGAGCCCTCATGCCATATTCAGCCTTCAACATATGAATCGGAGTGGGGGGGCACACAATTTGGTCCATCATGCCATGTGTCCAAATATCTAAAAGATATAAATCAAGCTCACAAACTGCCTGATCAAGTACATTCTATCCTCCTCTCTTGACAAATACACCTTTCTCTGCAACAAACTTTCAAAATGTGTAACCTTATGGCTTTTATGTTACTAAAACTAGCAAGATGCCAAAGACAGCTGAGTGCAGTGATTGTGCCTTCCTGGGTATTCTACTGATGAGTAGGTAATGTTTGGATGGGTGATGATAAAAAAATAGTTAATTAATATATTATTACATGTTTATTCCATGAAAGTTTTTATCCCTTACTTCATTTTATTAAAATCATAAATTATGTTAAAAGTTTAACCATAATTTGTGTTCTATTGTCAGTAATGATATTAGAGATTAAAAAACAAAATGGGGCCAGGCGCGGTGGCTCACGCCTGTAATCCCAGCACTTTGGGAGGCTGAGGCAGGCAGATCACGAGGTCAGGAGATTGAGATCACCCTGGCCAACATGGTGAAACCCCATCTCTACTAAAAATACAAAAATTAGCTGGGCGTGGTGGTGCGTGCCTGTAATCCCAGCTACTCGGGAGGCTGAGGCAGGAGAATCACTTGAACCCAGGAGGCAGAGGTTGCGGTGAGCCAATATCACGCCATTGCACTCCAGCCTGGGCAACAAGAGTGAAACCCCATCTCAACCAAAAAAAAAAAAAATTTGAATACAAAATTTAAAAGTTCCTTCAAAGGTGTCAATGAAAAATTAAAATTATTTTTCTTAAATTTTACAAAAAGTTTTTTTTCAAAAATAGTCTAAATTATGCAACAAAGTTAAAGGCAAAGTAAAGTTATAATTATGATCAACTTTTAAAATCAAATGTATTTTGTAAAAGCTCTTTTTAAGTTTTTGAAAGTTTAAATCTTTTAAATTGGTTATCTAAACATAAAACTATTCATGATTCTGGCATTCACTGTCCTCCTAAATGTCAACATGATGAGTGGGTACCATGCTTCATGGTGTTGTGTCTAGACTTACAGACATACAATTTTGCAAAATGTTCCCCAGCCATCAGTGCAATGTTTGTGACTATGGACCTAACTGGTGAGTACTTCCAACTGGAACGTGAAATGAAGTAGGAAAATGAATGTTAGCACTAGTGGATAATGATACTCTGTTTTGCAAGACTCTACAGTCTTCACGTGTTCTGAGAGAGAGAATCTGGCAATTTAATTAGTCTTTCTTCAAGGAAAATTTTGACAACTTAATTAGCTTATCTTTTCTTTTACCTAAATGCTTCTGCAACTTGAATCCTCCTCGTCTCCAAGGCAGTGTTCATCTCTGAAGTCTGCGGTGGCACAGCTACAAACCTTGGCAATCTTCCAACACAGTTGTCTTTTATTCTGAGGAAATAGGAAGAGATGTGAAGAAATGTTTCCCTGGGGCTGGAACAGTATTAGTCACACAGTGGATGTTTAAGGAGACAAGTCACTCTGTGCCCCTGCTAAGTTCCAGGAGGCAGAGGAGTCCATGTGTTCCCAAATCTGTGTTGTGTGTTTCTGATTTGCAAGGAATTTACAAGGCCCTCTCGTATGCGGTAAGCATGGAGCATGGGGTACGGTTACTCTTGCCAGCATCTTAGGGCAGCATCAGGATACAAAGTCAATCAGAACCGAGTTCACTCACTGAATTCCGCCATTCTTTTAGTGTGCAGACTTGCATGAAACAGTAGTTAAGTTACTAAATTCTCCAGGATTCTTAGTTTTCTAATCTGTGCAATGAGGACAATGAAACCTCACCTCATTTAAGATTGTCTTGAGAATGAAATAAGATATTTGTAGAACTTCAAAATATTTTTGAGACATAATTGGTGCTCTATTACTGTTGAATAAGTCAATTACAATAAATGGAGTTAGTAAGTTCTCTAGACACCTGTTTTCTCATTTACAAAATGGGAGAAGTGATATCTATGTGTGATATTGTGATATAATAATAAAAAATTTGATCCTGCCCCTCAATCCTGGCACACAGCTCCTAAAACCCTTGAAATTTCTGTAGTAATAAGAGTGCCTTTTGTATGCTAATAAGATGAATGACATCTGGGGGCCCCTAGAAAGCTTCAGGATGGGGACTGATCACCAAAAAGACCAAACCATGAGTGGAGGATTGGGGCATTCACCCCACTCTCCAACCTCTGAGGAGGAGACAGGGGCTAGAGATTGATCACCAATGGCCAATGATGTCATCAGTCATGCCAGCATAATGAAGCCTCCATAAAAATGGGAAAGGACAGGGTCAGAGGGCTTTCCAGTTGCTGAACTCACAGAGGTTCCTGGAGGGTGCTGTGCCTGGAGAGGGAATGGAAGCTCTGCGCCCCTTCCCTCTTACCTCACCCTACAAATCCTTAGATTTACCTTGCAAATCTAAGGATTTGCTAAAGTGTCTTTAGAATCCAGCTGTTCATCTGTATCCTTTGTAGTATATTTTATGATAAATGAGTAAATGTAAGTAAGTGTTTCCCTGAGTTCTGTGAGCCACTCTAGCAAATTAATCAAACCCAAGGTGGGGGTGCTGGGAACCCTCCATTTACAGTCATTGAGTCAGAAGCACAGATTACAACTCGGGACTTGTGGTTGGCATCTGAAGTGGGGTCAGTCTTGTGGGAATGAGCCTATAACCTGTGGGACATGACGCTGTCTCCAGGTAGATGGCGTCGGAATTAAATTAGAGAATTGGTTATTGGTAGGGAGAAATTCCCACACACATTTTGGTGACCAGAGCTGAGTGCTGTTGTGTGAGGGTAGGAAAAAACACAGTTTGGTTTTACCTTCAGAGTATGTCATTAAGACTATTTTGAGAATTAAATAACATAATTGGCACATAAGAAGGGGTGAATATTAACTGGAAGCAGTGTTTATTGTGACATGGTGATGAGGATGAGGATGAGGATGATGAGAATGACAATGACAACTCCAAGCACAATGCCAAGCACATCCCATTTCATCAGGAAGCTCTTCAAACAGGCATTAAACAAAACCAAAAGCAAATCTCTACACTCGACTATTCAGACCACACTATTGATAAAATAACTATTACTGTTTTTCTCATAATTATTAGTCTGTCATAAAGCTAACATTCACTAATGAAGGACAGTAAGTACAGAGCAGCAAATGTCTAGATTCTCTTCCATGGGAGCATATATAATCCCATTGAGAAGATGGCTCTAATATACAAGAAATAATTTTGTTAACAAGACAGAATATAGCACTATTAAGTCAAATGCTAACTTGTATTGTGCTGGCTGCCTGGAATAAGAATTCCAAAGGAAAAGTGATTGGTGGGGCTGGAGCAGTCAGTGGGTTTGTAACTGAATGACAGAAGAAGACAGATTTTTTTAAAGACGAAGAAGAAGAAGAAGAAGAAGGAGGAGGAGGAAGAGAGAGGCAAGGTGTGGCGGCTCACACCTGTAATCCCAACACTTTGGGAGGCTGAGGTGGGCAGATCACCTGAGGTCAGGGGTTCGAAACCAGTCTGGCCCACGTGGCGAAACCCTGTCTCTACTAAAAATACAAAAATTAGCTACGCCTGGTGGCACATGCCTCTAGTCCCAGCTACTCGGGAGGCTGAGGCACAAGAATCACTTGAACCCAGGAGGCAGAGGTAGCAGTGAGCTGAGATCATGCCACTGCACTCCAGCCTGGGTGACAGAGTGAGACTCCAGCTCAAAAAAAAAAAAATAAAAGAAGAAGAAGGGAAAGAGGCAGAAAGGGAAAAAAGAAGGAAGGAAAAGAAACAGGGAGGGAAAGGAAAAGAGGGAAGAAGGTACCAGAGTTGTATGAATAAAGAGAGTAGAGAAGTTGGAGTACGAGTCTATCTGAATAACAGAAAATAAACTCATATATTAACATCAACATTTCCCTTCTCATTGGTTCTAGCTACTTGTTTTCCCCGAATTTAAGGCTGAGGCCCTGTCCTTTCACTGTTAAATGATGCTGCTATGAGGAAACAGATGGTCCTCGTGTTGCAGAAATCATCACTGCCGCAATCTTGGATCCATATGGGAACTTCAGTTAACACAAACTTTGACATACCCTCTTGTTGTTCTTTCTTTTCTAATTATTACCAAGTTTGTTCACTGTCTGTCACTCCTGGTGTTAGAAATACTATCAGTTAGCATTCTAGTCATTATTCACCATTAATTCCTCCAGCACTCAATCACCACATCTGTTATTAACCATCTGGTCCATCTTTCCACTTCTGCATGTTATTTACATATGGCAGTTACCCAAGTTAACGTGGCCATTTAGACGGCCAGGTTTGCACTCATTTCCAAAACACAGCTACAGGGATAATATTTTGCCAATATTAAATCAAGGCATTTTAACCCCACCTCCTCTTTTTCCACATGCAACCTCCTATTTCCTGGAATGTGGCGTATTGCTCCAGGGCAGAAGACAGCTAGACCATGACCTCTTTAAGAAGACAGTAGGCTAGAAGGTCAGACATTGCAAAAACCAGAAAGGATTTGCTAAGTGTCTTTAGAATCTATGTGATGCATCAAGGACCAGGGCTGGGAGACCAGAGTCTAAGTCCTTTTCTACAAGGGAGAGATGCAACTGAAAAAGGAAGGGAAAGCCCACCCCTCCCAGCCAGGGAATTACGGAAAGAGGAAGCAGAGACGTGCTGATAAGGGCCGCAATGTAAGGGATTGTGTCAGATGAAGGGCACGGACCCCCAAGGCCGGAGGGCCACTCCTACTCACCATGAGGGACTCTTGGAAGCTGCCACCTCAAATGCCCATCCAAGAGTCCCTCTCCTTCCTTCACCCCGGGATACAGATGCCACCTTGGAGAAGAGAGGGGAGGGGAAGAGAGTGGAGATAAAAAGACTGCGCTTGGGCCGGGCACAGTGGCTCACACCTGTAACCCCAGCACTTTGGAAGGCCAAGATGGGTGGATGACCTAAGGTCAGGAGTTCCAGACCAGCCTGACCAGTATGGTGAAACCCCATCTCTACTAAAGAAACAAAAATTAGCTGGGCATGGTGGCATGCACCTGTAGTCCCAGCTACTTGGGAGGCTGAGACAGAAGAATTGCTTGAACCCAGGAGTCGGAGGTTGTAGTGAGCCAAGATCGCACCACTGCACTCCAGCCTGGGTGACAGAGCAAACGACTCCTTCTCAAAATAAAAAAATAAAAAAATAAAAAAGACCGCGCTTTTTTTCCTAAAATATTTGAATGTATTACCTAACAATTTAATCAAGTCAAACTGTTTTAAACTTTGAAGAACTTATAAGTTAGAGAAAAACTAGATTATTTGTTGACAACATAAAAAAAACTATACACATCTGGCTAAGTAAATTTGCAATCTGCAACATACAGTAGTTTTTTGTCAATTCAGATTTTCTTCATTAATTTTGAGTTCACATGAACTCAGGCATGCAAAATCAATGCCTCTATCTAGGGACAAAACAACTTACTGGCTCATCTTACAGAGTAAATGAAATTATAGAAAGAATATTTACCTACTTAAGAGAATAAAACTATTAAACATCCTAGAAGCACAATTTGCCTATGAAGAATGTCATTTCAGCTAAAGAAGCAGTGTATGATGTTCAGGATGGTGTTTGATATGCTAATTATGTAGTCTTCTAATATGAATTTATTATTAATGTCAGCTAACATTTACTGAGCCTTTAATATGGGCTAGTCAATGTGCTAAGCAGTGACAATAGCTCCAACCCTATGAGGGTTGCTATTATTATGCCCCTTCATAATGAAAAATCAAGGCTAGAGGAAGTGTCTGTTGTATTTATTGAGTTCACTGTAAAAAATGTTTATACTCTATGGAGATGCTACTGGTTGGCCAAATAGTCAAGTTCATGTAATAACAAAGGACATATAATGGAATTCAATTGTACAAGGGTCCTTTATTTGGGGAATAAAATGACCACTGCAGCAATTTGTGGATAAATGATCAGGATGAGTTTCAGACCACTTCTCTCATCACTGTAATGTAACTACCTCTGCTATAGAGATAAATGGGCTCTGACCCACCCACAGGAACACTAGAGTCTGGTTCTGCCAAAAACCTATCATAGGCCAGGGTTACAGACGTTACTGCTTAGGTTTCTTGACTAGTTTTTAAGCTCAGAATGTAGGAAAAGCTCCTCTTTCAGTAATAAAATTCATCTTTGTTCATTCTGAAGCCTTGGTGGAAACCTTCCAAGAGGCGCCATAGGGCCTTGCCCCTGCACTGCCTCTCTCCCTGCCTTAGAAAGCAATCTGCAGGGCCTGGAGCAGGAGGGAGCTTTCGCCTGGTATGGCACACTCCTGAGAGTGGACAGGAATCAAGTTTTGATCAGACAAGCCTGGCTGGAGTCCGTGATTTGCCACACACTACTTGTGTGACTTCTGAGCTTTAGCTGCCTTAGCCATTAAAATGCAAGTAATAACATCTAACTCATAGGGTTGTTGTGCTGATTATATGAACAAAGGTATGTAAAGCCCTTCACATGGAATCTGGCACCTGGTGAACACTTCAGTGAATAGTCGCTTACCACTATTTTACTGTTAATAATAAGCACTCCTCAAGTAAAAACACTTGCTGCACCAAATACTTTCCAAAATACCAGTCGTGAGGAAGTAATCCTGATTTAGTCAACTTCTTGACTTTCATTCTAAGAGACTCAAGAGTAAGAAGATCCTTTTAAAAGCCCTTCATCGACGGGTGGTGGATCAATTAGTTCAGGTCTCTTCTAGAGACAGGCCAGTAGGAAATGGATCCTAGTAATTTAAGGAGAAATAAATATTGCATCTCATCTTAGGTAAAGAGACATGACCACACATTTTAAGGAAAATTTGAAAGCATCCCTGAGGAACCTTCCAACCCAGTTTATTCTCTGTTCAAGAGCTAAGCTAGTTGGAGGGTTTGGCTAACAAGAAGTTGTACTAACTCCACTGTTGGCTTTATAACTTTTTGTTTAAATTTTGTTCAAACTCGTTCTTTGAAATATTAAAGTAATTTTAAAACATTACAGCAAAAAAAAACAATAATTTTTTTCAAAAAATAACATTTATAATCCCAGGGGTCCAATTGCTGACTTTCTGTTTTCATTTTTGTTTCTTTGGTTTGGTTTTGTTTTGTTTGCGATGCAGTCTCACTCTGCTGCTCAGGCTGGAGTGCAGTGGCGTGATCTCGGCTCACTGCCACCCCGGCCTCCTAGGTTCAAGCGATTCTCCTGTCTCAGCCTCCTGAGTAGCTGGGGTTAGCTGGGATTACAGGCATGTGCCACCACACCTGGCTAATTTTTGTATGTTTAGTAGAGATGGGGTTTCACCATGTTGGCCAGGCTGGTCTTGAACTCCTGACCTCAGGTGATCCGCCAGCCTCAGCCTCCCAAAGTGCTGGGATTACAGGTGTGAGCCACCGTGCCTGGCCAATTGCTGACATTTTGGTGTATGACCTAATCCTAATTCTATCTTCACATTCCTCTTTCTCCCTTTATACTCATACTCTTTGGGAAAAAAATGCAGTACTCACTCTCTCAAATTTCTGAGAGGTTGCTCTTCCTCAAGCCACTCCTCCAGTCAGGTTTTTTACCACTACCTTCCCCCAAAGGGCTCTTGTCAAGATCACCCGTGGCCTCCATGCTGCTCAGTCTGAGGGCCGAATCTCAGCCTTCTTCCTAACTACCTTCTTGAAGGCATTTGCCTCAATTTCCCTCTCCTGCCTCTTGGAGGCACTTTCTTCACCCCACTTCCAGGACATCAGCCTCTCCGGTTTCCTCCTACCTCACTGGACCTCTCTCCACTTCCTCTGTGGTTTCTGCTCTTCTCCCAGCCTCCCGAAATTGGAGGGGCGAACCCAGGTCTCAGTCCTCGGTTCTCTTCTCTTCTCTCAGGCTCCTCATCCAGACCCATGGCTTTAAATAGGTCTCCATGCTCTCTCCCCAGGTTATGTCCCCAGCCTTGACCTCTCCCCTGAACTCCAGACTTGCCTCTGTAACTCTCTACAAAACACCTCCACTTGGCTCTGTGGTGCACTTCTCACATTTAACGTCCCGATCTTTCCCAACTCAATCCTTCCAGGTGCTCAGTCCAAAACCTTGGAATCATCCTGGCTTCATCTTTATCTTTCACCCATTCAATCCATCCAAAAAAAAAATCATCATCATTTCTTGATTCAAAATACATCCAGATAAATCCTACCTCAAATCTCCCCTTAACCACTATTACCCTTGCCCAAACCACTACCATTCCTCTCTGTACAATTGCAGGTCACCTCCCCAAGTGTCCTCTACAGATTATAGCTGTCCAGTGGAAATAGAATGCTGCCACATATGTAATTTAAAATTTTCTAGCCTCAAATTGCTTCTGGAAAGCTATAAAAAATTAAAAATTAAAACATTAAAGAAAATCCTAGTAGCCACATTAAAAAGGGGGAAAAACTTAAATTAATTAATTTTAACAATATTCTTTATTTAATCCAATATATCCAAAATATTACCATTTCAACATGCAATCAGTATAAAAATCAGTAACATGTTCTACATTTTTTCACACTAAGTGTTTATAATACAAAGCCAGTGTGTATTTCACACTGATGGCACATCTCAGCTCCGGCTTTGCCACAACCCAAGTGCTCAGTAGCCACAAGTGGCAAGTGGCCACCAAAGTAGACAGTGCAGCTACAGAATATTCTAAACACAGCTTTCAGAATGATCATTTTAGAACATAAGTAACTATGTCGCTCCTCTACTTAAAACCCTGCAGTGGCTCCCCTTTTCCCTCAGAGTAAGAGCCAAATCCCCTGCAATAGCCAATAGGAACCCCTGTGAGCCGTACACCTCTTATCTCTTTGACCTCGCTCCTCCTCCCTTCGCCCCACTGCAGCCCTGCCACGGCTTCTTAAAGTCCTTGTCTGTGCCAGGGACTCTGCACCCCAGCGGCTCTGCACTGCTGTTCCTTCTGCCTGCAACACTGCTGACAGCCCATAACTCACTCCATCACCCCTTACTCTTGACTCACACACAGCCTTCTCAGTGAGGCCCATCCAGACCTCCCTTTCTAACACTGAAAATCCCCCACCCATCCAAACACACACCCTTAATATGGCCTCTCTTCCTTAGACTTATCTACTTTTTTCCATAATATGTTTAACCTTCGAACACACCATAAGGTCAGCTTTCTCCCCACACTGGAATGTAAGCCTCATGATGCAGTCAGGGCTTTTGACTTCTGTGTTCACCGAGGTGTTCCCAGAGCCTAGAACAGAACCTGGGCTACACACAATAAATAATAAATACTTGGTGAGTTGAGTTATATTTTTATTCACTTAATACAGCATGAAGGGCCAGGCACGGTGGCTCACAACTGTAATCTCACCACTTTGGGAGGCCGAGACAGACGGATCACCAGAGATCAGGAGTTCGAGACCAGCCTAGCCAACAGGATGAAACCCCGTCTCTACTAAAAATACAAAAATTAGCTGGACGTGGTGGCAGGTGCCTGTAATCCCAGCTACTCAGGAGGCTGAGGCAGGAGAATCACTTGAACCTGAGAGGTGGGATGGCATCACTGCACTCCAGCCTGGATGACAGAGTGAGACTCCATCTCAAAAAACAAGAAAAAAAAAATACAGCATGAAGATTGTTCCCTCACCGTTAAATATTCATCTCTATCATCATTTAGACGATGGAGTGGTGTATCATTCATGGAGGCAGTTCCTTTCTACTGAACCAACCTAATTGTGAGCACTAAGGTGTTTCCAGTTTTTGTCATCAGCAAGCCGTCATTGGGATAGAGGTACATGTTTGTTGGTAAATTTGATTCTATCTGAAACGAAGGAAATGTAAATGTGTAGGTCTCTGACAAATATTAATATATTGTTTTTCAGTCTTAGATTTCCCTTTATAAGCAAAACTTAATGAACACTCTAGTTGAACAGAATTTCATGTACCTGTGGGATTTTCTCCTTTGAATAAACTCCTAGAAGTGAAATAACTAGATCAAGGGGTGTGCATTTTTATGATGGCTCTGCTCCATGCAGACTGTACTTGTCTTTGTTGTTGGTTACTTGTAGGTAGGTCAGTCAGCTGCGCAGCTTCATCACATACATAGCTATACACACACACACACACACACACACACACACACACACACATAATCGTTCTCCATCCCACCCAAGTCCACCAAACTAGAATCTCTGTAAGTCACGCCCAGTCATCTGTATTTTTGGAACTGCCTGGTTAATTTTAATGTTTGTCTGGTATTTCAAACTACTAACTGAGAAACTGAGTGGCTATGTCTTTGAGAGGGAGCACCACCACCAATAATATTTTCATTTCCATTAAAAATATAATGGGTGGCCAGGCACGGTGGCTCATGCCTGTAATCCCAGCACTTTGAGAGGCTGAGGCAGGTGAATCACCTGAGGTCAGGAGTTTGACACCAGCCTGGCTAACACGGTGAAACCCCGTCTCTACTGAAAATACAAAAAATTAGCCGGGCGTGGTGGCAGGCACCTGTAATCCCAGCTACTTGGGAGGCTGAGGCAGGAGAATGGCATGAACCCGGGAGGCGGAGCTTGCAGTGAGCAGAGATCGCGCCACTGCACTCCAGCCTGGGCGAAAGAGCAAGACTCTGTCTCAAAAAAAAAAAAAAAAAAAAAATACAAAAATTAGCCAGGCATGATGGCAGGTGCCTGTAATCCCAGCTACTCGGGAGATTGAGGCAGGAGAATTGTTTGAACCCGGGAGGCAGAGGTTGCAGTGAGCTGAGATCATGCCATTGCATTCCAGCCTGGGTGACACAGGAGACTCTGTCTAAAAAAAAAAAAAAAAAAAAAAAAAATATATATATATATATATACACACACACACACACACACACACACACACACACACACACACATACATATACGCTGGGAGTGGTGGCTCATGCCTGTAATCCCAGCACTTTGGGAGGCCACAGAAAGAGGATCACTTAACCCCAGGAGCTGGAACCCAACCTGGGCAAGATGGTGAGACATCATCTCTCTAAAACTTTTTTAAAAATTAGCCTGGCATGGTGGAACATACCTGTAGTCCCAGCTACTTGGGAGGCTGAGGCGGGAGGATTCCTTGAGCCCAGGAGTTCAAGGCTGCTGTGACCTATGATCACACCTCTGCACTGCAGCCTAGGAGACAAAGTGAAACCCTGTCTCTAAAAAAGTAAATAAATATAAATAAATAATTAAAATATAATGAAAATAAAGTAGATCAATCTAAGGAAGACAGGGCATACTAAAGTTATGTGAGTGGGTGGCGATTTTTCAGTATTTTTTGTTTTTGTGGGTTTGTTGTTTCGTTTTGCTTTCTGGTTTTTGTTGTTGCTGTTTTTTGTTTGTTTGTTTGAGACAGGGTCTCATTCTTTCACCCAGGCTAGAGTGTGCAGCCTCAACTTCCTGGCCTCAAGCAATCCTACCACCTCAGCCTCCCAAATAGCTGGGACCACAGGCACATGCCACCATACCAGGCTAATTTTTTTTTAATACAGTCTGGGTCTCACCATATTGTCCAGAATGAACTCCCAGGCTCAAGTGATCCTCCCACCTCAGCCTCCCAAAGTACTGGATTATAGGCATGAGCCACCATGCCCAGCCTGGATTTTCTGTTTTTAAAAGGGAGGTCTGGATAGGCCTCCCTGAGAAGGTCACATTTGAGTCAAGAGGAAGGGGTGAAGGAGTGAGCCATGGGCTGTCTGGCAGAGTGTTCCAGGATCAGGTGAGCTCCCATGCTCTGATGGGGATTTCCCTGACCCCTAATTGCATTCCCACGCACATGTGCAGATGAAGCTGTTCACACTGCCCAGAGAACAGCTCTTGGGTCAGAGAGGTCAAGAGGGGCTCACTAACAGAGTCAAATAGAGCAGGGATGTCAGCTGTCAATCCCCTAATGCCCACCAGGAAAACCCATCAGGCAGAACTACGTGGATCCAACTCAACAAAGCAAGGGAGACACCACCTTGATGGTCTCAGTGGTGTCTCAAAGGGAAAATCAGGGAAGAGTATTTATAAGATTTTAAGGCCAAGGCTGGTTGATTTTATGGCAAGAATTACAAGGTGGAGAACTGATTGGGATGGAGCAGAGTTTTGACACAGCAGCTGGAGATTGATGGGCATGGTGAGGTGAGGGTCTCAAAGCCGCATTGATGAGAAAGCTGTTAATCTTGGTTCACAGTCTTATCTTCCAGGAACAGGTATTTCCTGGAGGAAGCAGCTAAGCTATTTCTCTCTGGTCCCAAGATTGTTTGGTATAAAATCAGGTATAAAAACGTTCTCAATTCTTCCCAGAACTGTTTAGCACAAGGACAGGAAAGTGTGTTTGTTCCCTGCATTATTTAACATGGGGAGACTGGTTCAGTTCTCAGGGAGAATGCACCCACCCAGACTTTGTGATTGGAGTACAAATTATTAAGTCTTTGTAAATAAAATAGATTTCCTTATCTTTCAGTAGAGTCTACTTTAAAGCTCACAATTACAAGAGTTAGATCAGCTGGTTAAAACCCCACACAGGCCTTTTCGTGTGGTCCACAGGGACCCTGGGGATGCTGTGCGCAGGGCCTAGCACTTGAGAGGAATTCAATATATGCCTTTTAAAATCAAACCTCTTAAACCTTAGCAAGCAGCTCTCCAATGCCAAGGAAGAGAATACTAGAAGGGTCCCTTCTGGAGGAGCGAGGTTTCAAGCCATCTCAGGGACCATAGTCAAAGGCAGGGAACCCACTTGGAGCTAGGTCCTTCCTTATACCTAGGGAGGTGAAATGTTGCCCTCCAGGTAGCTTCAGCTACCAGTCAGACTCTGCAGCTTGTGACAAAACATGTGGCCCAGGAGATTTGACAAGAAGGTACGGAGGGGGCCTGAGAGACTCCATCCTACACCTTATAGAGCTCTTGCTCATTCTACTTATGGAAGACGTCTTTAATCAGACCTCTGCTAGCTCCACTTTTGAGGTGGTTCTTCTAGAATGCATAACAGAAGACAGTTATGTAGAGGCCGGAATTTAACTCCGTTGACTGCAGAGAGCCCCCACTCTGTCCTCAGTGCTAGGGTAGAGGAGCAGCTGCCGCCCCTCCATGGCACGCACAAGACATTGGTTCCCATCACATGGACTCAGTGTGGTCCTCCCTGGGGAGGCAGGGAGGTGGACTCTGAAGAATCTGCTTCTCTGAAAGTTAAAGAAAAGAGATATGCATTGGCCTGAAGTGCTGGGACAAGGTCACCAAACACGGGAGGGTTAACCAAAGTCCTGGACTTCTATGATTAAAACATCAACTGCAGGCGCCTCCATGGACAAGTTACTTAACTCTTTGTGCCATTATTCCCATCTACTAAGTAGCTCACAAGCAGGGCTGCTGTGAGGATTTGTTAATACTTGTAAAATACTGGGAAGGGCACCCAGCACAGAGTGAGCGCTACATAGGGAGAGCTGTTATTATTTTTTCACTCTCTGTGAATCTTTATCATTTTCCCATCTACATGTCTGTCTCTTTATCCAGACTATCCATGCATTTCAACAGGGATGATTGGAAGAGGGGGTAAAAAATTTATTCATTTTATGTATAAAATATATAGAGAGATAGATGGATATATAAACAGATAAATAAATGGGCCAGGCTCAGCGGCTCACACCTGTAATCCCAGCACTCTGGGAGGCTGAGGCAGGTGGATCATGAGGTCAGGAGTTCAAGACCAGCCTGGCCAACATGATGAAACCCCGTCTCTACTAAAAATACAAAAATCAGCCAGGCAAGGAGGCACGCGCCCATAATCCCAACTACTCTGGAGGCTGAGGCAGGAGAATCACTTGAACCCGGGAGGTGGAGGTTGCAGTGAGCCAAGATAGTGCCACTGCACTCCAGCCTTGGTGACAGAGTGACACTCCATCTCAAAAAAAAATAAATAAATGGATGGAAAATAGATAGATAGACAGGTACTAACTATACAGTACATAAACAGATATCTAGTAAACCCATGGTATTAAAATTTCATGATGGAGTGAGGGGATTAGGAAAGGAAGCCTAAGTCTCTGTAGGGAGCAATGATGAAAAAAAGTCTGGCCAGCACTGTCCTGAGCTGTGAGACCTGAGAGTCGACCTGCTTAGTCTTGGAATGCCCAGCCCCTAGTGCAGTGCCTGCAGAAAGTACAGAGCCCATAAATAAACTCATATCCATCTCAGGTAATTCCTTACAAATCCCCATTTTCCCATCAGCTTGCATTGAGATATATCTCTGTCTCTGTATTGTAATATCAGGAAAGAAGAAATGCAGAGTGACTCCTTAAGAAGCAATTTATCAGCAACCAGCATCTGGGAGCTGCAGGGAATGGAAGCCCATATCACCTGCCTGGTCTCCACCCATCTGATCCACAGCAGGGGGAGGCCAATTTGTGCTGGTTCTTAGGAAAACACCTGCCAGGTAAAGGTGGTCTGCAGGGCCAGCACCTCCCTTTCAGCCCCCAGCAGCTCCCCAGGAATTTGGGCCCAGCCCCACTTCAGCAATCCCCAAGTCAAACTACTTAGGGTCCACCACTCTAGGAGTTACTAAGCAGATTTTTTTTTAAATTGAAACACACATGCAGGAGACTGATACTGGTTTAATAATTCTGCATCTCAAATTTAGACAGACAATACCTGCATCCTCAGGCAGAATGCAAAAATGGTGGGATTTCAAGCATCTACCACCCTACTTAATGGGGATTTGTTGGGGCTTTTGGCTGTTAATTCCATATTGTTTTCTTTTTAGGGGGCTTTTTAAATATGAGAGAGATGTATTTCTTAGTGCCTCAAATCACACATGCTGTGAAGTAACTTGAGTTGCCGATGTATAGAGCTGGTCTCGGTAATACTGCTTGGTTAGAAAATTGCTAAAATCAAAGAATGCCCCAAAATAGAGCCTGACATGGAGTTTGTTGATTATGCATTAAGTATATCATTTAAATATAATTTTGGCTATCTGATACACTTACCTTTAATTTTGCAAGGGGGGTAAAACCTGCAAGAACTCCATGTCACGGAACCTAAGTCACTCAGTGGACACACTCAGGTTACTACCGTGCTTCCAAGAGGCATCAGGAACAAGGGTTCGCTGCCATGCCCCTCCCTGGCCTGTGCTAAATGCTAAGGAGGGGTCCTGCCTGGGGCCCACAGCCATGGAGACAGTGTTGTCCACCACAGACTGTAAGCCACATCCCCAACCCGGCTGCAGCTCAACAGAGACAAGACAGTCTGAGACCCGCGAAAATGAGGCTGCAGAGAGCAGGTAGGCCAGCAGGCTGTGAGCACAAAGAGATTTTCTTTCAGCTGAACCCTGGGACCAGGGAGTTAGATGTACAGGTGTGATTACCGAAAGCAGGATTCTTTATTTACATTTTCTCTTCGTTCATGTCTCTAATGAGCTCCCACTAATGGCACGCATGAACTGAAAACATTTTAACTATGGCTGTCTACATCTTATCATACTTATGAGCCAATTACAAGGAACTGTTCATTTGCCAATTGTAGTGAACTCCAGGTACATTACACTGAACAGGTGTCTCACCAATAATAATGATTGTTATAATCTCAGACAGACAAAAAAGAAGGAAGAAATTTGAAGATGATGGAAGAACAAGTCTGTGCCCTGCTAGTAACAGCTGGTGGCTGTGTGATTCCCGTCATCTGAAATGCTCCACCCTTTCCCCTGAAAATGTCTGTCCTCACTCAACCTTCTACCTACTATCCTCCAGATACGGTGCTAGCTAAAAAAAGATGGCACTTCATATTCTTATGGTAGGAAGGGAACAGCCACTGTCCGTCCTTCCTCCTACAAGCCAGGCACCAAGCTAGATGTTTCCCACACATTGTCTCACGTAATCCTTACCACAGCACTGTGAAGGGGGATTATTGCCCCCATTTGTAGATAAGAAACAGAAGCTGATGGTCTGGTGCAGTGATTCTAAAACTTTAGGGTACATCAGAATCGCCTGGAGGGCTTACTGAAACGTGTATTGCTGGCCCACCCCCAGAGTTTCTAAGTCAAGAGGTCCGAGGTCTGAATTAGGACCGGGAATTTGCATTTCCAATTAGTTCCTGTATGAGGCTGATGTTGCTGGTCCCGGTTCACATTCTGAGAACCACTGGAATCGTGGAATAGGTATAAGCTGAGGTTTGACATAGACTCAGGTTCAAGTATAAACCCTACTGATTAATTCCCATATGATAATGGGCAGGTCACTAAATCTGGCTGAGCCTCGACTATAAAATAGAGATAATGACATCTACTTTGCAGTGTGGCTCAGAGGACTTGCAATAAAATGTGTGTGGAGGGCCTAACTGGAACCCAGGTAGCAAGCACTCAATAGGGCATCACTGCTGTTAGGGAGGCCACTGTTGCACTGTGAGTCCAGCATCACAGCCAGATTGGGACCCATGACCTTCTCCAAAGTCTGGCTCTTCTTCATGAACTTTCCTATTCTCACATTCCCAGCTCCGAAGTCCTGGTGCACTTATAGGATGCGCCACACAATGACGCCCATCATTCTCAACAGTCTGAATCAGCCAATATTGCTTTCTGCATATATCTTACCCCCTCTCCGCCCAGTGTAAGTTCCTTGAGAAGGGAACTGTGTTTTATGCTGCTTCTACATGTCCCCTACATGAAGGCTAACGTAGAAGGCTCTGAATCATCCTGGAGCTGGGAGGCCTGCCCTCCGCATCCCACCCTACCAGCCCCCAGGGAGCCCACTAGCCTTTGTCTCCAGTTGCCTCTGAGTTTGTAAAAGCAGTTCCATAAACTTTTTGGAAACTTTTGTCATAAAGCCACCATAGCATTAAAACTACAGAGAGCCTAAGTTCCCATCCATTTTAGTCCTTTGTTTCACAATTGAGAACAGTTGGGTTTGTGGCAGATCCAAAGGCTTTAGATATATCAGGCTTGAGGTCACAGAGTGATGTGACATTGCATAAGTTACTTAACCTCTTTAATACTCAGTTTTCTTACCTGTAAAATGAGAACAGAGACCTTACAAGTTTACTGAGCTACCACTAATATATGCAAAGTGATCAGCACACAACCATCACAAAACAATTGATAGTTATAGTTAGTGCTATTGTTGCTGTTAATAACCATCACTAGAAATCATAGAAGACATAATCCTGTTTTGTTCATGTTATATTGTCTGTAATATGCATTAAAATATCTCAGTATGAACAGCATGGTGTACACGTATATACAAATTAACTTTATACCCAAGAGTTATTGAATAACATTTGAATCATCTAATCATAAATCCATACTCCAGAGGAAAGTAAGGCCTTGTTCAGGTGTTTTCATCTGTATTTATACCAGGAGTACACTAGTTAGCATAAGGGATAAGAGATGCACAAAGTGTTATACTGCCAAATAAGACTCACAAGGATCAGAGGTCTTAACCAGTACCAAGATTTACTAATAAGTCCAAGGATGCAAGTAATTGTGAGGCACAGATAAAGCAAAGAGAAGTCTGGACACCGGGCATAGCTCCCCAGGTCCACTCTTGCTACATCAGCATGCACTTTGAGGAATTCCATGCAGCTGCATCACTCACACAAAAGGGATCTGCTGTGGTCATAAAACATCTCCAATTTTATACTTAAATATTTACATAGCCTACACGATACTTTCCAGGTAGTCCTGTGACATAAATCCATAGATCTCAAGTGTTTTTTTTGTTTGTTTTTTTGGTTTTTTTTACTGTTGTGGACCAAATGTTTGTGTCCCCCACCAAATTCATATGTTGAAATCCTAACCCTCAATGTTATGGTTTTAGGAGATAGGGCTTTGGGGAGGTAATTGGGTCATGAGGGTGGAGCCTTCATGAATGTAATCAGTGCCCTTATAAAAAGAGACATGAGAGCTTGCTTCCTCTCTCTGCTCTACACTGGTAAGGATACAAGAAGAATATAACCTTCTGCAAACCAGAAGGCAGGTCCTCACCAGACTAGAGAGCAGATCCTCACCAGACACAGGACCTGCTGGTACCTTGATCTTGAACTTCCCAGCCTCCAGAACTGTGAGGAAAAATTTTTGTTGCTTAATCCACCCAGTCTATGGAAATTTGTTGTAGCAGCCTGAAAGAACGAAGATACTTACCATAAGCAATCCTATAAAGACCAAATACATCCTGCTAAAAATCCTTCCATAGGTAAGGACTCTCCTGTTAGCTACTATTGGTAGCTAACCACCAGTCAGTGGTTTTCCAGGAGGCCTGTTACAAACATGTTTACAAGAGACTTAATCAGATTGGCTTCCTTCTTCCTTTCCCAGAGGCATCCCAGCAACCTTATCCAAGGGAAAGGGATAAATTGCAGGACTGCTGCTAACCATTCTTTTCACAACATTAGAAGTCCTCTTCATTGGTTAAATGAGTGGAACTCAAAAAATATGACTGACTAAAAAGATTTACAGGATTTACTGCCTTTGCAAAAATAAAATATAAGAAGTAATCAGCTGGGTGTGGTGGCTCACACCTGAAATCCCAGTACTTTGGGAGGCCGAGGTGGGTGGGTCGCTTGAGATTGGGACTTCAAGGCCAGCCTGGCCAACATGGTGAAACCTGTCTCTACTAAAAATACAAAAATTAGTCGGGCATGGTTGTACACGTCTGTAATCCCAGTGACTCAGGAGGCTGAAGCAGGAGAATCGCTCGAACCTGGCAGGCAGAGGTTGCAGTGAGCCGAGATCATACCACTGCACTCCAGCCTGGGTGACAGAGCAAGACTCCATCTCAAAAAAAAAAAAAGAATCTGTCAAACCCAACAGGTTTCACTGATAGAGGAGTATTCCAGGTCTAGAGTGTATTCTCCCACCATCTTCAACTTAACATAAGGTTTTGTCAGCTGACTTGACTAGACAGCTGTCTGGTTCTACCACTAGAATAGCATTGCCTCTACCATGGCACCAGGGGGCCTTTCATACAAGGTGCTTGTCAAACAACATAATAATTGGGTGTGGACTTGACCTAAGTTTGGAGAAAGAGATTGTAGAACTCTTCTTTGCCTGCTTCCAATAAATATGGCTTGGTCATAAATGTAGTGTGTATGGCAGAACTGGATCCGAGACTTGTTTTCATTATAATTTAGCACCTGATAGCAAAGGGATGGGAAGGGAGCTAGTGTCCTACCATCCTCAAAACATCAAACTCTCCCAAAGTTCTGGCAATTATGAAAAGAACTAACTAGCAAAGGTCAGTTAGCAGAGAATTTATAGACCCTGCTCCTTGTCCTGCTCTGCCACTAACTAACTGTGTTGCCATGGCCCACATGTCCCTTCTGGCTTCAGTCTTCTCATCCGGATTGAATTCTATTCATCTGGACTGAACTACTATTGTTACACAGTGACTTTCTCCCTGCTCTGACCACTTCATGTCCTACTGAAGGGCACTATAGTAAAAATGGGGGTTGCAGAGGAAGAGACACAGTAGCAACTTGCTTAAATCAAAAATAAGCAAGAAAAGGGGAAAGATAAATGTGGCCATGGGATTGTGGGAAGGGAGGAGGTCCAGATGGGTTGGGAAGAAGAAGGTCATCCTTTGACATCCCTCTCTTATCTTTGAGACAGTTGAAATAAGGGACATGAAGAAACTTGAGTAAGTAGAAGGAAAACAGAAATGTTAATATCTAGGGTGATCATACAATTTATTGTCCAAATGACCAGGACTCTTTTGAGAGCACTAGGGAAATTTTTTTTTTTCTGAGACAGAGCCTCACTCTGTTGCCCAGGCTGGAGTGCAGTGGCACAATCTCGGCTAACTGCAACTTCCGCCTTCTGGGTTCAAGCGATTCTCCTTCCTCAGCCTCCTGAGTAGCTGGGATTACAGGCATGTGCCACCGCGCCTGGCTAATTTTTTGTATTTTTAGTAGAGATGGGGTTTCACCATATTGGCCAGGCTGGTCTTGAACCCTTGACCTTAAATGATCCACCCACCTCAGCCTCCCAATGTGCTAGGATTACAAGCATGAGCCACCATGCCCGGCCAGGAAGATTACTAATAATAGTTTCATAACAGATATAAACAGGCACTGTCACAGGCACATCAGGATGAATGTCACCTGACTCATCGCTGGCACTAGTCTGTGCATCAATACACAAAATTCAGTCATGCATCTGATGGTTCCTGCCATTAGGGTGAATTAATAAAGGCAAATATGATTTCTTTCAAAGCTAGAAAATGTATTTTTTATGAAAACATTCAATCAAATATGGAAATAGCAAAAGGTACCTTACTACTATCATTCTTATACTTTTAATTACTATCTTAGCTGAATTGATAGTCTTATCTTTTGTCCTTGATGAAGAACTTCTTCAACCCTTGAAGGAAAAAAAAGGAATATTTTCCCTCACTAATGGTATGAATATTTTAAATAGGTAAAGTAGAAAATATCTTTCAAGCTTCAATAAAAAGGCTACTCGACTAATCAGACTCCCTTTCATATCATGATCATCATTAAAAATTAATCTACTAATTTTATCTTTTCAAATAATATTAGAGAAAGTACTACCTTACTTCAGGAAAAAATACATATATTTATAAAAGCAAGACTGAACTAGAGTAGAAATGCTAAATCTACAGAGGCAGAACATAAATGTCCAATAATAATAAATGGTTAAGTAAATTCTAATACATTCATGTAAGGGAAAATTGTGCAGCCATTATAACTGATCATTTAGAATTATGTTGACAAACAAAAATACCTATGATATATTTAAGGAACAAGGTATGTTAAATCATGTCAAATATCTTTAAATCTACAAGTTCATGATAATACTAAAAACAAAGGAGAGAAAACATTTCATTGTTCAGTGGTGGGATGATGAGAAACCTACCCATTATTTTGAAAACTGGTAAAGAAAGGAAAAGAATCAAGCATTTATCCTGCCCTTACTGTGTAAGTTATGCCTCTGGGTAACCAAATAGTTGTGGAGGGCAAATTTATGTTTACAGAAGTATTCCAACTGATAAACAAAAATGATATGATGGGATTACAGCATCACCATTTTACACCTTGTAATGAATTAGTAGATCTAGGTAACAGATCTAAGTAACGTAAGAGAGACCAGACATGATGCCTCCTGGAGCATGTACGCGACACCATTTATAATGTATTAATAGATGTGACTAGCCAAAAAGGAGCCTGAATTTCATCAAGCTTTCAGATCTAACTAGCAACGCACAGGAACTACACAGGACAGAGGGACAGCAAAGAGACACCACAGGGGAGCAATCAGCAAGATCCAGACAGAAACTTGATAGAGTAGATGACTGCATTTCTTCAACAAATAAACTATAAGGGGAAAAGATAGAAGAGGAGCCTATAGATTTAAAAGATTGCTAAAGAAGACATGCATGCAGTCAAAAGCATATGAAAAAAAGCTCAGTATCACTGGTCATTAGAGAAATGCAAATCAAAACCACAATGAGATAACATCTTACACCAGTCAGAATGGCTACTACTAAAAAGTAAAAAAATAATAGATACTGGCTAGGATGTGGAGAAAAGGGAACACTGATACACTTAGTGGGAGTGTAAATTAGTTCAACCATTGTGGAAGACAGTGTGACAATTCCTCAAAGACCTAGAGACAGAAATACCATTTGATCCAGCAATCCCATTACTGGGTATATACCCAAAGGAATATAAATTATTCTACCATAAAGACACATGCATGTGAAAGTTCACTGCACCGCTACTGAAATAGCAAAGACATGGAATCAAACTAAATGCCCATCAATGATAGACTGGATAAAGAAAATGTGGTACATATACACCATGGAGTACTATATAGCCATTAAAAGGATCAAGACCATGTCCTTTGCAGGGACATGGATGGAGCTGGAGGTCATTATCCTTAGCAAACTAACACAGGAACAGAAAACCAAATACCAGATGTCCTTACTTATAAGTGGAAGCTAAATGATAAGAACACCTGGACACATCGAGGAGAACCACACACACTGGGGTCTACCAGAGGGCAGAGGGTGGGAGGAGAGAGGGGATCAGGAAAAATAGTAATGGATACTAGGCTTAATACCTGGATGATGAAATAATCTGTACAACAAACCCCCATGACACGTTTACCTATGCAACAAACCTGCATATCCTGCACATCTACCCCTGAAATTAAAATACAAGTTAAAAAAATAAAAATAAAAATGTCCATGTTAACTTTAAAAAAAATGTGGTACATATACACCATGGAATACTATGCAGCCATAAAAAAATGAGATCATGTCTTTTGCAGGAACACAGATGGAACTAGAGGCTATTATCCTTAGCAAACTAATGCAGGAACAGAAAACCAAATACCACATGTTCTCACTTGCACATGGGAGCTAAATGAAGAGAAGTCATGAACATAGAGAACAACAGACACTACTTGAGGGCCTACTTGAGGGTGGAGGTTTAGAGGAGGGAGAAGAGCAGAAAAAATAACTATTGAGTACTAGGCTTAGTACCTGGGTAACGAAACAATACAACGAACCCCCATAACACAAATTTACCCATATAATAAACCTTCACATGTACCCCCAAACCTAAAATAAGAGTTAAAAAAAAAAGATTTAAGAGACGTATCAGCCAAAGGAACCTATTGTAAGTATGCCTTGATCCAGATTCAAATAAACTGGAAAGAAAACAATTACAAGACAATTAGAGAAACGTAAACAGTGATTGAGTATTTAAGGATATTAAGACTGTGCTAATTGTTAAGCTGTGAAAAGGGTATTGTCATTTTTTAAGAGTTTTTATATTTTATAGAGACATGCTGAGATATTTACTGATAAATTGAGAGCATGGCTAGGATTCACTTCAGAATAATCTAGGTTGCGGGTAAATTGCAGTTCAGATGAAACAAGAGGCGCCACAAATGGAAATTCAATATGGATTTCAGTCCATTTAAGTATGTGTTTGAAGTTTTTCATAATAAAAAAGATTTTTTAAAGTGAGGGTAGGGAAACAGGATATTTAGTATAATCCCATTATGCAAAAGAGTGCAGCAAACACCTACAGACATGAGAGTGAGCTCAGGAAGAAAATCAGGCTAGGCGCGGTGGCTCACGCCTGTAATCCCAGCACTTTGGGAGGCTGACGTGGGTGGATTACTTGGGGACAGCAGTTCGAGACCAGCCTGGCCAACTGGTGAAACCCCTTCTCTACAAAAATACAAAAATTAGCCAGACATCATGGCACATGCCTGTAATCCCAGCTACTCGGGAGGCTGAGGCAGGAGAATCACCTGAAACTGGGAGGCAGAGGTTGCAATGAGCCAAGATTGTTCTACCACACTCCAGCCTGGGCAACAGAGGGAGATTCCATATCAAAAAAAAAAAAAGAAAGAAAACCAAATGGAACACATTAAAGAGTCCAGGAGCTATCCTGGGTGGCAGAACCATGGGCAATTTCTCTACTTTTATATCTTTCTCATTGTTTACACTTTTTTAATGAGCATATATTATCTTTATCGTTTTTTTAAAAAGCCGCTTTCGCTTTTTTCAAAAGAGCCTTTGAGTAAATAAGAGATCTGCTGCCTTCAGGGTCTCTTGTGGGCGGCAATTCTGGAGTTATGCTGATGGATAAAGGCTTATTGCTCTGCTAATCCTTCTTGTTATTGGAGTTTGGAGCTATTAAGGCACATTACCCTATGGAGTAATATAACATCTGAAATCGTGTCAAACAAACGTTCGAATGGTGAAAACGGCATGTTTCACAGGCATGCCAGAAAGGGTATAATTGGACCCATTAAATATGAAGCATGTGAATTCCAAAGGTTACTGAATAAATAATGTTACTTAACAAAATGAAATTAGAGTGTGAACGGGCTGAAATTAGAGTTCATTTCCTTTCTGAAAATTCCATCTCGTTCTTCAGAGAGTGAGCTGATGGGGCCTTCCCTCCATCAGCTCCTATCTGGATTTGAGAGCGTCTCCCAGAATGAAGTGCTGGCTTCACTCTTCTCTCCTGCACATGTGCACCAGGAAGCTCCTTCAGGGCTTGCATCACATACAGTTCTCTAGTGCCTAATGGGCAGAAGGCCTGTGTTTGGCACTGTGGTGGAGGGCTGGGGGACTAAGAGGACAGGGGTAAAAAAAAAATGACTTTTTTTTTAGATGGAGTCTTGCTCTGTCACCAGGCTGGAGTACAGTGGTGTGATCTCAGTTCACTGCAACCTCTGCCTCCCAGGTTCAAGAGATCCTCCTGTCTCAACCTCCCAAGTAGTAGGGACTACAGGCGTGCGCCACTATGCCCAGCTAATTTTTGTATTTTTAGTAGAGACTGGGTTCACCATGTTGGCAAGGCTGGTCTCCATCTCTTGACCTCGTGATCTGCCTGCCTTGGCTTCCCAAAGTGCTGGGATTACAGGTGTGAGCCACTGCAGCCAGCCAAAAAAAAATGACTTTTTAAACAAAGGCCTTGCTTCAGAAGATTGTGATCCAATTGGGATGTCAGCCTCTCTCTCTCTCTCTCTCTCTCTCTCACACACACACACACACACACACACACAAATTGATACTAAAACACGAATTGCAGAATTGTAGGCATTTCCTGCTCTTATGGACTAAATTATATCCCCACCCCCACCCCCAAATGTGATTATATTTAAAGATAGGGTCTTCAAGGAGGTAATTAAGGTTAAATGAGTTTGTTAGGATGAGGCACTGATCCAATACAATGTGTGTCTTCATAAGAAAAGGAAGAGCTACTAGGAGTGCATGTGCACAGAGGAAGGCCTTGTGAGAAAGCAGCCTTCTGCAAGGCAGGATGGGAGGCCTCACCAGGAACCAACCCTGCAGGCACCTTGATCTTGGACTTCCAGCCTCCAGAACCATGATAGAATAAGTGTCTGTTGTTTAAGCCCCTGAGTCTGCTGTAGTCTGTTGTGCAGCCTGAGCAGGCTGATACACCTGCAGCTCACACTTCTCCATGTCACAAGTACTTCTTCCCATTCTTCACTGCCACACACAGCTTCTTCACTCTTCAATAATGGCCACTCCATCTAGGGGCCAACAGAAACCATGGAAACTCTCTTTGCTTATCTTCAATCACTTCTTGGGATCCCTTTTCAAATATGCTGCAGTCGGGAATGCCCAAACCAGGAACACAGCTAGCCCATGTAGAGCCTTTGTGTGAATTAGAAAAAAGGCCCTTCTCTGGTCAATATGGCCCTGGGGACACACAGCAGAGTGAGCAGACAGTGTTTTTATGGTCATCAGAAGATGGCACTCCTTCCTCCACACAGACTCAGCCCAATGCCAGGGTGCACAGGTGGGCAAGCACAGTCCCACCATGCCACTTGGCCTGATGTCCTTGCACAGCAAGTCCCCAAACTTTTTGGCACAAGGCACTGGATCCACGAAAGATAATTTTTGCATGGACTAGGGGGTGGTGGGGGATGGTTTGGGGGTGATTTAAACACATTACAGCATTACATTTATCATTAGACTCTCAAAAGGAGCGAGCAACCTAGACTCCCCACATGCACAGTTCACAATAGGGTTTGTGCTCCTATGAGAATCTAATGTCACCACTGACCTGACAGGAGGCGGAGCTCAGGTGGCAATGCTCGCTTGCCCACCACTCACCTCCTGCTGTGTGGCCCGGGTCCTAACAGGACACAGACTGATACTGGTCCATGGCCCGGGGACTGGGGATGCATGTCCTTGTGCCCAACCACAGGCAGAGCTCTGAACAAGCCCCTGACCACCTGTCCCAAGGCTGGCTTCTCATCTCAGCGCAGGGCTGCACAGATGGCAGAGAATCGCAGTAGCGGTAGAGACAAGGACAGCTCCTGTGTTCCCTGAACTTCCTTCTCATTCCCCCAACACCAGCTCCAACGCTGGTCCCACCAGCAGGTACGAGCCATGTTCCACACCACCCACTCCAGAACCTCAGCCTGGCCTATGCCTGGGGACTCCTCTGACCCACAGTTGATGCCCTTCTTCCCTGCCTTTGTCATTCCACACCAGACTGAAAGGAATCCCCCAGGAGGCTGTTGGGGTGGTTGGGAGGAGGAGCGGGCCCACAGCTCAAGGCTCCCCAGGGGGACTTCACCCCAAGGCCTCTCTGCCCCTGCAGAGCTATGAAAGCTCTTCCAGGAAGGGCCACCTGGTGGCAACTTCCATTTGAAAGGATGTCCCATGTAAGCCCAAATTGAAGAATTTAACCCAATACTAAATTTTTAAAAGACTGAAAATGCACCAACTCTGTCATGGAGCAAATGTGAGTTCAGAGAATAAAGAGTAATGATTGGGTTCCTCTTAGTTTCTTCTAATTCTGCCCACGAGCAGCTCGTAGCTGATCTCTTCTCCAACACCACAGCTGAAGATAACACCTGAGGATGGCATCTTCCCCTTAGATATGGCCCTGGGCTGGGCTTCTCCATGGGCAGCATGTTCTACCGAAAGCATGGTATGATTGGAAAGATGACTTTATAAAAACCTCCTGGCTAAGAACTCCTCCCTCATGTCCCCACCAAAGGGCTACCATTATGGCTTTATTTCTTTGGCCCAATTCTGGGCTCTTTTAGAATGTCACCATTTCAGGAGCAATGACATTAGGAGCTCTTGCTACCACCAAGTGTAGGGCAGCAATTATGAGGCCAGGCTCTAAAGCCAGGTTTGGAGATTCAAATCCTGGCTCTGCCATGTAACTGGTTCTGTGACCTTGGGAAGGTCATTTATCTTCTTCTTGAGTCCAATACCTCAGCTGAGAAATGAGGACAATCATCATCCTCTTTCCTCCCTGGCTTGTTGGAAGTGTTAGATGAGGTGATGTGGAAGTTGGTTAGCACAGTGACCAATATCTAGTAAGCAATCAGTGAATGTTTGCTATCATTAATCTTGGATGCTCGAATGTTAATTAGTCTATCAGCTGTGTTCTTACAGGGTGATAGACATTTCGATATGGTTGGCTTTAAATTAACTGACCAAAGAGTCAGCAATTCCAGCCTCTCCCAGTTGTCACCCATCTTTTCACTAATGTCACCCACTCTCCTGCTGATGTCACCCTCCCTCACCCCAAGGTCAGCCACCTCACCACAATGTCCCCATTCCCCTCCAGTTCTTAGGGTGCCTGAGTCCCATACAGAAGGTGAAGCAGCTTCTCCTGGTCTCAAGCTTAGGGCCTGCCCTTGGCTTTAACTGGAAACTGAAATGTAAGTTGTTGAAAAAACTAGTCCAGGATACTTGGCTGAGGGCAAGGTAAATATAGCTGAAATCCTATCCCTCCAGTGGCTGTAAATTTGATTTAACCAAAAAAGCATGGGCTGAGGATTTAATGAAAGCCCATCCCCAGCTTGGAAAGAAGCAGAGTAAAAAGAGAGTGGTTATTGACATTTTCACTGCCGGGCAGGAGATGCATGTCTGGCCCCAGTGAGTGAGTCAGGGAATCCATCAGCATTGGAAAATGAATGAGGCGCCCATCAATCTCACCCCAATCTCACTCCCAACTAAAACAGAGCTGGGCCACACCACTCCTCAAGCTGTTTGCCAGCCAAGCGCCACTGCTCTGCTCCTAGACTTATGGAGCCAATAAGGACACAGCAGGGCTGGAATTTGGTTGGAAATCTCCAAAAGGCATCTATTCTGTCCCCTCTCTGATACGATCAGCCTTTGAGACTCGAAGTTGAATCTCCCTAACACATAGGTGAATGGGTGTGTCCTCTGCAAATCATCTGAAGATAACAGGAATTCCCCTCCCCCACCAAACTACTCCCCCCACCATTGGAAAGCCATGGCCTTGAGTTATCTTCAGGCAGACTACCTTCTTTTTCCTCTTTTTAAAGATATAAATATTCTGGAATTGGTCATGAAATAAAATGTCATCAAATATTAGTGGCAGAGGGTGAATTGGTTTCTCCAGTTTCTTACTCCATGGGGATGAGTCAAAAGCTTGTTGTTGGGGAAGAAGTTTGGTATTACATGGTGTGGTAGAGGTGATCACAGCCCAGAAAGGACCATGCTCCCACTCCACAGTCAGGCTGCTACTGGGGAGCCTACCAGGGACTGCACTTCCCAGCTTCCCCTGCATTTGGAATTAAACATCTTGCAGTGGAATGGGGGTGACAGTGATAGGTGTTCCAGGCTGACCTGGTAAAGCATTAGGTGCAGGATTCTCCATGCCCCTTCCCTGGGTGACTCCAGGTCGACCTTGTGCAGCACAAGATGGCAACGCCATGACATGGAGCAGCTTGGGTCCGTGAGTCACCCCTTGGAAGATAGCTGCCTGCATGGGATGGACTGTGCCAATGAGATTTGGGGTGGTTTGTACAGCAGTTAGCACCACTCAGCTGAGAGGAGAGGCGCGGACAGAGCTCAGGCCTGTGGTGGTGCTGTCACAGACATGGCTGTGGGGAGTAGAGACATGAATGAGAATGATGGGCACTTTATGGGGAACGAGGGAGGGCAGAAATGCACGCAAGCTACTCCCGCTACAGCCAAGCGTTCCCAGACTGCAGCCACCCTGATTAAGTCACGTGAGGTCATTTGACAAGCACAAGAAAAAAGAATCCATTACTCTAAATACAAGTTGTTTTGTCAGAAAAAACTTTTTTCTGTATTTGGTTGGGAGTAATGAGGTGTTTTAAATTTTTACTTTGGTTTTGATTTGGCTCTCACTAGGACTGAAAAGCCATTCCAAATAAGGTATTGCTTTTCCCTAAGCTTCCCTGCACACGTGGACATGTAACTCCTTAAAAAAGCTACCCTAAATCCACGTGCATACTAATGCACTCATTTCCATGGTTTTTTGAACCTCCACACTTAGATTTGGATCAGGTGGCAAAGTGAGGTCATTGATGATAAGTATCTTACACCTTGAGTGCCCTGCCCCTAGATCATGCTATGGGACAGTCACTGGCTGCCAGGCTGGGGTCTAGGAACTAAGTCAGTAAGTGTCTGCTGAATACATAAATGAAATACTATTCAATATCTTTCCACTTCTTAGTTAATCAGTCAATCTATTTTCCAAGTAGCTTCTATGCCAGTACAATTCCCCAGCCCCCATTCTCTATAAATGCTTGGCGAGGGGCTGGGGGACAGGGCATAAAAATAGAAACCATTTCAAACAAAAGTCTCCCACATCATAGTTTGGATTAAGGGTTAGCCCAGGTCTGAGCCAGCTCATGCATTCCACCAAAAATTTCTGCCACAAGCTATCTCAGGATAATATCTACAGGTGAATGAACTTGTTTCTTTCTCCATTTAAGAAAGTCCCCATTACTAATTCTCCAATACTCTGAGTGAAATTTACACAGACACAGACACACACACACACACACACACACACACACACACACTTGGGTTGAACAATACTGAATACTCTAACAATCAGTGTTCTGGGAGGCAAACAACTCCAGCTAACTTAAGCAGAAAAGAAATTCGTTTGTAGTGCATTGGCTGGCTCACAGATTCAATTGAAATTACCTGGGAATCAGGTTCAGAAAAGAGAAAAAAGCTAAGGAAAATAAGGTGTTGAGAAGATCACACTGTGAGAACAGCCTTCTTAGCACCACAGCTATAGTCTGAATGTTTGTGTCCCCCTAAAATTCATATGCTAAAACCTAATCCCCAATGTGATGATATGAGGAGATGGGACCTTTGCAGGGTAATTACAGGCCCTCATGAATGGGATTAGTGCCCTTATTAAAGAGCTTGGAGAGCTGCCTTGTGTCTTCCACCACATGAGAACATGGTTAGAAAGCACCATCTATGAACGAGGAAAAGAGCCCCCACCAGACACCAAATCTGTTGGTACCTTGATCTTGGACTTCCCAGCCTCCAGAACTGTGAGAAATAAATTTCTGTTGTTTATAAGCTACCCGGCCTCTGGGATTTTGTTACAGCAGTCAAAGCAGACTAAAACACATACCATCACTGACACCATTGTCACTGGACTGCAGTCTCTATCTCAGCCTGTGCAGCTCTGTTACTCACGTTTCAAAGTCCTAGGCAGAAACATCCAATTGACGTAGGATAGGTCATAAGCCTGCACCCCAGCTTCCAAGAAACCAGGGTAGGTGATAACCATCCCCCCTCATTTTCTGAAGTGAGTTATTTGGAAACTAGTCAGCCAAAAGTAATGGACAGCCTGTTGCAGTCCATCTCTTCAGCTCCCCAACATTTTCTCACACTAGTCTTCCCATAATGGGAACTTTCTAAAAGTGTTCCTAACATAGCACAACTATCCTTTAATATGCTGAAAGTGCTCTCAACTCTCCTCAAGGTGAGGCACCCATATTACATCAGCTAGCCCAGATTTCTAGACCATGTCCATTCCACTTAATATATTTTAATGAATTTCTTTTCATTGTTGCCACTCTATCTTGATATTCTATATCCTAGGTAACAAATTATAAAACAACCACCATCAACACTAGAGACAACAATGAAAGGAAATTCATTAAAATATATTAATGTATACATTAAAAGACATGAAAGAATACAGTAGCCATCCATGCTTCTGAAAACATGGCAGTTATGTCTCCCAAACTGCATCGCTCAATACATGTTCTCTCGCATAGTCCCTCGCACCTACTATGCAGCTATTGACCTGAAGAATGCCTTTTCCTCTATTTCAATAAGCAGAAAATCAAAACAAAATTTTCAAACCCAAAGCAGTTTGCTTCATCTGATAAAGACAACAACACACTTTTACCGTCTTTCTTTGGGACTATTTTATAGCGTCAGCTCTATGCCATACTTACTCCACAGGAGTATTTCCTATATCACCATTATCCTACAGGATGTTATACTCACCCACAATACTAATGACGCCAGGCTTATGGAATATAGAAATCAGAAGGCTGCAGCCATACTGGATGATTATGTAACACACAAAGGGTCAGAGATAAACACCATGAAAATATTTAGGTGTGTCATCTCAATACAGTTTCCAGGGTCCAGTGGTCTAGAATACCGATTTCCATCCCCATGAGTCTGGAACATGCCAGTTTTGAAGTTTTCATATTGAAGGGAGGGATGATTTACCAGAAGACACAACAACTGTTCCACTGAATTGTAGCAGAGGCTGCTACCTGAATCTTTCTTGTTTCACATGCCTGAAACAGGCAAAATTGGAAGCTAGAATGTTAGCTGGTATGATTGATACTCTTAAGGGGAATTAATGCTGCTCTACCCAATGAGGGCAAGAAGGTGTATGGGATAAACTACAGTGGCCATTAGAGGGCTTCCTGGTGTTTCCATGTGTGCGAGGTACTGTAATAGACCCATGTGTCCTAATTCCCAGAACCCATAAATATGTTAGGTTACATGGCAAAGGAGCATTAAGGTTGCTAATTAGATTACCTTAAAATAGGGAAATAATGCTAGATTATCCTGTGACACCCAATTATAGTTACATCATTAGGTTTAAAATAATTCGGTCTTTGTTTTAAGCCATATTTACATTCCACACCAGTCAAACTTGATAGAAATCATGATTTTTGTGGTGGCGCTAATCTTTGAAATTCCCCTGGAATGTAGTATTACTTTGGATTACCATTTAGTAGTGAAGAGCCACACACTAAAGAGAATCAAGATAGTTACCAAATTATGGCTAGCGTGTAGTTAGAGCAGTATTCAGAATGTTCTGACCCACATGGATCTTTGGGGGCTGGTTAATTTTAGAGACTCTAGAATTGAAACAGGTAGGCAGCTCACTAATATTCTACTTGATCTATAAAATAAACAAAACAAATATCCCCTATAGATCTAGTGATCAAGTCATGGTCCTTCTGTTACAGCAGTCAGAGCAGGGAAAAGCCATTCCAAATAAGGTATTGCTTATCCCTAAGCTTCCCTGCACACGTGGACATGTAACTCCTTAAAAAAGGACTTTATTTTACCCTTTCTCCCATAATATCCTTGACTTCATGGATCAGAAAGACAAGATGGGGATTCTAGCAACTGCTGAGTATATATATGTGTGTGTGTGTGTGTGTGTGTGTGTGTGTGTGTATGTTTTAACTTTAAACTCACAATATGAAGAAATAATCTCAGGATGTAGTTTATTATAAAGAAAACTCAGGCTGAAATCAACAACCTGACTCCTGTAAGCTCTCAGTAAAACCACTAGACTAGCATGACATTCTGTCCCTTGAGAATTTAGACTTATTTCAGAACTAGTGTTCAGTAATCCCCAAAAGAACTTGCTTTTTCCCTGCCCCCAGTACCTGGTTACTTTAGTAAATAGACACAGTCCTTTTGCAAAAGATTTGAGAAAGACTCACAGTATATATTTGTGATGACATTGCAGGCTCCCTCCTCAAGGGAACCTGTCTTTCCTTCGATCCAAAGAGCTCTGGGTCTGGCAGCTGACTTAGATTTAGGTATTAGGGAAGGACCATGACTTGATCACTAGATCTATAGGGGATATTTGTTTTGTTTATTTTTTTAGATCAAGTAGAATATTAATGGGTTGCCTACCTATTTCAATTCTAGAGTCTCTAAAATTAACCAGCCCCCAAAGATCCATGTAGGTCAGAACATTCTGATTACTGCTCTAACTACACGCTAGCCATAATTTGGTAACCATCTTGATTCTCTTTAGTGTGGATCTTCAGCCTCTATTGTTCCAGAATTGTCTCACCCAGATTGAAACCAGGGAGCCCCTTCCAACTACAGTGTCTCCTACCAGCATACAGAGCAATCCCAGTACCATACTTCTCAAAGATGCTGATCCTTCCTCTCGGCACAGATGTCTCTCTTAATGCCTTAAAGAAGAGTGAGGCGGGCAGATCACTTGAGGTCAGGAGTTCGAGACCAGCCTGGCCAACATAGTGAAACCCTGCCTCTACTAAAAATACAAAAATTAGCTGGGCATGGAGGCACGTGCCCATAATCCCAGCTACTCAGGAGGCTGATGCAGGAGAATCACTTGAACCCGGGAGGTGGAGGTTGCAGTGAGCCAAGATCATGCCACTGCACTCCAGCCTGGGTGACAGAGCAAGACTTTATCTCCAAAAAAAAAAAAAAGGAAAGCAATGTCTAGGCCCTCCTGAGGGGCACATTCGGAACCACTCTTAGACCTAGGCAACCAGGTTTACTGTGCCAGGCTCTATACCATAGGGGGGCCTGCTGTGATCCTCCTCTTACTGTGCCCCTTTCCACAGGGTGAAGTCTCTCATAAGGTTACAATAGTCAACTGTCAGTCATGGCTGCCATTTCAACTGAAAAGTCAACTGGAGTGATGGATGGGGTGGATCTGCTCCCAAGCTCACACACATGGTTGTTGGCAGGTCTTGATCCCTCACTACATGGACACAGAGAGTGGCTCACAACATGCCAGCTTGAGTCTCTCAACCAAGGGATCTCAGAGAGGGAGAGAGAGCCCCCAAGAGAGAAGTCACCGTGTTTTTATAGCCTAATCTCAGAGGCGACATTATGTCTGCTGTACTCTATTCATTAAAAGGACTTCACTAAATCCAGCCCACACCCAAGGAGAAGGGATTACACAAGAATGTGAATATCAGAAGGCTGGTATTGGTGCAACCTTAAAGGCTACTTAACACAGCTTCCTTAGTAGGGCTCAGAAATACTCCCAAGTAGGAAGGGCCTTGTGTAGGCAACAAAACAATAAATGTCCACTACAAGTACTTAGGTAAATTAAGTACCCAAAGATTAAAGGAACCAGGATAGACTCTGAAAAAAAAATAAGGTAATGGGTCACAGGGCAATTTTAGAAGTTCTTCTCCCATTTTCGGTTCATTTTTGCCTAGTTCCTAAGGCATATGTGCAAGCCCGGCCATTTGTGTGTGCAGAATAGACAATGTCCACATGGTGTGATTCAACAGACACAAAGAAAGTCTGTCTCCTGGGACCCAGGAAAGCCTCATCCCCAAATCCCATGCTGTCACTCTCTTTTTCTTACATTTTGTACATTGCAAAATGAGATTTTTTCTTTTTTTTTTTTTTTTAGCATAAAGCTTCTTGATGTAAGGCAAACATCTCTGAGGCTTTTAATATGGGAAAGTTTTATCAGTCACTAGTACCTTGGTACGAATTTGGTGGCTCAGGTCTTTTCTAGAACATTCTTTCTTTGATTGCAAAAGGAGAGTATAGGAAAAAAGAAATACCAGGAGGATCCCTAGAGATTATCATGAGGTGGTGATTCTGTCCAAGAGAAGAGAAGGTGCATTGAGCGGAGACGGGTATAAAGCCATCCTTCATTTTCTTCATCATTTAGCCCACAATTTTCAGTCAGCAACAAACAATGACATTGTACTGATGCACAGTCCTTGTTTTATCTGGCACTTCATTCTATGACACCCGAGTGAGGGAAGCATTGTGTCCGCTATTTAATAGAGGAGGTTAAGTGACTTGCCCAATGTCACAGCTACTTTGCTATTTTGCAGCAGAGTCAGAATTACTATCAAAGGAAGTGGATTCCAACATCAGTGTTCTTTCTACTACATCTTCCAGCCCAAGGAAGCAGGATAATGGCAAGGTGGGGGGCAGGGGAGTGAGGGCGGGTTTTCAGAGTGATCTTTAGAAAAACGCACTCTTGACAAGGAGAGCTGTCACTCCTTGTGACTCTGACAACACAAATAAAACACCCCTACTTGAATGGATGGCAAACAGTTTTGCAGGCATTAGGGGTTTTTAATCCAATCTTGAGCACTCAGATTTTGATTAGATAGGACATTTGGGGAAAAGGTAGTTTATGTTGAGTGGGAAGCCGTATTGTTCTGTGCTTAAAGTATGCACACTCTGGGAGGGAGCTTTAGAATATTATGGCTCTGAAAGAAACACTTTCATCCTGGCAGTGGTATTTTCAAATCTAAAACCACTTCATCATTTTCAATGGCCCATCCAGACACAGCCAAAGACAAGGCTGATACCCAGGCTGATGTTATGCTAAGTGTTGGATGGCCCTTTAAGTCCTCGTTTTTGTCTTCTATCTCAAACTTGAGAGTAAGGGACCTAAAAACCAGGGTGAACAAATGTTTTCTGTGAAGGGCTAGTTAGCAAATATTTTGGACTTTATGGGCCAGACATCTCTGTCACAAGTATTCAGCTCTGCCACTCTAGGGCTAAAGCAGTGACGGGCCATAGGTAAACAAACAGGTGTGGCCAGGGCTGGCTGTGAACTTGCAGGACCCCGAGAGTTGAGTGCCTCCTTAATTTGTTAAACCCTGGACACCTTGCTTGTCTCACCTTAATCCCAGGCCTGAGCAGGACTGTATCATAATAAAATCTTGTTTACAAAAGCAGTAGGCATCCTAACAGCCAAAAAGCAGAAGCAATCCAAGTGTCTATCAACTGAGGAATGGATGAACAGAATGTGGTCTATCCATACAATGGAATGTTATTTGGTCATAAGAAGGAATGAGATACTGGCACATGCTAGAGCATGGAAAAAACCTAGAAAGTGGTGTGCTAAAAACAAGAAGTCAGTTACAAAAAACCCGGTATTATATGATTCCACTCATTCAAATGGTATGCCCAGAACAGGGAAGTCTATAAAGACAGACAGTGCATCTGTAGTTACTTGCTGAGGAGGGGCAGAATGAGGAGACATTAAGGGGTAGGGATGGTAGCTAAAGGACTTCTTTTCGACGTGATGAAAATGTTCTAAAATTGACTGTGGCAATGGTTGTACATCTCTGTGAATACACTAAAAATGACTGAATTGTTCACCTATAATGGGTAAATGTCACGGTGTGTGATTTGCATATCAATAAACTGTTTAGGGAAAAAAGAAAACAAGTAGTACACAGGTCAGATTTGGCCCATTCTCCAGAGTTTGCTGACCCGGCTCCAGTGTAATTTTTTTAATGTATCTTCTTTCATCTTCCAGGTAAACCTGTGAGGCAGATATTATTTTGGCTCTGAATGATGAGGTAATTTGCCCGGGTCACTCAGCTAGCAAGGGGAGGGCCAGAGTGCCTTCCGAGCACATCTGTGCTACTGGGCTCATCACTCAGATGAGAAGCCTCCACTTTTATCTCCTCCAGAGTGTGTGGCCCAGAGCTCTGTGCCTGGAGAAGACACCATCAACTGTTGATTTGATTTGTACTTAGAGAAGAAAAACAGTGTAATGATTAAGAGCACAGACTCTGGAGTGAGACTGCCTGGATTCAAATTCCAGCTCATTGCTACTGCATGATCCTGAGCAAATCAGCTTTTCCTCTCTGTCTCAGTTTTCTCATCTGTAAAATGGGGATAACAAGAGCTCCTACCTCACAGGATTCTTGTGAGAAGTTAATGAATTATATATGAGAACAGTGACACAGATTTGCTATATTATTATTTATAAGCTACGCTTCTCACAGGTATTGATGCTCCTGCAAGGAGTGCAATCTGTTCTAATGATGGACATTTCAGGAATCAACAACAGGTCAGCAGGAAAAATTGGGGGGAAAGGGGAGATGCTTGGCCCTCATCAAATCACACCATAAGCAGGTCTTGCTGCTCAACTAAACTTCACGACATCCCCAGGCCTCCAGCTCTCCCAAGTGCACAGGACATTTGGGAAAATTAATGGATGGAGGAGTTTGACTTAGCTGCCTGGACCTGCTGTGATGGGAGGGGGTGTGGGGCGTACCCCGGGCCTCAGCCACTCAGCACCATCCGGAAGCGCCTCATGTTCCATTTAGCTTATAATAGCAGATATGAAAATTTTATCAGGTTTTCTGCCTTACTCTTGTGAAATATTAAACATCAATAAATTATTAAGCTGAATGTAAAATACTACAAATGTTCCTAGATTTCAAAAGGCACTTCAGAAGCACGTTGGTTACAGGGCTATTTTGGGCAAAGCAAACCTGCCCCAGTAAGGAGGTATCTTTTTTCTTCTCCCATTATCTGTGTTCCTTCATAGGGAAGTGTCTATTCTGGGATTCACGCTCTACAAGTAAGCCCCAAAGAAGCTTCTGCACAGGTAGCCACTTGACGCGTTCTAGGAGGAGTGTGGGCAGGATCTGGAATCTGCACCCGGGAGGAGGGAAGAGAGCTGCAGGCCTGGGGCCCAAACTTTGAAAAAAATGACAGTGTTAGGTGTTCCTTCTCTCCATCTTGGAAGCGGGAGTGCATCTTGGGCACGGGTTGTGGCCAAAAAGGTTTCTGATGGCCCAGGAATGTGTGTCTAGTGGACAAGGAGGTGCTGAATGGAGTCTGTTTCCCTAGGAGGCTAAGGAGGTTCCTGAGAAAGACCCAGCCGGATGTGAACCAGCGAACCTGACAAATCAGTGGGGTGCCCAAAGGACGATGCCTGTTGCCAAGGAACTGAGGAGCCTCCCTGAAAACAGCTCACCCTGAGAAGAAGGCACTAAGCCCCAGTCTTTGGTTGCAAAAAGGAATCCTGAGCCCAGCACTGCAGCTGCTTCTCTGGTCCTCCCACAGCCCAGCCTCCTGCACCTGCATCTGGCTCAGGACAGAGGGACAGCTCCGAGAGAAACCAAAAGGAGACACCTCACTGGTGCACAAGCCACTCAGCTCAGGTCTCCATTACAGGGCGTCCCAGAAAGGGGAGAGAGGGCTTTCCTGCTTTGTTACAAATTGCCACACAGCTCAGCATGCAGAGGCAAGTCAGCCACGACGGAAACATGACACAGGACAGCATGGGGTGACAGTGAGGCCCAGACAGCAGCAGCAGGCACAAAGGCTTTCAGCACGTAGCAGGGAGCCGTGGGGGCAGAAAGACGCGGTGCCTACAGCGCCTGGCAGAGCTCCCAGGATGGAGCTGCTCCCTCGAGACCCAAGGCTGTGCCTTCCTCATGCCTGCCCAGGAAGGCTGGTCCCAGCCAGACTGCCCCTTACTCCTCCACCCCACCTTCGCCTCTGCCTCTCTCTGTTTCAACACTGTCTCTGTGTATGGGTGTGTGTGTGTGTGTGTGTGTGTCCATTTATATAATTTATTTCATAAATCAATTTAGCATTTTACCCAAGGAAGACAGGTGTAACAATTAGGAATAATTTTGTCTACCCGTAACAGAAACCTGACCAGCTGTGGCTTAGCACACCAGGACAGCTCCCGTTTACCTCACACAGCCTGGTGGTAGCGGGTGCAAGGTTGATCCCGGGTCACTGAAGATCCAGCCTCCCTACTCTTGCAGCACTGTCTGCATTCTTTAGTGTACTTGCTCTTTCTCCTTCATGCTACCCCTCTAGGTGTTACATCTCCCGGGGAAACATCAAGCAAAGAAAACCTGACTATAGGGACTTAGAAAAGCAGGGCTTGTTTTCCTCATCACAGGAAGTCCAGAGGTAAGCAGATGCCCATGGGATTTCAACTACTCAGCAGCACTGGCGCCTCCTGTGCCTCCACACCACAATCTTTGGTGAATGGGCCTCTGGCATCACTTGCCAGTTCTTGGTGACAAGATGGCTGCCACAGCCCCAGACATCACACCTGCCTTCAAGGTAGGAGAGGGGAGATGGGCAAAGCCAGCTGCAGCTGCATATGTCTCCTTTTATCAGAAAAGCAAAAGGTACATTTGCTGGTGAGGCTTATCTCTCTCTCTGCAGCCTAGGCCTCTGCCTTGTGAGCCAAATCCACACATCCAGCTGTCTCCTGGGCATCTCTCAGACCCCCATACGTACGTGAAAAGACTGGGAGACCTGGGTTTAAGACTGAGCCATGCCACTGGCTGAGACCTAGGAAAAGACACTTAATCCTTCGGAATCTAGGTTTCTATCTAACTTTGGGAATACTGCTCCCTGAAGACCTCCCATAGAGTTACTGTGAGGATGAAATCAGACAATGCAGGTAAAGGTGCTTTGAAATTGCAAAGCATGGCAACATTTCCTCGTGTGTTCCAAGAATAACAAAAACAAAAAATGTGCACTGCCAGGTGCGGTGGCTCATGCCTGTAATCCCAGCACTTTGGGAGGCCGAGGCAGGCAGATCACTTGAGGTCAGGAGTTTGAGACCAGCCCAACCAACATGGCAAAACCCCGTCTCTACTAAATATACAAAAATTAGCCAGGCATGGTGGCAGGCGCCTGTAATCCCAGCTACTCGTGAGGCTGAGGCATGAGAATCACTTGAACCTGGGAGGCGGAGGCTGCGGTGAGCTGAGGTCACACCATTGCACTCCAGCCTGGACGACAAGAGTGACTTCGTCTCCAAAAAAAAAAAAAAAATTGAAAATAGAACCACCATATGATAGTCAGAGACATGGGCACTCCCATGTTTACTGTAGCACTATTCACAGTAGCCAAGATTTAGAAGCCCATCTATGGAAGAATGTGGTACATATATACAACAGAATACTATTCAGTGGAGACTGGCTGAAGGGAGAGCTGTCTGAAGAGGGTTCTGGAAAGCCTTGGAGGCAAGCAGCTGCCAGCTCCTCCGAGCCTCGAGCCTCGGTATGTTGAAAGGCAGCGGCAGGGTGGGGCGGGGAGTGGGGGAGCGGGGGGGTGGGGGCGGTGGCGCGGGTGCAGCTACAATCTGCTCCACGCAGCTCGGCAGGGCTTCTGGGCACAGGGAGAGACCCCTGGGCAGGCCCCATTCTGTATTCAGATGACACAGGAATACCAGCTCCTGGGGAAATTAAAAAGTATTCATTCTTTTTAAATGTTATGGCCATATTTAGGAAATCCTGGCTGCAGTGATGCAAGCCTGGTCTCACTAGACAGAACTTCTCAGCACCAACCTATTCTGGGCCTGAGCGCAGCATGCCATGTGCGGTGTTTCCACCTCGCTCAACCCGAGCATATTTTGAAGGTTGGTTTGGTTTGATTTCTCTGCCAAATGTATCTCAGGATTGATATTCCACCAAAAACCATTTGGAAATCGCAGCACCCTTCGACATGATCATGACGGCATTCTCTCACCAGTCCCAGCTTTAAAAACCTGTTGGATTCAACTAAGAGTCATGTGGCCAGGCTCCAGCCTCGGAGGAGTCCCCGGTCTTCCCACATTCCCATCTTTGTTCAGACAATCACATAGGTTAGCTGGTGTGACTTGTGTCTGTTTTAGGTGATTTGCCCCAGGCTCTGTCTCCTCCAAGATGGTCCCAGCTCCACCATCCTGCTGGGTCCCGCAAAGAGAAGTGAGGATCCCAGAGCCCACTTGACCATTTTTCTAAGAACCTGGCTGAAGCATTCCAGCTGGAGAATGCACTGCCGTCTGCACCACCTCGTCTCTTGCCTCAAGCCCTGGATTCACTCAACAAAAAGCCCACCTCATCCCCCAAACCTGCTGCCCCCCTGCCAACCTCTCACCAAAACAATTTTCACAACCTGTGACATGGTATTAATGCCACCACTCTCCCCTCTTGCCTTGCCCCAGCCACCTGCAGATCCCCGTAAGGGAGGCACCCATGACCTGGTGAAAACTGTGGCAGCATCGTCCAACGGTAGCATCGTACCTTGTGCGGCTGGGTATACCAGGGTATACCAGGGAGGAGCCCAGCATGCCCCTGTTGACCCCAGGTCCCCCTCCTTCTCGTCTACCATGGACTGACCCAGCCCATATGCCCTGCCTCAGAGATGCTAGGAGTCTATATGATACCTCTGCACAAAGTCAAAAGGTTCCCCTTCACAGACACTTCATTTCTATTCATTTTTAAATTCTCACCATTTTCTGATTTTTATTAAAATGAGACACTTCACTTCTACTTCCCAGAATTGTCATACTAGACCTATACAATCTATGGTTTCTATGATATAAACAATGCTCTCTTAAATGTATCCTTGGGCAGTGCACAGCCTGCACAACTGTACACAGAGGCCCTGCCCAGCCTTCTGCCTACTGCTAAAGTTACCCAGAAGCCTGTCCCCTTCCCTCTGATTCTAGTCATTGACAAGGCAACCACATACACACACACACACACACACACACACCCACAAAGAAATATGAGCAGACTGCCTGCCTGAGTCCAGAACCACCTGTCACTTGGATGTTTTCCTTGCCAAGCTGAACCAGCCCCAGAGCATCCAAGGATGCCTCGGGAAGGCATCCTTGCTTCCCCAGGGAGTAGACACTAATGGATACCTAATTCAATGGCTCTCACATTATAAAGTGGTGGCTAATAAAAAGCATTTATAGAACATTCATTGGAGAACTTTACATCCGCACTCCACCCATAAAAGCTTGATCATCTCCAAAGGTTACACATTCACGTGGGTCAGAGAGGCTGGCCAGGACCTGCTCCAAACTCATACCCAGAGCATCCAACCGCAGTCAAATATAGTTCCACTCAAAGTGGCATGACTAATTTCTCCCTCTCACTGCCCTCGGGTTTGAGCCGTGTGCTGTGCCCTGGCTGCCCTCAAGCCCGGGCCCGGTGTTCTGCAGTTTGTCTCCAGCTGGTGTGCAGAGGGCACACCTTCCTGCTCAAGGTCAGGGTCGTCTATGCTGCCTTTGTTCGGACCAGCCCTGTGCTAACCATCCAGCATGGCTTAGCTCATGAACCAGCTTGATCCTGTGCAGTGAGTCCTGTTAACATCCCCATTTTCTGGAAGAGAAAACTGAGACTCAACAGAGGTGAAGCAACCTGCTCAAAGTCCCACAGAGTCTGGCCCCTAAGCACTGCAATCGATCTAAAGCAATCATGTAGGTTAGCTGGTGTGACTTGTGTCTAACGTTTTAGGTGATTTGCCCCAGGCTCTGCCTCCTCCAAGATGGTCCCAGCTCCACCATCCTGCTGGGTCCCACAAAGAGAAGTGAGGATCCCAGAGCCCACTTGACCATTTTTCTAAGAACCTGGCTGAAGCATTCCAGCCGGAGAACTGTGCTTATCCATCCTGGGACCAGCTAGAGGCAGGGATGACCTTCGGCTGCATGCCCTCCAGAGAGCCCTGGCAGCCTTGGGCCACCCGAGGAATGAGTGGGGTGCCACACACCCGCATGACAGGCTGCAGAACACACCAGCAGTGGGGTGGGCCCACTATCCACCTCCACCACGCAAGTCTTCCTTCCTACCCTGGACATTCAAGGTGAAAGCCAGTCATCTTCTCCAGCTCCCAGAACTGGGCCAGCATCAAGTGGGAGGGAGGGAGGAGACAGGGTGAAAGGATGAAATTAAGAAACTGAGGCTCAAAGGGTTGTGGTTTTTTTGCCCAAAGCCTCAGAATTCCTTAGAAACCTGGTTGTGACTAAAAGTCCTGCAGACTACTCCCCAGCCCATCCCTTCCTCAGCACCTCCAATTCCTGTAGGAGCCCCAAGTCCCCTGCAGAATAAAGCCTCGTGCCCCATGCCCTTCTACGCACAGCAGCCTAGCACTAAAGCAAACTGCTTGCAGCTGCCACGCACCAGCAGTGACTTTCCCTCCTGCTCTCCTATACGAAGGATAACTGCCTACTTTGCTTCTATGCTCTCACATTTCTTCCTCCAGAAAGCCTTCCCCAAACCCTGAGGTCGCAAAAACTATCCCTTCCCCTGTGCTCCTGGTGCCGAGTGCATACCCTGCCCGGTCCCTCACCACATTCCTAGACGTCTGCCCGGCTCTGGCTCCCTCAGCGGGTCAGGCTCCAGGAGGGGAGGGGCTAGGGTGTTCAGCATCGCATGTTCCTGGCGCCCGGCATAACAGCTGGCACCCAGACACTGAGGGAAAGCAGCAACACCCTTTGGACTTGGGTGTGGAAAGCCTCAGTGCACCTGGCCGGGAAGATGGCTGAAAGGGACAGAAGGAAGGGTGGAGGCACCAGCAGCTGCCCCCCTTCCCATCTCTCTGTTTCTCCTAACCCCATTCACCACCTTCCTTCAACCTTCTCCCATCTCACAGAGGTAATTCTAAGTGATACCTTTTGGATGAGTTCCAACTCTGTTCCCACGGCAGTGCTCCATCCACGGGAGCCGCAGCATCGGCAGGGGCTGCTTTTGCACAGCAAAGCCCCCTTGGGGAGTACTGCACACTGTCCCCAAGAGAGCCCCTGGGCCAAGAGGAAGGCGCCGCCTGGGGTTGTGGTGGTTCAACAACGCCGTTACGCCCGGGACTCAGGGTCAGGCCAGGGGGCCTGGACAAGAGAGGAAGCAGTGACCCTGTTCACCCACGGGAGGGAGAAGGCAGCCTTGGGCCACTTCAGGAACCAAGCCAGGAGGATGGGGAAGTTCCGGTGAGGCTGTTCACTCATCAGAAGAAAGAATGTTCTAGAAATCAGAACGTTCTCACTGAGGGAAGACTCTTCTAGAGACATCAGTTCTGTGAGAGCAGGGGCTGTCGTGTGGGCCTCAACTCTATCCTCCGCGGTTAGAACTGTGAGCAGCGTACTGTGAATACTCCGTTGATAGCTGCCAAATGAGTGCGTGGGTGGATGGTGGAACCCAGACGATGAGCTGGTGTCGAAGGACCCCTGTGGGACCCGTATGTATGCTAAGGCAGGGGTGGCTGAAGCAGTGCCCTCTAAGGAGCATCTCCAGTTCAGGACGCCAGGACCCCTCACCGGCCCAGGGAAGCTGGGAAAAACTCCCCAGGAGCGGCCCCTTCCCGCTTTGTTTCCGCGAGGTCTGGGCTGTCTAGCCCAGTGCCTGTTCAAGAAGCGCCCCCCAGTGTCTGATGCTTCTTCATTCCAGATCACATCCAGCTGAGCTAATCGGGTCTCGAGGCTTGATTTTGAGATCATTCTGAGTCTGTTTTGTAGGCAGTGCAAATTGTAACTCCAACGGGTTTCTTGGCCAAGCCTGATGGTGCTAAAATAGTGTAAGAAATGGGGGCTTAGTTTATAATTCTAATTATTGGAATCAAAACTTCTAAGCAGTTCTTACCCTATAAACTTCACTTCCCAGAGCTAGATCCTAATATTTTAACTGATTCTAAATGTTCAACTTGGAAGTTTCTGAAGCTGGATTGTAAAGTTGGCTGATTGGTGAACAATCGTGGCACCCATCCTGGCACCTGGTGACCCTCATTACCTGCTGCCTGGTGACCCGCTGGGGGAATGAAAACACATATTACTGTCTACACAGTGTTGTCATGAGTGGTGGGGTGCCCAGAAGCCCCCCAGAGCCTCCAGAACTGTGATAAATACTTTTCTGTTGTTTCAAAATTACCCAGTCTATGATATTTTGTGATAGACACCCAAACAGACTTAAGACACCTATATATTACATGAGGGGCAAAACCAAGAGGACTATGCAGACAGCAGATCTGCTAGGGGCCTTGGGACCCCATCTGGTTCAACCCACAAAAAGCAACGTGGAGTCTGGATTTGGGAAGACAGAGGCTCCCAGAGCACATGCTGTCCCCTACACACTAGCTGTATAACCCTGGTCAGGTTTCTTTATGTTTCCCAAACCTCAAGTTGCTCATCAGTTAATGCAGATAATCCTTAACTGCTGCATGGGATGGTGGTGAGAATGTAACAGGTGAAATGTCTCTCCTGGAGTGGATGTTCAGTAGTGGCAGTTATTATTCCAAGTGAGGTGTTGAGCTTGTGTCAGACCCATCAGCACAAGGTCACAGGGCCGTCTCCTATTCAGGTGCAGGCCAGAGTCTCAGAGCCTAGGAATCTGGCCCTGGAACTCAGCCTCAGTCCCCCGCTTTTCCTCAAGGAGTGACAATTTGACAACTCCTCCAGCGTTGCCCCTTCTCCCGCCCCTCTTCACCCCTCTGCTTCTAGAAGTTCAGGGAGGTTGCCTGTACCCATGTTGCTCAGGGCATGCTGGGAGCCCCTCATCACAGCCTCTGCCACAGCAGGTAAACGCCTTGATGAGATTTGATTTCCTATTAGGCAAGCCCAATGGGGTGAAGAGAAATTCCAGGTCTTCCCACAGTCCCCTTAGAAGCACTCGCTTCATCAAGCCAACCAAGATTAAGCAATTTACATTTTTTTTAAATCTATGCAAAAGAGGCATTGCCTAAATCAGTGCTTTGTCCAATTAAAAAAACACTTCACGGCCATCGTTTCCAGCAGGGCTCTTATGAGGCGTAGCAGAGCCTGGCTCTGTGTGAGAGCAGAGGTGATGGAGCTGACATTTCAATTAGCTTCATCTTACTTGGGGAATTTATACCTTTCTCTGGCATAATTACATCTTCAGCTTATCCTCAAGTCCTCCTGCCCTTGAAAGTCACTCTCCAGCCTCACCTCCTCCTCCAGGAAGCCTTCCCTGGTCCCCCGCCCCTGGGCCCCCTCTCTCTTCTAACTTCCTAACTTCAGCACACCCTGTTACGCCACTCTTTCGGCCCCTGCTTGAAGTTTCTGTCGTGGCCTCCAAGACAAGCCAGCTCTAAATCCACATATTCGTATAAGGCCGTCGATGTGAGCAGACGGGGCTCCTACCTTCACAGGGTATGCAGAGAAAAGTCATGAACAGCAGCTGAGGTCTGCAAAGCCCCCAGTTCCTAATGGAGATCCTGCATCATCCAACCCCCAGTTCAGAACATGCAGACCCAGTGAGGCCACCACAGAGAGGCAAGAGGAGGACGATCAGAGATGCAGAGGTGACTTTGCCCCCGAAAGTCACCAGGCACAGGCTCAGGTCCTGGAGTCAGAATGCCTGTGTCCAGATCCCACCCCTGCCTCTTGCTGTCTGTGAGACCTTGGACAGTCACTTCCCCTCTCTAAGACCCAATTTCCCATCCTATATAATAAAGGATAAAATAGCTCCTACCTCATGGGAAAGGTATGAAGGTCAGATGGGCTCAGCTATGGATAGTGCAGAACAGTGCCAGGCACCGCCATGGTGCCATTCTACAGTGGCTTCCCTATTGGGTTCCGGGGTTCTGACCACAGGCCTGTGTCTTTGACTGTGGCCTCCCCACTAGGAATCCTCTGGGATCCCCAGGTCTGGAGTCCCTCTCCCTCCCCCAACAGACAGTCCCATTCACAAACTTGCCTCTGCCCATCATCTCCACCTGATGCCCTTGCCTGGGATGTTCACAGGCACTGGCCTACCAGGATGACCTCTGCTTCTGGAATAACCCCTTGGGCTCTGGCAATAGTCTCATTATCAACCACAATAAGTAGGATGAGAAAACCAAGGCTCTGAGAAGAAAAACAACACGCCCGGTTCCTCGTGGCTAGCAAAGGCAGAGCCAGGATTCAATACCAAGTCTCTTTAACCCCAAAGTCCAGGTTCTTCCTACTAAGTAGCCATACTCTGGCCCCACAAGGAAAGAGTCAGGAGCACCCATCAGGCTCACTCAAGCTGGACCTCCTGACAGCTTCTTCTCACTCCTGTCAGCCCTATCCACTCCCTGGGCACTGAGAGAAATGCAATGTTGTTTTCTCTGCCTTTTTTCATCACCATTTTCATCACCACTATCCCCTGCCTGCTTCTTCTAGCAAATCTTATTCATCCTTCAAAACCCCAAATGAAATGTGACCTCCACTTAGAAAGTGTTACAGATGCTCCCACTCTTTAGGCCAGTTTACATATTCCTCCACTATGTTCCTAATCCTTTTCTCTGTTTAAACTTTGTTTGTAATTGATGTCTGTTCCTCTGGACAGGATTCTCAGCTCCTCAAGGGCTGAGTCTCACACACAAAATCACCAAAACAGAGCTTTTCCATGCCCCGCCCCATCCTCATGTTTGAGGGGCCAATCATAGACAAATCGATCCAAAATACATCTGGAAAGAAAAAACATGCAGACTGAAGGGCCTCTGTGACTTCAAGGTGCAAACAAACTCAAATTTTGAGAATGAACAATTTCTTGGATTAGCTGACATCATGGATCAGAAGTATGTGAAACTCTGAAAAATATTTTCAACTCTGGCTTCAGAGGTTGTTTCCATCAGCCTCCCAGCTGTGCTGCCCAGTTCATCCTCCACTCTCCATCAGTGCCCAGGCTCTTCTCAGATAAAGGCCTTAGAGTCAAATTTGTTCCCCATCAGCACTCCCCTGTCTGAAGCCCCAGTTATGAGAATCCCAGGCCCTTTTGACAACTCAAGTATTTTGCTATATTTTTCCTTGAAATAAAAAGGAAGGTAATGATATGCACAGCAACATTAATGCAACATTAAGTTAAAAATTAAATTATTCATCAGCATGAAAATAATGTTAAGGTGCTGCTAGTGTTTTAATCACTGGCAGTAATACTCGGTTTTGCAACAACAGACTTTCTGCGCAGTCACTTAAAACATCACATTACTCAGAAAGGAAATGATCTCAGCTGCAGCCAATGCAGGCTGCTTGTTCACAGGTGAAAGGAAGTCCCTAGTCTCTGGACCCAAAAGCCAGAGAGGCATTTCTCCCATCTGCAGCTGATGGGGGTGAGTCCAACAGTAAGTGTCTTCTGCCTTGGTTGCACATCAGCATCTCCTGAGTTTTCTTTAAAATACCAATGCCCGAACCCCACCCGCAGATATTCTGTTGTAATTGGCGTCACTGCTACCCGTTCCCCTCTGCCACTGCGCCCTCTGCCATCCATCATCCCCTGCCCATCCCTCAATGCCCATCTCCCCCTCTTCCTCCCCTTCCCGCGTCCCCACCATCCCCTTGCTGCTGTTAACTGTGAGGGAGGAGACACAGGGACTAGACAGAGAGGATGACAGGGTTGGAGGAAGCAACGACCTCCCAGCAGCATGGAGGGCAGCATGGGGATGCTAAGAGCATGGAAAGGCCCCAGCAACGAGATCTGGTACTTGGATCCACACAGAGACAGAGACAGATGCTGTCAGCAGGCACTCCAGGTCCAGGGGAGAAAACCAGCACATAAACCTACAGTGGCCAGTTGTGTGATGGCTGCCCTCGGGAAGGCACCCAGGGGCTAGGAGAGCACAGAGGGGCCCCACAGCCCAGACTGTGGGGTCGGGCAGGGCTTCCCAGAGAACTGAGAGTCACAGAATTGTACCAGCTGCCTGGATTTAGCAAACAATTAGCTATTTACCGTTGTTATGGGTTGTAATGTACATGTGTCCCCCCCCCAAAATTCTTTGGTGGAAGAATGGGACTGTTTTGGGAAATAGGGTCTTTAAGGAGGTAACAGGGTAAAGTGAGCTCATGAGGGTGGGTTCTGATCCAATATGGCTGCTGTCCTTACAAGAAGAGGAGATGAGAGACAGCCATGGGAGGACCCAGGGAGAAGACAGCCACCTGCTGGCCAAGGAGAGCAGCCTCAGGAGAAACCACCCTGCCAATGCCTTCAATTCAGGCCTCCAGCCTCCAGAGCTGTGAGCAAATACATTTCTGTAGGCTAAGCCCCCCAGTCAGTGGTAAACCATGCATCCTCTCTCTCCAAAGCTGCTGAGTCCGGTTGGGTGGTGAGGACCCCAAGGCTTGGGAACACGAAGTAACCTGCCAAAAGTCCAGGGTGCCGGCAGCCAAGCTCTCAATGGTGCCAACAGGAGTGAGGCAGGCAGATGAGGTGAGAGGGTTCTGAGGGTCACTGGTCCCTAGACAGGGGGTGCCTGCTCGCCTCACTTCAACCCACACCATGACTGTCTCCAAAACAGTCAGGTCCTTCCCTTCCTTCCTATGTCCTCAGCACCTCTGAGAGATGTGAGATAGCCTCACAGGCTTAGCCTCCAGGGATGGGTAGATGGCACCCTGGGCACCAGTGGACTCAGACGTTCCTGGGAGCAGTGACAGAAAATGTCCCATCTTCCCGGAGGGCCTGGGCCCAGCAGCTTTTGCAGGAAGGAGCAAGCACATTACCAGGAGGCAGGATCTGTGCACCCAGACTGGCTGGAGGGAGACCTCTGCACCCTCACCCCAGTCCCTGTTAGAATGGCAGCCCAGGCCCCAGTGAGTCCCCTCACACTCCCGCGAGGGTCACTGAGAGCTGCAGGCACAGAATCTGCCCGCCTTTGCAAGGTCCGGGAGCTTATCTATGGCTGGATAATATTTTGAGACATTCATGTATGGATTTTTCTCCTCCTTACATTTTCCCCTTTCCCTACCCATGCCCAGGCAAGTGGCTGATTCAGTCCTTCAGTGCCTCAGGGAAGGTGCGCCACAGGACAGAAAACAGAAAAAACAGCAAGTCTTCCTGGATCTTCTGTCCCAAAAGTGTCAGCTCTGAGGATAATGGTTCTCAAACTCATTAATGCATCAGAGTCACCCAGAGGGCTGACTAAGATGCAGCTGACTGGGCCCCCACACCCCCTGCCCCCAAGTCTCTGATTCCTCGGTTTGAGGCGGGACCTGAGAACTTGCATTTCTAACATGTTCCCAAGCAATACTGGTGCTGTCAGTCCAGGGCCCCACTTTGAGAACCCCTGCTCTATACGGTGCTGAATATCAGAGGCCCCTGAGGAGCTTTCCAAAACTCCCATCCCTGGCCTCCCCAGAGATTCCAGTCTAACTGGCCTGGGATGGGCACAGGCACTGGAAAGTTCTTGGCAGCTCCCAGTGATTCTAGCATGCAGGCAGGCTCTCAGGCAGAGGTTTTCACAACCTAGTCCCTGGCCTCTGTCTGCCTCAGATAAACTCACACAGGCCAGCTCCCCCACACCGCACCTTATGACCCCCACCACACCAATTTCTGCCCCATGTTCACCGCCCAGAACGCTCTGCACATGAGTTCCCCTTCCTCGATGCAGGCCCCACTCAAGTGCTCATGCCTCTGAGATGCACTCCCAAGCCCTCTGTACCCCAGCCCACTTCCCGCAGCTCCCTGTTCATGCTCTTCCCATCCATGCTGGGAGCACTCACACCTGTGGCCCCAGCCTGCAGGTCGAGGGCCAGTCCTCATATTTGTTTCTGTGTTCCTGGCACCTCAGCCACAGTGGGTGTTCACTGCTGTCTGAATGACCCCTGACGTAGTCATCCTCCCACACTGACCATACCTGGAAAGCCATATCTGTTCTCAGCACATGTTAAGAAAGGCAGCACGTGGCTTGCCGAAGAAACACGAGTGGGAAATGGGAGAGCCATCTTCAGATACCCAAAGGACTGCAGGAAGGAAGAGATAAACGACTTCCGCGGCGTTGCTTTGGGGGCCTGTCACTAAAGCTCCAGGTGGAGGTCATAAACAGTCAGAGTCAAGGTCATGTCAGGAAGGAGCAAGTTGTTCCCATGGTGCTTAGAGTTCCCAGGAGAAGGCCTTGGGCAGAGTGCTGCTTCCAGCAGAAATGCTGCAAAAGAAATCCCAAGCAACCAGGCTGGGAGCAGCCTTAGACCCTTGAAATCCAGAGAATCTGCCGGTCCATGGCAACAGTGCTCCCCAGCAGCATCTGGGAGTAGGCAGAGAGGTGGCAGACTGGGGTCAGCCTGAGAGCCCCTGGAGCTGATGCACCTAGTCTACCCGGAGCCAGCTTCATGGGCTTGCTTGTAGAAGACTCCATCCGTGGTTTAATCCTCTGCTGTTGCAGTCTTACAACGGTTAATTTTTGAACATAGGCTCCATATTTTCATTTTGCCCTAGGGCCTCCAAATTCTATAGCAGGTCCTGAGTGTCTCCCCACTGCTACTGTAAGCAGAATGACCTTGAGCCATTAGGTAACCTCTGGAGATAGCTGCAGGCCAGAATACCTCTCAGCGCCATCTCCAGACATAAATGAAGGAATGGATGTGAACGCTGTTTGGAAAGGTCAGTCATCATTTCAAGAGATGCTCAAATATTTGCTGTTGACAAATGTGTTTATGATAATGGGTTGAAAAGCTTTGCAATACTAATCCTAATAATAGCTGCCATTTATTCAGCATCTTCTCTCTGCTAGGTTCCCTATGTTGTTTGTTTGTTTGTTTGTTTGTTTGTTTGTTTTTTGAGACAGAGTCTCACTCTGTCGCCCAGGCTGGAGTGCAGTGGCGCGATCTCCGCTCACTGCAAGCTCCGCCTCCCGGGTTCCCGCCATTCTCCTGCCTCAGCCTCTCGAGTAGCTGAGACTACAGGTGCCCGCCACCACGCCCGGCTAATTTTTTGTATTTTTAGTAGAGACGGGGTTTCACCGTGTTAGCCAGGATGGTCTCCCCTATGTTTTTATTTACTCTTCACAACTACCGAATGAGAGACAAATGATTATTCCCAGTATACAGATGAGGAAAGTGAGGCTAAAAAGCTAAGTGATTTGCCCAAAGTACCACAGCTGGCAAGTGGCAAAGCCAGGAGTGAAACCCAACTCTGCTCGATCCCACGTCCAGGCATTTTGATGGATTGATTCTCTGCTTGAGTCTGATTCTATCTGGGAGGTTTCACCTCCAACAAGTTTCCCTGGACCAAAGAAATCCAGGGAAGGTGAAGACTAATGTTGGGCTAAAGGTGAGTTCCAACCCAGGCCAGTGCCCCCGTGGCTTCCCTATGAGGGTCCCGCTAATAATACCAAGAGCCAGCTCTAATGGCTGACCCCGTTGGCAGGAACTCCCTTCCTCACTCAGGTCCTTAAAGACTCTAACAGGTTTCCCACAGCTATGGGCAGAGCAGACCTCTGCTGGTTTGAGCTAATGTAGAAGTAGCTGAAAAGACTCTTACTGGGAATTCTCTATTTCTTTTCCTTATTTTCCCTTTCAGCACAAAAGGAAGAAAACATATGACCTAAATCTGCCAGACACCTTTGAAAAGAAGGAACCCCTGGGAGAAACCCATTAGCAATCCTCACAGCCTATTTAATTATTATGAAAATACCAAAATTGTTAAGTAGCTAGAAAATACTTTGAATAAGAAGTTTGAGATTACAGCTCCTGCTGCATTTGCCCCCAAACATGTACAGTAGTTTTACAATACAAGGAAATATTTCCAGATGTCAATATTCATACAGAGTCCCCAGATCACTTTGAGGAGGTGAGAGTCTCTTGCAGAGATGTACTTTAAAATTATAATTTGTAGCACCCCCAAAAGCATCCTTTGGAAACTGCAAGTTGTCCACACTGGAGCTGCAAACACACCCATCCTTCCACTTGTGGAGAACACGGCAAAGGAAATTTAAGGGGATATGTGGCTGCTTCAATCCATTGGTAAATGCACACATGGACTCTAGAGTTTGACTGGACCTACCAGTTACTGATCCTGTGCTTGGCTGAACTCACTGGTCCATCAACCAGCTATGAGGACCAAAACAAAACGCTTTTAGGAAAAGGATTCTTTTTTTTGTTTTGTTTTGTTTTGTTTTGTTTTGTTTTCATTTTTTTTTTAATTTATTTTTTTATTGATAATTCTTGGGTGTTTCTCACAGAGGGGGATTTGGCAGGGTCATGGGACAATAGTGGAGGGAAGGTCAGCAGATAAACAAGTGAACAAAGGTCTCTGGTTTTCCTAGGCAGAGGACCCTGCGGCCTTCCGCAGTGTTTGTGTCCCTGATTACTTGAGATTAGGGAGTAGTGATGACTCTTAACGAGCATGCTGCCTTCAAGCATCTGTTTAACAAAGCACATCTTGCACCGCCCTTAATCCATTTAACCCTGAGTGGACACAGCACATGTTTCAGAGAGCACAGGGTTGGGGGTAAGGTCACAGATCAACAGGATCCCAAGGCAGAAGAATCTTTCTTAGTGCAGAACAAAATGAAAAGTCTCCCACGTCTACCTCTTTCTACACAGACACGGCAACCATCCGATTTCTCAATCTTTTCCCCACCTTTCCCGCCTTTCTATTCCACAAAGCCCCCATTGTCATCCTGGCCCGTTCTCAGTGAGCTGTTGGGCACACCTCCCAGACGGGCCCAGAGGGCAGAGGGGCTCCTCACTTCCCAGTAGGGGCGGCCGGGCAGAGGCGCCCCTCACCTCCCGGACGGGGCGGCTGGCCGGGCGGGGGGGCTGACCCCCCCCACCTCCCTCCCGGACGGGGCGGCTGGCCGGGCGGTGGGCTGACCCCCCCACCTCCCTCCCGGACGGGGCGGCTGGCCGGGCAGAGGGGCTCCTCACTTCCCAGTAGGGGCGGCCGGGCAGAGGCGCCCCTCACCTCCTGGACGGGGCGGCTGGCCGGGCGGGGGGGCTGACCCCCCACCTCCCTCCCGGACGGGGCGGCTGCCGGGCGGAGACGCTCCTCACTTCCCAGATGGGGTGGCTGCCGGGCGGAGAGGCTCCTCACTTCTCAGACGGGGCAGCTGCCGGGCGGAGGGGCTCCTCACTTCTCAGACGGGGTGGTTGCCAGGCAGAGGGTCTCCTCACTTCTCAGACGGGGCGGCCGGGCAGAGACGCTCCTCACCTCCCAGACGGGGTCGCGGCCAGGCAGAGGCGCTCCTCACATCCCAGATGGGGCGGCGGGGCAGAGGCGCTCCCCACATCTCAGACGATGGGTGGCCGGGCAGAGACGCTCCTCACTTCCTAGATGTGATGGCGGCCGGGAAGAGGCGCTCCTCACTTCCTAGATGGGATGGCGGCCGGGCGGAGACGCTCCTCACTTTCCAGACTGGGCAGCCAGACAGAGGGGCTCCTCACATCCCAGACGATGGACGGCCAGGCAGAGACACTCCTCACTTCCCAGACGGGGTGGCGGCCGGGCAGAGGCTGCAATCTCGGCACTTTGGGAGGCCAAGGCAGGTGGCTGGGAGGTGTAGGTTGTAGCGAGCCGAGATCACGCCACTGCACTCCAGCCTGGGCACCATTGAGCACTGAGTGAACGAGACTCCATCTGCAATCCCGGCACCTCGGGAGGCCGAGGCTGGCGGATCACTCGCGGTTAGGGGCTGGAGACCGGCCGGCCAACACAGCGAAACCCCGTCTCCACCAAAACCAGTCAGGCGTGGCGGCGCGTGCCTGCAATCGCAGGCACTCGGCAGGCTGAGGCAGGAGAATCAGGCAGGGAGGTTGCAGTGAGCCGAGATGGCAGCAGTACAGTCCAGCTTTGGCTCCGCATGAGAGGGAGACCGTGGAAAGAGAGGGAGACCGTGGGGAGAGGGAGAGGGAGGGGGAGAGGGAGAAGGAGAGGGAGAGGGAGAGGGAAAAGGATTCTTAAGGATACGCTTAAGTAAATCATAGTGACGGACACAAAGTCGAAAACCTGCCTCTTGAATTTTCCATCTATGCATTTGTTCAGTACAGTTATTAAATCATTGTTCTTTGCACAAAAACATGCCTAACACATAGTCCCAGGAGTTTTCTAAGAATAACTGCATTTAATTTATGTAACATTTAGCAAAGCCCACGTACCCAGTGCTGGGCTACATAGGAAGCCAGCTCCTTCAACCAGAACAGCCCACTTTATTCGTATCTGCAGTCTTCCTCTTGTTTCATCTGCCCCTAGCCCCACCTTCTATCCCCCTGGTTACAATGAAAGCTTACTTATAGATTCTATGAGACCTCACCCTTGCTAGTCACAGGTGATTGATGGGGCAGTGGTTGGAAAACTGACTAAAGCTAAGCCAATGAGAATCCTTCTCCTGCCATTGTATGGCTTGGGAAGCAGAGAAAGTTGGTCTACAGAGCAGACAGAGGGCAGATGAACAGTCTTTAGAATAAATTCTCCTTCGATGCTTAAGCCAGCTCAAGTGGATTTCAGTTACTAGCCACCAAAATGGAGCTTAGTCTCTACTTGATGATGCAAAAACTTTAGGATAAATTGATCCCAAAAGTCCATATTTGTTTATTCCTACGGGTGTAATTATCAGGTACAATAACTAGACAGAAGAAAAGACAGTGTGTGTCTTTTAAACTGAATTTGGTTAATGGCACAAAAACATTAAATAGATGCAGTCATCCCTTGGTATCTGTGGGGGATTAGTTCCAGGACACCCTCTTCCCTTCAGATACCAAAATCCAAAGATGCTTGAGTCTCAGAAATAAAATGATATAGTAGTTGCTTACAACCTACACACATCCTCCCATATACTTTAAAACATCTCTAGATTACTTATAACATATACAATGTAAATCCTATAGAAATAGTTGTTATACTGTATTGTTTTATATTTACATTACTTTTTATCTTTTTTTTTTTTTTTTTTTTTGATGGCATCTTGCTCTGTCGCCAGGCTGGAGTGCAGTGGTGTGATCTTGGCTCACTGCAACCTCTGCCTCCTGGGTTCAAGTGCTTCCCCTTCCTCAGCCTCTCAAGTAGTTGGGACTACAGGCACGTGCCACAGCACCTGGCTAATTTTTTGTATTTTAGTACAGATGGGGTTTCACCATGTTGACCAGGATGGTCTCAATCTCCTGACCTCATGGTGTGCCCACCTCGGCCTCCCAAAGCACTGGGATTACAGGCATGAGCCACTGCGCCCGGCCTGTATTGTTATTTTTTATTGTTTTCTTCTTAAATATTTTCAATCTGTGGTTAGTTGAATCTGTAGATGTGAACCCCGTGGATAGGGAGGGCCGTACCACTTTCCCTTTCTCCAGCCTCTAACCTTTACAACTGTGCTTCTCAAGGTGTGGTCCTGGGGGTGGGGAGAGGGTGGGGCAGCAGCATCAGTGTCACCTGAGAACTTTCTAGAGCTGTGAATTCCACCCTAGACCTGCAGACTCAGAAACTCAGGGTGGGGCCCAGCCAGGTGTGCTCTGAGAGCCCTCTGGGTGACTCGGATGCACAATGAGGTTTGGGGACCACTGGTTTACTGGTTGGTTGCTAGATGCTTTCACTTACATTACCCCAGCAGCTCTTCAAAACAGCCTGTGAATAACTCCTCTTACCCCGCTTCACATCATAGCCAGCTGGAGCTCGGTGGTGGGGGGGTTTCCTTTCCTGAAGGCAGTGCCTGGCAGAAGCCAGATGGGCCTCGCTCAGCTTCTCACTGTGCTCTCTTCTACTCCTTCCTGCAGCTCTCCCTGGTCCTCGCCCTCCCCCGCAACCCTAGGAGGTTCCATCACTTCCGTGTCCGGCTCAGGCCCACAGCAATTTCCTTTTGCTGCCACCAAACCCAGGCACCCATCCACCACACCCCTGTCTGTCAAGCCACCGAGTCAGGCTAACGGCTTCTCCTCTACCTCTGGAGATTGTTCTGTAAGGACAGAGACTGTCTCCTTCACCTCTGATGCTTCCCCCACCTCCTCGTGGGTCCCAGAACTCTATGCTTTCCTAGCGGTCTCTTGCTTGCTTTCTAGCTCTAGCTTTCCCAGTTTCCCAATTCGGAGTCCCACTGATATGCAGACATCCCGCAGAAGTCATTCCCTAGTAAGCACGTTTTACCTACTTAGAATTAAATATTGGTAGCAACGCAGCTTCCTATGAATGAGTTGACACTGAAGTAATAATGGGTCACTCATGTCTAAATGTGAAGAAGAACTTGAGGATTAGTAGGAAACTTTGTATGTTTATAAAGCCCAGCACCATAATGGCCAGAAAGGAGATTAGAGAGGAACAAGGAAGTGAGTGCTCCTTTCCCAGAGCCTGGCCTCTGACAGTGACACTTACCAAAAACCAGGGAGAAGAGAAGCAGGGACAGAGAAGGATGGGTGAGCGGGAAAAGACTGAATCCCAAGGTGGAGGCATAGACTATCTCCAGTCTCTTGTCAACATCATCAGCACCACCCAACAGGGTCCCCCTAATAACCTATGTTTCCATTGCTCCCTGACCTGTCTGCCTGCAGCCATCACTACTCCACCGGCCGGGACACCCATCTGAAAGAACATGGGCCCAGGAGCCTGAACAGACAGGGCCTGGGGTCTTGGGGGAAAAGCAAGGATGACAAATACAGAGTCTGCAGAGCTTCTCCTGGAGAAAAGAGTCCCCGGGTCTCAGCCTCCCAAAGGGTGACTCAGGAGCAGGCTCACGACTCAGCCAGGTTGGGGTCACTGGGATGGCCCAGGCCATGCACTGCTTCAGCTCTGGCATGGCCCATTTTTTATTCTGGAAGGGTTTCCTTTTTTTTTTTTTTTTTTTTTTTTGAGACAGAGTTTCGCTCCTGTTATCCAGGCTGGAGTGCAATGGCGCCATCTCAGCTCACTGAAACCTCCGCCTCTCAGGTTCAAGCGATTCTCCTGCCTGAGCCTACCCAGTAGCTGGGATTACAGGTGCCCACCACCACGCCTGGCTAATTTTTTGTATTTTTAGTAAAGACAATGTTTCACCATGTTGGCCAGGCTGGTCTCGAACTCCTGACCTCAGGTGATCCACCCACCTCGGCCTCCCAAAGTGCTGGGATTACAGGCATGAGCCACAGCACCCAGCCTATTCTGGGAGAGCTTCTATATAGAAATGTTGAAATCAACTGAAGCAAAGCAAAAGAGATTGTCTATTCCAAATAATGGAGGCTCAGGCCTCTCATGAACCTGTGCCCTGAGGAGCTGGGAAGCTTGGGAGTAGCTGCCAGCCTGAAACTACAGAGTTGTTGGGGTCTGCTCATCCCCAAATAGTTCTAGGGAGGCTGAACAGGGAGGGAGAAAGGGGATATCTCAGGAGTGGAGCATGTGCGAGGTTCTGTCCTCCTATCAGAAACAGAGCAGGAGAGAATTTGGGAATATAGAAGGAAGCCACAGTATGCTCAAAAAATAGTAAACCGAAAGCAAATAATAATCATAACAATAGGCCAAGCTAGAGCTAAGAATTAAGGAGAAAATACCAATGACATTTCTCAACACCTCCTGTGTGCCAGGCTTTGGGCTAGATGATCTCTCCACACGGTCTTGTGTAATACCACCAGCGCCCTGCAGGGTAGAAGTTACCACTCCTACTTCGCAGGTGAGAAGACTGCTCAGGACTGCATGCTGGAGCATGCTGGCTGCTGCTGGTGTGGCTTCTCTCTGGGCACCTTTGCTCCTTCCAGCACAGTCTCCTTGTTCTTGAGGTCAGTGGCCTCATGTTCTGGTTGGCTGCCGGCCCAGAGCAACCCCTCTCATGACAATCAGTCCCAATGCCTGCCCTTCCTCCCTCCAAGTTGTTCAGGCATCAGCATAGTCTTGGAACAACTCCCTCCTCAAAAGTGGCCCCCACTCACCAGTCACAGCAGCCAGAGGCTGGGTGTCGCCCTGGGCCCCGCTCACTGGCTGCATGCTGCCCACCACCAAGTCCCATCAGCTCAAATCCACCCACTTCTCAGCATCCCCATAGCCAGGGCGCAGGCCACAATCCCCGGCACCTGGATGGCTGCAAGCGACCCCCCCCACCAATAACTTCCCCACCCCTCGGCCGGAGTGAACCTCCCAAAAAACAAAACTGGTGCTGCTGCTTCCCTCTCACAGCTTGAGTGGCTTCTCATGGCTCCCAGGGTAGTCCTTAGAACCCCAGGCTTCCCAGGCCCTGCGCCTTCTGGCGGTGGCCCCTTCAGCCTCGGCTCTCACCCTGGCCTCCCTGAAATCATTCTGCCTTCCTGGGCCTCCAGCTCCTGCGCATGCCGATCCCCTCCCTGTGCTGAGTGAACAGCTGTTCAGGCCTTGTCTGATTCACCCAGACTCAGTTACGGCCTTCCTGAGCCCCCATATCTGCCCCGCTTGCCTGTCTGAGCACTTCGCATGCTCGCTGCACAGTAATTGCTCCTTTGCTTGTCTGTCTGCTGAAAAGACCCAGGTGGTTGAGGGCAGGGGCCATGTCTCATTGACTGTTGCATCCCAGCCCCGTCCCAGTACCTGCAGGTTTCGGGCTCAATGGGCTGAATGAACAAATGAATGATGGGTGTCCCCAGTGCTGCACCCTTCATGGTGGAAGTGAGGTCTGGGATGTCCTGTGGGTGCCCTCCAGCCTGACAAACAAAGTTGGATTTACTGAGTGGGTGCGACAAGGGAGAACGCACAGCATGGGGAACCACGGGGCACCTCAGTGAGAGGATGTTTGAAAGGCTGGGTGATTTGGGCTTTGAGTGGGATTGGAAGCTGTTGGGAAGCGGGGGTAATTCTATAATCCGGGATTTAACTGACTTTTCGCTGAAAGGTGGAAGGAAGTGAGGCTAAATGTCCAATCGGTAAAGAAGCAGCTGTCACTCATGTTAGCCAGGATATAGGGATGTTTGATATTTTTGTGACTTGGACAATGCTCTTGTTTTTGAGTTCAGACATGATTACAGAGTGTGAAATAAGATATATGTATATATTGGTCCCTGGCCCCAGTTCCTGACACAGAGCTCCTAAAACCGTTGGAGTTTCCTAAGCAATGGGGTGCTAGGAGCATCTTTTGTTCTAATATTCTGTCTTTATTCCAGTTCCTGACACAGAGCTCCTAATACCTTAGAATTTCCTGGGTCCTAGGAACATCTTTCGTTCCAATGCAGCAGCTCTCCATGGGGCCCTGTATAAGGTCTGTCCCCAGAAAGACCAAGTCATGATTAGAAGCCTAGCACTTTCAGCCCCACCCCTGATCTTCTGGGGAAGGGAGAGGGGCTAGAGATTGAGTTAATGATCCATCATGCCTATGTGATGAAGCCTCCATAGATATCCCTAAAAGACAGGGTTTGGAGAGCTTCCAGGCTGGCAGAAAACATCTATTTGCTGGGAGGGCAACATGTCTCAGCTCCCCAGGGATGGAAGCCCATGCTCAGGAGCCTTCCAGACCTCACCCTGTGTACGCCTTCACCTGGCTGTTCACCTTTATCCTTTATCATATCATTGATTTCCTTGGTAAATGTAAGTGTTCCTGAATTCTGTGAGCTGCTGTAACAAATTAATCGAAACTGAGGAGGTATCGTGGGAACCTCCAATGAGTCAAGTCAGACAGAAGTTGGGGTAACCTACTTTTTGCAATTGGTATCTGAAGCAGGGGCAGTCTTGTGGGACTGAGCCCTTCACTTGTACAGTCTGATGCTATCTCCCAGTAGATGATGTCAGAATGGAGCTCAGTTGCAGAACGCTCTGTAGGTGTCTGATGGAGAATTGCTTGGTGTATGGGGAAACTCCCACACAGCAGGAATCAGCGGTGTGGTGTGCTGTCTTGAGAGGATAGTAGAAGAAAACTGTCAGTTTAGGGTTTTGTTTTTCCTATCTCATGCAGGAGGGGTCTTGTTTTTGCCCTGATTCATCACAGTCATAGAGTGGCCTTGTCTAAAGCTGGCATTCTGCGACATGGTTTATGGTCAATGGGAGAACACCAAGATCTGCTCTCCTCTTGCCGGGGCTGCTGTTCCCTTTCTCGGTCTTCTGCGAAGCAATCCTGCAGGTCACTGGCCTGGCACAACCACAGGTACAGTGAGAGGGACGGTGCAGTTCTTCGCTTCACATTCTAGTGGTGTTCTCTAACTGAGGGTCCACGGGGGTGGGAAGTGGGGATGGCGTCCAGTCTCCTCTGGCCACCTGCTCCTGCAGCCTCCATCCAAGCCTTCCTCGTGGCTCTCAGAAGCCCAGGGTCTTCTCCCCCACAGCTGTGCAGGAAAAGCTACTCCTTGTGGAACCTCTCACTCTTCCCTCTCCCCATGGCCCTGAGGTTTTCTGGAATCCTTTTGGTTCCCAGCCTTTTTCCCAGCTCTTTTCAGGTATGAGTTCTTTGGTCTCATCGAGTTCCACTCAAGATGGGTCAGTTGGAGAGAGAAGTGAGCAGATTCTGTAGTTGGAGAGGAGGAAAGAGAAAGGAAGACCCCTGAGCCTAACCCTGAGGGGCATCTCTCCATCACAGTCACACCCTTCCGACTGCTTCTGCCTCCTCTTAGCATACATTTTAGCATCGTTTTGCTAAAATGCTCTGCATCTCTCCCTCTACACCTTGAATTTTATTACCAGTCACACCTGGTGTCAAGAAGACACATAGAAAGAAGAAAAACTAGAACTACCAAAAAGCAATAAATTTTTTTAAAGAGGAATAAACTGTGAATCACAAACACGAAAACCTCCTCATTCTTTTCTCATGCTTGTCTAAATTGTCAGCCCCTTAGAGTCCATGCCTCCACATGGTACCTCGGCACATTTGTACCATCTCCGCTATGTAATTTGGGTCCTCCCAGTTACACTCTAAGCCTCTGTGGAGAGGAGCTGTGCCCCATCATTCTGATGCTGTCCCTGCACCCCGGCCCCACCTGACTTCTCATCCTCCTCCATTGGTTCAACTCAGTCACAGCCACCTCCATCTTAAGGGCTCACTGTCTCCATTGAACTTCTCTGCCATGGCCCCGCTGATAGGTTCAAAAGGCATGTGAACATCTGAGCCTTTCTTTGTAGTCTGCAGCTGGGAAAGGGGCTGCAGGGCACAGCCACCACTTAATAATGTAGACCTTTCTCTTGCCTCCCACAGAGGGCCCAGGGCCTCCGCCTCTGCAGAGCAGGAAATGTCAGCTGAGATTCCTGCCTCCAATCAGTGGTTAAGAGGGTGCTTTGTTGTCCCTGAGCATCTGAGGATGTGCCCATGGAATGAAATTCTCTTTCATATGCCCCATTAGAACAGCTGATTCACATGGGAAAAACCATGACCTCTGCCTGCAGGCGGAAGCTGGCTTTGTGAGTGTGTTAGGGGAGGTGAGGATAGGAAAGGGGAGTTTTCTGGAAGCTTTTTCCTGTCATGTGTGGGTGAAGACTTTAGCTGCTGACATCTCCCCCATCCCCCACGCCACTTGCTCTCTGCATCCTGTTACGTTCAGTGTACCATAATCATGAGCCAGATTTCCCCCAAATGTTTACTGCTTCTTAGCTGGTGTGTGGGTTGGGGATGGGGATGAGAGGGAGAATGACTGCAGCATCCTCATGGCGGGGGGAGGGGGCCTTCCTAGGTTAGGGTTGCTTTGTTCACCCCTGCAGTAGCCAGCACCTGTTGGGCCAGCAACACAACCCCCTGCAATTTTTATGGCACATTTATCACTGCCAAGGTGCTGTCATAATCACTGTCTCAATACCCTGATGCCAAAGGGAGAGGTGCCAGGATCCCCATTTCAGCCAGGAGGCTGCAGCAGGGCCCACTCTCATACCAGGTTTGCCTCCCGCTCTGTGCCTCTTCTAAGTGTGAAAATGCAGCAGAAAATATCCAAATGTGGAAATCACACAAGTTAGAAGAGATCGTGTTTGCATTATAAAATATTTATTTTCTGAAGGACTTCCTCAAATAAAAAATGCTTCTTATGCTTTTGAGACGCATGTTTCCAAGATATTACTTACTTGTCAAAATAAAAGCCACGAAGGTAGAGAAACTGAAAACTGAATTAACAGATTAAAACAGTAAATATTTTAAAAGCAAAACAGTGATAAACTACAAGAAAACAGAACTAAACACGTGTTAAACATACAAAAAGGAAGAAATTTCTAAGTTTAGAGGAATAGAACTCAGAAGTGAAAAAAATGAGGATATCCTACTGAAAATATATGTAGTGAAAATGAAGTATGTATGCTTAATCCATAATATTTAAAACTGATACAAATTGAAAAAAGCACAAAGAATGTGAACAGTTTAGAAAGAGAACAGTAATTAATAAATAAGCATAAGGGAAAGTACCTCCACAGGGAATCAAATAAATATAAATTAAGACAATAGAAGAAAATGTTTTGGTATAAAAATTTAGCATGAAATGCTCATTTTCAATGAAGATGTAATGAGATGGGCAATATAATACATTCTTGGCAGAAGAATAAACTGATCCAACTGTCCCAGGAACCAATTGGAGTTTTACACACACACACACACACACATACACACACACACACACAGCTTTAGCTTTGGAAGGTGTTGAAACTTTTATGATTACATGTAGTCAAAGCAAACTTATTCATGACACTTTTTAAAGATGATGAGGAAGACTTTATTCAAGAAAGAACTACTGCAGTAGGGCTTGTCAGTGGGGGAGAGAAATTGGGCTCAACTCCAAATAGAACAAGAACAAGTGGGGACTTACAGCCAAGAAGCAGGGACGGGGTTCGGGATGAAAAACTACTAAGAGGAAACTTCAGGGGTAGCCAGGACACTGGCTAAACCACTTCTTTTTTTATTATTATTATACTTTAAGTTTTAGGGTACATGTGCACAACATGCAGGTTTGTTACATATGTATACATGTGCCATGCTGGTGTGCTGCACCCATTAACTCGTCATTTAACATTAGGTATATCTCCTAATGCTATCCCTCCCCACTCCCCCTACCCCACTACAGGCCCTGGTGTGTGATGTTCCCTTTCCTGTGTGCATGTGTTCTCATTGTTCACTCCCCACCTATGAGTGAGAACACACGGTGTTTGGTTTTTTGTCTTTGCAATAGTTTGCTGAGAATGATGGTTTCCAGCTTCATCTATGTCCCTACAAAGGACGTGAACTCATCATTTTTTATGGCTGTATAGCATTCCATGGTGTTTATGTGCCATATTTTCTTAATCCAGTCTATCATTGTTGGACATTTGGGTTGGTTCCAAGTCTTTGCTATTGTGAATAGTGCCGCAATAAACATACGTGTGCATGTGTCTTTATAGCAGCATGATTTATAATCCTTTGGGTATATACCCAGTAATGGGATGGCTGGGTCAAATGGTATTTCTAGTTCTAGATCCTTAAGGAATCGCCACACTGACTTCCACAATGGTTGAACTAGTTTACAGTCCCACCAACAGTGTAAAATTTTTCCTGTTTCTCCACATCCTCTCCAGCACCTGTTGTTTCCTGACTTTTTAATGATTGCCATTCTAACTGGTGTGAGATGGTATCTCATTGTGGTTTTGATTTGCATTTCTCTGATGGCCAGTGATGATGAGCATTTTTTCATGTGTCTTTTGGTTGCATAGATGTCTTCTTTTGAGACGTATCTTTTCATATCCTTTGCCCACTTGTTGATGGGGTTGTTTGTTTTTTTCTTGTAAATTTGTTTGAGTTCATTGTAGATTCTGAATATTAGCCCTTTGTCAGATGAGTAGATTGCAAAAATTTTCTCCCATTCTGTAGGTTGCCTGTTCACTCTGATGGTAGTTTCTAAGCATTGCTGAAGACAGGCCAGGGCAATCAGATACTGAGGGTGGGAATTTGGTGAGGAATTTAATGAGCTATCAAGGGTGGCGGATTCTCACTCAACTGGCCCAGCAGGATTTTTGCTACCACTAGACTAAGCAGGCCAAGGATAGAACCCAAGCCTGGGCCTAGCTGAGAAGGGGCTCGGAGGAGCCTGACACAAGTTTGGTTAAGGAGAGTCTTTGCATACCCCTCAACCTACACACACACATACGTGTGTATGAACGTATGTGTATATATAACTATAGCATGTATAATATACATTATATATTATATGCAATATAATATATATTATATAAAATCTACTTTATTATATAGATGTTTATGATGTATCATAAATAATTCCTATCCTTCCAAAGCTAAAGAAAGGAGAAGTTGATCTGGAGAAAAGGCCAAAGACAAAAGACTTTCCTCGACACCCACTGAACTGACACTCATCTCTTCTACCAAGAACAGCCTCTAGACTTTCCTCCTCCTGAGTCTCTTGCTGAGCCTGAAGATGACTGCAGGCAGTTCTTCCCCATGGCCATCATCTTCACCAATGGTTCTCAAATGTGAGACAGCACCAGAATCCTCTGGAAAGCTGATCGAAACACAGATCTCTGAGTGCCACCCACAGAGTTTCTGCTTTGATAGGTCTATGGTGGGGTCCTAGAATTTGTGTTTCTCATGAGTTCCCAGGCATGCAGCTGGTCCCCAGGCTACACCTGGAGAAGCAATGGCCTGCACCACAGGTACCTGGCCCAGTGTCCCACCTGAGTAGCCTCCTCACTCCTCCCCAGCTGGCAGCACCTCAGCAGGGACACGCAAGCAAGATCAGACCCAGGGTCAAGAGTTTGGGGGAAGCTGCCTGGCACCCTCTGGGCACACATGTCTTTGCTTTAAATGCAGCAAATTCTCCAGCCTGTGGTGAAGGATCCAGTCACCCTACCTGACTGGATGCCCAATTTTCCATCACTCCCTTGAGTTTTCTCCCTGTCTCATTATGAGCAAGTTACTTCACCAGCACGAGCTTCAGGATCTTCATCTGCAGATGGGCATGGGAATCCCAGCACGACAATGAAATTACTGACGGACCACAGAACCACTTGCAGGGGACTTGCCTCACCATGAGCAGCAGCAAAAGCCAATGGTCATCATTAGCATCATCTGTAGTCAGTGTCCAGCCTCTCTTGAAACCATGCAATCCAACCTATCCCATTGGCTTTTCCTCAAATTACATGCCTTTGCTTCTTCTGTGGTGCCAAATCCTTTTATTTCAAGTGGTTTTATTGAGATAATATCTTTATTATTTTAAAGTCACACATTGTGAGGTATAAAAAGTAGAATCCTCCCCCACCAACCCTGATCCCACCTTGATTGCAGTCCTGACAGGGGGATATGCATCCTGAGCAAACTTTATCCACAAATATACAAAGAGGTAAATGTGCAGAAATGTTCTATATAGGTATTCTTACAAGAATTATGTGATGCCACATAATTTTCTGAAATTTTCTGATTTATCCTTTTTATGCTAAAAATTGTATTTAAAGAACTTCCAGTTTTCACTCCAACATGTAAAGAACTTGGAAGTCATTCCTCCCATCCTTACAACACGAAAACAGCTGAACAAACTGAAAACCAATGGCTTTTCTTACACCTATCAGAGAATTGAGGTTGCAGGGCAAACTGCTACTGTAAAATCTGGAGAGACAGGTGAGTTGAGATTGTGTTCTGACATCAGCGTACCTGGAGCAGAAGCCGCTGCAGCCATAAACTGGTAGGCAGTTTCACTTCAGTGAAACCGAATCTGCAGAATCACTTCAGTGGTGATTCTGAAGAGGTGCTGAAAGGCTGAGTGTGGATGCAGTGAGTAAGAAACTCCTGGGGACTGCAGTCTTGAGGGGATACACTTTCATGGGTTTTATTTCCAGGAACTCTACCAGGTTCTCAGGGTGAAGGGTGGAGACAGACCCCCTTATGTCTTTGACAGACAGAGGAGAAAAATAACCTTTTTTTTTTTTGAGACGGAGTCTTGCTCTCTTGCCAGGCTGGAGTGCAGTGGCACAATCTTGGCTCACTGCAATCTCCGCCTCCTGGGTTCAAGCAATTCTCCTACCTCAGCCTCCCGAGTAGCTGGGATTACAGGTGCATGCCACCACACTCAGCTGATTTTGTGTGTGTGTGTGTGTGTGTGTGTGTGTGTGTGTGTGTGTGTATTTTTAGTAGTGATGGGGTTTCACCTTGTTGGCCAGATGGTCTCGTGCTCCTGACCTCATCATCCACCTGCCTCGGCCTCCCAAAATGCTGGGATTACAGACGTGAGCCACCGCACCCAGCCAAAAAGTAACCATTTTTAAATAGTCCAGAGAATTCTCCATAACAAAGACTTACTCCCCAGCAGAAGAAACCAGAGCCTTACCCAACTAACTCCAGCCCCCTCCAGCCTTCCTGTCTTACCCAAGGAGGGAACAAAAAGCTAAGAAACACATGTGAAGGTAACATCCCAGGGATACGGGCCTGCTAGGGACTGAAATTTATTCATGAAATTGTAGAACACCTCCCCTTCCCCACTCCTTACCACCACAGCAACAGGGCCTCAGTGTAACAGCAGGGATTACAACTGAAAGAGCTGCAAGGTCCACATTCTATTTAAGAAGTAGGCTCTTGGGAAATCCAAAGAAAATGAATGAAAAAAAAAAAAAGAAAGAAAACGAGGGGAATTAGAAGTCTCTTGCATCCACAGCTATGGCAAACATTAAACACAGCCCAAATTCTAGCAATATGAACATAAAACCTCCCACTAATGGCCTGTTTACCTCAATTTCTGTTACCCAATACATCATGTCTGGCTTACAACAAAAAAAATAGAAAGACATGCTAAAAAAAAAACAAGAAAAAACAGCTGAGGGAACAAAACAAGAATCAGGGCCAGCCATAGTGGCTCATACCTGTAATCCGAGCACTTTGGGAGGCCGAGGCAGGTGGATCACTTGAGGTCAGGAGTTCAAGACTAGACTGGCCAACATGGTGAAACCCCATCTCTACTAAATATACAAAAATCAGCCAGGCATGTTGGTGGGCACCTGTAATCCCAGCTACTCGGGAGGCTGAGGCTTGAGAATTGCTTGAACCTGGGAGGCAGAGGTTGCAGTGAGACAAGATCATGCCACTGCAGTCCAGCCTAGGCAATAGAGTGAGACTCAGTCTCAAAAAAAAGAATCAGAACCAGACTCAGATATGCACAGATTTTGGAATTATCAATAGGAAATTTAAAATAACTGTGATTAACGTGGTAAAGGCTCTAATGGGAAAAAAAACAGGCAACATGCAAAATAGATGCGTAATATAAGCAGAGGGATAGTGACACCAAGAAACGATCAAAAGGAAATGCTGTCAATAAAAAGCACTACAACAGAAATGAAGAATGCCTTTGATGAGCTCACCAACAGACTGGACACAGCTGAGGGAAGAATCAGTGAGCTGGAAGATATGTCCATAGGAACTTCCCAAACTGAAATCCAAAAAGAATTTTTAAAACACAAAAGAATTTTCAAGAACTGTGGGACAATTTCAAATGGTATGACCAATGCATAACTGAAATGCCAGGTGAAGGAGAGAGAATGGAACAGAAGAAATATTGAAGTAATAATGGCCAAGCATTTTGCAAAATTAATGATAGATACTAAACCACAGATTCAGTAAGTTCAGAGAACACCAAACAGGACAAATATAAAAAAAAACAAATCTACACTAGGTATATCATATTCAAGCTGCAGAAAACCAAAGACAAAGACAAAATCTTGAAAGAAGCCAGAGGAGTTGGGGGAGAATCTTTCCTATAAATGAACAGTATAAGAATTACCACAGAACTTTCATCAGAACCCATGCAATCAAGAAGAGTGGAAGAAGATATTCCGAGTGTTGAAAGGAAAACACCACCAACCTAGAATTCTGGATCCAGGGAAGTCATCCTTCAAAACTTAAGGAGAAATAAAGACTTTCTAAGACAAACAAAATTCATCACCAGCATATCTGCCCTACAAGAAATGTTTTTTTTAAAAAAAGTCCTTCAGAGAGAAGGAAAATGATATAGATCAGAAACTTGGATCTAGATAAAGAAAGAGCACCAAAGAAGGAATAAATGAAGGTAAAGTATTTTATTTTTCTTATTCTTAATTGATCAGATAAGCAATTCTTTGTTCAAAATAACAGTAACAATAATAACAATAGTAACAGTGATAGTTGCAACAGTAACAAACATGGTAACAATACTATCACTATAATAATGATATAGCTTGTGGGTAAGTAAAATTATGTTATAAGGAATTAGAGGGAGAAATTGGAAATATCTTGTTATAGAAAGTAGTAGTTACTTATCACTTAATGACAGGAAGTGTTCTGAGAAACGCATTTCAGCATTGTACAAACAACATAGAATTTCTTGTGCAAACCTAGATGGTTTGTGCCTACTATATACACACCTAGGCTAGATGGTACAGCCTATAGCTCCTAGGCTATCAACCGATACAGTATGTTTCTGTACTGAATACAGTAGGCAGTTGTAACACAATGGTAAGTATTTGTGTATTTAAACATGTCTAAAATAAATAAGGAAGACAGGAAACAACAGTCAATAAACCACAAATATGAAAGAACAAGGCTTTGTGCTGTGTTGGATTTGAATCTGTGGAGGCACTCTAGTTACTTTCAGTCCACAAAGAGAGTGAGACCCAAATGTCATAGACAGACTTCTGTTCACTGATGTGTGGTTCAATATCCACTTCCAGGCATAGAGGGGATTATGACCCATCCTCTTGAGGGTTGGCAAAGCCATGAGTCTTGCTATTTATTGGCAAATAAAATATCAGTATTTAAAACCTTGTGTGTTTCTCCATCTGTCCTTCCCCCAGCTCAGGCAAATGAAGACATTGCAAATGGTGAACCCTGGGCCCCTGAGCAAAGAGGGGCTGACACAGACCCCATGCCATGCCATTATGGACTACTGCATGAGTAAGAAATAAAACTTTGGGCCGGGCCCGGTGGTTTACGCCTGTAATCCCACCCCTTTGGGAGGCTGAAGTGGGTGGATCACCTGAGGTCAGGAGTTTGAGACCAGCCTGATCAACATGGTGAAACCCTGTCTCTACTAAAAATACAAAAATTAGCCGGGCATGGTGGTGTGCACCTGTAATCCCAGCTACTCAGGAGGCTGAGGGAGGAGAATCACTTGAACCCGGGAGGCCAGGGTTGCAGTGAGCTGAGATCACGCCATTGCACTCCAACCTGGGCGACAGAGCGAGACTCCATCTCAAAAAAAAAAAAAGAAATAGAACTTTGTAGTTTACAGCTACAGGGATGTTTTACAGTTCCTTCACCCCTGTGAATAAACCACCGAGCTTCTGAGACTATATAACCAGCAATAGAACCCACTCAGTATATATACCAGTGGTTTAAATTAACACACAGCTGGTGAGGTCATTTTACAGCTTAAGTTAACAAATTCAGTTTCCTCTAACCAACGTATTTTATAACTTAAGTGAACAAATACAATTTTCTGTAATAAACGTGATTTCCAAACCTATGTGACTAAATCATTAATTCACCAGCCTTGCTTCTTCTCATTAACGAGAAGTAATGTGGGAAGGATCTTGTCCCAGAAAAGCCTGTGCCCCACTCAGCTCTTCATTTCTTCTACTTTGATGGGAACCGCAGTGTGAATACCCCTCCTCTCTTATTGAGAAAAGCAATTATAACACCACAGTAAAAGTTCACAAAGTTTCTTATTAGATACAATTATAGCTTACCTTCAGTAACTAAAGTCAGTCTATAAACATAAGCCCATAACGTCCAACTTCCACAATATGATCACGATTGAAAAAAAAAGTTGTATGTATCAGAAAAAGAAAGACTAAAAAGAAATGCATTGAATTGTAGAAAGTTGTTGTCTTTGAGCGGTGGGAATGTGAGCAATTTTCTCATTCCAATTTCTCCTTTTCTGCGTTTTTCAAATGTGTATAATAAAAACATATTACTTTTATAATGGGGAAATATATACCAATAATGGCCTCAATTATAAAATAGACATATTCATCTAAAAAAACATATCTTTCTACCCAATTTACACAGTTTCACATTGTTATAATGCCTCTAGAAGAAAAGTGGTTTTAAAAAGTAGTGGTTACCAGATGTAAAATTGGGCCTTGGAAATGCTCATCCCATAAAGGACTGACAAAATCAATGTGCTATGTAGAAATGGGTGTGAACAGAAAGAGCAAAAAAAAAATTAAAAAGGCAGCCAGTGAAAGACAGAAGACTACAGTAAGTTTCCAAGTTTTCAACGACAGCACAAAAGGATTACTGAAGAGTTTTAAAGTTCAGATCCTTGGGTTCAATACCCAGAGGTCTTGACTCAGTGGGTCTGAGTGGGACACAAGGATCTGCCTGTTGGGCAGGCTTCCCAGATGATTCTATGCAAAGGTCTCTGCAGCACACTGAGAAATTCACCCTAGAGAAGGCAGAATGGTTTGATCCAATGGAGAAGTTGAAGAATGAGCCAGAAAGGAATTAGCTCGGTGGGTCTCCTCCTTGGCTGCATGTGGGAATCCTTTGGGTGGCCTTCTTAAAAAATTCATCCCCAAAAATACTAGTGGATCCAAGTCTCTAGGCAAGTGAGGGCTTGGAGGGATCCCCTGGTGATTCTGACACACGGCAGAATTGTGTCCCACTAAGACCTTTCCAAAGGCATCGCAGAAGTGGCCGCCGCTCTGTCCATTCCTGGCTGCTCGCTCTAGCTGTCCATCACCAGCCCTGGTGACTGGGCAGAAGACAATCTGGCTGAAAGCAGGCTGGCCAGAATGCAAGTTTTAAATCCTTCAAACAGTGGACAAAACTGAAAGCATAGCCAAAGCAGCAGAGCAGGCATAATTGGCTTTAAATTAATTCAAAACTGTATGACAAGAAACTCCAAGCCCTGAAAAATTCCAGATAATTTTCTTTTGCAATTTCTTTTGCTGATTGGCTTTCTTCTTGTTGTTGTTTTCCTTTTACAAATGCCATCCACTTTTATGAAAGAAATGTGAATACATAGACAAGCAAAAAGAAAAAGATAAAGAATACTCCTCATTCTACCCACTCAGAGACAATCAGTAAAGCACCTTGGAGTGTGTCCTTTCCTTACACAGATATGTGCATCCATTTTTATCTCATAGATTTTTCCAGCACCTCTCTTTGGACATCTACAGTGACTCAAATCGTCCCTGTTCTAAAGAGTACAGAGGAGGGAATGAATGGCTAAAGATTTACTATAAATACAAAGAAAAAAGTAAGAAAAATAAAATTGTGAAAAAAAATCAGGAAATTCTCAGGGACACACAAGTTGTTGCAAAACTACCCCAATTATGTTCAAATGTTACCAAAAATTGCAAAAAAAAAGTGACATGTATTTTCGACGAAATCATCATCACTGCCAAATGATTGTGAAGAGCAGCTTCCATCAAGTCAAATTGTTTTCTGCCCAGTCCTTCACATGACCTGGCACACTCATTCCTACCTCTGCAAGGCTATTCCTGCCACTCTCCCAATTCCTGCTTGATGCCTTTCCTCCTCTTTAGTGTACCCAAATCCCTTCCCTCCCACAAGGCCCCGTTTAAATCCAATCCCCTTCCCCACCAGGCCTCCACTATCCCCACGATCCCCACAACCCACCATGCTACCTTTTCTCTGAAGCCCTCAGTGTTTACCTCCGCCTGTGGCTTGTTATTGATTCCTGTTCCATACACCTCCATGTCCCCAGTCCATTAGTCTCATGTCCCTACTGAGACAGTCACCTCTCTTTGGACTGAATCCAGCTTATCCTCTTTTGTGTCTCTCACAGCATGGAGCACAGTGCTGGGCACACAATAAGCCATCAATAAATACTGAATGAAGTGTGGAGTTTCTAGGTAGAATTAAAAAAAAAAATCTTCTATTCATCAGTAATAAAGCTCGGTGGGCCTGCACTGAACAATGGGAGGGTCACAGTGGAAGCCCAGTGTTGTTGTAAAGAGGCAGGTCTGCTAGAAGGATACAGAGGGCACTGCCTTCCTAAAGGCAGCAGCACGGAGAACAGAGGAGAAGGACAAAGCAGCCGCCCTGTGGGAGGGTCCCCCACGCTGGACCCTTCACAAAGGCTTTCCCAACACAGGCCGCTAAGTGGCTCAGAGCAAAAAGGGCAGGGAGGGGACCCAGACAAGCCAACAGTCTCCTGCTGCCATGAAGCCAGCACCAGATCCATCCCTGGCTGGCCTCAAAGGCCGTAGTGGTGAACACAGAGGGGCCCATGTGGGGCGAAGCCACCTAATTCCCCCTAACAGGAGAGACCAGGCTGTAAAGGCAAGTGACGGCAGCCTTCAGAAGAAGTGACAACATGACAGTGTCATGCCAGAGCCCTGTTGTGGGGGAACAGGGAAGCCAATCAAAGCAGCATCCACTCCACACCTTAGGGAAAGAGATGCTTTCATTCCGTAACAACATTAAGGGGAAAGCTAAAAGAAATGACGTTTTCACCATAGAATTCCAAGTCTCCCATTGAGGGAGGGGGGGGCTGCTGTCTTACAAACACAAGGGGTTCTCCCAGGGAGCACCCTAGAAACCAGGAGATGAGTGTCCCCAGCAGGTTGCATCAAAGAAATCTCATCAGGGCCGGGCACAGTGGCTCACATCTGTAATCCCAGCACTTTGAGAGGCCGAGGCGGGGAGATCACCTGAGGTTGGGAGTTCGAGTCCAGCCTGAGCAACATGGAGAAACCCTGTCTCTACTGAAAATACAAAATTAGCTGGGCAAGGTGGTGCATGCCTGTAACCCCAGCTACTCGGGAGGCTGAGGCAGGAGAATCGCTTGAACCCGGGAGGCAGAGGTTGCAGTGAGCCAAGATCTTACCACTGCACTCCAGCCTGGGCAACAGAGGGAGACTCTGTCAAAAAAAAAAAAAAAAAAAAGGAAGAAGAACAAAGGCAGGAAGGAAAGAAGGAAGGAAGGAAGGAAAGAAAAGAAAAGAAAAAAGAAAAGAAAAGAAAAGAAAACCTCATCAGGAAGGCCAAGGCTCAGGATAATCCAGGACCTGCCAAAGAAAGTAAGGGCAGGAAAGCCAGCTGTTTAAAGAACTAGGTACAAACTGTGTTCACAGGAATTCTTTACAGGGATTGCCTTGTACTTATTTAGAAGAAATTCCTTAATAAGCCACTTGGGATAGAAGCTGTGGGCTGTAGAGTATTTGCCAAAAGCCAGTTCAGAGAAAGTTAATTCTCCAAAACACAAACTGCTGAATGTTTAATTCACTGAATGACCAATTTGCCCAACTATCAGACAAGTACTGTACGACTGGCCCTCGGCAGTTTGCCACAGCTGTTTCTCTGCATCCTACCAGAGTGAAGTGTGCTGGTGGCTTTCTCCACAGTTTGGTCTCATGACCTTTGGGGATGAGAATTTCTCATTGCTGTGATTTCAGGTGTTGGGGGATGCCTTCTGTGGTCATGGAACAAGATTTCTGACTGCTAGCATATTTTCACTCAGGCCTCTGACTTCTCACTATCACATAAACTAAGGAGGTGTGAAGTAGCTACATCAAATGAATATTTTAAGCACAGTTCACACTGCAGATAGTTGGTTGTTGAAACTGTTTAATACTCCAGATGTGAAAGAATGGCTTTGCTCACTCACCACTTTACCCCAGCACAGGTTCTCTCTACTTTATAGACAGTGTTCTCAGCCTGCCACATAGAAGCAGGCACACCATGCAACCCTAGACAGAAAACCGACCCGATTGTCCCATGGAACTCATAGTAACAGTTTTAAAAATAAATGTAGAAATTGACCCTCCCTGGTCTTAAAACTTGAAACTTACATTTGTCTTATTTGAGTTCCTTTCTCCGGAAACTGACCCTCAGGCAAGGAACTGAAATTCATCAGGTCACCTCATCCAGACGATGAGATGCCAGACCTCTCATCCATCATGACCGCTTCCTTATCCCTCCCTAATTCTTGTTTTCCTGCCTTCCCAGATATACAAGCCCCCCAATTTTAGTCAATCAGTGAGACAGACAGATTTAAGATATCTCCCTTTCTCCCCAGCCGCAGCACCCAATTAAATAGCTTTCTTCCCTGGCAATACTCGTTGACTCACAGATTGCTTTTCTTTTTTTTTCTTTTTTTTTTTTTTTTTTTTTTTTTTGAGATGGAGTCTCACTGTGTTGCCCAGGCTGGAGTGCAGTGGTGCGATCTCAGCTCACTGCGACCTCCACCTCCCAGGTTCAAGCAATTCTCCGACCTCAGCTTCCCGAGTAGCTGGGATTACAGGTGTGCACCACCATGCCCAGCTAATTTTTGTATTTTTCGTAGAAACGGGGTTTCACCATGTTGGCCAGGCTGGTCTTGAACTCCTGACCTCAGGTGATCCACCCACTTCAGCCTCCCAAAATGCTAGGATTACAGGCGTGAGCCACCACACCCGGTAAGAGATTGGTTTTCTATGCAGTGAGCAGCAGGACCCAGACTGAACCCCTGGCATTTCAGTAACAGACATAGAGTACATGGGTCTGCCTTAGGCATAAGTATTCCCAGAGGATGGCAAACTGCCCCCTCAGGTGCAACTTGTTGGTCGCCAGCATAGAGCTCAGCCTCTGGAATGTGAAAGGCATGAAACACTGACGTCCAACATCCCCACACAAACACCACAGCATAACCTCTGCCATGCCACTTTATAATCCTGGACTCTGATCATCCAGTGAGTTGACTTTTGGTGAATTAGTGTCCATCCAAAAAGGGACCTCCCATATTGGCCAAAACCATCTTGCGCAAGACAAACAGAGACATGTCTTGGTTGCAAAGGGACAGTGGAGGAGGCTTAAGCAGAGAGGAGAGGAGAAGGTAAGTGGGGCAGATAAGATGGAAAAGGAAAGATGGCCAACAGCATGACCCCTCCCTGGGGTCCCCAAAGTGTCAATGGCAGTTGACAAAAAACCATGAAAGTCTTGGTGTACATGGCTTTCTTAGGGAGAAACAGAGTTCTGCATCCAGATTGGGAGCAGGGTGGCATGGTCTTCTGCAGAGCAGAGTTGCCGAAACAGAGAGAAACCATGGGAATCTGCAGAGAGCCTGGGGAGGAGGGCTCTGGGCTGACACAGGTCAAAGAAGTTGGGTTCAGTCAGGTTCAACCACATCTCCAAAAGGCAGGAAGCTCAGGTGACATCTGGACTGGATGACCAAGGGGAGACCATATTGGCCCACTGGCCATGGACTAAGAGACGTCACATATATTCATTCTTTACATATGTTTGAAGCAAAGAGGTGGACGATGAAAGGAACATCCCACTGCTTAGTGATGCTCTAAAGTTTATGAGATGAAAAGAAATAGAACGACAAACATCTAGCCTTGTGTTCATTTTCCCTCTCTGGAAAAATAGTCAGCAAGCTTGGGACTATTATATGAAGCAAGGGAGTTGCAAAGTGAGTGAGGTAGGCAGGGTAATGTCCCCCCAAGGAAGTCTAAACTCCTGTCCTGGGCAGCAGAAGGCCACTGACTGAGACCATGCTAGGCAGGGAAGTAGACAGTGTTAGGAGCAAAAGGGAACCAGAGACAATTTCCTAAGCAAAACAGGCATAAAACTGCTGTGAACTGATGAGCAGAGACAAGAATGAGAAGTGAATGGATGGAGGCAAGTTGGAACAGGAAGAGGAGGCACTCGCTAAAGGAGTGCGTGGATACACTAAAGGAACAGGCCTTGATGTAGCCCATCCCTTTCCTGAGGGTGGGGAGGGAATTGCTGAAAGCCCCAAGTCAGTCTAGCTCTGGGTTCCATTTCTCACTTGATTTGGATCCACCTTATCCAACCTTGCACATAGAATGCATTCATCCAACAGATAGTTGATGGGCTTCAGCGACATGCCAGGCACTATTCTAGATGTTGGGTGTACACAGTGAACAAACAGGTCACAACCCCAGCTCTCGAGGAGCTTGTGTTCTGGAGGGACAAGACAACCAAGCAAGAAATTCAGCGGAAAGCCTCAGATGGTGAGAAGAGCTAGAACGAAGGTGAAAAGAGTGACGTGACAGAGACTGGGTCTGGGGGCTGCATGTGGCTCCTATCAGCTGGTCAATACCAGGAGGCCTCCCTGTGAAGGTGACTTGAGTTATTTCCTGAATGACAAAGATCCAGGCATGTGGTGATCTCAGGACAGAGTAACCCGGAGAGAGGGAACAGCAGGGTGAAGACCTCAAGGCTGGAGCCCAGCTGGGTGTGCTCAGGGCAGAAAGAAAGCCAGCATGGCTAAGCTTAATAAATAAGGAGAGGCAGGGACCAGATCAAGCAGAGATGGAAGGGATCAGAGCACACAGAGGAACGACTGTGCGTGCTCTGCCCAGAAGAGTGGAGAGCAATGGAAGGAGGCGTGTGGAGGCAGTGCAAACTCCCCCATGTCCCTCAAGGGCTCATGCTCACTGCTGCCATCGTGCCTTGGGCCACGCAGTGCCACAGGGCAGCAGGGATTGGCCCCTCTGGGATATTTCGGCATTATTTGCAAGGTTGCTTTATGTTCCGCTCCAGGGCTCACTGTCCCCCTCGTATTCCTACAGCAGAGCTGTCCTGCATCTGCTATAATCTAGCAGAGCCAAAGGAGATTAATTGCTGAGTGGAAAACGCAGACTCTGCTTCTACAAGGTGTGCAGGGTTTTCCTCCTCCTGTCCTTTCTCTGCAGTGAGCTTTGCTCACCGGCCCAGTCAGTGCCAATGTTCTGGGGAGATGTGATAAATGAGCCCATTCTCTTCAGAGACACTGTGTTTTCTAATGGGTTAAAGGGCAAAATTTCAAGATGTTATTGGTATAGCTGGTGGCCAGTTCTGCCCCATTTAATCACATTATCTTGAGGGCCAAGAGGGCAAAAGAGTTTGGGGTATTTTTTTTTTGTTACTTGTTTTTCAATTGGAACACATCAAAGGATCACAGAAAGGAGTTAACAAACGTCTAAAGGCAGAGGAGGCAACAGCAACTGCCCTCCAGAGCTGCTTCTCTCCTCTACCTCCCCATGGCCTGGAGTCTGATGCTTGCTGGGAGACCCAGGCATGTTTGGCAAGTGCCAGCAGGAAAAGGTGTCATAAGCCTCAGACCAAATCATCAGCTAGGCTGTTGCTCCCAGAAAGAAAGTTGGGACCTGAAGAGCAATGCAGGTGTACCAACTTTCCCCACATAAATTGGAGAATGGGGAATTCATTTATTAGGAAGCAGACTTTGCATCATGAAGACTCTCATTGTTATAATTTCCTCACAGTTGAGGCTGACGCTAGAGCATAAGAGAAGATCAATTATGTGGGCAGCTTAGGAGCTCACAGATTGTTTACCAAGTCACCATCTGCACTTCTGACAAAAAAGGCTTTTGTGTATGTTTAGAGGTTGTGACCTCTTGCTGCAATTTAGGTTTGGTTTGAATATGCTGTTGAGGATTGCCTTGGTGATATTCCTATTACTTTTAGTTCATAGCATTTACATTCATCATGATTAAAAATCATCTTCATGGCTGAAATATATATTTTTAAAATAATTTTGCAATAGCAAGTCTGAAACTCTGACTTCTAACCCTTTTTCCTACTGAGGCAATTATTTTTATAGTGAAGTAGATCTACGACATTTTCAAAGGGTTGTTGGAAAGAAGAGTAAAGAATTTGTAAAAGGTACATAGTAGACACTCAATAAATGTTAGTTCTCTTCCTTCCAGGTACCCTGACCTTTATGGAGAGTTTGAAATTATCCTATATCATTAAGAACCAGCAGGACTTTAATGAAGCTTCATGGCTTAGTGGCTAACATTCAAACTTCAGAGCCAGCCAGATTTGGTATAAAGACATGAATCCCACTCTTATCACTGGTGTGACTTTGAGCAAAGCACTTCATCTCACCAAACTTCAGTTTACTCATATAGGTAAAATAGAGGAAGTAATTTATATCTTGAGGAGTTTGGTCAAGATGAGGAGTATCAGGAAGCCATCTATCAAATCTATCATCTATCGAATGAAAGGTGTCATTATATCATCTATCGAATGAAAGATGTCATTATGTCATCTATTGAATGAAAGGTGTCATTATCTCTCAGTGCCTGGGAAGGGATGGAGGGAAGGGCCAACTCTAACCCAGCGCCCTGCCCTCCTGAGACGGAAGTTCTGGTACACCCTGAACTGTCAGTATTTTCTAGTTCCCTTGAAGGGAGTTCCCCCATTCCAGATCTTTGGGATCCCATCCTTAGCCAAGAGCAAGCTTTCTTTTTCAGAAGCAAATGCATGCACTCGGGATTTATAAAGGAAAATGTGATGCTGTCATTTACTCATAGAGTCACTAGGCATGAGGCTGTAAATGTGATTTATGTCCAAGGTTTGGCCCTCAAAGGGTAATATACTTCATCATCACAGCCCAGCGATGGCTCCTCCAGAAGAGTTCTATTTTCTCTCAGAACCCAGAAGTCAATACCAGATCTTCAGAGAATTCTGAACTTCCACAGTCTGGCAGGAGGGAGGTGAAAGGTTGTGCAGTCCCCTATTATCTGTGTGCACTACAGGAAGGGACTTGCCCCTCTGAGCCTCGATGTCCTCCACTGTGAACTTGCTGCCTCCTCATGCAAATGCCCCAGGGCCGGTGACCACGTGTGCAGCTACAGTAGGTGTTAGGGGAGCAGAAGCAGGTGGCACCTGGACGTGGGGAAAAGAGGGAAAGGAGGAGGAAGAGAAGCTGTTAATGTTTCAGGACTAATTCCTAACAAAACTCTAAAGGAGGAGACACCTGGTCCTCAGCTCTCAGACCAGCACTACACCTGCCCCCCAACCCATACCCCAGCTGAGTGCCCCCCAACCCCAGCTCTGCCCCTTATGGAGGGCAGTGGGCTGTCCACACTTGTAGGAGATCAGTTGCTCTCATCAGAAGGTGGAGGCTTCTCATGAGGGGCTTTATGTGAGTAGCACTGTCCCTGGGAGAAGAATCTCAAGATGGCCTTTATAGGGATGAGGGAGATTGCTCAACTGTCACCCTTTGCGGATGGGGCCTCTTCATGGCTGGAGAGTTCTTCTGGTTCTCCATTTCAGTCACTCACAAAACACACGCTGACTATCCACTGTGCGCCCTTGGGAACCATGCACACCGGCCAGCAGGACAGACATTCAGATGAATGGACACCTGCAGTGGCCTTCTCTTCCTGGGGCTGAGCATGAGTCTCTGTGTCTAACAGATCTGAAGGCAAACTGTGACTCTGCCCACAAGAATGCTAACATCTCAGCCTGTCTCCTGCTGAATGGGACAACGTTAAGATCCATTGCTCAGAGTTTTTGTGAGAGTTCTATGCATTCTAGTTTTATTCTACAGCCCTGCTCGACTTCCCATCATCCACCCACATTCACAACTCTAGAGCCCCAAAGTCAGCAGCCCACCTTGAGCCAAGTGGCCAGGATCTCACAAGGATGAAAGCTAGCATCTTGGTCGTGGCCCATTCCTCCTTGGCCAGCCTCATGCTCTGCTTCCCAGCAGCCTCTTGGGATGGTCTCAACCTGTGCTCCTCACACATAATGTTTTGTCTGACCCCACCCTTCCTCCTCTACTGGGACTCTCAGGACCTGCTGGGATGGCGTCTGCTCTCAGTGGCTCTGGGCTTCTCCCACAGAGGTCCCAGAGGCCTGTATTTGGCCAGGTCTACTACAGCCCTTTGCAAAGAGGAGCCAAAAATCAAGAGTAAAAATCTCATCTCTGAGGGTCTTCCCATTCTGAACCAAGCCCTGGCTGTGGACCCAGCTCCCCCAGGCATTCAGTTTCCCCCAAACAAACAAGGAGAGCAGACCTTATGTGGGCCCCACAGGGTAGCCAACTACCAGGATAGAGTAATTTTAGGGGCACAGAACGGCTTGCATACCCTGAAATTCCTCCCTTGCTTGCTCACTGGTGCCTGAAATTACTTCAGCAGCAAACAACATGCTTTATTCCACAATTAGAAGCAAGCCTTTAACATAGATTTCTCTGGTCGAGAAAACACAATGCTTATGCTCACACTGAAATATGAAAGAATGATTCTCGAGGGAGTGGAGGAGTATGTCATCATCTCCAGAGGTACAGGATTGAGGACATGTGCAATTCTTCCACAGACACACTCAATAGCATAGCCTCAGTTCAGACCTTCAGCAGGGCAATTTGGTAGCACATATTAAAATGTTAAATGTGAATACCCTTTGACCCAAAAATTCCTCATCTAAATCTCTCACTAGGGAAACTCTTGTGTAGAGGCAGAAAGAGGCATTTACCAGAATGTCCCCTCAATCATAGTTTGTAGCAATAAAAATGTATATATAAGAACCCACTTTCACGCCCATTCATAGGGACCTGGCTTAAGAACTTGGGTGTTTCTGTACTAGGGACTACTAAGTAGCTGTTAAGGGAAAGTAAAGTAGGTCAAGTGCGGTGGCTCATGTCTGTAATCCCAGCACCTTGGGAGGCCAAGGCAAGTGGATCACCTGAAGTCAGGAGTCCAAGACTAGCCTGGACAACACAGTGAAACCCTGTCTCTACCAAAAATACAAAAATTAGCTGGAGATGGTGGTGCGCACCTGTAGTCCCAGCTACTCAGGAGGCTGAGGCACAAGAATCGCTTGAATCTGGGAGGTGGAGGTTGCAGCGAGCCAAGATCGAGCCACTGCACTCCAGCCTGGGTGACAGAACGAAACTCCGTCTCAAAAAAAAAAAAAAAGAAAGAAAGAAAGTAAAGTAAAGCTATCTGTACTGATATGGAAAGGCCTTTAAGACATTTTGTAAGTTGAAAGAAAGCAAGCTTCAAGACAGTGCACAAAGAATAATAACAATTAAGTAGAAAGGCAGTAAACCTACATGTTTCCGTAGGTAGTTGTGTCCATATGTAAATGCACAAGGAAAAGATCTGGAAGGATACACACTGGAGATAGGTGCAGTTATCTCTTAGAGATCTTGGATTTGGGGGTGCTATTGAAGACAGACATTAGCTTTATGTAAACTTTATTTACAGTCATAATACGATCATTGAATACTTGCATAATTTAAATTATTTTAGGAATATTAAATAATCTTATGCTTGGAAAACAAAGTAACTCCTTATAATCGTAATACAAACTAAAGTATTAAAGCTAGACAAAAATCTTTTCAGGCAGTGAGTCATAGGCTAAAGAATTTGACAAACACAGAAATGATAGCAATTTAATAGGAATAATGTTTTGAAAAATATTTAATTTTCTCTTCTGCCTTCCTGAATGTATCTTCCTCATCCTAGCCAGTCAGGTGCATTTATTCATTTATTCATTTATTCAGGACTCATGTGTTACAGAAAGAATGCAAAGGAAAAAAATGAGGAAATTAGTAGTCTGCTTCTGGCATGCAAAATACGATTTTGCAGCAAGGAGATACACTTGAAAGACAGGATTTGATAGAGAGTGAAAGGCTTCTAATTCCTTTAGCTCTGACTTGGTATATCAAGAACAAAGCCTAGAATGACCATGGCATGGAGACCCCCACAGCCCCCACCAGTGAGGGAAGATAGACCTACTGCATGTGACAGCCAAGTCACGGAATTGCTGCTCCAAGG